>NC_000007.14:111881779-112506779 GCF_000001405.40 Homo sapiens | reverse complement strand
ATGGACGTAGAGTGTGGAATGGTAAACACTGGAGACTTGCAAGGGTAGGGGGCTGGGCAGGGGTAGATGATGAGAAATTAGTGAGTACATTAAGTACATACGTATGTATGTTATTTGGGTGATGGATATCCTAAAAGCCCTGACTTTACCATTATACAATCTATGCATGTAATAAAATTGCACTTTGGCTCTTCCAAGTCAGACATAAAGTCCCCTTACCCCTTTGTCCAGGGCAGGCACTCTGATGCCTTATAGTAACACATTAAAAGGAACAACTCAACTCCTCTAACTCTTCAATTAAAGATCTAGTCCCATGTGACTCTACTTACTAAGCGTACAGCTGTCAGTTTCTCTCAAAAGCAAGCAAAAGGCTCAGGGAAAGTACCCTATCAGGGCACCTTGTTATACAAGTAAAAGCAAATAAATGCAGGAAGGGGAGTTGTCACTGACCCCCATGGGCCAGATATAGCCACATCTCTGTTGTAGTCAAGGCCTTGTGACACAGACACACCGTTACCAATTCAGTTACCATTCAGGTACTTCTCAGAGAAGAGTTGAGGAAAGCCGGTGGCACTTGGTAGAGCACAGAGCATGGATGTTAACAGTGGCCAATTGCCTAAAGATAGCGTGCAAGAGAGAGACTGACTAGTGTAACACGGGAAAAAAACAGCCAATCCTGGGGAGGGAATTTGACCAAGCTGCCAGCCAAGATTAACAGCACAGTTAATCATCACCCATCAGAGGGCTATGCTTGATTTTCCAATACCCCTTCTCAATAGGTTTCTCCCTCCATATAAGACTCTTACAAGGATATGGGAAGTTTCAAGAAACAGGCCATTTAGGGGGCTCATCTCCTTTCCCCACTCCAGGAGACACTTGGCCAGCCCGTGCCTGCAAGGAAGGTAGACATTCAACAATGGGAGTAATTTGCCATCTTTCAGGAGAATGAAATACTGGGTGCATTGTTTCCTCCAGGCCCCAGCAAGAAGAGGGGGAACAGAGGCCCCTTATCTCATGACTCAGCCCATCATGCTATCTCCCTGAGAGCTCATGCATGTTTGTTTTTCTGGCTTCTGGAACCTCTGCTTGGAGCTTTGCAGAGTTCCATTTGTATCACTGGCTTTGGCTCTTAATTTACAGTTTTGCTGCCATCATCAGGAAGACTATGGGCAAAAGCAATGGCAATTCACTGACTAGATAGACAAGAGGGCTCAAGGTCTTGGGAAATTTTGCTTGGTAGAGAGAAACACGGAATACAGAAGCATACCCTGGAGAGGCATCTTAGCTCTGTTAATACCCAAAGCATCTTTACAAAAATAAACTAAAGGTAAATTTAGACTAGAGTTAAGTACAGGCTATTACAAACAGAAAATTTTATGGGTCTTCTAGGAAAATGAGCATTTGGAAGTTACTGGGTGAAGCCAGTCTGAGATATGTCTTCTGTGGATACAGATAAAGACTGAATTGTCTGGCAGATACCACTGAGATAGAAAAGATTATAAATTGAAATAGGGACAAAAATACCCTGAGTGAAATAAACCTCAATGATGATATTGATTTTATTGCTTAGAAAATTATTAACATCGGCATGGTAAATAAGACTTTCTTATAGCATGAAGAAATGACCCCAACAGGGTGACAGCCTTGTCACCTATGAAAAGTAGGTTTCCCAAAAGAGCCTGGTAGTGGGAAGTAGGCTGTTCAGAGGTTGTTTTCCTAATCCAAGACTTGCCAGGCAGGGTAAGTGGTGGTTCCTGATGCTCTGGAAACTCCATCCACTCTCTCTTTTCAGGAACCTGTTTAACCCTGGCTGCCCCTCCCGCCTCTGCCACTGGCCTCACCACCACCCATGCCACCTGTGCAGGTTTGCCTCCTCCACCACCACTGCCATTCTGAGATCAGCAAGCATTCGGGATAGTAGATCATCATCTCAACTCAAAAACTAGATCTATGATCATCCTCCCATCTTCTTGTCCTCCTATCTTCCAACTCAGATCTACTTCTTGGCTTCATTTCTGACAACAGCACCTCTCTTCTCTCAATCACCCAGACTTTAAGTCACCAAGTTACTTTTGACTTTTTCTTCATTAACCCTGCCCCTAAACCCACTGTGTAGGGGAGAATTAACCTTACCCAAGGGCTTTTAAAATGGCTAATGAAAAGCATCCAGCACTCGCTTCTTCCACAAAGAACAACCAAAATAGCAAGTAGATAATCACACTGCAAATAGAACATCTAAAAGAACACTGAAATTAAACAGAGAAGTGACAGGAAACACCAGAGGCATAAAAGGAGAGGGAAGTGAGGTGGCCAGCTGGGATCCCAGAAACGCTCCCCAGTGCAGGGAAAGAGTAAGTGAGACATCCCCAACAGTCCAAATTCCCACCACGAACTCCAGCAATCTTAACTACAGGAGAGCCCCTCAATTCTTGGGTCCCTGAGACTAGCATAGGAAGCTCTCTAGAGGCCACACGGTAGCAGTGCTCCAGAAAGGGAGCTCACACTGAATCCCACATACCTTAGTGCTAAACAGCTGCAGCATGGCACCATTTTGAGAGCCCAGGCCCCATCAGACTGAATACTGCCTAATAGTCCCTGCATCTCCACATCCCTGCAGCCCCACTGACATCCCCTCATGTTGCCCAGGCTGCTCTCAAACTCCTGGCCTAAAGCAATCCTCCCGCCTCGGCCTCCCAAGTGCTGGGATTGCAAGCGTGAGCCACGATGCCTGGCTAATTTCTTTTAAGTTAATCAATTAGTTATGTGTCCAGCCAAGACCACTTGGCAAGTGAAACATGTAATTCAAATTTGCTATTTGATCCTAAAACTTAATAGAAGTATGTATTATTTCTGTGATATTAGAAAATCAGGAAAAGAAAATTTACCACAGTGAAATTTAACCAAGACAGAACTTGGCTGGGTCCGTGCTGGCTGGTCGAGTTTATACTTCCTCATAATACCAGTTTCACATATGAGTTATCAGGTCAAGCATGGATTCAAAACACAGATTGGAAACTTTAGACCCATATATTCAACTGCCCACTGGACATTTGCTGTCTGTGTCAGAATTTGCTCAACCTCAAATTGGAATTTATCAACTTCCTCACCCACAAAGCCTGCTTCTTTTCAGTATTCCCCCATCTCAGTGAACAGCACTCTTATCTACCCAGCGGCCCAAGCCAGAAAACTGAGAACCATGTGTGACTCTTCCCTCTCCCTCACCCGCATTTCTAATTATCACCAAGCCCAGTTGAGCCTCTAAATATCTTCTCTGTTCCCAGTCCTCCTGCTCCAAGAGGTCATCACCATCTGACCACTGGCTTATAACTTTCTGCTAGCTGATCTTCTGGCTTTCAACTTCCTGCCTGCTGGTCTTACTGCCTCACCTCTTAGCCCTTCTAATTCTCCACAGTGTAACCAGAGTAATTTTTTTAAAGCACAAATACTACTTTGTTATTCTCCCTTAAAGACTTTTAATAATTTCCCACTGTCCCGTGGGACCGGCCTCCCGCACACCATCAACACCTGCCTGTCCAGCCTGATCAGGCACCACTTCCTCCTCCTACTTGATGATGCCCCAGTTATTCCGAACTTCATCCAGTTCCTCAAATTCACTACACTTTATTTCTTAACTCCAGGTTCTTATTCATTCTATTCTTTCTACCTGAAACACTATTCCCTCCTCTTTGCCCAGCTAATATCTACACATTCGTTAGGTCTGCTGAATGTTCAATTCTTCTGGGAAATATTCTGTACATATTGGGCTTTCAAAAGATGGCCATAACAATATCTCTCATTCCACATGCTCTTTGGAGCTGTGAGCCTCCCATGTAAGGAATCCAACCATTCCAAGCCTGTCAGGTTGTGAGGAAATCCAGATCTCATGTGTGGGTCCTGCCCAGGGGCCAAATATGTGAAGGAAGACACCTCCCATGATGCCAGCCCCCGGCCATTCCAGTCTTCCTGGATGAGGTCCCAGGTGGCATAGAACAGAAGAACTGCCCCACTATCCCCATCCCAAATTCCTGACCCACAAATACTGTAAGTGTAATAAATTGGTGGTTTTATGCCACTAAGCTCTGGGGAAATTTGTTGCCTAGCACTAGTAACTGATATGCTTTCTCTTACCACCCAGGCCTGGATTAGACTCCCTTTCTCTGGATTCCCAGAGCATCCTGTACTTTTCCCATCCTAAATTTCCACACTGAATTATCATTGCCGCCTTGCTCATCTCTACCTCACACTAGATATGAAGCCTGTAAAGGCAGAGACCACATTTACCTTATGTACCTATATATCCCCAGCACTCTGCACAGGGCCTGGCACAAAATAGGCAATAAATAATAGTTACCTAGCAAATTATCAGTAAGGGAGTGCCACAGGAGCATTAGAAGGATTGCCAAAAGCATTGCCACAACAGGAGAAAGCAGCCCAGAACATGCACCCTGTAGAACGGGTGTGTCATCTTCATGCAGGAAAGCACCCCGGGTCAGCGTGAGGGTTAACAAGAGCCTAAGCCCAGTTCCTCTACAAAATCAGGTTTCAATTTGTGAAATTTTCATGAAAGGAAGACAAGCTGTGCACTCGAAGAAAGACCCAGATAGCAGAAAGGTTACAAGGTCAGGGCTATGGCTCTACACGGCAAATTACACTATGAGTTTAGACACAAAGGGACTCAGAGAGAGAAACAACGTCTGGCCGACCTTTATCTAAGGGCTGAAATTAAATATTAATCATAGAGTCTGACCCAAATCTATTGAGGCTACAGCTAAATCTTCTTTTCAACAGAGGCCTTTGTGGAGCTCAAAAGATGTAGGGAAAAGGGCCAGGGTGTCACACAGGGGAATAAGAAAAGGATCAGGAAGATTCATTTACTGGATAAGGAAAAATTAAAGGAATTTAGCATAGGAGTCAAGATTTTACTCAGAGAAACTAGATGGAAATGTAAACACTTTAATTCCATAGTCAAAGTAAAAACCTAAAGAACAAGGAATATTTTCTAATCTTATTTCCTGGTTAGAACTAGGGCAAATGAATCAAAGCGTGTTTTATGATATGTAAAATAAGTATTACTAGCAACACAATCACATTTAAATCAACAAGGAAGGCTGAGCATTGGAATACAAATGTCCTTAGAAGCAACTAGAAATTCAATAAATTGTTTTGACAATAAAGAATACCTTTTGAGATTTTCCTCTCTTCAGTTCCAAGATTTTTTTTGCCACAAAGGCACTAACATAAAAAAGAAGTTGTTAATTAAAAAAAAAAAAAAAAGGCCAGGTGCGGTGGCTCACACCTGTAATCCCAGCACTTTGGGAGGCCGAGGTAGGTGGATCATGAGGTCAAGAGATCAAGACCATCCTGGCCAACATGGGGAAACCCCGTCTCTACTAAAAATACAAAAATTAGCTGGGTATGGTGGCGCACGCCTGTAGTCCCAGCTGCTCGGGAGGCCGAGGCAAGAGAATTGCTTGAACCCAGGAGGCAGAGGTTGCAGTGAGCCGAGATTGCGCTACTGCACTCCAGCCTGGCAACAGAGTGAGACTCCATCTCAAAAAAAAAAAAAAAAAAAATTCTGACAAATGCAGACATGATGTACTTGCTAGAAGACATCCTATAAGCAGAGAGAACTGGGGTCTCACAGAGGTTTCAGACTGATTTTTTGAATTGGCAGAGCTTGTACATGATAAAAGAAAATCCAACAAGTATAAAAGGATATAAAATACAAACTAAGTCTCTAAAAATGTTCTTTTAATGCCCAGTTTTTTCCCGAAAATTAAAAATCCTTGAACTTATTTTAGGCCTACTTCAAGAATACATTAGGAGTAAATTTCTGTGTTTGTGCCAAGAAAGAAAATCTATTTGATCAATGTGTGGTGTTATTACAGTCACTTTCTATCTTAATTTTACTCTTCTTAAGTTACTTTTCCTCCTCGCAACATTTCGAGACATGACCATGGCAAAATCCTACCACCTAGTGGAAAAACTCTCTGCTCTTTATTCTAAATCCACTTTAGAATTTAGAATACATTAGCTGTTAGCCATTAACTACATATGTAGATCACTTTTAAAACTTACTTTTAAGAGAATGAGCTGTTCAAACATCTTTAATCAATGAAAAAAATGTAAATTTCAGTACCAAAAACTTCAGCAATGTTACCATTTCCAGATAAACAGTATATTTGAACTGAAGATCATTGTTAGGACTTTTTCCATTTTTATGTTCATTTAGTGTTGAGAACATTAAGATCTAGACACAAATGGGTGACATCAGGCACAGTTTTAATTGTCCTTTCATATTAAGCATGATAAATTCATATCCATACCTATCTATGGCAGTCATTCAAACTCAGAAATGATGTCTTTTCTCTTCCAACAGGTCTGTGAAGCAACTCCCATTCTTTTAGTAGATTTTGAGTTTGCTTTTTTTTTTTTTTACAAGGAATAAACAACAATTCTGTTTCTTTATAGATATAGATTTTCCAATGCTTTGTTTAGTTTGATTACCCAATCCCAGGCAATAGTCTTGAAGGCACAAAACCTGCTTTAGAAATTACAGACTGAGGCAATAGAGAAGAGAAGGGAAAGAGAGGGAAGTCAGAAAGCCAAAAATTATAATAAAATACAGAAATAAACAGCTATGAGGAAGAATTTAATATCATATGCTATAGATCCATGATGTGTTTTTAATTTCTAATCACTCAGATGAACTATGGAAAACCACCATATTCATCCATAAAATATCCTTGACTGCCAAAAGCAGAATCCTGGGCTAAATATCTGACCCAATATGGGTGGACTTTCTTTTCTTAGGTCAAAAATTAAGACCAAAGAATAAGTTGGTATGGAGCCAAAGAAAATAAATAGTCAAAAATCAATCAAGATTCAACTAAAGGTGAGTGCTAAAATAATTGGAAGTAAAACTACACCTAGGAAGCTGATACAAAATGGATGTAGGAAAAGCTTGAAAAAGGAAATGCCAAGTATACTGGGTCAGAAGCCAACCATGAGAAAAGAGTGGGTCTAATTTAGAGCATAACAGTTGCTGGGGGGTTAGCGAACCATCCAGTTATAAGCTGGGTCTCCTAAGATCAAGGCAGCCTAAGCTCTGCCTTCACATCCATGGCTCCTAGATCACCACACTCCATTTTAAACACTTTATTTGCTGAGGAAAAAATGAAAATTGGAAGGCATCCAGAGAAAACTAAAATGACCGTAGAAGGACAGTTTAAAAAAAATGTAAATGAATTAAAGATGGAAAATCTGTTTAAAGGACAACAAATGCAAAGAAGAAAGAATGTAGGAATGAAAGAATGTAGTGCACATTCAAATTTCTAACAAAAAGGATGAGAGCAGGCAGACAAAAAAACTAAACCCGGAGTGGTGGCACAGCCCAGTGGCGCAATGGCTCACACCTGTAATCCCAGCACTTTAGGACGCTGAGGCGGGAGGATCACTTGAGCCCCGGAGTTTGAGACCAGCCTGGGCAACAAAGCAAGACCCCATTCCTACAAAAAAACTTTTAAAAAATTATTCAGGAATGGTGTCACACACCTGTAGTCTCAGCTACTTGGGAGGTTGAGGCAGAAGGATTACTTGAGCCCAGGAGGTCAAGGTTTCAGTGAGCTATGATAGCACCATTTCACTCCAGCCTGGGTGACAGGTCAAGACCCCGTCTCAAAAAAAAACAACAACAAAAAAAGAATTAAACCTGGAGAAACCATAATGCAAAGACGTTCAGGGTCTTGGGCAAAACAAACCAAAAGACCAAGACGGTGTAAATCACAGGGAACATAGCAGAGCTTTATGAAGAAGAGAGGACTTACTGGCTGGGTATTTCTTTTTCTAAACTTCGTAAGTCAGGAATTGAGCTGAACACTGCAGAAAATGTCAGGAACACACAGACTTTCTTGTCTGTCAAATCTCTAAACTAGAGCAGTTTCTTCGGTTGTCAGCCTGTGCAGTTGCAGAGGACACTGTGCTTGGTTTAATATTCTGCTATTGCCATCTTGAAATTATTAAGAATTTATAAACACGGGGCCTGCACTGCATTTTCATTTTGCACTGGGCTCCACAAATCACATAGCTGATCCTGCACTAAATTCAGACTGTAAAGAATTCCACCACAGGCCAGGCGCAGTGGCTCATGCCTGTAATCCCAGCACTTTGGGAGGCCAAGACAGGCAGATCACTTGACGTTAGGAGTTCAAGACCAGCCTGGCCAACATGGTGAAACCCTGTCTCTACTAAAAATACAAAAAAATTAGCCAGGCGTGGTGGCAGGTGCCTATAATCCCAGCTACTGGGGAGGCTGAGGCAGGAGAATAGCTTAAACCCAGTAGACAGAGGTTCCAGTGAGCCGAGATCGCACCACTGCGATCTCCATCTCAAAAAAAAAAAAAAAAAAAAAAAAAAGAATTGCACCACTACCAGCAAAATGTCTCTTTTGTCCTACATCTGAAAACAAAACAAAACAAACAAAAACCAGACAAATTTGAGTAGAGAGTAAAGCAAGAACAAGGACAATCTATTCACCTCCTTTTCCTGCAAGACCCCCTTTCTGTCTCACCTGCTGACTGAGCTCCCCCTCATCATCCTTCCCCAGGACAGCAGCTGCAAAGTCAAGGAGAGTGGACCTTGACTGGACGAGCTGCATCATCAGAGTCCACTAAGCAATGGATTCCTCCACAAAGGTCACTATAAGTTAAGAAAAGCTTTCCCTGGTCAACTGACATCTCTAATCTTTCCAGGTTAAATCATTCTTCTTCATGAAGAATCCACAATCCACCTTTGAGGAGTAAACAGATGCATTTGCAAATAAGAGAAAGCCTAGGAAAATTAGAGGTTTCTTATCCCCAAGCAATTTTAATAAGGAGGAAACTGTAGGAAATACATATGTATATAAATACATTCCTAAAAGCTACTGTTTCTTTACTCATTTATTCAAAAAGCCTTCTGTCTGCCAGACACTGCTAGGCACTAAGGTTTCAAGGATGAAAAAGAGAGACATGGTCTCTACCCTCGTGGTGGTTACAGCCCAGTGGAATGCTGACTGTGAACCAGGAGTTATGCTAAGTGTTTCACAAACACGTGATCTCCTTTCAACCACTATAGGGTCAATGTTATCACCCTCATTTTCAGAGAGGAAGGAACTGAGAAAGAGGTTAAGTTTCCTTCCCAGGCCACACAGCTTTTAAGAATCAGAACTGAGATTCTAATCCAGTTCACCTGACTCCAAAGTCCATCTGGTGCCTGAAAATATTAGGGTAGGACTCCTTGAGGAAGCAAAACCAAAAACATTTTAGAGGGTCTGTTTGAGAAGACTGGATACATGCAGGAGGGATGTTGAAATGAAGGGATTAGAAAGAATATCCCAAAGAGAAGGGACTCTCTGAACAAAGACATCGTGGAAATAGCATGCTATAAAGAACCTACAAAGCAGGATTTGGGAACTATTAAAGATTTTTTACTAGGGAGGGTATAGATTTACATTTTTAAGAAGGTTATTCTAATGGCCTTGTGGAATGAGGACTCGAAAGAGACAAACCCAGAGTCTACGAGACCGGTGGGAAGTCTGTTGTGATCATGTGGACAAAACACAATTATGGGCTTAAGTAGAGCACAGACAGTAGGGATAGGGAGGAAGGGATGGATTTGAGAAATGTTTTAGCAGTTGGAAAGGGACAAATTGACTAGATAGAACATGGTCCCGGGTTAGGAATAGGAGACTGAATTAAGGACAGAGGTTAGTTCTTAAAACAAGCAGTTTACCTCGATGTGAGTCTTGAGGAAAAGCTAAAAGTTAGGGTGAGGTTGTAGGCAGTTCTGTAGAGACATCCAGAGAAACTCTCTGGATGGCTCTGTTATTCTCTCTAAAGGTAGGGTGACCAACTGTCCCAGTTTGCATGGGGCTGAGGGCTTTCCTGGGATAGCAGTTAGCTTATTGTCTGCTCAAGGAGATATCTGCCCTCCCCTGAACCATTCCAGCTCTTATTTTCTGGGCCATAAATTTGGGCACTTAACCATGTCTTCTTTCTTATTTTGCCATTGTGTGGTAACCTTGCTTCCCCACTTAGAGATAAGGTCCATGAGGGATGCACGTCTACATGATGAAAGCGTCTGGAGCTTAATAAATTCCTAGTGCTTCACGAGAAGATTCTTCCCAGAAGAGGCCTGAAGATAAGGTTACCTTGTGCAGACCTTCCTAAAAGTGGGATTGGAGAGCTCCCTTCTGAGGAAAATTCCTCAAATCCAAAAGAACCATCAGCCCCTCTCTAGAGCCAGCAGAAGGTCTTGTCTGGACCTCAGACTCTGCTTTCCCCCTTCTTTCTGCAAATAAAAAGATTAGCCACTCTCATAAATCCAGTGCTTACCAAGTGCTAGGCATCATTTTGTTCGATCATCACAGCAACTCTGTGAGATAAGTGTTATTCCCATTTTATCGAGGAGCTGACCAAGGCCCAGGAAAGGTAAATAACTTAGCCAAGCTCACACAACTTGTGAGCAGCAGAGCCAGATTCAAAGACAGGTCCTTCAATTCCAAAGTCCACAGTTTTCACCACTGTCTACACAGCCCTCTTAGCCTACTCATGGCCATTTCCTCCAGTTGCAGCTCCCAGTTGTTCTAGGTCTGATGCCACCATTTGCTCTCCCTCCAGTATCCCACACATACTCTATCCTCTCACTTTCCTTCTTTCTTTCAAATGGACCTCCTTCGCTTGAAGTACCCAACTGCCACCAGGTGTCCCTCCTCTCCTATTAGTGAACACCACTTTGCTGTAATTGCAAATCAGAGGCAATGCAGACAGCCTGGAAACTCTTCCAAGCTTAATTCAATTAAACAAATTCACGTTATTGAGCAATGTACTAACACGCTGGGGATGCCCAGACCAGAATCAAACAAAGGGAACAACACAAATACACGATTACAAGGCAAAATCTAAGAGGTTCAAATGAAGTTCTAGGCTCAAAAGAAGAGTGAATTGCATCAAGTTGGTGGGAAAACATTTATAAAATATTCCTTTGTGATTTTTACCAAGTAATATGGAAAGAACCTGGGTTTTCTAGCATCTCTACTGAAAGTTTTCTTTAAAAGGTCCCAGACTGAATGTCAAAGGCTGCCTCATGTCTTTCGTCAGTGTTTTTCTGAGTCTATAAAAAACTGTTTTTGAGCCTCTACATAAGTTTACAGTAATTCAGAAGCTGACCCTGACTTATGAATATTAAAGAAGTTTGCTAGGTTTGAGAAGGGGACACAGAGTAGAGTTCTAATTTAGTCTGATTCTGGCGATATTGAAAATCACTTTAGGGAATGACAAATTAGACATTTTTAGCATTGGAGAAGCCTTAATTGAATTATTAACTGGTTTTCAATTGTTTGGTCTGCTCCATTTGTTCATTAAACAATAAATGCTCTGTGGCAGCAGCACTGCACATTCAGAAGGAATGTTCCTAATGAAATAAGCCTGTTACAACTCATTACTTTGGGAATTCATGCATGAAAAATGAATCAAGTTTCAAAATTTAAAAGGGAATAGATGAGGCCAAGAAATGAAGAAGAATTAGGATCATGACTCTCTAAATTCAGGACTGCATTTCTCACAGATCATTTGTTCTTTAGCCACTTGGGAAGACATGAAATATCTCATGCCTGCCTCCATCTAAGAAGACTTCAAACACTGCCTGCCGCCTTGCAGGTGGGCTCTATATTTCATGCCATGGCTGCTGTCTCTGTTCTTATCCACCTTCACATCCTGCTCCCCACATTGCTGGCCAAAAAGCAAATGTCTACAGAAGAATTCCCAGCCATGTTAATGTTAATACTAATCTTGAAGGGGGAAAAAAAAGAGAAAATGAAGAAATGAAACAGAAGTAAATGCTTCCTTGAATTTCTTTCTGACCGATTATGTGACTTCTTTTGATTTCCCTTAAGTGGTGAGGGAAATTCAAGGGTAACACAAGTTTTGTCCAAATTGACTCATTTGCAAAGACAGAAAACTCAGCTAAATTTAAGACAAATTTTATTCTTTGCCGTTTTAGGAGTTGCACTATACTACATAACAGCCTATCTCTGCTCACTTTAACACTTGGTTTTGCTCCTCAGCTCCTGAGGAATAAATCAATCACTTGTCTCAGTTCATGGTGCATGACTGTCATTGGTTCCAATTGATTATTGAATATTTTAATATTGGTTGATTACATTTTTAATCCCACTAAATCTGAAGAGTAGAGTTGTTTCTAAGTCACTTATACGGCTAGATCAAATAAGGGACATCTGACCATCCCCAGAAGGGAATGTCAATCTTCTCCTATCACAGGGTCTAGAAAACGTCTTCAGAAGAAGACTCAAGACAGGAAGTTCCCACTCAAAATGATGGGACTTGGTGGATCCTGATGTAATTGATGTGGGTGGGATCAGGCAGGGGTGAGTCTAATGTGAGTCTAATGAGTCTAATTAGACTCATTAGGGGTGAGTCTAGGTGAGTCTAATGCCTAAGGGTCTCTCCCTTAGGCAGAGACCCGAGCAGCACTACTTTTCTCAACCAGATCTTCTCAGGCTCTCTTGGGGCAGTACGTAGAGCAAGCCCCTTGCCTGGGATCTCCTCGGGTCCCTCACCCTTCGGAGTTCCCAGGTGCTTGCTCAAACCTGCTATCAAAATAGCCCTCAACAGCCCCATAAACTGGAGCCTAAGCTCCGTGCAGTTGAGGAGGTCAAGACAAGTGGGACCGGAGGTACAGGAATGGGATGGAAATAAAGAGAAAATAAAAATGAGTGAAGGAGGAAGTGACAGGGATATGTTCTTCTGAACATATTTGGGGGTTCTTTGACAAGAGATTACTAGTGTTGCCTAAACATTCAAAATAATATCTACAGAATGGCCACCCTCTTTAATATACAATTTAAGTTCATTTAATTTTTTAGTGACCTGTAAACAACACAGAGACTGAAGGGCTTTGTGTCAACTCCCTTATTCTTACCAGCAGCAACACCCTCCCATGATACAGAAGAAAATGCTGAAAGTCAGGGGAATTAAGGAACATGATCAAGGCCACACTGTTACTCGTGCATAGAACCAGAATCAGAACCCAAGTTTATTCTGAATCCGTTATCTGTCCAGCCACCCAAACCGAGCACCAGAATCATCACAGCAGCACTTCATAACAGGAATTCCTAGTCCCACCCCATGCCTGCTAAGTCAGAATAGCCAAGGCCACAGTCCAAGAATCAGGGTCTTTCCAGCCTCTCAAGTGATACTCGGATGGGCACACTGAGGAACTGCTATTTCTGATTCATGATTACAGATCACTACTGGTTGCCTGTACATGGCTTATTTGCATGACCAGATCAGAAGCCTCTTTGAAGGGACCATGATTTCCCTGCCTCTGACACCCTTTGTAGTGTCCAGCACAGCATGGCACCACTGCTGGGCACAGTGTATATGCCTAGTACCCATTTATCAAATGGAATTTTCTTCTGTGTTGTTTTTTCATGTGCTTTTTAAAAAATCATTTTCATCCTCATAAAAAGTAGAATTACATTTCTGTAATGTTTTCCCTATGTAAAAAAAAAAAATTACTGATAAGTCATCTTCACCAAATAAGTGGCTGCACGGATTCCAGTAAGAACATTTTTATGTTTCCTTAAAAGAAAATACACTGCCTGACCACAGTTCTAAGGCTCTCTCTTCTTTTCACAGCTTCTTGGGGCCAAACTCATTCACAGAGGGGATAGATTACCAGTCTTTTCTGATGATCGATCTCTTTTGCTTATCCTTCTCTCCTGAATATAAATAGGGTCATTATGTTAAGCTGGAATAAAATTATTTTTATGCCCTGACTCAAGGAGAACTTGTTTCCATTAATTTTTTTTCTAAGCAATAAAAATTTGTTACAACATGATGGTTTGCACAATATACTCCAAGATACCTCAGTTAGTCCAAATGACATGCGCACCAAGATTCTCCCCTTTTCCCCAGGCTATTGTTACCCAGAACAAAACAGTTGTTTTGTGTTATTTTCATATCTCCTTGTTGCTTTGTTCTTGCTTTGGGGATTGGTGCCCATTGACAGAGTCCTGGCCAGATGACCCTGGTCTATTCCTGAGTGATAAGTTCCCTGTACCCCTTAGGTTGCAGCTCAGTGGCCTTACTAGAAGCCAGGGCCTCCTAGTTCCAGGTAGCTCCAAGATCCAACAGCCTCCAGGTGTCACAGCAGTGCACGGTATGCAGAGCTGGGCCAGGCCCACCTATAGGTGGTTACCAACACAGAACAATTTTGTGGGGCTATAAGAAAATTCTTCCAGGGTCCTCATGGCAGAATACAAAGTACATGACATTGCACCTGGAGTCAGAAGATATGTGTGATCCTCCCATAATGGCTGGCAACATCAGGAAGGGTGTGGAGATAAAGTCTGTTACTAGAACAATCATCTCTCTCTCAGCCTCTTGTGAACACAGCCAAAGTCCAAAGAATGGTGCAAAACTCTCTTTTATTTTCCTATCAGGACATGTCTTGGTTCGGCTGTCCCTTCTATTCCTTTTGCTTCTCCTGGGCCTTACCTTAGTGTCCCACTCCCTCCTCCCAGTGCACCCTGTGGGTCAAGCCCTTAGCCCAGGGCAGACAGACAGGTTCCTGGCTCCATCGCAGGTAGGTAAATGTGGATCCTTATGTTCTTCAGACTAGATCATTTGGAAAACAACAAACCCTCCTGCTTATACTGATCGCCTGTTATACCGTAACTTAACGAGTTATTTTGCTAAAAGACTCTCACCCCATCATCCTTGCTCAGAAGAGATCAGGGTGGCTATCATCTTAAACCATGCCACAAAAAATGTTTTGTCCTTAGTCTCACCAATAGAGGTTTAAATGTAGCCGGTTATTTCCACTATGCCACACCTACTACTTTTAACAATAATATCATTATAATAACAACTAACATTTATTGAGTTAGTCCTTT
Organism: Homo sapiens; assembly: GCF_000001405.40. Taxonomy (NCBI): domain Eukaryota; kingdom Metazoa; phylum Chordata; class Mammalia; order Primates; family Hominidae; genus Homo; species Homo sapiens. Next base: position 112,491,823 of record NC_000007.14, on the reverse strand, counting down.
ATATTTTTAAGTCCTTTATATTTATAACCTTTTTTAAGCCTCATAATAATACTATGAAATCAATTTTCTAATTATTCGATTTTACTGAAAACAAAAAATTAAGTTAATTTCCCCAAAGTCACAATAAGTGGTGGCACCAGGATTCAAACCAGGATGTTGGATCCCCTAGTCCATGTTCTCAACCACTGTATTTGACTACCATAGGATTATCTGTAGCCAGCCAATACTTTTTAAACACGTCCAATGGAAGTTGTTAATTTGTGAATCGAATACCCAATACCAGGGGTTGTTGTGACTGAAGTCTTCCAGGCTGTGAGGGTCAGAGGCATCACCACACCTCTGTCTGTGCAATACAGGCAGGACAGTACAGATAAAAAACATTGGCTCCAAAAAGATGAATAAAATGATTTATCAGACACTATTTTATGTTGTAAAAACCATAAATTTCTTGGAATAAAGGTTACAACTGAGGATGAAATATATCCACAGTTTAGATAGAAAAGGGAGAAAAGTATAATAAGGGCATACAGAAAGGAAAGAAATAAGTGTTTTTTTTTTCAAAGAGTTGTTGCATCAGATCATCAGTTTCTGAAACAACTTTACAACGAATCGTGATAACAAATGATTTTTGCCATACCCTATCAATAGGTCAAAAAAGACTTTCCAATAATTGAAAATTTCACGTTTTAACAGTGTTCTGCAAGATATCTATCAATTTTAAGAAAAAGAGTATTAATACAAATGGTTTTTGAGTGCAAAACTGGGTAAGCAAAATGTGTTTATTTCATTAACTATTTAGTATTGTAAAGTGAATGCTTAATATCGTAGTAAACCCAAATGTTTTTGATCAATCCAAAATGATAGAATCATAATACATTCTTCAATTGACCGGTAGAATATTTTTATATTAAATAAAAGATTTTCTAAGACTCATATGCTTTTTAAACTCATTTATTTCACACTGTGTCTTATGTCATATGCTGTGTGTCTTACTTTCATTGCTGGAACTAATGCAGGTTCCAAATATTCTAACTACATAATTTCCTAGTGCAATTTAGGAAAGGCCACAAATCTATCAGATTTCTTCCAAATCAATCAGCAGGGTGCCAAAGGGGTTTTTTCATGAGAAACAAAATACACAAAGTTTATATAATTACATATAACTGTCCATCTCCTTTCTTTATCCTGCACTCTTATGTGAGCTCCTCTTGAGTAGAGTGATTTGCACAGAGTAGGAGCTTAATAAACATTAGTTGAATTAATTAGGCTTTCCCTTTTGACTCTCAGCCCCACATAACTACTGCTCATGTTTTCACCAGCAAACACCAGACAGCAACTAGCTCTGGGGCCCACCCATCACTGTCCCTGGGGAAATAGAGTCAAAGTCTAATCACCTGAGCAGAATCCCTCTTATTGAAAAGAGTAATCACCTGGTTCCCTTCAATACATAAAACTCAATGAATTTCTCAGGCTTTCCCAGATATCTGTAAAGGTGCATGAGGTGTCATGAACTTCATTGACACAGTGAACTTGTTCTGGTAGCAAAGCTCCTTCTGTAAGAAGTTGGACGTACATAGTCAAGTTCTCTTGCTTTGTTGATTCTCCTCCCTGCTAGCCGCCCACCCCATTAAAGTTGAAGTGCCCTACCATAAAAGGGGGCTGAGACAAGTTCACCCCTTTTTAGTTGCTATTCCCATACCCACTTGCCTTGGAATTGCTCCCATCTTGCTGCAGAAAGTGGGCCCCAGGGGTGGGTTGCCTGACCAGATCATCTGTTGCCTGAGGAAGTGCACTTTCTCAGTTCCTAACCCTGTACACTCCCAGGAAAGTAAAAAGCTCAAGGTGTTAGCAGGTGCTTTCAGAAAATCATTCCTTTAGTTTTGTTCAGAGTCCAGTTGGTTGAGTTGGTTGAGTCGCTTTACGATCATGTTATTGATTCTCTTAAGATCATCTATGTCTTTTCCTTCAGCTGTTAGTCTTCTTGACACATCATCCATCTTGTTTCCAGTTTGAACTTCAAAACAGAAAACAGACTGTGTTACATTGGTTTCCACTGTGTTCCACTGAAATTCATCAGATCCCCATGTTGGTGCTCAGCTGATGCTGAAAGACACTCTTGGCAAATCCCCTGTTCCCATATCCATGCATGCCAGAAGCCCAGTAGAGAAACTGGTGAAGGCTGAAGTTGCCTATCCAGTGAATTGTTTTTACAATCTCTTGGTGCCAACCTAGACTACCTTTGGCAACTTCACACCAATTATGGCTAAAAAAGACCTTGCTGTGAGCAACCAAAGGAAGCTGTCAGCATGTTTGATTATCCTCCCAGAAGTGATTGCTATGTTGCTTTATTTTGAGACCCATTCTCAGAAAAAGGTTTTTGCTCATTTGAGAAATTACATTCTTTGGGTTCCAGCCTATTTTGACATAAGTCTGCTTGTTCTGAATTACCAGCCCAAAATGAATGTGTAATAATTCCCCCTCAGACCACCCATTAGAATGGAAGAACAATATTTTCCAAATACACAGGACCTTTGGCAATAAGATACGGAATGGAACACTTTGAGGTTTGCTTATCAGAGTTAAATTTTCTAAGATGGCTAGAGGAAGGATTTAAGATAATAAACTTAATGTATCTAACACAGAGCAATTATCCAGTAAAAAAACACTCTTCTTTATTCACCTGATCTTTCTGTTTCTCATTTAATATGACTTTGTTCTCAATAAAAAACACTCAAGGCAAATATAAAATAAAAGCTATTCATAAAAGTGGAACATAGTGATGTTGATAAAGTACATAGTCTTTGATGTCAAGTGGAGTATCCTTGAGCCCCATTTTGGCACTTATTAGCAACGTGACCTTGGGCACATTAATAGATCTCTCTAAATCTCAGTTTCAGCACTGGTAAAACCAAAATAATAATGGATTTGGCTGGGCACGGTGGCTCACGCCTATAATCCCAGCACTTTGGAAGGCCAAGGCGGGAGGATCACCTGAGGTCCAGATTTCGAGACCAGCCTGGCCAACATGGTGAAACCCCATCTCTACTAAAAATACAAAAATTAGCTGGGCATGGCGGCTCACACCTGTAGTCCCAGCTACTTGGGAGGCTGAGGCAGGAGAATCGCTTGAACCTGGAGGTGGCATTGCAGTGAGCTGAGATCACGCCACTGCACTCCAGCCTGGGCAACAGTGAGATTTCATCTTAAAAATAAAAATAATAATAATAATAATAATGGATTCTACACTACAGAGTTGTTATGAGGTTGTGAGCAAAGAGGTATCAAGGGCTTAGCACAGTGTCTGGGACAGAGTAATGACTCAATATATAGCATTTGGTATTATTTCCCTCAATCTTGCTACTTATCTCACAGAAAAAAAGAATTTGGCAGAGGGTTGTTTACATGTCTGTAGACATACCTAAAATTTCCTAATAGTTTAACTCCGTCATTACCCCCAGGCGGGTGTGGCAGGATGACATGCCCAGTATTAATTTATGTTGGAGTAACGGTTCAGAATACTAGCGCATGTGCTCTTTCTGGCATTGCTGGTTCAGTAGCCAAGCCTCCCCTAATTCATCATCAGATGCAAGTTTGCAACTATTGTAAAAATAGTACACATGTTAGCTTCTAAATGCAAAAGGTCATCAGCCCGGTGCAAGAGAAGCAATTAAACATGACCCCTCCCTCCCAGTCCCAACCCTTTTCTCCAGAGGCTAGATAAAGACCTTCAAGCTGTAAGGAGGGAGGAGTCTTTGGGGGAGGAAATGGGATTGGAAGCGGTGAAAGGGTCATCATGAACTCTGCCCACCTGTCTTCTCTCATCGTCATCATCACCTCTGCCTCCTCTAATCCTGAATGAAATTAAATTAGAGCCCTTCCAAAGGCTACAAAGCACTCAAGGGTGAAAGAAATGACAGTGCAGTGCACCCAGGCAAAAAGGTATCAAAGATGACACCTTCCCTTAGGCTCTGTCTGCTCTTAAGTCATCTGGAAGAGAATCAAAATAATTCCAGATGAGAGAGGAAACTGGTGGGCTCTGTGGGAAGAGGCAACGCTCAGAACGGGAAGACAGCACCGCAGGTGGACAGCACCCCTCCCACATCCAAGGCAGAGAGGAGGGTGGCGCTGAAGGCTTGAAGGATCTCTTGACTGAGAAGCTGAGGTGGGGAAGCCTGAGTCACCACTCAAGGTCACGACATGCATGGCCCAGGCCAAGAGCAGACAAAGCAGGTTATATTAGGAGTAGGTTGCCTGGACAGGATCAAATTGGAAAGAAGCCACCTTTATACATCTCCAACACTGTCTCTGGGGCCTTGCACAAGCCCTCAAGTGCTTCTCATTGATGTCTAGGATGATATGCAAGTGAGAAAACCTGGGAGCGAGTTCAGTTCGAAACCTCAATGTTTCGATGTTATAGATCTGAATTTAGTGGAGAAATCTAGGCATTGGATAAAGTAAAGCTAGAATCAACCAGAATAAGTTGCCTTCCATTGGGCAGCTAGAGGCTCCAAGTGAGAAACTAAAGTGCTATAGAATTATTTAACATACATATTCATGGACTTCTGGCACTATGGGCTTCTGCAGTGGGTTTGTGGCCAAGGGACCCTGTCCTCAGCCAGTGGTGTTCACTCAAGGCATTCCTTCTTTTTTCAATGTAAGCATTGATGACCAGGAAGCATTGACTGGAGGGTGCAAACTTTGTGGGAGCAAAGTTAACCAGCTATGAATAAATGCATACAAGTAATAAAAAAGAAACCTGTGGTGGTACTTACCTATTAGAAATATCACGAAAAAAACCAGTGCCAGGCTGACAATCAGCACAATTAGCAGCCCCACAAAAAACAGACTCCGGCTTCCATTTCCTGAGTTTGTGCCAAGGACTGGGATTTTGTCCTCTAGAGCTAATATGAAACAAACAAAAAACAAGGACAAAAACTGCTCAGCATACAACTTGTCAGCAGAACTGAACAGTACCCCAGTGTTAGACCGTGAGTAATGGACACACCCACTTTCTCTCTGACAAGCCTAGAAAGTGACTCTTTTTTTTTGAGACAGAGTCTTGCTCTGTCAACCAGGCTGGAGTGCAGTGGCTTGATCTCGGCTCACTGCAACCTCTGCCTCCCGGGTTCACGCCATTCTCCTGCCTCAGCCTCCCGAGTAGCTGGGACTACAGGCCCCCGCCACCACGTCCCGCTAAGTTTTTGTATTTTTAGTAGAGATGGGGTTTCACCATGATATCCAGGATGGTCTCAATCTCCTGACCTCATGATCTGCCCTCCTCGGCCTCCCAAAGTGCTGGGATTACAGGCGTGAGCCACGGCGCCCGGCCGTGACTTCTGTTTTAGGAATGTCTTTGGGCACAGAGAAATTTGTGAATTATTTACCTTCTTCTCTATTGGTATTCAAGGAATAAGCAGGGTTAAGCTATCTCCTTAGACCTCTTTGGAAAGTTCTTTGAAGACTGTCTTAACACTGAAATAGCAGAACATGAATTTTTGTGTGTGGGGAGAGGGAATATAGAAGTTAAAGGCTAAGAGTGATAGAAGTTCTATTACCCTTTCCCAAAGTAACCCAGGAGTAAAACAGAGCTGGTTGTGGGATACCTATGCTGGGTGGAAGACTCAATTGAATGCTCTGGGATATTTCCCTGGAAACTTCTTTTATTATAGGAATAATCAGTTAAGCCTACATCCATTTAAACAAAAATGGCCCTGACCTATTTTGGTTTTTTAAAGCTGTCTTCTGGATGGATATGCTCTGGAAGCAACGTTCTTTTAAATGCTTTGCAGTTGAACTGAGAATGCAGCTACATTTTATCGACAGCTTGGTTCACTCAAACCAAGAATTGACTGCATTTAATCACCGTTTTGCAAGATCTAGTTGCCTAATAACACCCAGATTATTTGTTGCAGTGAATAAGCAACGCAGAAACCTGGGGTAGTGGAGATCACTGGATTACTTTTTGCATACTCTCCTACGTTGAATTGGTCCCACTCACTGTGCCACTTGATTATGGACAGATGGGTGGCTTATGTCCCATGCCTTATAAGTACATCCTATGCCATACGCTTCAGCCACTTTTGCTTCCTAATCAAAGCAACAGCATAGGGCTGACACCTAAACTTCTACTGCTATTGAGACTGACAGCAATAAAAACAGATGAAAATTTGAACTTATTAAAATGAAGAAAAAAAGGAGGAACTTGGAAAGGATTTAGACAGGAAATAATAGATATAAAATTGGAACAGTAAGTTTAGAGTGCATATGAAACAAATGGCAAGTGAGCAATTAACACTGGTGTTTGAATGTCAGCATTTAAGCTAGAAAAGATGGCACTCAGAGTGATCTGATAAAGCTCATTTATAATATTTAGGAGGCAAGATACACACTTAGTATTTAGCAGATTTTATTTTGCTCCCCCCACCCCCTTTCTCCAACCCTTAATTGCACAATTTGTAACTTGTAAGTAGAAAATGCTCTGGATTGAGCATTCTCTCAGCAATCTGCTATAAAACAACACTCCTGTGGGAAGTGGTCCCCATCGGTAACCTAGCCATGGTCACTAGGAGAGGGATGAGCCAGCCTCCAGGAGTCCAGCTCTGCAGGCTCCACCCCTTTCCAGGGACAGAAACGCCACAGGATCTCAGAATATTTGAAGTCAAGAGTTCAAATCTCGTGTAGGATCCAAGAAAGCCCATAATCCTGTCAAGTATTCAGAAAACAAAAGCAAAATTGCCCAACAACAAATAACATTTCCAGTGCCAACCTCTTCCTAATGCCCCCTCCCCCTCCACCACACCCACACATCCAGTCAGCAGTGGCTATTTTTAGGTAGCCTAGAAGCTAGGAAGGGCTGCTGTGCCTTCCCCAGCACACATACGGAACAGATGCTGCGATCCGGCTGGACAGAGGTTTAGTTTGTTTAAGTCATTTATGGAATCCACCACATAAAGCTTTCCATCTTCCTGAATGCCACAAGAACCAGTGTCCTGGGAAGAATGAGTCATTGTCCCTGGAAGAAAACACTGATGTTAAAAACAAGAGGTTGGGCTTGTGAACTCAACTTCACAAGAACCACAGCCACCAGGAAGCCAGACAGGCCTATGAAGAACCACCCACAAATAGTATTTTCAACTAAGGCTCTAGAGAACTTGGCTTATCCAGAAAAAAATATTTCCTTCTGTGGACCACTTTGTAATCGTTCTTTTTGCTTTGCTTGCCAGGAAGCTCACAGTCAAATGTGTGGCCCAATTTTAAGAATTGTACATCCATGTATACCCTGCTTATCTGCAAACACTCTTTTCTCCTCCTCAGATGTCTCAGTTCTGCCTATATTTTCCCTGGATCTGTTTTTATTTTGTAACTAATTTTAAAATTTTTCTTTTATTACATTGTTCACATTCTGGTGAGATGCCTCAAATCCTTTGTGCAAGAAGACTAGGTAGACAAAATTAAGCTAGTCAGCAGTGGCCACAAAACATTCTGAAAAAAGAGAATATTACCATGAACCATTCTAATTGCAGGAGGCTTTAATAGAAAATTGCAATTTTTATAGCCTCCCTCCATATGGCATGTAAGTCCTTCTCTTCACACAATTCCTTTAGCCATAAGATGCTGACTGTGAGTCCCCAAGACAACAATCTTAGCAAACTTAGCTGCTATAGAGAGGAATGCTGCTAGACTTCAGGACCTCTGAGATCTCTTCCACCTGGGTTTCCCTTAGACTGAGGTCACTTATGTAATAGCTTGAGGTTTATTAAATATTGAAAGTAATATTCTCTAACGACAGCACAACTGCAAGCAACACTGAAAATCCTGAAGAGTTTAAAAGGTTTATGTGGAGATGTATCTCTAGCACAACAGAGAACTTGTGGCCATTTAATTATGTGAAAAGAAGCCTCTAGAAAGACAAATTTCAATTACTATAAAAGCTTTTCCTTTCATGGTTATCAAGTCTAATCGTGATAGAGGATGTTTGGATCTAGAAAGGGTGTTAGATGTGCTTTAGTTCCCATCCTTTCCGCAAATGAGGAAATGGAAGCTCGGCGAGGTAAATGCCCAGGATCACACATTTGCCTGGCAGCAGAGCTGGAATCGGGCCTTTTGTTCAGCATTCAATGAGTCTTGCTTTGTGCTACTTTTCTTTTCTATATCCCTTCCTAATCCTGCCTCAAGACTCAGCTCAAACATCACTTCCCCTAGGAAGAGAGAACCAACCTGTCTTTCCTTTTGCCTTTGCTGGATTCTTTACATTCTTCTATCAGAACATCTGTAGTATTTTATTGCATCTATTTGCTTACATCTTTGATTTCCCGATAGACTGAAAACTCCTTAGAGTAGGGACGAATCCTATTCTTCAAATGCCCAGTGCCAGGTTTAGAAGTTGGTGACTTATGTTAAGATGGAACACCTGAAATGTTTATTTAGGATTTAAATCTCACCATTTTCAAAAGAATTGGAGGCAGTTAATAATAAGTACATGAACAGAAATAAGATTGAGGATAAAAATCCTCATGTGATGTCTATCTGGACTCTAGTAAAGTCAATGCGATAAATATGGTGCCTGTGTGTATTTGACAACACACTGTTTACTTTCTGTTGTTGCAAAAATTTCCTTTAAAACTCATCTACAGAATGAAGAGCAATATAGAGTTGGGAGAAACCAAATTCATAAAAAAAAAAAAAAAGTATACACCTAAAGAAGATGTGGGGAAAAAAAGTATCAGACACTTACTGAGCAATTTAAACTTAGTCTAAAATATTAAAAAAACAATTTCCCAGTAATACCTAAAACTACTGGTACTTGTGAAAAATGTGCTACCAGAACCCTAGCTAAGAAAGTGAGCTCAAAAAGTCATGGACTAAAAATTTTTTTTAGGGTTAAAACTAAAAAAGTGTGTTTCACTTATCTTGAAATTTTAATTAACAAGAACAAACAATTCCCTGAGTTTTCAGATAAGATACTACCATAGCACTTTATTGACATTACTGAATTCCAAATATACTTCATAGAGCATTCCTAAGGAAATGACTTGATATGACAATTAAAAAAAATTAAAAAGCAGCAGCAAATAGAGTAAAAGGGCCTTAGAGGTCAGTCAAATCTTATCCTTTTGCAGTTAAAACCAAGGCCCCAAAATATTCACTCATGCATAGTCACAGATTTTAAAACAATTCTTTTAGATGTGTTTCATATTTTATCATCCATTTATACTAATATTTGACCAAACAGTAATATGTGACCAGGAAAAAAAGTTTTATGTGTCACATCACAGGACCACTGTTCTGCACACAGCTTCTATTTTAGGTGTGGTAACTGAAGCATGGTTCATTTTTGGATCTCTGACTTAATAGCCTTGAGCCTTAGCTTCCCCTTCAGGAATGTATCTGCTGTTGCTTCAATTTCATACTGAGGCTTAATCAATGTTTACAAAATAGAGACCTAGCTAGAAAATCATGGCCACAAAAACTGACTTTAAGAGTACAGCTAATAAAATCTCCATATTACTGGTCTTGCTATCTACTCAAAAGGTGACTCCAAAAAAAACTAAGACAACAACCTAGTGAGCCATGACGTGCTTTGAAAGAAAATGTCTTCTTTAGAGTGAAGTCACAATGTAAATATATGCTATTCCAATATTTTTTTAATGAGCTGCAACACGCAAATGGAAAAATAAAGAACTAGCAGAGAAAACTGAGTTGGGTGCTGTTCCAGGGCTCCAAGAGCCTGCAAATGACTTGCAAATGACTCATGAGGCTGCTAGTAAAGGGATACAAGATCACATGGCCTTAAAACCAGGCCCCACGGCTGTTTGACACCCAGTAGTTGCTATCTTTGGCATCTCCAAATGAGGGCATCTAGGAACAACCAGCAAGGCTGGAGAAGCCAGTGTTACTAGCAATTCTTCATCACACTAACTTGACCCTCCTTTCAACTCCAGTGTGCAAATTTGCTTATTCACCAAGATTGGCTAAAGCAGCATCCCTTTAACAGAACCCTTTCTTATACCTTGACTGGAAACATGTAAGTAATTTCATTTTCCTCTGGTTTAGATCACTGCTAACAGTTGATTTTTTGTCATTTAAGAATTCTTTGACTATTTACAAATAAATATTCCAACAAATAAAGATAATTGTCTATGAAAAATTGCCTGGTGCTTTATTTTTTAACCAGGCAGGTGCTTGGTATCAAACCACAGAAATAACTCACACCAGTATTGCTTGCCACAAAATCAGAATTGTTATAATAGGGCATAATTCAAAGCTAATAAGCAGTGTTATTGAATGAGTCATGGTAATTTGTTCTTTAATTTCATTTCCCAGTCAATGCCTCTTCACATTCAGGAAGTAATTTTTAAAATCAAGTCTAAATCATTTCTATCAAAAATGAAAAACACAGAGCACATGCAACAAAAACTTCCCAGACTCGAGAATCATAATTCAGTCTCAGTAGAGTAATAGCATGCAAATTACTTACAAAAATGTGAGCTTTGACTGCTAGGTTACCAGAAAAACAAAACAAAACAAAACAAACAAACAAAAACTAATTGTTCAGAAGCAACTACAACAAAACTTTTCTACAAATTCTGTAGTTCTCTCTTTGCCTTTCTTCAGCATACGGGTGCTCCTATGAGACCCATAAGCCCCAGGATGAAACTGTTGGTCTATATTGTGTCAATTTAGCCAAGCAGTGTAAGATTCCAAATCCTGACTTTTTTCATAATGTCTAAGGTTTTTAGTAAATATATTACTAAAACTATGCTTTAAAAAGAAAACAACAAAAAAACACCATGCCCTGATTTAGTTGGTAACTGATGAGGTTTTTATTGGACTGAAGTTACCGTCCTTATCTGGCTGAAGCAACTGTTAGCTGACACCACCTTTCCAGCACTCCTGCCATGGTATGCTTCCATATATAAATATCCTGTAGCAGGCGGAAGCTGCCACTATGATGACTGACTTGCAAACACTCCAGACAAACCAGAGAACTGCAATAAACACGGACAGAATATGATTATGACATCATAACAAGGATGATGGCAGGTCAGACGCCTAGTGCTTCCAGTAGCTACAAAAAGCGATTGTGAGTGGGCGATTTCATGGATACAGACCCACCACAGGTGAAGGAAGCACTCCATCTCATCGGCCGCCTTTCCTTTACAAAGGCTTTGTTCTGTGAGTGTCTGCACATCCTCCTTTCTCAGGAATAACAGCCTTCCATATATGTGGTTCCCTCACATACATGCCAAGGAGCTTCTGCCCTCTGCTGTACATAAAAGATGCTACAGTGATGAGGAGACCAACTATCTCAGCAGGATACTAACAGTGAGGTTGTGAACAACTGTGCAATCCTTTATCATCCTCACTTCCATTGCCATAGCTTGATGGACATTATTCATCTTTGAAACATTTTTCATGTCAGTGAGAAAATAGGTGTTCCACAAAATTTTCTTTGAGACAGAGTCTTGCTGTGTTGCCCAGGCTGGAGCGCAGTGGCATGATCCCAGCCTACTGAGACCTTCCTGCTTCCAGATTCTCCTGCCTCAGCCTCCCAAGTAGCTGGGATTACAGGTATGTGCCACCATAGCTGGCTAATTTCTTTATTTTTAGTAGAGATGGGGTTTCACCATGTTGGTCAGGCTAGTCTTGAACTCCTGACCTCAAGTGATCCACCCACCTCGGCCTCCCAAAGTGCTGGGATTACAAACTTGAGCCACCATGCCCGGCCCAAAATTTTCTTTACACCTATATCCCATACGGACCTCACTCTGCTTTGGGGGAAGAGGAATGTCATTTTTTTTTTCCCTTCACACTACCTAGTCTAAGAGGGAATGTCATTTTTTCAAGCCTCATCTGTACCCAAAGACTAATTCTTGGAGGAAGACAATATAACTAGTAACTTTTCTCAGAAACATACGTTAAAAAGCTATGTCAAATTTCTCTGAATAATGAAAATGTTCATGTTAGCTATTATGCTGTTTTTAAGAAATCTCCCAACTACCTGATCTGCCTTGAGCCATGTATCCTTTGAAGATATAATAGAAGTAACTGCCTCATTTTGGGGCGTTTACTACTTTTCCTCTCCTGTAACTTCTAACTTTGTGGAATATTAACTTCCCCTGAAGGAGGAAGGAAATGGAGACTAAGGAATTTAATTGTTGAGGGATACACTGATTATAAGTGGCAGAGATGAGATGTAAACCCATACCTCGCATTCAAGTCTGAATTGAACTATACACCAGTGAGGGGGATAAGACTGCCTTTAGACCAGTTAGACTTCTGGAAAGCCACTTAAGAACAAAGCAAGACAACCTACTTCATTTTAACTATAACATACCTGCAAGACCACCTTTAAGAAGAGTTTTGGGGCCGAGTGCGGTGGCTCATGCCTGTATTCCCAGCACTTTGGGAGGCCGAGACAGGCAGATTAACTGAGGTCGGAAGTTCGAGACCAGCCTGACCAACAAGGAGAAACCCCATCTCTACTAAAAATACAAAATTAGCCGGGTGTGGTGGCACATGCATGTAATCCCAGCAACTCAGGAGGCTGAGGCAGATTATACCATTGGACTCCAGCCTGGGCAACAAAAACGAAACTTCATCTCAAAAGAAAAAAAAAGAGTTTTGGGTCACAAAAAGAGATATTCTCACATGAAGTGTCTAATCTAGGGACATTCTCAAGTATTTGCTTTTTCTTTCATATATTACATCTCAGGGTATCTAAATTCACTCCCAGGAAATTTAGTACCCATCAAAGAGGAGTCACAGACAATGAATACTTCAAAATGCTTGAGCCTCAAAATAATGAAAGCGGGCAAAATTAATCAAGAATCAAGCAATGAACAACTAGTCTATAACACAACATTTTTCTACTTTCAAGAAAACACAAGCATTCTTACACATTGAACACCCAGCCACCCTTGTCTAGCAGTTACCACAAGTTTCATGAATAAAGTCACCTGCATATAAATTCAACATGCAGATTAACACTCTATACCTTCTTCCTCCCAAAAGCCCAGTAAAAAAGCAGGAGTACAAATTACAAAACCAGAAAAATTAAAATAGGAAGAAACAATACTGAAGAGCTCAATAAATGTATTGAACATGGTAAGAAGAGTGGTATCTGCCTTAGCAGGGCTATCACAGATGAGTGACAGTAGGACTGATCCTGCAGAATTCAGGCAGGCCTAGGATTTAGAGGCAAGAGTGTGGCATGGAGCTACACAGAGGCAAGTAATTTAATGCTAGCCAAAAACAAAATGCAATACAAATTGGAAAATTGTCTTAGAGAAATATCCCAGACAGAAAAAAAAAAAATAAATAAGGCCCAAGATTCAATTTGGGAGCTCCACTATGTCATAGAGTTCCAGAACAAAGAAAATGAGGAGGAAGAGAAGAGATGAAGAACTTAATATTTTCCAGGTTGCCAATCCCACCAAAGCACAGTATCATGCAATTTTAGAACACTAGAAACAGAGATGCTGAGAAAACAAAGAAATAAAAATAAAAACTGCATCAGATATCTCAAGATTTTGCAAATTAGAATAGAGCAATGCCTTCAAAATTCTGAATTTGAATACACTTGTCAAAATTTTCAAAAATTCCAAATTTGATTTTCCACCTAGAATTTCCATGCAAACTATCTTTCAGAAATATGAAGTCACTAAATAACTGACTGATCTCTCACGCACTCATTCCCAAGAAACTACTGAAAGAAGTGCTCCATGTTAACAAAGAAGTAAATTAAGACATGGGATCCAGAAAATGAGGGATACAATTCAAGAGAAAGAAAAACAAATCCTCACGATAGTGCTGTCTCAGGAAAACTGCTATACAATTGGATGAGAGAAACTAGTCTAGATTGAAACAAGTACAGAATCAAGAAAAGTTGTGACAAATTTATTTGGGACTGTTTGGGAAGAATCAATGATGTGCATAAAAAGCCAAAAAAAAGAGCATTAACTCCAAGACAAAACGTTGTATGAGAATGAAAATGTAAGCACATTAAATTAATTCACGAGTGAACATACAAGTATGATCACAGCTATGCAAACAGGTACATGATCTAACCAAAATAATATTAGAAGGATGTGAAACAATAAAAGAAATTTTCACCTGTCTTAATAGTAAGTTGACAAACACCTAAAAAATAAATGGCTGTATAATCATATTATTTAGAAACCTAAAACCAAAAACTGAAGGCTGAAAGAACCGAGCTAGAAAAAACTGAAGGCTGAATGTCTCTTGGGATGGGACTGAGGAATAGGAAAGGATGGAGCAAGGGGCTTTCCTTATTAGCCTTGAAGTACCATTAAACTATGTTCAGGCTGGGCACGGTGGCTCATGCCTGTAATCCCAACACTTTGGGAGACCAAGGCGGGCAGATCACTTGAGGTCAGGAGTTCAAGACCAGCCTGGCCAACATGGTGAAACCCCATCACAACTAAAAATATAAATTAGCCAGGTGTGGTGGAACACACCTGTAATCCCAGCAACTCAGGAGGCTGAGGCAGGAGAATCGTTTGGACCCTGAAGGCAGAGGTTACAGTGAGCCAAGATTGCGCTACTGCACCCCAGCCTGCGCAACAGAGGGAGACTGTCTCAAAAACAAACAAAAACCTATGTTCATACAACACTTTAATAAAAATTCATTATTTATTTATAATTACATGTACATACATATATGCATTTGAATATCTAGAAGAAACTACCATTTGCAATCTCTTTTCCATGGTTCTAACCTACTTGGAACATAACCAAGTGACAACATACAAACAAGTTCTAGATTCTAAACCTGTTTTCCACTGCACTGTAACTGGGGGATGGGACTCAGCAACAGTGACTCCATAAGCCAGCAAATGATTTTCACCTAGAGGGAGCACCAGACTTCCAAGAGTTGTTGGGATGTGGGAGGGGAACACTAGTTTGGAAAAAAGACCTTAAATGATTTTGATACTTCTCCCTACAGTATATATGCTTCCCTACCCCTCACGGCGACCTACAGCAAGAGTATCAAAGAAACAAGTCTACGGATTTGAAATGGCATGTTGCTTGCACTATATATTTTAATCTAAAGTTTATTAAATGTTAACGTGTTGTCAAAATGCTTTTCATAAAATGAAAGAAATATACCTCATGGGCAAACAAGCAGCAATATTCTTTTTTGTTTTGCTTTTGAGACAAGGTCTCACTCGTCACCCAGGCTGGAGTGGCACAATCACGGCTCACTGCAGCTTTGACCTCCTGGGCTCAAGTTACCCTCTTGCCTCAGCACCCAAGTAGATAAAGAGTAGAAGCACACACCACCACACTCATTTTTTAAATTTCTGGTAGAGACAGGGTCTCGCTATGTTGCCCAGGCTGGTCTCAAACTGGGCTCATGCCATCCTCCCGCCTCAGCCTCCCCAGAGTGCTGATTATAGGCATGAGCCACACTGCATGTTGCCAAGCAGAAATATTCTTGAAAGTCAGAAACCTTAATCCCAATTATGTATTGCTACATTCTTTTCATCTACTTTAATGTTTGTAAATATACACATAAAGCTTTGTCTCCCTGCCCACCTGGCCTAGTCATTTTGGACTCTGTACCTCAAAGCCATAAATAATATTTCTTCTATTAGAAGAGAAGCACTTTCAGTGTGGAAAAAAATCTTTATTTCAAAGTAAAATGCACAAAGTCTCATACAGCAGATAAAATCAGTGTTACTGCTCTCAGATGTTAAGGTTAGCAACCTTTCTGGCATATGCTAATTCATCATGAACTCCCAATAGCTGAACTGAATGGCTTTTAAGTACAGCTATAAGGTCTCATGGTATAATTCCTTTTGTTGATGCCAGTGACAGGATTTTAAAAGCTACATTCCATTAAAAATTAAAAATACAGCAGCTTTTCCAGGGGAACTAGATCCCAAAATTGTACCCAGAACTCTTGTCTAAGATATTAAGTTAAATATCTTGCATGTATATATCATTATAGTAAATCAGTATTCTTGACAACCACAGTGTAAGAAATTAAACTTTGGCTAATTGTTTTCCCCATCATGAAATCAGTCTTTTGCTGTCTTCATAAATAAATTATGACCAAACATTACAAATACTTTATACATGTTTACTGATTTACAGAGAATATTTAATAATCAGAACTCACCAGTTTCAATAGTATTGTACATTAAATTATAAGCAATATAACCACTGCTACAAAAGTTATCTAAGTTAATCCAGGATAAAAACTGTGTCTAGAGTTTAAATACATTGAAATAGAAAAAAAAATAGAAATTAGAAAATAGTCTTCAAGTTCTGAAAATCTAGAAGAATTCTCCAACATCTGCTCTCTTATCTCGACATTTGCTTCTAGCTTTGGTTCGAGCTTTGAAGGCTGCAGAGTTATATAAATGCTAAAATGAAAAAAAGGAAAAACGTGCATCAGTAAGACTTAAGATATTCTTACAAAACAGAAAAAGGGTAAAAGTCACAAAGAAAAGAAATGAACTAATTTGACCCTATAAACATTTAAATGTTTATAAAACACACACAAAGAATGAAGGAGAAAAACAAAGAGTTAACAGGGGCCATGCAAGGTGGCTCACACCTGTAATCCCAGCACTCTGGGAGGCCGAGGTGGGCGAATCACGAGGTCAGGAGATTGAGACCATCCTGGCTAACACGGTGAAATCCCGTCTCTACTAAAAATACAAAAAATTAGCCAGGCATGGTGGCACATGCCTGTAGTCCCAGCTACTCGGGAGGCTGAGGCAGGAGAATCGTTTGAACCCGAGAGGCAGAGGTTGCAGTGAGCCGAGATCACGCCACTGCACTCCAGCCTGGGCAACAGAACGAGACTCCGTCTCAAAAAAAATAAATAAATAAAGAGTTAATGGCTATTCCATATTAAGAAAAGTACTAATCAAATTGTAAAACGCCAAGAAAGTTAGACGATTTCAAAAACCAACAGTGAAAAATGGACATCAACATTGTTTCATCCAAGAAAAGACAAATCATGACTAATGCAGAAAATAGTCCTACTTGGCTGTCAATTAGAACAAGGAAAAAAGTGATGAAGTGCCATTTTAATATCAATTAAATAAACACATTTTTTAAATTATAAAACTCAATGGTGTCAAATCTTTGTGTAACAGCTACATGCCTTCATTCATTGCTGGAGACAATTTAAATATCGTCTCCAATATAAGAGTAACTTTGGAAAGTAATTTGGCAATACATTATGCAGGGGATTTCTTCAAAAAAATTATTCAAAAGAGAGAAGTATGTAAAAATATTAATGTTTCTTAAAAAAAACTTAAAATGCCGTACAAGAAACAATTATGTGGATATAAAACTGATAAAATATCCAGGTTCTATAAAATGTAATTAAACACTTCACACCCACCAGAATGGCTATAATTAAAATAATTATTAGTGAGGATGTGGAGAAACTGGAACCTTTCTTTCTACATTGCTGATGAGAATGTAAACTGGTGCAGCAGCTATGGAAAAGAGTTTGGTGGTTTCTGAGAAAGTTAAATGTAAAACTATCATCTGACCCAGCACAATTCCACTCCTAGGTAATACCTCCCAAAATTGCAAAGAGCCTTTCAAAAAAAATTTTGTATGTGAATGTTCAGAGCAACACTATTCACAACGGCCAAAAGATGCAAACAGCCCAAATGTCCATCAACTGTTAAAATGGATAAACAAAATGTGATATATATCCATACAATGGAATATTATTCTGCCACAAAAAAGAATAAAGCTCTCTGAATTCATGCTACAACATGAATGAACCTCCAAAGCATTATGCTAAATGAAAAAAGCCAGACACAAAAGGTTGCATGCTATATAACTCCATTTGTATGAAATCTCCAGAAAAAGTAAATCCAGAGACAGCAGATTAGCGGTTGCCAGTGGCGGGGGGTAGCACAAGGGAAGTGACTGCTAATGAACAGAAGGTTTTCTTTTGAGGTGATAATGTTTTGGAACTAGAGTTGTACAACATCATGAATGTAATAAGTGCCACTGAACTGTATACTTTAAAATAGTCTGTTATATGAATTTCATCTCAGCACAAAAAAAAATACATAAATTAAGGATTTTTGAAATGCAGGCTGGTCATGGTGGCTCATGCCTGTAATCCCAGCACTTTGGGAGGCCAAAGTGGGTGGATCACCTGAGGTCAGGAGTTCGAGACTAGCCTGGCCAACATGGCAAAACCCTGTCTCTACTAAAAATACAAAAACTAGCCAGGTGTGGTAATGCACACCTGTAATCTCAGCTATTCAGGAGGCTGAGGCAGGATAATCACTTGAACCTGGGAGGCAGAGGTTGCAGTGAGCCGAGATTGCACCACTGCACTCCAGTCTGAGTGACAGAGCAAGATTCCATCTCAAAAAAAAAAAAAGAAATGTTAAGTAAAAATGATATTAATTACTATTTAACTCTCTTAAGTTTCCTCATTTGTAAAACGAGTCTGGTACTTCACTTAGCAGGCTATTATCTGATACAAAAGGACTATGTAAATACTTATTCTTAAACATAAAAACTCCAAAGAATAAAAAGAAACAAATAATGAACACCGTTCCTATATTAAGATAGAATTATACGTAAAATATATATGTACATATTAAATTTTAACGTGTTGTCAAAATATGTTTCATAAAATGAAAGAAATACACCTAATGGGCAAACAAGCAGCAATATTCTTTTCTCTGTTTTGCTTTTGAGACAAGGTCCCACTCGTGTCACCCAGGCTGACACATATATACACACACACACACACACACACACACACACACACACACGCCCCCCACACTCTAAATGCTTTCTGTATCTTTAGTACAGCTATTCTATGTGAAGCATCATGAAAAACTAAAACTCCACATATAGGTAGACACAGCTAAGTTGCTGACACTAGACAGAATCAAAGCTTTGGCGCACTTAGTTTTATTAAAAATAAAAACAAAACCTACCCTTTCGAAACGAGAAATCTTCATCGTTTTAAGCGTTGCAGCATCAAGCATCACTGGGGGTCCAAGTTCAAATACATTTCGAAGGAATTCATTTGACTTATGTGAAAGAAAAAGGTGGTATGGCTCAGTATTAAACATTATAGCTCTTTTTCACTAGACAGAGTGACTCTGATTAACAGAAGTTATGTGGAACCCACAGATAAACTTAGATCACTTATTTTCTGTTTCTCAATAGAAAGCAAATTGTTTTCAATGCCTTGAATCCAAGACAGCTATGTCAAGCTATTTGCTTTCATACAGACATCAGTAACCGTCCACCCAACTTTAACAATACAAAGAAAAAAAAAGGAACAGCTTCAGATTTATTCAAGTCTACTTTCAAAAACAAGTTTACTGTTTTCTAACATGTGGAAGCACTCTGGATACCTAATTAATTTCAAAAGCCAATTAAGTGAGCTATATTCAAGACTGCTCCCTACTTTAAAAGCAAATATGTAGAAAGGATGACACTTACCTGCAAGTGGTACTGCATCCCTGATCCAAGAACCTCCTTAAAGGTGTCATAGGTGTGTTTTTTTACCCAGCAATCAATATACATGCGTTCAGGACCAAATTTAATGGTTTCTGTTGGAAAATCCCGTTCCTAACCAATGGAAGAACCAAAATTACCACAGGCACTAAAATGGCTCAGAGGGATCTTATGTAAACACAATTTCTAAACAGTCATATACATGCTGAGATAAATGAACAATATGGCTTAAACTGATACTGCCATACCTGAGATGTGGACAAACTGTTGCTATCCTGTATGTAAGGGTGTAGAATTGGTCTAGTTTTGATAAACTTGAAGGCACAACTGAGTTTCAGTAACAATTAAGGCAAAAACCACATTGTTGAGAATACCTTTAAATTTCAACAGCTCTCAACAAACTTAAAAAAAGTCAGGTGTTTTTAATGGCCTAGGATGGGAGAGGGAAGAAAGTTGCAGAACAGTCAGGAAAACAAAATGGCACCACAAGCAGGGGGTGAAATGATGGGCAGTAGGGATCCAGGGAAGGAAGTGAGGGTAAATAGGGTTAACTGACCAAGCAAAAAGGAAAGGTCCAGCAACCAGAAGGGCTCCAAGAGGTCTCAGGCTAGGTTTCTAAGAAAATAAGAAGTAACACTAGAATCTAAGATTTTAGTGATGAAACAATTCTGTCAGAAGACCATTTCGAAGGTGTAACCATGGGAGTGCAGCCCAAATGACACAGAAACAGAAGTCAGATGGATTAAAAAAAAAGTCAGCTGGAATAGTGGCAGAACTTGTTAAGAAGAAAACTGGCTACTTAATTCTTTGGTAAATCATGAGTATGTCAGAGTAACCAGGAAGGGAGGAGCTGACTGCCACAGGGAGAGGAGAAAGGAGATGGAACTTGAATGACAAAACCACTCCACCTGCCTTCCAGACATCTACCTCAGCCCCTTCTCACTCAGCAGACAAAGTATATAATGTAATAGAAAAGACCGTCAACCCTAGACTTAATACAGACATGCAACTTGCGGGCTTGTGATTTCATCAAGTAACTTAACCTTGCTGAGTCTGTTCCCTTGCCCGTAAAATGGGGCCATCTTTACCTATACTGCATGAGGGTTATTAGAGGTGTAAAAGAGGACATGCATGTGAGGCAAACACAGTGACCGTCTGGTGCGTAACAGCAGCTCAAAAATAAATAAATAAATAACAGTAGAGTTATCTTATTTCAATCTTCTTTAATTCAGAAAACATTAAGGCACCAAGAAAGAACTGTTTCCCACCAACCCTCTATAAAGTCATCAGCATCCTTACCTATTATCCTCTTTCCTGTTGGTAACAGACAAACCTCTGTCCCTCCACAATTCAAGGTTAATCTCAATCTTTTACATATATAGTCAATCCTCCATATCTGGTTGGTTCTGCATCACGGATTCAACCAACCATGGACTGAAAATATTCAGAAAAAAATTGCAACTATACTGAACATGTATAGACTATTCTTTCTTTCCACTATTCCCTAAACAATAAAGTATAACAACTATTTACATAGCACTTACATTGTATTAGGTATTATAAGTAATCTACAGATGATTTAAAGTATACGTGCATAGGTTATATGCAAATACTATGCCATTTTATATCAGGGACTTGAATACTCAAATTTTGGTATCTGAGGGGGATCCTGGAACCAATGCCTCATGGATATTAAGAACAGACTACATTTTCAGATGCTCCTTTCTCCACAGGTTCCTTCTCCATAAATTGTCTCTAGTATCTAGAACAAAACAAAACAACAAACCTTCCCGCAATCTGGCACTACATTCCAGCTATCAACTCTCTTCCCCTTCCCATCACAGCCAAGGTTTTTAAAATAGTCAAGGCATACCACCTTCACTTAATCACTTCTCACTTTTCAATCCACTTCAGTCTGGCTTTTCCCTCATCACTCCACTGAAGCTGCTCTTATAAAGGTCACCAAGGACCTAATCGACGGACCTAAGTGAAACGTTACTTTCTCACTTGACCTATCTGTATATAGGATTTGGCCATGCTCAAAGAGCACAGAACAGTGGGTTCAAATTTCAGCTCTGCTACTTAACTATTCTGTATTCCTTTGGTCCCCATTTCTCCTTTAGAAGGAGACTATTCTATTGCTTAAGAGGTATAATGAGATAAGAAAACTGTATGGCAAAACACCTAAAACATTAAGTGCTTGCTGATTTGAGGAATCCGTGAGCCTCAAGAAATGTTTTAAATAAAAAGAAATGGTGTGGCAGCCACTACCACAACTAAGATGTTTACATATCCTTTGTGGCAGTTGAGCAACCTTCATTTAAAGACCCATCCGAGAAGCTGGGTGCTCCAGAAAAAGCTAGGTTCCAGTGAAAAAAAAAAAAAGAGAAACAACTCTCAGCAAAGCCCTGAGGACAGGCCTTTCTCAGGCAGGTGCATTGAAGCAGAGGCTGGAGGGACAAGGGAGATCCTGAGATGAAGAAAAGAAGGTGGGCGGGTAGATCACTATGGGATAGGAATGGTTTCCATTTAACAGTGCCTGAGGAATACACAACAAAGGGCTGTTAATACTGGTGTAAGCTGAAACGTCACTTGTGTCTTCCTCTGAATAATCAGTACTGAGTGCTATGGCTGGCCCGGTTTGAGGGCCAGTAGAGACCCTTACAATCTACTACTCAAAGGGGATGCATGAGGGCAGAAAACTTGAAATCAGGTCCATCCAGAAAATCTAGGACATGTCATCATATCTTTGGAGACTACAGTAACTCAAAAAAAAATCAAATATAGGAATAGTTTATAGTTACTTAAAGAAAATGGCTTACTTTAGAGATACTGCCACACTAATTATAAGACTAATTTTTAATTCTTAATATTGATATTTGCTCGAGTTAGGGGTTTTTTTGTTTTTTAGACTATAAAATCCAGAGTAAATATAAAATCCTACTATAATGTGATAAGAGTCAGCATTAACCAAAAGTATTTAGATCCCAAAGGATCTAATTTGTATCCTAGATTTTACTTTTCTAAAAATAGATTAAAATTAGGAAAGTAGGGTATATATAAGAATTCACTGGAACATATTAAAACTGGATCTGGGGTGGGGTCTCACCATCTCCAGTTTAAATTCTCATTTTAAATTTTCACACACACATCAAGTTGAATGACATTTTGATGATATTCTTAAAATAACTGCTGTATCAGATAGCAATAATCTAAGAAACACACCCTTCAAATCCAAGAAATATTTACCTGGCCTACCAAAAACAATTTACCTGGCCTACCAAAAAATATTTACCTGGCCTACCAAAAAACAATTATTAAAGTTTTCAGTTTTCTCCAGTGAGATATCTTTTGTCCTATAGTTCATTTTAGCCATGCATTCTAAACCAATTTATTTGCCATATAGATTGAAACAGGTTTGAGGATTACAGAAGAAATTCAAGCATCAGATAATGATTTTAAGTGGCCTTGTTAAAATGCTGGGTTTTGTTATTTCGGTTTTTAGCCTCCAGCTTTCCTAGAAAGATCATGAAGATCTCTGGCACGGTGGCTCACGCCTGTAATCCCAGCACTTTGGAAGGCCGATGCGGGTGGATCACAAGGTCAGGAGTTCAAGACCAGCCTGGCCAAGATGGTGAAACCCTGTCTCTACTAAAAATACAAAAAATTAGCCGGATATGGTGGTGGGCACCTGTAATCCCAGCTACTCAGGAGGCTGAGGCAAAGAATTACTTGAACCCGGGAGGCGGAGGTTGCAGTGAGCCAAGATCGTGCCACTGCACTCCAGTCTGGGCAACACAGCGAGACTCCATCTCAAATAAATAAATAAATGACAATCAAGCTGGGTTGGAGTCTAAGGGGTAGGCAATAACTTATTAAATTCACAAAAAACACTGTACACTAAGAATGTATATGCTAAGCACCATGGTTTAAATGATGACAAATACACCAAGGTCAAATACATTTCTATCACTATGGGTCTTTTTATTTAAAAGAAAAAAAACTAAAATAAAGTATCTTTATACACCAGCATTAATTTTCTTTTGTTTTGAAAAAAAAAAAGTCTTCACTTATATTGTTAAAAACCTGCTAGGTCGTAAAATGAGAAATTATTTTCAAAGGTGAAATTCAATCAACAAAATGGTACAATTGTCAAGTTCAGCCTGAAACAATCCAATTTCAAAATGAGAAGCTATTACAGCATTTAAGAAGCCTACCTCCACTGCCCTCAGGACATCTCTGAAAACTGACCGCTGCTTTCTCTTGTCCACTTTGGCCCGGTGTTTATTTCCATCTGTTGCCAAGGCCCTAAGCATCTGCGTCAAGGACTCCATGTCTTCATAAAAAAAGTCCTGGACAAGAAAAGCAATTTTGTTTCCTTTATTATTATTTTTCTTTTCTGACCTCATATAGAGCTAACAAAGAACAGTCTACATTTGGAAAATATCCAGTTGCATAAGGCAATGTAAATCTTCATGGTATTTAGGGACTAGGCACACATAAACACATGTTTTCATGCAAAAATCGAACCCAGAAATGCTGACTACAAGATGATGTACTACAGCAAAACAATTAACATTTCCCTTCCAAGTAAATGCATCCAACAAATATTTCTTGTGTTCCCACCATATATAAGACATTACTGGGATTTCAAAGTTCAGTGAGAGACAGATATACCAATATAGCTTCTACCCTTGGCTCCCCAGTCCCCAAACCAAACATTCACAGACTTCCAATTATTCTTATCCCAAAGGCATAAAGCTACAATTAAAGCATCTACTTTCTAATTTACTGCCATATTTCAAATAAGCAATAAAGCACATAATTCAGGTGATTAAATTATTTAAGGTAAGAACAAGTTTTAATCCCTTTTGGGGGACAGCTGCAAAATGTATTGAAATTTGCTGTGACCTTAAGCAGATTATGGGCTTCCTTGTCACAGTTAACGTGGCTATGCATTTAAGAAGTCTCTTTATTTGAGGTGTTTTTATTTCCTAACTCCATTTTACAACCACACTAAAAACTAAAAAATGAGTCAAACTTATTTAGCTGATCAAAACTAGAACAGACACTTCTTACTAAGAAGCCAGGAGATGGGCAATCTCCAGTTCTAGTTTATTCATACATGTTTAACATTTATTGCATTAGAGGTTAAGAATCATTTAACTTATTATATTAATATAACAGCTCTTCTAGGCCTTCTTGGTTTCTTTTAATGTCTAAAATGAAAAGGATTATTACACTGGTGGAAAATAAGCTTGAAATTAATGTGACAGATATTCTAGCTTTTAAGTACATAAATATCTTCTTGTCATATTTCCAATTACATATTCTTAACTATTCCAACAAATGTTTTCTTCAAATGTTCCAATTCAACCTCCTATATCTAAGTTAGAGACAACACCCATTAATAAGATGCAAAGTGGGTATTAAAATAGACCAAACTGTGTTTAAATTCCAAAGAATCAGATTGCATCATAACAAGATGGGAATAATTTTATTTATAAAAAACAAGTACATTTCAGGGACTAGCAGTCTCCTACTCATTTTATTGGCTACTTGTTCTTTTACAGTATTTTAAACATATATATGTGTGTATATATGTATATGTAAAGGGTTTTTTAATTTGTATAGAAGAATAAATCAAAATTTAAGAAAATTCTATACATTATTTTAATTTGTTCTAAGAAGTGAGAATCACTGCCAGTGATTATCAACTGGGGATGATCTTACCTCCCATTGAACATCTGACTATGTCTGAGACATTTTTGGTTGTCACAACTAGGAGAAGGGGGTGCTATCGGCACCTAGTGGGGAGAAGCCAAGGATGCTGCAAAGTATCTTTCAATGCACAAGACAGCCCCCACCCCTACAATGACAAAATATAATCCAGCCCAAAATATCAACAGTGCGTGCTGAGATTGAAAAACTTCACGGTAATATAATCTTAGCAATGGATAAAACCCAATCAAGTTTAGTTTGTGAATCACCAAGTTCAATATCCTATTAAAACTTGAAAAATTAAATGCTAAGTAGTTTAGAAAAAAGACTCTATATACTTGGGCATTAAAAACACAAAAAAAGGAAGGAAGAAAATAAAATGTAACACGTAATAAAAAAGTCCATAAACAGCTTCCAAAAGCCTATTAATAGGACTTTACGATAATTATATAATAGAGCTGTACCACTCTGGGACAAATAAGAAATGAGCTCCCAGAGAAATAAATATCTTAATATACTCTTATAATAATAAAAAAAACCAGCAGTCATTACTACACAACAGGGTCAAAAGTCCTAGATCAGAATCATCAATCTACTGCTCTCCATACCAAGTTTTATAAATTATAAATCTATTTTATCATCTGAAAAAAAAGAAAATACCCAACCTTTCAAACAATGGTTGTAAGCATTAAAAAGACAATAAATTCCCCAATAAATTCTGAAGCATTAACTATTTTATCAATATTCTAGACTTGGAGGTATATAGAACTCACCTTTTTAAAAAAAATCTGTGTAGCCATCACAACCATACGAGGCAGTTTAATACCATATTTAAGACATAGGTTTTGCAGTCAGAACATCTAGGTTTGAATCACAAGCATCCACCATGTAGATCTATACAACCTCAGGCAGCACTACATTAGCAATCTGTCTCAGGCTCCTCTTATATAACAGTTATTACCACCCACATCTCCTAGGTTTTTTATAGGGAAATGAACTATTAGAAATATATAAAACACAGGACATAAACATCCATTAAGTTATAGATCTTACTGTTATGAACAGCCTGTTTGAACCTAACACAATATAAATACAACAGAATCTAACACAATATAAATACAACAAACTGGTCAGCTGAAGATAATTATTTCATAGCAAAATAACAGTTACCAATTAAATGGTTTCAAAAGTTGAATGGAATTAGGATGAAATGAAACCAAAGAAAATTTCCAGAAAAGTTTAGGCAGACAGGGTGAGATGCTTAAGGTCACAAAAGCTAACCATTCCCCAAGCTATTATTTCTATACAGAAGTCACTGGAACACTCATTATAAACAAAATAAGCTGGGTCTTGGATAGCTAAGTATTAAGAAATAAAAATCATACAAAAGCCTAATATTAAAATAAAACTTGAGGCCAGACACAGTGGCTCTGTATCTATAATCCCAACACTTTGGAAGGAGGAGGGAGGATTGCTTGAGGCCAGAACTCTGAGGCTGCAGTGAGGTATGATCTTGCCACTGCACTCCAGCCTGGGCAACAGAGTGAGACCCTGTCTTTAAAAAGACTTATTTATTTCAATTCCTGCTAATCAAGGCAGAATATCTTTGTCAAGGTATGGAGATATTTTTACACAGAGTCAGTTATTATACAAACAAGGGCAAAAAAACAAGAAGAATGCTAAGTTGCTGCTTCTGAAGTATAAAATCTAGGTGATTTCAGATTTGGCTCCAAGGAGTATATTTGGTCTTTGATTATCTTTTTTCTCGCTGTGCTGTAGCACTTCCCCTGTCCGCTCAGCTGGGGAATGGAATGGGTGAGACCTGGAAAAGGTCTAACTATATTTTGTTAAATTTTCCCAAGTGAGGATTGCACCAGCAATGGCTCCCAAGATCTTAATTCTGCCCACCAAATAATGTCTCTTATATTAAGTTACTCTACAGTTCCTAAAAGGCCACTAGTAGACTACTGCCAAATGCAATACTCAATTCAACCAACATTCCAAGTAACAGCTAACACTTACACTGTACCTATCATGTGTTCTCAAAAACTCTATGAGGTTGTGACTAATAATTTATCCATTTTAATGATAAGGACACCGAGGCATAGAGAAGTTGCCCAATATTATCCAACTAGTAAGAGAGAAAGAGATCCGAAGGTAGGCAGAACAGCTCCAGAGTCTACTATTATCTAATTGGTTATATGGCAAACATCCATTAACCTAGAACTCTCATAAAGGAGTAATAATTACTAATTTCAACTTTGAACACAGTTTATTATTATTATTTAACCAACTCATTCATTAAAATCCAACCTAAAAGTTAGCTCTTCAAAAGTTTTTTTTCTAAGTCTCTCAGGCAGAATTCATGACATCACTAGATTTCAAAGTTAGTAACATCAGAAAGTCAGTTAGCAAAAAGCCTTGAATAATTCAAAACTCATTTGCTGTATGAACCCTATTTTAAATCTGTCTATGTATTTCACTAACGCCCTGGATTTAATTTTTGAACACCCTATAACTATCCCCCAACCAGCACCCACATATAAAAAGCTTATTTTAAAAAAAAAAAAAAAAAGCAAATAAAAACACTAGGTTCTGTTTTGTAACCCAGTTCATTTTTGTCCTTGGATAAAAATTCAAGTCAAATGAAATATGTCTGGATGAGTTCTCCTGGTTATCCTGTGTAATTTATTAAGTTGGAGAAAAGATACGTGGGGTGTGTGTGTGTGTGTGTGTGTGTGTGTGTGTGTGTGTGTGTATATAAATGTGTATATATATGTATATGTATATACATGTATGTATGTGTCTATATATATGTTTATACAAACTTAAACAAATTCAACATGTATAATTTAAACTGCATTATGACTTCATTTTAAAAATGCATTTCCAAGGAAAAAAAAGAAAAGAAACTGCCATTTCTGGCCAGTAGAGGAATGTAAGATTAAAAATTGGGACATCTGGTTTCCATGCGTTGAGGTTAAGAAGCTATTAACTAGCTCAATAAAATTAAATTGATTGCTAAATTTGAGTCCAATTTCTCACATAAGGAGAATTATTAGCTACTGACAACATTAACTTACTTTCCATTCCTACCTACTATCCCTCAAACAAAAGGAGTGTAGGGGAGTTGGAGAGAGCCACTTTACACATAAAAATTTTAAGACTGTAAACTTCCTTCAATACAGGCCTAGAATGGAATATGAATGACTATACATGGCAGAACTGTATTAATCCTGTTTGGAACCGTTCACTGTTAAATAACTTCTTTAAATGCAAAAAAGTTTCAGAATGAAAATATATTCTTTCTCCTTAAATTAAAAAGCATCTAGTAAGTAATTCAAGGTTGGCAATAATATCTACTATTTAGTTACCCATTTCCCATATATTTGAGTTTTCTTATTGGATCCTTCACAGATTCAGTGTGAAGACAGTCAAACCTGCTCCTCATTTCTAAATATCAGCACAGTATCTGAATCACATATCTTAAGAATACATTCTCCCTTCCAATGGTAAGATTTGAGGCATTCCTTTCTCTTAGCAATCCTTAAAATAGAGATGACAAATTAGGGTTACCAAATGACCCAGTTTGCCCGAGATAAAGGATTTCCTGGAACATAAGATGGTAAGTGCTAAACCAAAAACAGGTACAAAGCAAATTGGGTCGACTGATCAAACTATCACAAACTCAAATCCCTTCGAGAGCCAAGCCATGGTAACTAACATCTGTGAGTGGACAAGTGAATGGGTAACTGCAAAGCACATGTCCCAGTCTTAATGAGCAGTGTTTATTTCCATCTTTGGCTTAGAGAAGTTACTGAACCCATCTCATCCCAAACCTATGCTGACTTAATATTTTATTCATTTGTTTGATATTAATTATGAAGCATCACATGCCTTCATTAGCTTGATGTATTGGGTATCTGAGAAATTCAAGCAGTTTCATAAAGATTATATTAGACAAAACTCTCTCCATGAGGATCCCTAAACTTCAGTTCTATAGATAGCAAAAATTAAGTATAATGAACCACAGTCAAACACTGCTGTACCAACCCCTACTGGTTTCTGCTCTCTAAAGTATTACACCACCACTGCCAAGAAGTAGGGAAATAAATCACTGGGTTCTCAAGCTGGCCATGTTCCAAAGTTATTGCCCAATTCTCAATTGCAAGGTAATGATGGAACAATGGGCCTTGTGACACAAGCTTTTTCCTCTGCCAGTTAGATACTTACACTCTCTATTCCTCTGGCCAATTCAAAGAGAAGTGCCAAAGATTCACCAGCAGCTATTCTCATGTTTACATCATCACAAGAGAGGAGGCTTGGAAGCTTATGGAAATGCCTAAAAAATAGTTAGTCATTACTATGTGAATACAACCAATTATGTCCACTAAATGTTGCTTTTATAAAATATGAAACTAAAAATACATACATCTCAAGCTTTTTCTTCACTTCATTGATTGGGCATATGGTCAGCAGTAGTGTCCATGCAAGAAGAGAGCTGATATGAAGCACTGTATTAGGAGTGCTGCAAATAACAGTAGTGTCTTTCTCTTTGAGATAGGATTTAGTGAAGATATTTTCCAAACATTCCAGAGTTGAGTATAGTTCCTAATGCATAAGAATATGAAGTAAGATAACCATCTTAAATTAGAAATAACTGCAGATAACTAGAATCAAAGGTTTTTTACTTACAGTAATGTCATCTGTGGCAATAAAACAGCAAACACCAAAGCAAGTTGCACACTAAAAAAAAAAATATATATATATAGACATTAATGATTTTATTTCTTATTAATTCTACATCTTCCTGCTTTTATAATTCAACGTGAAAATGTTCTCAGCAGCATAATATATTAGGTCCCAAACATTATACATAAAAGAGGTGAGGAGAGAAAGAATATTGAACTAAGATCAAAGGAAGTGCGTTTCAGCTCAAGCTCTGCTACTAAATTCACAGCATGACTTTAACAAAGTGATTCTGTTCCTCTTCAGTCTTCTTTTATTGATCCATAAAATCAAAAGCATGCAAAAGAATTACATAATTTCTGAAACAATTGCAGCTCCATAATCTATAATTTAAATTATTGAATCATTTTTATGAGTCTATGTCAGTAAAGCATTCTGAAAGGGTGAACTATCCCCTTGTTTCCTTTCTGTATGCTTTACAGGTGCTTACTAGATCATTAAACTTCAACTGTAATTCAAAGATAGAAAGCTTAGACATATGAGCTAAAGAAGCCTACCCTCTATCAAAAAGCCTTTAAAACACATTACAATTCCATTGGTTTTTAAGCTGTTACAACTATATTCTTTTGTTCTTATGAAGACTCTACTATGAAAACTTCTAAAAGAAATCAGCTTCCAAGAAATAAGCACACAGGAGCAGAAATTTCATAAAATGTAAATAATTGTCTTCAAACTTCCCACCTAATTAATTAATTAATCCCATTAACTCAGATTTCACTTATTCTGGATTATGCTGAAAAGAGGCTGGGAATCATATAATTGCCTTTTGTTTGGGGAGGGGAAGGGCTAAACAAAAGTGAGTATAGTATATGATTACAAAGGTAAAGCTTATCGAATAAAACATACTCAGAACACAACACTTACACAAGCCATCTACTTGCAACATAAACAGAAGCCTTCAATTCTCAGAACATTTGTTTTAACAAATTAATCCATATAAAAATAGAATTTGTAATCTGAGATTTTATTATTCTCCATTTCCCCTTTCTCCACATTTTGTCACTAAAATTCCCTCATGTTGTTCTAAGCATTATTAAAGCTTTAAGTCTTTAAAGTCACCATTGGTATCAGGCCCAGGTTTTAGCCAGTCTGTTCCAGTACTATGAGGATATCTGTGATATTAATCTGCTTGGTATCACTATTTTATTGTCATTATATCATCCTAGTAAAAATTGGACACTGTTAAAATCTAAAAGTAGCCTAAGCATTAAAGGAAATTTTCAATCCATAATCCCTACTGCTAAGCAAGCAGCAGAAGCAAGGCTACATCGTTCCTTTTGATGACTCTAAGAAAAACAGCCAATTAAAGAACTAGGACTGGCTGGGTGCGGTGGCTCACACCCATAATCTCAACACTTTTGAGAGACCAAAGCAGGAGGATCACTTGAGCCCAGGAGCTCAAGGCCAGCCTGGGCAATACAGCAAGACCCATCTCTACAAAATATTAAAAGCGAGCCAGACATGGTGGTACATGCCTATAGTCCCAGCTACTCAGGAGGCTGAGGCAGGAGGATAACCTGAGCCCAGGAGGTGGAGGCTGCAGTGAGCCATGATTGTGCTACTGTACTCCAGCCTGGGTAACAGAGTGAGACCTTGTCAAAAAAAAAAAAAAAAAAAAAAACCCTAGGACTGCCTCAATTTAATATGGATTCCATCTGCTAAATGGGGAGGCTAAGGTTTTTTAAAAATTCACAGCAACTTGGAAGTATGGAAAAAAAAGTCTTTAAATGACAAAAAAACTTACATACAATCAAAATTAAGTGACTGCTCCAAAAATCTACCCAGCAGAGTGTTTTCTGTCATTCTAGCATGAAATTATACCAATAGTTCCACATGATTTAAAAGCTGCACATATTCACCCAAAAAGAAGAAAAGAAAAAGTTAAGTAGCAAAAGCTAATTAAATATTTCAGAATTACTAACTACTGGAGGGCACAGAGATTACTATGAAGTTGCCAAACTCCAATTTCTTTGCCTCCAGGGCAAACAGCTAGACTATTCCCAGCCTCCAGGTGGCTGGTAAGCCAAGGAACTAGATGCAAAAGTGATGTGCTCTGGCTGAGTCTGTCACCTAGCTACCCTGGCTGCCATATCGAGAGAACCTAGAGGTGGGCAGAGCTGCAGTGGAGGCCTGGGGTTCCAGCCAATTTACATTGGGTGGTGATGATAAGAAGAAGAAATAAATTTTTACCAAGCTACTTAGACAAAGATTAATGTTACTTACCTTAAGTAACATTATTACTTACCTTAAGTAATACTAACAAGGAAGCTGGATTTGGATAATAAATATTAAAAGTATTAAAATGTTTCAAGCTTAAACTGATTCACTTGTTTAAAAAAACAGCTTAGGATCACATGTTATTTTTCCAAATCCACTAAGACCACCTCAGTGTCTTCTGTTTTCTGTGACACAGTAAAACATCTCCATATGATCACTTGTATCACTTATTACCGCACCAAAAACAAAAAATAAAACCCCCAAAACCCAAAATCTAAAGTCAAGTGTTGCAAGAGGTAAACATCCAACAATTAGAGAATGAAAGCTTTCTCAAACCCCAAAATTAGAAGACTTTCACAAATCAGAATTTCAGTTTCCTATGTCTACCCAAATCCATAAATATAGAATTATCTTTTTTGTTGTTGTTGTTAAAATACAGTGTGTAGCTTTGTCTCCCAGGCTACAGTTCAGTGGCATGATTATAGCTCACCGCTGCCTCAAACTCCTGGACTTACAAGATCCTCTCTCTTGCCTCAGCCTCTTGAGTAGCTGGTACAGTACTATAGGCGCACCACGTCTGGGTGTCATGAATAGACAGATCTATAAATGTAAATATCTTATACTTACAGTTTGCCTAGCCTGCATACTAGCTGACCCATCACAAATGATTTTCTTTAGGATTGGTCCAAGAGTTTTCAAAATCTCTTCACTTTCAATTCCAGGGCCCAGCTGAATACAAAGAACAGATGCTAACGCTGCAGCTGCACGTTGCTCATCACTCTTACCTATAAAAGCAGCCAAGATGCAATCACGATAGTCTTTTCAGTAGACTAACTTACTAAGACAGTTATTTCCCAAATTTGATCAATGACAAAATAGCATTTACCATTTTTGAAACCCCATGCTCCAGGCTTTGATGTAAGTTACAAACTTAGGCTAAAGAGCTCAAACTATAGAAACAGACCTCACTCAAATCCTAGATCCCACTTATTAGCCAAATGATCATCGATTAGTTACTCTTATTCTCTAAATAGAATTCCTCATCTGTAAAATGGAGATTAGTATCTATCTTAAGGGATTATTTTAACAGTTCAACTAAATGTGTTTCAAGCCAATTTCTATCTTCAAACTCCTTAATGTACTCATATAAACAGTGCTCAAATTGCCCTTGAATTAATCTCCTAAGCATTTCGGATGTACACAGTCCATTAGGTAAACCTTCAGGGTTTCCCTACCAACATTTTTAAAAATAAATACGGGATTAAAAATAACTCTTTAAAACCGTAAAAAATACATTTATTAACTTTATTTATTTTTTTTTTTTTTTGAGACAGGGTCTCACTCTGTCGCCCAAGCTGGAATGCAGTGGTACAAAAAATACATTTATATAAAGGTACATATAAATTAACTCTTGAGAACTGTATACACCACAAGTGTGGGGCAAATACTGAGCTTAAATTATTACCTGATAAATTAAAAATGTAAAAAATACGCAAACTAAAATGGAATTTTTAAAGGTCATCTAGTCCAACAACCATTATAGCATATAGTTTGAATGTAAAACACCTTTAATAGCGCCATTGTGTTATCTTTAAAAAGTTGGGTCTGCTATCAACTATACCAATAACAAGATATATCAGCTTAGACCCACCTCAGTTTTCCTAGGCCTTTCTTTATTCTATTCAATGGAAGAGTGAATTTGATCAAAGGTTTCACTTACAACAAAATTTTTACTCTCAGGTAAAATGAGAAAAATAAGGATATAAAGCTTATTAGTTCATTCAATTTTTTAAAAGTGCATTTCTACATTTTTGGTGCTATAATATTTTGCTAATAAAATAATGATAGTGGAGGATAATTATTTTCATAATGTTCTTACTTGGCTGAATAAGTTGGCAGACACCAAATCTCGTTTTGTTTTGTTTGTTATAATAGAAACCAAGTATCGCTTTGTTGCCCAGGTGGTCTCCAACTCCTGGCTTCCAGCAATCCTCCCACCTCGGTCTCCCAAAGTGCCACAATTACAGATGTGAACCACCATGCCGAGTCACAAGTCTTTTTAAATTTGGTGGTTCCTAAATCTAGTAAGCCTACTAACACTGGACTTTAAGGTCTGATAAAATTATCTTTAAGATTTCTCTTTGGTCTTAAAAGTTCTATCACTGTAACAATTTGAATTCCAGAATTTCTATTACAAAGTTCTAGAATTCAAGTATTCCAAGGGATATCCTGAAAATGATGTAATTTACAGGTACAATCAATGTTTTATATAAGTGCAAGGGAAAATGAGCTAGATGTCTGACACACACTTTCAAGCTTTTCTGGTATAACAAGAGAATGACCATCACCTCTTCTGATACAAAAAAGGTTGATGACAATCTACCCTAATCCTTCTTAGTTTCAAGCTATTTTTTTTTGGTTTACGTAATACAAAAACAAAGTTCTAACAAGTCTCATTTTGAGCCATAACAAGATGGTGCACTCCTTGACTATTAGAAAATTTTAAGAGTGGGCCAGTGTTCCAGTGCTATTACTAAATGTTACTGAAAAGAAGATAACACACTCCTTATTAGTTGTACGTCTGTGACTCAAAAATAAGGGCATTACCTTTTTTCAGGCAGCGTTCAATGCTATCAGTTAAAGTCATTCTCCTTTCCAGAATAAATTCATACAGCATTTTTGAAGCCAGTGCATTTTTAATACCTTCAAGAGCTGCTTGCCTTGTCTTCGCACTATTTAACACCCAATGTAAGAGAAAGAAGATCCAGTTGGAGTATACAATAAATAACTTTTTAAAATCTTATTTCCTTCTAAACTTTACCTATGTATAGATTTTTTAAATCTAATTCTCATCAAGCTCTAACCATTTGTCAATAATATAATTTAATTTCCATCTATGACTCACCTTGTTACACAAAACACTTAAGGCTGCTTTATATCATGGCATTTTTCTTAGTTTGATAGCCACAACTTTAAATGCTTACATAATATTTTATCGTTTCAATGTACAAGTATAGTTTTAATGTATTGTTTTCCTATATTACATATTTAAGTAAATTTACACTTTTTTTAAAACTATAAAAGTCTAGAATTGCATCTTCAGGGCTTTTTAATTCTATTAAGGTCAGTTCTGAAGCTATAGTGAAAAGAAACAATCTAGCTTTGACATTTTTTCATATCATAACATTAGTGGACAAGCAGCTTAAAGCAAGGTTTCGTTATCATTTCTAGTTGAAGATTAACTTTTAATTCAACAAATTCATTTCTATTATAATCAAATACAGCTATGTATGTGCTATTATGCTAGAATAATGACTAATCTGACTCAATCTAAATTCTAATGGCATGTTACTACCCACATTAAAGTCCAACGGAATAAGAAACATCCAAAGTAAACAAATTAACCTTTAGGAAAAATATATTGCTATTATCTGAGAGCTGCACAAATTATATACATGTAAGGTAACTGATTAGAATCACACAGAATAATCATTTCTCTTAGCTTTTGACTAAGATCAAGCATAGACTCACACAGAATGGAGTTTCCAGTATTGCCTACCTCTTATCCAGGGTTAGGTCAATTAATCCCTTCAACTTGTACTCTAGGTCTTCTTGAGTTCCTTCCTCATCAAGGACTTCTGGTCCTAAGAAATAATATAAAACAGCCATCGTAATTTAAAAGAAAAAAAACAGGGAATAATAGTATACTTTAGCTACAAGAATTCCTCCACCTGAAACATTTTATCTAAAGTTGCAAATTTAAATTTAAAACTCATACCATCTTCAGCAAAACTGGAAGGATCGCTATAACCACTGCAATGGCTCATTGTTTCAATTGATGCATCTTCATCACTAAAAGGCTGAACATTTCGATGCTGGCCACCTATTAGGTAAAAGAGGAAAGAGGTAAATTATTTTATTGCCATATACCTAAATATTTAACTTTGGAATTTTTAAGTTTACTTAAAGAGAAATCCAGTAATAAAACCACAGACTCATTTTATAAAAAGAGATTTTATCACAAGTGAACATACTTAAATATTCTTAAACTAAGTTCACCTAATTACGTATTTCAAAGGACCAATGATACATCAACTATACGCATCAGTCCTCTAACAAGAGGCATTCTTTTTTTTGTTTTGTTTTGTTTTTTTTGTTTTTTTGAGACAGAGCCTCCCTGTCGCCCTGGCTGCAGTGCAGTGGCACAATCTTGGCTCACTGTAACCTCCACCTCCTGGGTTCGAGCAATTCTCCTGCCTCGGCCTCCTGAGTAGCTGGGATTACAGGCGCACACCACCACGCCTGACAAATTTTTTGTGTATTTTTAGTAGAGACAGGGTTTCACCATGTTGGTCAGGCTGGTCTCGAACTCCTGACCTCGTGATCCACCCACTTCGGCCTCCCAAAGTGCTGAGATTACAGGTGTGAGCCACTGAGCCCAGCCGACGCACTCATTTTTTTATGACACAAAAACTGATACAAAGGTGGGCGCGGTGGCTCCCGCCTGTAATCCTAGCACTTTGGGAGGCTGAGGCGGACAGATCACTTGAGGTCAGGAATTTGAGACCTGCCTGGCCAACATGGTGAAACCCCGTCTCTACTAATACAAAAATTAGCCCGGTGTAGTGGTGCGTGCCTATAGTCCCAGCTACTCGGGAGGCTGAGGCAGAAGAATCGCTTGAGCCTCGGAGGCAGACGTTGCAGTGAGCCAAGATGGTGCCACTGCACTCCAGCCTGGGCGACAGACCAAGACCTTGTCTCAAAAAAAAAAAAAAAAAAAAAAAAAAACTGATATGAAGATGAAATAATTATTTCTAGACCATGATTTCAAATCATGAAGACAATGAAAACAGATCCAGAAATAGTGTTGTATCATAGATAATCATAAGAATAAGACAAATATATTTTCCAATGAGAATGGCTGGACTTAGCAAACATGAACTGGTGAATGGGTTTTTAGGTTACACATGTCTTATGTTAAGGGGAATTAAGGAGTTAAGGCAGGGTAGTTTTAAAGACAACTTGAAGTGAGAGAAGACAAAAAAGGCTTAAAATAGAAGTTTTGGTATTTGATATAGTATAAAAGCCTATCAGATAAACTACCTTTAAGGGAAAGTTTCTACAATGTGCAAGAGTTTAAAAGTACCAATGCTGGCCGGGTGCGGTGGCTCACACTTATAATCCCAGCACTTTGGGAGGCTGAGGCCGGCAGATCACCTGAGGTCAGGAGTTGGAGACCAGCCTGGCCAACATGGCGAAACCCAGTCTCTACTAAAAATACAAAAATTAGCTGGCCCTGGTGGCAGGCGCTTGTAATCCCAGCTAATTGGGAGGCTGAGGCACAGAATCACTTGAACCCAGGTGGCACAGACTGCAGTGAGCCGAGATAGCACCATTGCACTGCCTGCCTGTGGACAAGAGTAAAATTCTGTCTCAAAAAAAAAAAAGTACCAATGCTGTTACTAAAAAAATAAAATCTTCTTTTTAAAAACTAGAATCTTTCTTTAAACTTCATTAACTTCAGGAATAAATATACAGTCACTTAGGGATTTTGTATTAATAAAAGGACTGCCAAGTCATAAACTACAATTCAGCACTGAGTTAAATTAAGTCCCAAATTCTGCCCCAAAAGTGACCGTGAGTCACCTGATTAACCTCTGAACCTAATTCCCTTTCAGTAAAATCAAAGTTCGTATGTTCAAACGTCACCACCTTAACGGTTTTTTTTTAATGCTCCAAATTTAAGCCTGTTACTGTTGGGCTGGATTTTTTTTTTTAACGGAGTTGTCTTTTTTAAAATCAAAACAGAGAATTTAGCAGATTTTTAAATTAACACAGCAAGCAAGTGGCCTTCAGATTTGCTTGCGTGGTGCCAAAGTAGTAAAGCATAAAGATTAAGCAATGAAGCCAAAATCTCAAAATTTCTTGGAGTGCTTAGGACAGGAATAAACAAAGACCTATGACATCACACTCTATTTCTGGATCTATCTTCCTCGTTTTTATGACTGAAGTAATGGCAACAGATGAGTGTCATCTGATTAATTTTATTAACATTTATTCACAAGTCAATTCACAGTTTTTCTTTTTCATAGCCTATTTCTAAGAGTATTCCTCCTATGCAGCTCTTACTCTGCTCCCTTAACTCATCAGTATTAATGATTTCTAAGATTCGAGGGAAAGAAAAAAAATACACATATATATGTATCAAGAAAAAGAACCCTGTATGAATGCCTGATATTTAGGTCAAACTCACCCACCCACACTGTGATCCTAAGTACCACGAAAGAGATGGCACTCTAGGCACATAAAGTACTTATTTCTAGAGGGCTTACTAACAAGGTTTTGTTCTTTCTTAAAAATATTCTCTTTAAATTAAGTGCTATGACATACCTGTATAAAAGAAGTCAATTTTATTAGCTTCCTAAAACTCTCCACTAACATAAAAAAAATAAAGAGTTTAAATAGAAAACTCATTAAAGTAATAATGACAATTTGGTTACATAGTGGAGACCTCATTTGAATCCCATTTCTTTTAGATGTCATTTAAAAATACTAGTTAGGTAAGTGGCTTGTTAAGTAAGCAAAAGTTTGTGTAATTTTCCATCTCTTCTACTCAACTATTATTTATTCATTGTTTATTAAACAAGTAAAACATTCACATAGGACCAAGTTAAAGTTTTAAAAAGTAAATCTCACCCCCATACCTTTCCCCAGCTCCACTTCTGAGGTAACCACAGTTAACAAGTTCTAGCACACACTTCCAAAGATATTCAAAGCATGTATTGTGTTATAAATTAATCAAAGAATTATTTTCCACTTGTTTACATATGCTAAAATTCAGTGATGAAATGGATCTTTTCTACTAAAATAGTGAAAAGGTAGCAGCAATAAAGCTGATGAAAGGTCACAAATGAGCCCTGAAGCAAAATTTAAAAGGCAATCCCCATACAGCCACCAGAGGCCTGTATAGGTACTATAAGCACAAAGAGGGAAGGAGGCTTGCCCAGAAACTTTAGACGGGATTAAAGGTTTGTGCGTGATCTAGGCCATTACTAACATCATTATAACTTTCAAACTTTAGCTTTCAAACTTTTCCATTTCATCAACAAAAGGGTAATAGAATAAAATAAATACCTTCTAGAAAGAATTCAAATGTTTGATTCAGATGAGGAAAAGCTGAAACACAGTGGTAAGAAATATCCTCAGACCAGGCACCGTCCCAGCATTGTGGGAGGCTTAGGCAGGAAGATCCCTGGGGACGAGGGACTCGTGACCAGCCTGGCCAACATAGACCTTGTCTCCACAAAAAATGTAAAAAATAGCCAGGAATGGTGTCACATGCCTGTAGTCCTAGCTACAGGAGGCTGAGGAGGGAGAGCTGCTTGAGCCCAGGAGTTAAGAGGTTGCAGTGAGCTATGATCACACCACACCGCACTCCAGCCTGGGCGACAGAGCCAGACTCCCTCTTTCCCTTAACAAAAAAAAAAAAAGTATCCTCAATTCACATAGAGCAACCAGAGGCCACAATAAATTACATATTTTACATCTTGATAAAGAATGAATTTCATCAACATGGAGAGCATTCAAAATAAAGAGGCACCTAAAAAATGTAAAAAATTGCTGTTTTAAGAATCCCTCCCTATGGTCAATTATTAAATGTTTAATACATGATCACGAGTTTTTGAGCTTTTTTAAATGCCAGTTTCCAATAACCTTTAACAACATAACCCCATATTTACTTTTCTTGTGAACAAAGGCATATCATTCTGAGTGGCAGCCGTGGCAGAGGGGCAACTGTGTCCAAAAATACCTGATGGCTAATAGTTCCAGTGTGATAACGTCGGAGAATACTCCAATATTTAACTCCTGTTTAAATTTCTAAATAAAATATTACCCAGGTTATTTAATACTCGATTTGAGTTTATTGGGGTCTCTCCTAGAAGGGCCTTCCAATTCCAATTGGAATCCTTTTTCTTAACCATATAATAAGTAGAAAACCATAAGTTCAGTTAAGCACCTACTCATCCCACCCAGGAAAAGTTTCAACTTCGTAGCGAGGGCACAATAACCTCAACTTTTAGCCAACTGCAACCTAAGCTCCTCACCACCCTGCCTCTCTGGGGCTCACTGCAGAGAACATATAGAATGCAGCACAAAGGAGAACGCGTTTCTTCCCCCCGTGAGCAGGAGGTCGCCTCGGGTGGTCGCAGAGGTGCTAGAGGTTCAGGGCTTCTGCAGGTGCCAGTTAGGGGAAGGAGCACAGCCTAGGGGGGAGAAAGTGGTCCCCCCGCCTCCGACGCCTTCGCCTGGCCAGGTGGACCTGCGAGACGGAAAGCTTCCCCAGCGCCTCTGCGTCACCCCGGGCCCACCGCGCAAGGCCCAGGCCGCGTGACGCAAGAGCCCGTCCAAACCCGCCGGACGTCTGGCATCCCAGGAGCTCCATGTTGGAGCCAGGGTGTCAAAGGCGGCCAGTGACGGCACGGGCTCAACTCCCCGTTCTTCCCCACCCGTGGTCGGGGAGAGATCGGGCGAGATCGCCGCCGAGAAAGGAACTCTGACAATGGTTCCTTTCCCGCCCAGCTCCCGGTCAGCCCCTGTCCCGACACACTCTCAGGCCCAAGGACCCGTTCCTCCCTGCCCCCACGGCCGGTGCCCAAGAGTCCGGTTCGCACGCCAGATCTAAATCGCGCGAGGAGCAGCGCCCAGGGCACGCTGGGAATTGTAGTTCAGTAGCCAAACCACGCACCCTGGAAATGCAAATGTGTACATCAGAGAAAGAACTACAACTCCCACCGTGCCGAAGCATGGAAGACTCGCCAGCCTGGCCGGCAACTGGGATGCCGGCGGCGGGGATACCCCTTACCTGCTGTCGCCGCCGTCGCTGCGGCTGCTCCTGACCCGCCGCCGCCAGCACTGCTACCGCGGTGGGGAGTGTTCCGCTTCTTGTTCTTCGGCATCGTGGGACGCCCGGTGCCGCCCAGAGTCGGAGCTTAGCGAGGATCAGCCGATGGAGCTGCACTTTTTACTCGTGCGTCTGTGCGGCGGGCGGCTGAGAGGCGAGTCTTCGGCTAACAACAGAGTCGAGAAGCGGCGGGGGTAAGAGTGGGCGGTGGCGGCAGCAGAAATCCCCGTGAAGAGCTGTGATCGAAAACGATACATGTTTCTCTCTAGCGCGGGAGCTAAGGCGGGGCAGGGGAGGCCACGACGCCTTAAGTAGCAATACCGCCACCTGACGTCACTCTGTGGGCGGGGCTTGAGCGCTTCCCAACCAATCCCTGCACACCTCCCCACTGGACGCCTCCGTCGGGCGGGGCGCGGATCCTACCTACAAATCCCATGCGGCCAGTCTTCCGTCCGCGCCCAGGGAGCCTGTCTTCGTGGCCTCACTGAATTCTGGGAAACGTAGTAAGGCTGGGGCCGGGGCCTCCTCCCAGCCGTCTCTTCCCAACGGGCTTTTCTGCCCACTTGCTTTTCTCCTGGTGACCCCACCCCTGCCTCGGCGCGC
Organism: Homo sapiens; assembly: GCF_000001405.40. Taxonomy (NCBI): domain Eukaryota; kingdom Metazoa; phylum Chordata; class Mammalia; order Primates; family Hominidae; genus Homo; species Homo sapiens. Next base: position 112,450,140 of record NC_000007.14, on the reverse strand, counting down.
CCCCGCCTTGGAACTGGGTGAGGTAGGCACCGGCGATGCACAGTGGGGCGAGTATGCCCTATGACGAGAGTCGGCTTCCAGCTGGCAGCTATGCAATCACCTTTGCTTCTCTTTCTCCGGAGGCTGGTGTTCTCCTTAACCTTTCCCCTACTTCCCTGCGGCACCTGCCAGGCACGCAGCCTTACCTCTCCTGGGTAACATTTCCATGGTTTTAGTTTTAACTAGTTCCATGAACTACTTAAGCCATCATCAGTACTGTACCTGTAATTGGACCGTGGTTCAGGGTTATGTGCCCCCCATCCCCCCCCCCCCCCAAAAAAAGGGATGCTTTCGTCTACTTAGTTGTGGAGTTCGTGTATATCTCAGATTCTAGACTAGGAATATATGACGATTCAGCGTTGTGGGTTTCTATACAAGAATGTGTCCCTTGACAATACTACCTGCCAGTTCTGAGAATTTCACAGCTGGTAAAACAAACACAAGTTATACAGATCAATAATCGCAGTGCTGCCTTTTTTCTCAAGGCACTCCTAGATCTCTGTCTTCCTTGTTAGGACATTTGTCTAGTATTTAGAGCCTGTTATTAGGTTCATATACTATGCTTATGACAGATCAAAGTCCCTGACTCACCTCAATGTAGGTGAGTCATCCGCCACTCCACCTCTCAGCTGAGCTCTATTCTATTTTCAATTGCCTGTAGCAAATTTCCACCAGAATGTTCCACTTGTGCCTCAACCCAACATCTCTGAAACGAATACTATATTTCCTTCTTCCTGTCTTCCCTTTGTTCACTGTACTATTTATTATCCTCCCATATGTTAAATTCCAAAACTCAAATTCATAGTCTTTTTTCCCTTTGATGCACCACCCCCTCCCCACCCGCAAAGCAATTAGTTTTAAAATAGCACTCTTAAATTCCTGTCCTATTCTGTGATCACATGTGACCTCAGTTCATGCCTGGGCATTTTAAGCGATCTCCCAGTCTTTTCATCCATGTTTCATGCACAGTAATGCTGCCAGATTTATTTGTGTGTTCCCTATTTTACTAATCCACCTGCTTTAATAGTTGCTCAAAAACATTCCATGGCTCCCATGACTAACTTTAAATGCCAACCCTTTTAGCCTGGCCCTGACTCCCTTTCCAGCCTCATCTTTCACTGCTTCCTCATACAGTTCTTGTTCTTCAGCCAAACAGGACTGCTTTTCATTTCCAATACACGGCTCTCTTCTCCTACCTCCATTTCCTCATTCATATTCTTTCCTGTTCTTGTAATGCCTTTCCTCCCATCTTCACCTTAAGAAATTTTATCCACCGTTCAAGATGTAGCTCATGCTGCCACCTTCCTGAAGCCTCCAGCCAGAAGTTTCTTCCTCCTCACAACTCTTTGACACTCATCCTAATAATGCCCTAATGGCACTTATTACCTCCCCACACGGCCTACTCAAAGATGCTATTTAATGGGCAACATTTCAGGGTTGCTTTTACTTTGTTTAATCCTGAAGCAGCCAGTAAACTGCACAGAGCACAGAAACCAAATACGGAGGCAGGTTGTGGGGGAGGAAGCAGCTCACACTGACTCCTTGTATCTAGAGGCACACTGCAACTCAGTGACAGGGCCTATACAGAATGAGATGTCTCACAGAATTGTAGACTCAATAACTTTTATAACCCTAGGCTCTTCACCATCCAGAAACAATTTATACTATACATAAGGCAACAGTTTTGCCACTCTGGAGTCACATCACCTAGGCCTAACATCCAGGTTCCAGCCCTGGAAACGTGTGCTTTGCATTTGGGGCAGGGGCTTTTTTTCCAAATCCCTTCACATCCACTTAGTCGTTCTGCGGCAGGCCTGGCCATGGCCCACCACATCATATACGTACTTGTTTTACATTTATTTGTGAATACATCTGTCATCTCATGAAATTATCAGCTTCCCAAGAACAAAAATCTTTTCCTCTTTTTAATTTCTTTTCTTTTTTTCTTACTTTTCTTTCTTTTTTTTTTTTTTTTAAATCTACAGGCCCAGGAACTTGAAAAAATCTTGCTGTATCCCTCATGGCACAAAAGGAAGTGTTACATTTGAAATTGAAATTATAGTCAGTATATATATAGTTAAATGAACATTTAAGAAATAATTGTTGACTAGATTTTTCTGGATCAAGGAAAGGGAGAAACTTATGTATCACTACATACATACATTCTGGATCAAGGAAAGGGAGAAACTACTTATCACTACAAACATGAAGTACAGCCTTCAGTATAATGAATTCTGAGAGATACTGTACTTTTGATAAAATTACCTTACTATAGTTTTATGCCTGCAGTTTAGCTCCAGACCAGTGCAAACATCACAAAGATGTAGCCCACCTCCTCATGGGACAGTGGTCTTCAGCTCCACATACTATTTTGCAATATGTTTAAAGAAATTAGAAGACTCCAAACATCAAGTCACTAAATGATTACAAATACCAGAAAGGAAGGGGAAGCACGAAAGGGAACAGGAAAAAGGGCTTTCTCCAGACTTTGCCTTTTTCTTCAGGAAAGACCACACTCCCTAGAAACTTCCACCTACATGTTGACCAGAACTGTGTCACAGGATGATCCCTAGCTGCAAGGAAGTTTAGAACACAAGTATTTTCGGTTGGGCTCATTCGCAAACAAAATTGAGGTTCTGTTGTTAAGAATGAAGGGGAAACCATGGATATAAGGTAGACAAATAGCAATGTCTGCCTCATATATCAGGAGGCAAAATACTCTCATGCTCTAATAAATAAATATCACATATTTGTTACCAACATGACATTATGTGCTGCCTCAACATTTAAGTCATTGTAAAATATATTCTTCTTTTACAAAACAACTTAGTTTAACATTCCATGGAACAGAAATCACCATCAGGGTAAGTATACTCAAATGTTGCAAAAATAAATCTTACATTAATCAGAATTTAGGGGCACGCCTGAGAAGAGTTCTAAGTTCTCATTGATGACTTTGATTCAAGAACAAGTAATAAAGATAAGATTCAGTATTCATACCTTCCTTGAAGGCATAAACATGAAAGGTTTTCTTTGAATGACTTTAGTCATGGCCTCCTTGGGATTCTCTGCATAGCACTGAGCAGAAATAATACCTCCCAGATCCTCCATGTAGGGCTTGTCGGAATCTGTTTCTTGCCTGTATCTCCCAAATCACTTCTCTCATCACCTAACACAGTCCCTTTCCTAATGCCATATCAAACTCTTAGCAGGTCTCTGAGCTCACCACTCTCAAGCTTCCAGGCCTTACCTAGGTTTGGCACATACCTCTCTCTCCATATTGCATCTCCTGCCCCTCTTTTCATCCACTGCATTTCAGCCACACTGGTCTTTGCCAACTTAAAAACACAAAGTTCATTCCCCACTTAAGACTTGCAACAGCTCCTCCCTCTGCCTGATATGATCAACCCGAGCTTCCCACACTTGCCATTCAGATCTGAGCTTAAATGACACCTACCTGAAGAGGCCTTCCTACTCTCCCACTCTTCCACTCTCCATTCTAAGGTCGCATCCTCACCCCACCTACCACCAGCACCTCCACCCTGCTTATATTCTCCCAAAGTACATCGCACTACTTAATATTTTTTGGCCCAATTATTTTTTGTCTCTTCTACTAGAATGTTAGAATTACAAGAAAGAGATCCTGTCTGTTTTATTCACTATTGTATCTTCAGTACTGGAACAGTACGTGGCACTTAGATATTCAATTATTTTTTACTGAATGTTTACACCACTCCTGAGAAGAATAAGCGTAAGCGAAAGAAGGTGAAGCTGGCTGTCCTGAAATACTGTAAGGTGGATGAGAATGGCAAAATAAGTCGCCTTCATCTAGAGTGCTCTTCAGATGAATGTGGTACTGGAGCGTTTATGGCCAGCCACTTTGACAGACATTATTGTGACAAATGTCTCATTGCTTCAGCAAACCAGAAGACAATTAATTGTGTATGAGTTAATAAAAGACATGAACTAACAAAACACATTTACTGAATGAATAAATGTATTAATAATTAAATGTCACTCCTCTGCCTAGAACATCCTTCCCCACGATCTCCCCATCATCCTTTAAGTTACTGATCCTCGGTCACTAATCCTGGGCCCCCCAAATTGTCTGATTTAAATGTCTTTCTTTTTTGTTCTTGCAGTGCCTTCTTTAGACTAGCATTAATTATATGTATTGTAGGGTTTTTTTACTTCTTTTTTTTTAATATGTATTGTAGTTCTTGATTACTTGTCTGTTTTCCCCTCAGACATGAGATACAAGCTACATGCTACTTGTGGGCAAAGCCCAGTTTTGTCACTTCTGAAACACACATGTAGCACCTTTGTGCAAATTAGAAACAGAACACCAAGTCTGATGAGTGTTTATGGGCTGGAATCCAGTCACCAATCTCTCTTCAGCAGGGAACAACCTATACATCTGTACATAGTGGCCCAGTAGACAATAACTGTGTTTTTAATTGAATGAGGGAGTCAATTTCCTCTGTATTTTAGCAGTTTTCTTAAAAGCAAAGGAACTAATGTGGGGAAAAGGATGAGGCTAACATTTATTGCAAGTCCACACTGCCACTGTTCTAGACTGTTTTCACACCTCTCATGTAATTCTTACAACAACCCTACGCAGAAAAGATTAGTTTTACCATTTTGTGGATGAAGAAATGAGCTTAGAGAGGTTTTGCAACTTCCCCAAGGTCGTACCATTGGTAAACAGTGCGTCTGTTGTGATGAAAGCCTAGGCCGGCCGGGCGGGGTAACTCACACCTGTAATCCTAGCACTCTGGGAGGCCAAGGTGGGCGGATCACAAGGTCAGGAGATCGAGACCATCCTGGCTAACACGGTGAAACCCCGTCTCTACTAAAAATATAAAAAATTAGCCGGGCGTGGTGGCGGGCGCCTGTAGTCCCAGCTACTCGGGAGGCTGAGGCAGGAGAATGGCATGAACTCGGGAAGCGGAGCTTGCAGTGAGCCGAGATTGCGCCACTGCACTCCAGCCTGGGTGACAGAGCGAGACCCTGTTTCAAAAAAAAAAAAAAAAAAAAAAGAAAGCCTAGGCCTATCTGATTCCAAGTTTGCCTCTGGCTGGCTTTGGTCATATGGGAACCTGAGTGCTTGTTCCTAGGAGTCATGGGTTTTCTTGTTTGCTTTTTTATAATTTCAACTTTTAGATTCAGGGTATAATGTACAGGTTTGTTACATGGTTATATTGCATGATGCTGAGGTTTGGGATATGAATGATCCCGTCACCTAGGTAGTGAGCATAGCACCCAGTAGTTTTTCAACTCTTTCCCCCTCCATCCCTCCCGCCTCTAGTAGTCCCCAGTGTCACTGTTGCTTTTTTATGTCCAGAGTCATGGGTTTTATTTGCAATGCTGCGAGAAAAGGCCCCTTGAAGTTAAATTTTGCCTTGTTCCCCTTTTTTTTAGAGTCTCTTCACCCCTAGTATCAGTATACAGGGGACATTCAGTTGTTGACTGCCTGATGAATGTTTGCCAGTGTAAGTTTTTTCTGATATTTCTAAAGCTTTAGCAGAACTTTATTATTAAATAGTAATGTTATTCCATCAAATAATTTTTTACATGGATTATCACTTGTTGTGTTTTAGATTGCATTGTTTTCTTAATATGTTTGCAATTTTTGTTTTATTGCCAAGAATGGTGATAATACAGCATGCTAAATTTGAGATCCCTGTTTGTTAAGAAATGATTCGGCGGGCAAATTTAGTTAGAACTCTTTAAGCCTTAAGATATATTTTGTTTGCTTTTTTCTTTTTGTTGTGTAGAAGATACTTCTTTGTGGTTTTCAGTTTTGAAATTACATACACTTTCTGTAATGAAATTTCTGACAAAAGACAGTCAGTGTTTAATTGTCTTCTAAAATGGGAATGTTGCTTATCTCACAAAGCTGCAGTATTATCAATAATAAAATATGAGACTGTGTTAACAGGGTACTGTGAGCCATAAGTACCATAATACACACAGCCAAACTAGGATAGTTATGACGCATTATGTTGGAAGAACTTTTTATGGCAACAGCGTAAGTAGGAATTATCTTTTTGTTGAACATAAAGAATATCAGTGGACTTTTCCATTTGGATATCCTGACTCTTCATACCAAACATAACCAAAATCAACTTGTTCTTTACCAACCTCTCTACATTCTACAACTAGTTTTGTTTTTTTGTTTTTGTTTTTGTTTTTTTGGTGGGGGATGGTGTTTGTTTTTTGGGTTTTTTTTTTTTTTTGAAACAGAGTTTCACTCTTGTCACCCAGGCTAGAGTGCCATGGTGCGATCTCGGTTCACTGCAACCTCCACCTCCCGGGTTCAAGCAATTCTCCTGCCAAAGCCTCCCGAGGGATTACAGGCGTTCACCACCATGCCTGGCTAATTTATGTATTTTTAGTAAAGACGGGGTTCATCATGTTGGCCAGGCTGGTCTCGAACTCCTGACAAGTGGTCCACACACCTCGACCTCCCAAAGTGCTGGGATTACAGGCATGAGCCACCACACTCGGCCGTTTTTGGGGGGCTTTTTTTGAGATGGGTCTCCCTCTGTCATCCAGGCTGGAGTACAGTGGTGCCATCACAGCTCACTGCAGCCTTGACCTCCTGGGCTCAAGCAATCCTCCCGTCTCAGCCTCCTGAGTAGCTGGGATACAGACGCATGTATCCCAGCTAATTTACTTATTTATGTTTGTAGAAATGAGGTCTTGCTGTGTTGCCTAGGCTGGTCTCAAACTCCTGGGCTCAAGCAGTCCTCCCAAAGTGCTGGGATTACAGGCATGAACCACCACACCCAGTCTACAACCAGTTCTTGTTCCCAGCTTTCTCCGTGTGGTAGTACTAATCTTACGGCCAACCACCAGAGAATCTTAAATAGTTGAAAATTTCTTAAGGGGTAACCTACTTCAGACTCCTGCCTCACCTGGGAAACGACTGACAACATGATTAAGATCCAAGGCTCTAACTCAGTATTCCAGGGTTCAAATCCTGGCCATACTATTTGCAATGGATTCTTGAGCAAGTAACTTCACTCTTCCATGCCTTGGTTTCAATGTGATTAATGATAGAACCTATTTCATGTGGTTGGAATGAGGAATACATGAAACAATACAAGTAAAGTACTTAGCTCAGTACTCAGCACATAGTAAACAATGTTAGCCATTAATATTAGTCAACAGATATTTATCATTTTTTCTTAAACTCTGACAGTGCTAGAACTCACACAACTCTTCAGGGAAGCTCATTCCAACAGTGGATATTTGTCATATTTTGAAAAGTCTCAATTCCTTCAACAAATATTCCTCAGGTGTCCACTATATACCAAGCATGTTCTAGAGCATGAGAACAAAGAGATGACTGAAAACAGTGTTTGTCCTCATAAAGTCCCTAGTCCAGCAACAGAACTCAGTACCAGGTGGCCCGTGGCTGTCCGTCCCTCTCAGCCCATTTGGAGGTGACTCTTGCTTCTCTCTTGATGGATCAGCTTTCACTGCCCACCCCCAGGGACATGACCAAAGAGGTTCCTCCTCTCTACCCCTAAGCGGTGAGTCCATAGGCTCCCTGGAGAGTTCAGTCATCTCTTCTGGAGCAAGTCACCTAGCAGCAGTGAACCTCCATTTCTTTATCTCAAAAATGGGAGTCAATAATCCCTGCCTTATTGATGTCACTGGATTGTCATAAAAATGACATCATTATGTAAAGGTCTTTGTAACCTGCCACGTACTCTATAATGATGAGATACTCCTTATATTAAACCAAAGAAAGAAATGACTCTGCTAAAGATGGAATTTTAGACATCAGTAAGCAAGGGAAGATCTTTTGGCTGGGAGCTGATAAAGTGGTTAACAGGAGAAATTTACTAAGCCCCAGATCAGACTTATAAGGACAAGACTAGACTGACTCAACCAGGCCTCCAGCATTGCTCCTAAAAATCTTATTGGAGGCCATATACTGTGCTGGAGGGTCACCGAGTTTTAGATCCAGACAGACAGAACTAGAGTCAAAATGCCTTATCAACCACTTACTAGTTTGGTGACTGTGTGCAAGTTCCTTAATCTAAGCTATATGAATGAGGAATGTATGAAACAGTACATGTTAGCCATTAATATTAGTAAGCAGATATTTATCCATTTTTTTCTTAAATTCTGCGAGTGCTAGGAATCACACAACTCTTCAGGGCCGCTAGTTTCAACACTGGATAGTCATCATTTTTGGAAAAGTCTCAGTTCCTTCAACAAACATTCCTCAGGTGTCCACTATATACTAAGCATGTTCTAGAGCATGAGACAAAGGGATGCCTGAAAATAGAGTATTTGGCCTCATAAAGTTCCTAGTCTAGCACGAGAGCTCAGCATTATTTGTAAATCAGATTCTCTCTCCTTGGAATTCAGAATTAGAACTGAGAGACACTCAAAGATTCTGGACTGTCTTCTGAGCAGAGAATAAAAAGTAGCTATCATCTGCCCACCACAGACATGAAAAAACAAGAAAGACAGTTTGCAGAGAGGAGAGAATGAAACAGGACTGTAGAGAGAAGCAGAGACAAGAAATGGATCTTCCCATCTCGTCATGAGCTTCCACTTCCAGGTAGGCAGAACTACCAGAGACTCAATTGAATTCCTGCCTTAGGCTTCCAGGGAACATCCTGAACTTTTTTTTTTTTTCTGAGATGGTGTCTTGCCTCTCACCCAGACTGGAGTGTAGTGGTGCGATCACAGCTCACTGAGGTCAGGTAACCCTCCCACCACAGCCTCCAAAGCCGCTGGGACTACAGGTGTGCACCACCATGCTCGGCTAATTTTTGTTTTTGTTTTTGTTTTTGTTTTTTTTAAGACAGGATCTCACTCTATTGCCCAGGCTGGAGTGCAGTGGCGTGGTGTTGGCTCACTGCAACCTCCGTCTCCCAGGTTCAAGCAGTTCTTCTGCCTCAGCCTCCCAAGTAGCTGGGATTACAGGCGCACACCACGAACGCCCAGCTAATTTTTGTGTTTTTCGTAAAGACAGGGTTTCACCATGTTGGCCAGGACGGTCTCAAATCTCTTGACCTCATGATCCACCCTCCTCAGCCTCCCACCAAAGTGTTGGGATTACAGGTGTGAGCCACCCTGCCTAGCCTAATTTTTGTATTTTTTGTAGAGACGGGGTTTTGCCATGTTTCCAAGGCTGGTCTGGAACTCCTGGACTCACACAGTCCGCCCACCTTGGCGTCCCAAAGTACTGGGATTACAGGGGTGAGCCATTGCACCCAGCCTGAACTTTTAAAATAAATTGTTTCTTATGCTCAAGTTAGGTCCAGTCAGTTTTTATTTCTTGCAAACTAGGATAGTTTACAGTTTCTCCTTAGCACTCCTCTGTTTTTTTGATTAGTGTCTCTTGGAGTTCCAGAAAACTGTCCAGGCATTTGCAAGTGGGACTTTAAAAGCCTATCTTTTACACTCAGATGAAAGGCAGTAGGAAGTAGGAACAGATTCTCTAACACTTTGGAGGCATGTTAGCACCTTTCTAAATTATGGAGAATGAGTGAACTGCCAAATTTCATTCATCATTACTGATATTTATTGTGAACCAATCCAGCCAAAAGAATTCTGAACAGACACTTTAAAAACCTATGCCAAACTGAATTGACCGTACCAGGCTTATCACATTTAAATATTTATTTAAAATAGTCTTTAAATTATAATTATGTTAATTGTTTTATTAAAATCAAGAGAGAAAACTAACCATTTATCAAACTGCTGAGACTGCTAAAAGATTTATCAGCCTTATATAAATAAGACACACTTAGTAAATATTTTCATTCCATTCAAGAAAGGCTTTTGTGACCGAGTGCCGTGGCTCACACCTGTAATCCCAGCATTTTGGGAGGCCAAGGCAGACAGATCACTTGAGGTCAGGAGTTCGAGACTAGCCTAGCCAACATTGGGAAACCCCATCTCTACTAAAAATACAAAATTAGCTTGGCATGGTGGCGAACGCCTGTAGTCCCAGCTACTCTGGAGGCTGAGGCAGGAGAATTTCTTGAACCCAGGAGGCAGAGGTTGCAGTGAGCCGAGATTGCACCACTGCACTCCAGCCTAGGTGACAGAGCAAGACTGCATCTCAAAAAAAAAAAAATGGCTTTTGAAATTAATTTGTTGCAGACATCATTGATTTCCTGCCGCAGATCCATCTTACTCTCTTGCTTATTCTCAGAACCCCAATTTTGTTCAGATATCCAACCTCCTTCGAGGGGCCATGTGCTTCAGGGGAAGGCTGGACCCCAGCTCCAGGGGTTGGGTCATAATCGATTCCTCTTTTAATTGATTCCTCTTATAATTGATTCCTCTTATAAATGGTTTATTCTTGGGCACAGAACACAGCTCTAGCCAGTGAGGTGTAAGAGTTGAGGGCTTGAGGGAAAGATTTCTCCTTCCCAAGAGAAATACAAATGAACAGATGGTCTTGTCTTTTTCTGGATGTTGTCATTTGTGAGCATAAAGGCAAACAAAGCTAACTACCAAGAATAGCAAAAGAGAAGGGTTAAAGAACATAGATGAGGTTTTTGAGTCACTGAATTAACCAACAGGCACCACCTACCATCCCCTACCCCTAGACCACTTATGTGATTATAATAAATGCTTTTAATATTTTAAAAAAATTAAACTTGAGATTTCTGTGGCTTGGGGCTGAAAGCATCTCAACTGATACTGTTACATCTAACAATCTCTTTAAAATGATGATACCATTTGGCAATTTCTAACAGTCTTATATGCATTCAGAAATAAGTAAAAATAATCCCCGAACTATCCCCCTACTTCCCTTAAAAGTCCCATATGTTCCAAGAAAGAAAATGTCTTTGAAATCCTCACTCTTGTCACCTGCTGTTTTGTACATACAATGTACGAACATAGGGCCCTGCCCACTTCATTCCGCCTCCACAGAATTCTGTCCAAGGACACCCTGTTAAAACTGTATTTGGAGAATTTCCTTCCTTCTATGCCCACTATTATTGTGTATGACTGCTTTTTGGGCTTTTTTCACTCTCTTGTTCTTTACCCATCTTTGGCTTCCAGATTAAGAGTTTTCATTTCCCTTAATGGTCCTTAATAGGGTTGTTTGTTACTGTTCTTGTTGTTGTTGTTGTTGTTATTAATTGGCATCAGAACTTTTTTTAACCGAAACATCTTTCAACGGGAGGAATCCATTTTTCTGTCAACGGTATCCCAGGTGGCTAACTTTCATTATGCTCAGGTCAATGATTCATGAATGGTAGTTTTCCTTCTAAACAAGTGTTGCCATGATGGGTGAGTAATGGTACCTTTGCTATATTCCAAAAACTGAGGGAATAAAACAGACTCCACCCACATGATAATAGGGTTAATTTGACTCTACATATATAGATTGAAGGTTGTTTATTTGTTGGCTTGATTTCCACAGCCTCGTCTTTTTTGGCGAAGGAGGTATCTTCTAGTCTCAAGTTATTTCTATTCACGCATCCATTCAAACAAATTTGCCTTTGTCTCCAGGTTCTGTTTCTTATGATAAATTTTTGGAAACCCTAGGCTGATCAAGGAACTCTCAAAATAGGAAGTGAACCAACAACATTTATACTTATAGCTCTTTATGTGCTTAAGGCAACATTCAGGAATATTCTTTCCCTACCCTTGTTCTCTCAAACTCTGCCTCTTTACCTTGATCTACCTCTCTCCTCACCCCCTGTATTTTTCTCCTCAAAGGTATGCACAATGCTTCAGTGCCATTTTCATAGCCCTATAAGCTAGAAAACCTGCCTACACGTTTGCTTTTAAATGAGGTAGTACACTTTGCCAGCTTCACTATTTTCTTTCTTGTGCTGTTATTACTTTTTTACCCAAAAATTTGGCCCCTTTTTTTATGAAATCAGTAGTAATGATTTAACACTTAGAGAGATACAAGCAATTAAGTAATGTATTCTTTTGAAGCTCTTCAAAGATGACATTCAATAAAATCCCTAGCTTTGATATTTATCCCAAACTCCAGAACCCCATATCTAATCACTGTCTTCTTCATTTACTATCCCACAGACTGGTCATATTTAGCAAATGAAAAACATATCCACTCTACCCCTACGCCACTCTTTACCTGTTTCTTCTTTGGCATTATGCATCATGGTTAATGGCTCTACTATCCATCTCAATATGCAAACCAGAAACCTAACCTCATTCAGCATGCTAAACCATTTCACATCTAAAATATGTCTAGACCCTGTCCTTTCCTCTCCTTCCTACTGAAACTACCAAGTATTACTTAGCCTCTTAGTTCACTGTCCCACCTCCAGTTTTGCCCAGCTCTAAGCTATCAGAATGATCTTCCTTATCCCATCCATAATCCCATTACCATCTCCATGAAGACTTTCCAGCCCCCACTTTCATCCCTGCAGAATGGATTGCCTTATCTAGTGTGGCCCCTAGTGCTCTGGAGGGATTTCCATTATGGGGAAGTAGCATAGCCCTTAGTGATTAAAAGGTACATTTTCTGAAGTCAGACCATTAGGATTTGAACCCTGGCTTTACCACTTATCAGCTGCAAGTTACCAAATCTCTGTTCCTCAGTTTCCTCTTCTATAAAATAGCACTAATCAGTAGTACTTCTTGGGGTGGATGGGATAATTAAGATAATACATGCTGGCACTTAGCACATGCCTGGCACATGGTATTGATATACATCCAATAAGCTATCATCATCATCATTATTATAGAAAATCTATGACTTTCACTGCACTAACTTGTTTATATTTTTCTTTACTAGGCTTTGAGTTCCTTGTATCTAATTCATCTTTGTAACCCAGCACCTAGCACTGGCCTGAAAAGTAGGAGACACTCCATACATATTTTTTGATTGAATCATCAGGTTACTGCTTGGCTTATAACTCCTCACTGGCTCCTGATTGCCTGCGGAATAAGATTCACACTGTTTCAGCCTGGGCAACATAGTGATACTCCATTTCTACAAAAACATTAAAAAATTAGCTGGGTATTAGCTGGGTCACACACCTGTTGTCCCAACTACTTGGGAGGCTGTGGTGAGAGGATTGTTTGGTGGGCCCTAGAGGTTGAGAGAGACCCTGTCTCAAAAAAACAAACAAACAAAAAAAACTGTTCTCTTTAGCCTGATTTATGCACCTATTCAGCTTAATCTCCTATACTCTAAGCAAGATTGCTTGCAGCTCCCTGGACATTTCCTTCAATCAGGAATGTCCTTCCAGGCCCTTTCCCCAAACTTGGTGAACATTTTTTGATATATAAGACCTTAATCAAGTATCTTTTCCTTTAAAATCTTTCCTGACCCTTTTATAGGTGGCCAGCAAGTCTAGAAACATAGGCACATATATAATAAATGGTTTGTTGGTTGTATACTATAATACACAATGAAATAATAATATTTGCATTGCCTGATTTCATGGCCACCCTCTAGCTAGAACTGATCCCTCCTCCTCCTTCATGCTATTAGCCCCTTTTATGAAGACCTGATTAGCTGGGACAGAACATAGCACACAGAGGTTCTGCTTTATTCATCTTTGTATCTCAACCACCGAGCCCCATGATTGGCACAGACAGGCACTCAACAAATATTTGTTGAATTAATAAAACGTCAGTAAATATTTATGGATCATCATTGTATAGGCCAAGAAAAACTGCCACCCATTTAATCATTGATAGTGAATATCCCTAATCCCCCTACATTCATTTTCATCACTGCTGCTCTGGGTGTTCAATGAAGCAAAATACTTGGCATGTGTCTTGGTGATCTCATTTTGCATTTGTTGCAGTCAGCTTTCATTCATAGTTAAAACGTGTTCCTTGAACAAATATTTTCATTTTTAAAAAGAAAATTTTAAGGAAAAGTATCTGCTTTAATCAGTCAACATTATTTGAAATTCTTTTCCTTTAAGAAGAAAAATATTCGGACTGGCACGGTGGCTCACGCCTGTAATCCTAGCACTTTGGGAGGCCAAAGTGGGCAGATACCTGAGGTCAGGAGTTTGAGACCAGCCTGGCCAACATGGTGAAATCCCATCCCTACTAAAAATACAAAAATTAGCCAGACATGGTGGCGCACGCCTGTAATCCCAGCTACTTGGGAGGCTGAGGCAAGAGAATCACTTGAACCCAGGAGGCAGAGGTTGCAGTGAGCTGAGATCATGCCATTGCACTCCAGCCTGGGCAACAGAGCAAGACTCTGTTCAAAAAACAAAAACAAAAAAAAAAAAGAGAGAAAAAAGAAAAATATTGATAGATTAATAGGCATATAAAATATTTCAAAATTAATGATATATTGAAGTATGAATGTTGAATGTTCATTTTAGTAAGAGCCAACTAAAACCTGACCAGATAAATATATTTCTGTTAAGATCAACTTGAATTTATACTGGCTGTTGGAGCTCATGTATGGGGTTGCAGTCAGAGTATGTGGCATTTTTTACAAGCACGCACACACACACACACACACACACACACACACACACCTGTAGCAGATTCCTCTGGCTCAGTTTTGGACTGATAAAATCCAAGTCAGTCTCCTCTCAGCAAATTCTCCAGTGAAATAATATCCCTTAAAGATGACATTCAGCTAGAAAAATAAATGTTTAACATGACAGTTTCATGACATAGTCTGTGAAATTGAAGACAGCCCCTGGCTAATGATGATACCCACGTTGTCAGATCCATGTTTTGCAGTCAAACACTTAATGATCTAATAAGGGAACCATTTAGAGGTTCTCTCTGCTTTAATAATGACTCATTGTCCTGGGAATCTTCACTGTCTGTGAGAATAAGCCCTGGAGTGCCTCACAATTTGATGGTCACTATGACAACTCTGAAGCTTTCAGAGATGCTCTGGTTCTGTCCGCGGGTGGTTTTGTGTTGATCTGATTTTGAAGGAGTGTTGCAGTGGAGAGGTAATACCGCCATCACTTATTGAAATCTAAAGTAAAATTATTGCCGTCCAATAAAATATTACTCTGTTCACCATTAATCCAACCTATAAAAGGCATCTTGCATCATGAGGATAATATTTAGTCATAGCACAATAGCATCCAAGGCTAGGAGTGCCAAGTTGGCATTTGAAACCTCTCAGAAGAAGTTTTTAAATGATATAGGGTGATCAAAAAAATAACTGAACACTTCCAAAATGTATTTGTCAGTAACCAGGTAATTCAGAATCATGTATGAGCCAAACTGTGAGTGACCTTTTCAATGTCTATGGAAAGTGTTAGGTTGTGATCATGTTTATATTAATATTTGTATGTGTTCAATTCTTTTTGAATCATTCTGTACAATAGTATGAGTGTGATATTAGTATAATCTGAGGTCCAAACATCCCACAAAATGGGATTTAGATGGTCTTTGAAACCCCTGAAGTTATATGCAAAAATATTGTGTAGTTGAAAGTTAAAGTTATTTAATTTTATCCCATATTATAATTTGTCTTTATGTAATAACATGGAATTGATAAAAATTTTCATTAACAAATTTTACAATGATGTAATTACTTAATTGCTAAGTTAATCTTAAATTTAATTTAGAGTTTAATAAACTTCTACAGTTTTTAAAGTATATAGTAGACATATTAAAAATGTGTTATCATATTAGGTACAGTATATAACCCTGGCTGTTGTGGCACCATTATCATCATTCCTGCTGTGGGATCCAGGGCCATTGCTAGCCCACAGAAAAATCTTTCCAATTCATACAAATTTTAAGAAGGCTCCTAAATGCCCTTCTTTTGGTGGGAATGAGTCAGTCCTGCAGTGAGAAGCATCATTTAGTATATAGGCTTCATTTCAAACTCTTTTCATGCTCTCAGCTTGGTACCTATGTTCAGTGCACAAAATAAAGAACTATACACAGCAGCCCCACGGGGACCTCAATGAAAATGAGAATAGACTATGACTCTTCAATACTTTTACTAATTAAAATACCTCGAACAGAGAGCAAGACATGCTCATCAATTAAAAAATAAGACAGTCAGGCACAGTAGCTCACACCTGTAATCCTAGCACTTTGGGACGCCAAAGCAGGCTAATCACTTTGAGCTCAGGAGTTCGAGACCAGCCTGGGCAACACGGCGAAACCCTGTCTCTAAAAAAAAAATACAAAAATTAGCTGGGCGTGGTGGCTCACGCCTGTGGTCCCCGCTACTCAGGAGGCTGAAGTGGGAGGATAGCTTGAGCTGGGAAGTGAATGTTGCAGTGAGCCAAGATCACGCCACTGCACTCCAGCCTGGGCGGCCTAGCGAGACTCTGTCTCAAAAAAAAGAAATTATATTTAGTTGTGAAACTGCCTTTACAAAAATTATAACTGAGAAAATTATGACAGTGAAAGATCTGACCTGACTCCATCTTGCTTCTAACCTCCAAGCTGTCCTTGTTAATTCCTGGGTATAGGCAGAACTAACTTTGGGAGGAACTTAGTTTATAGTTTAACTTTGAAACAGAGGATGATAACAGCCCTTTCCTAAAACAAAACCCCTTTCTGCCTGGGGACTAGATTGCCCTTGCAGGATTAACAAATTAGCCACAAGATTAGAAACTGTGGTTTAGGAGTATGCAGCTGCAGGCTACAAGATTCTGAACCTCCCCAAATTGCTCCTGGAGATAACAACACTGTTGTAAAACCTAAAAGCAGTGCTTGAGGTATTTTGCAGACCCTGTACTCAGTGGATCAGCTGGCACCACGCAGATGGATAAACTGGCTCATCTGGTCTTCTGGCCCCACCCAGGAACTGATTCAGCACAAGAGGACAGCTTCACCTTCCTATGATTTCATCTGTGACCCCACCAATCAGCACACCCCACTTTCCAACCCACTACTCACCAAATTGTCCTTAAAAACCCTGATCCCTGAGTTTTTGGGGAGACTGATTTGAGTAATAATAAAACTCCAGTCTCCTGTACAGCTGGCTCTGCATGAATTCAACTCTTTCTCTATTCCAATTCCCCT
This sequence comes from Homo sapiens, assembly GCF_000001405.40. Taxonomy (NCBI): domain Eukaryota; kingdom Metazoa; phylum Chordata; class Mammalia; order Primates; family Hominidae; genus Homo; species Homo sapiens. Next base: position 112,433,145 of record NC_000007.14, on the reverse strand, counting down.
GTCTTGATAAATTGGCTCTGTCTGGGCGGCAGGCAAGGAGAACCCATTGGGAGGTTACAGTTGATTCTATGATCCACACGTTTTAACCATTTAATATCTCTGAAATTGAAATGTCTTACAGTGCCGTATCCATTCTGACATTCAATAAATTGTATATAATGGATATATTCATTGGGGAAAAAAGATTAAGGAAGTGAAATAATCCTAACTTCTATTTATATTGTGTTTTCACTCTGTTTTCAAAGACTCCTTAGACTAAAATAATCCCTCTTCAACCCCAAAGCAGTTTGCTTACACTCTTGTGACCTTATATTCTGCTTTGCACTGTAAGTGTATTTTACTTTTCTCACCTGCTGAACCATAAACCCCTACAGTGCTTGGCCTTTGGACTTTTCTCTTCATTATGCCATTGGCCAGCAGTGTGACCACATGGAAGCAGCATGGGCTCTGAAGCCAGGCTGATGTGTGTCCAGATCTAAGCCCTGCCGTCTACTAGCTTGGTGATCTTGGGTAAGTTATTTAATCTCTGAGAGTCCCATTTCCTCATTTGTAAAATGGGGATAGTCATACTTAATACATGGAATTGGTTCAAAGGTTTAAAAATGAGCCAAGTTGTAAAAGATTGGTGCTTAGCATGTTCTTTGTAACTGATTATCAGTATTTTTCAGAGACAGCATAAATTTTGGAATCAGATTCAAATCCTGGCTTAGTCACTTGATATGTCTCTAACTGCAAGTTACTTCTTTAAGTCTCAGCTCTAAGTGCCATGAAGGTCAAGATCTTGTCTGTGGTGTTCACTGTTGTCTCCTTAGCATCTAACACAGATCCTGACACATGGTTGTTGAATGAACCAATAAATGAATGAAAAATTAAGATAATTTCTTACCACACTATAGTGAGAATTCTAAAAACTGTACACTCTGTACCACTTACAGTTACAATGCCCAGTACACAGTAGGCCACAATAACTGATTTTTGATGCTCAAAACAAATGAATATAAGAAAATAGGATATGTAAAGTCCTTGGGCATTCATGCTCCCATATTTATCATGTAATTATAGGAGTAGGCAATAAGAGGATGTGGCTAAATGGCTGGCCTGATGACTAATATCGTCTAGCATTAAATTGTGTTCATACCGCCAACACAACACTATTAAAGGCAGCAAGAATCACTTGTTTGTTTAGTAAATATGTATTGAGCACATAGGATGTAGATGACGCCAAAATGGACAAAATATTTATGAACAAGTACATCTATATCAAGGACAGAATGTGGAGATGCTTGCTTTCTAGGAATTGAGGCCTCAGATGACTGGAGTTTCCATATAAAGGAGTTTCCAAAAAGATCGTAATGAATAGACAGAATACTTGGTAGCCCCTTTCTTTAATTCGAATACTACTTTCATAACTGTGACATTTCTGCTTCCACTCATTTAGGCAGAGAGAGTAACCCCTATGACCTTTGGTCATCAATGCAGATAGTGGAGAAACAGATTATGGAGGTTGGGACAAGGGAGTTTCCTACTGCCCTGGATGTTTCCCTCCCAGTATTGCAATAGGATGGGAAGGAGGACTGCATAGATATAAGGAATAGGTGGTGGGAGGGTGAACTGCGGCTGTGAGTCTAAAGTTAAATGATCATACCACACCTCATCCAAAACCTGGCTTCTAGGTGATTTCACCTAAAATATTCCAAACTGATGCATGTCATTCATGTTCTCCAACACAGATAAGAGAGTAGACTCCATAGGTAGTAGCAGAGTCCTGTTTCTCAAGAGGAGGAAAAAGTCCTGAACTGTTATGCTGAATTATCAAATTTGAATTTTGTTACCACATATTTATATATTGAGACCAATCAATCTTAATTCAAAATATATAATATGACATATAGTTAAAACAATAGTATATGTCTTCGTATAATAATTTCTAGCCAAAAGAGCAAGACAGAAACCTCCTAGTCTAGCCTTAAGCTTCCTTAGCTCCCTTTGTGCCCTGTAAAGCACTAATGGTGTCAGTAGCTTTCTGGCCACAACAGGATACACAGGATACTGGTAGTAACAGCAATACGCTCGAAAAATAATAAGCAGAAAATGTTCTAGGATCAAGGACACATGAAGAAAAGAAGGTGGGAGGGAGGGGAGGAGAAGGATGAGGCAAGAAAGAAGAAGAAAGGAGGAGCTCAAAGGAATGGTCCTTCCACTCTCACTGGCCTTTGGGGAGCTTCTGTATCAATTAGCTGGGGAACACGGTGCTGACCTAGGTGAAACATGATGCTGGGAGAATCTTCTACATCAGGCCCCAGGCTGTATGAGTACCCCAGGCCACTTCTGGCGGAGTAGCAAACTGCAGTAGGTGATCCTTCTGGCTCCCTTTAGTCTAGTCCACCCACTTGGTCAACCCCAAAATGAACAGAGATAGAAAGGGGATGAAAAGTAGTTAGGAGTGAACATATGTGTGGAAGAGAAGCAGAGAATTAGCCCCATTCCTGGACATGGGCTCACGAAGGTTTATTTTGGGTAGGCCAGATGTGAAAGACTTCTCTATTTTCTAGTGTTCCCAGGGCAACAAAAATCAGGGCTCATGTCATTTGTGATGAAAAGGAAGTTTAGACTTTTACCAGGTTCTCCTTCCTAAGTGCTTCTGAAAATCCCCAAGGAATGCTTACCTGTTCCACACATCTTCCCTAGCTACTGCTTGTCCCTTCAGCTAAGAGCTAGACTGCTGCTCCAGTCTTCAGCAGGCCACCCCTGGCCATCTCAGAACCACCTTCCAGATTGTTGCCAGGCTTCCCTATCTGCTGTATTCCCGGCACTGACACATGCCCATCCCTGAATCCCTGAAGTACCACAACAATCAGGAGGCTTGGGATAACAGAAGGGAATTATGATATAGAAAACAGCATTTTCCTAAAAAAGAATTGGGCTCCCAAATCCTTCACCTGCCTCAGGTTGCATCTTTTCTACGTTGCTGATTACAATTTTTTGCTTTCCTTGGCTCCTAACTCCCTCTGTGGAATGAGAGTGGGCAGCTCCAAGTCCTTTTATCCAAGAGAAGAAGCCCTTAGGGCTCTGCAGGTGCTGTCAACCCCACCATACCTCTGATTTGTATCTGCCAACATGGAACAGACATGGAGAGGATAAAGAAGTAGGAAGAAGCTGAGAAGAAGGGAGATGAGAAAGTGCTGACTGAAACATCAGCACTATGCTCTATGGCTCAGAAGTGTCTTCTAATAGTAACATTCTATATTTTATTTATATAACAACTTTTCTCATGAGTTATGCTCTTATAAGAAAAACTGAAGGACTATCAATAGAAAACTTAACCAAGCTGCAATTTTTGTAACATGAGGTTGCAGAGTATATTCTTTTTTAGGAAGATGCTAGGCCTGCCTTATCCCGAAAGAAAAAAGAATATGCCTTGTTTATTGAAATTGCTAAAATATTAAATTGATATCATGAGTCCCATTTTAGTGTGTCTGAGTGAGAATCTGTTGAAGCAGACGGGACATTATGGGAAGAAATCTTACAAAGTAAAATTAGATTTTTCATACACAGAGTAGCAGCTGTTCAGATTGCAGGAAAATCCTTAGAAGCCATTTATCAGGTGGCAATGTGGTGAACAACAAAGACAACTCTTCTTTCAGATGTGAGAATGGTCCAGCACACCTCTGTGACTGCAGATGACAGCATGCTGTGTTCCAAATATTGGAACTATTGAATAACTGATGTTCAAAGATTTATACATCTGAATGAACATTCTAGAGTGCAAATTGCCTTTGACTTAACGTGACCAAAAACAGAATTCTAAAGTGTAATCACATGCTGGATGTGCCCAACGACTATGATACAGAGTGATGTGTGCATAGGCCAGTGGTTTCTTTAGGTACAAGACATGCCAAACACAACTGAATAGCCAGGTTTGAGATTAGGCAAGTGTTTTAAAGTAGAAAAAGCCACAATTGGGATAAAAACAAAGCAAGAATATGGGAGACAAACAAGAAAGTACAACGGAGTAATTGCAACTAAGGCAACTCAATTGGTAGATAGGTCTAAGAACCAAAGAGTTCAAACATTTGTAAATTATTTTCCTGCTTTTGGACAGACAGGTCAAAGTTACTTTTCTGAACTAGAAAGATTTGTAGGGAGATGAATTTTAGAGGCAGTAAAGGGCCACCCCAAAGTAAAACTGTCAAGTTAATAAAGTCTGTTGTCATGATGACAATAGCTTTTGAGAAGAGGATTGACATGATGTCAACGTTTTGTTTTGAGGAAGATTAATCTACTGGTAATAAGAAAGATGACTTGAAAGGGGACGGGCAGGGTGGATTCAGGTTTTGTGTGTCTGAAGCTAATACCAGCTTTAAAAGGGTAGGGGCTCTGTTTAAGAAAAAGAATACAGATTCAAGTATACAAAATTTGCTAGGGCCCTTCCCAGAGCCTTTGAATGGCTTCATGCAAGGAAAGGAGTCTGAAGGTTAAGCTTCCTTACCTTCGATAAGCCACCTCATAAGCAGATGATAGCTAAGCCACTAACAGTGTCACCCTCATCTTGCCAGCCACCCAAGTGAGACCCCCAGGAGTCATCTTTTATCCTTCATCCTATTTCCTCTTCAGTCACCAAGCCATGCCCATTTAATTTCCTAAGTATTTCTCAAGTTCATTTATTTCTTCATTCTTCATTCCAGTACCTTAGATCTACCTGTCACTGCCTCTTAACTACTCCATTGCAAATAGCTTTTCCAAACTCGTTCCCTGTTTCCACCCTGTTTACCTCCTAGAAACCTATCCTTCACCCAGCCGCTCAGAATACTCTATCTATGGGTAGATCTGATAATCTCACACTTCTGGTTAATACTCTTCATTAAAGCTTCATCAGGAGAAGGCCCAAGCCTCCATAGTATTATAAGCAAAGCCTGTGTGATCTCACCCCTTTGTCAGCTCAGCTCTTGACACCCTTGCTTTGCACTTCTCACATGTCAGCACAATACTGCATTTCTGGCAAATGCCTTGAAAGTTTTTACATCTGGGTTTTTGGTTCCTGACTGACCTCTTGGCTGAGAATTATCTCCCTTTTCCCTCATCCCTCCTCCTTCTAAACTCTCTTTACCAGGCTCACCTTTTCCTGGGGGTCTTCATAGAGACCCACCCCTCTGCCCCCATCAAGCTGGTGAGGTGCCCTCCTCTGTAATGACACATACAGTGCTCCATCAAGGCACTCAGCACCCTGTGTTAAAAGGACCTGTTTATAGCTGCCTTTCCCTCTCCTCTCCAGACTGTGATCTCCTTGGGAATAGGAGCCACATCTGATGCATTTTTTTATCCGCAGCACTTCACAGAATGTAGGTCTCACTAGATATTTTTGAATGAGTGAACAAATTAATGATGAAATCAAGCACTACATGAGTTATTCTCTGTGATAGAGCATAGAAAGATAAGAGATAGTTCTGGGGTATGTCTAAGCTTGTGAGTAGGAGAAAGAAAAGAAAGCAATTAAACACAGAAGACAGAATAATCAGTAAAAGGGATCAATAGCTATCGTTTATGTTGTTTTTCTACTTATCATCAAGTTACGTTTCTACAATGAATTCATATTCCTTTTTAAAAATGAAAGAAAGGAGTTTATTAGGGTAATTGCTAAGCTACTGAGACAAAAAGACCACAAAATAGAATGATGAAAATGTAGTGTAAATGTAATTCTCTCACATGTAAAAATCCAGTGGTGATCAGTTTAGGGCTGGCAGAGGAGCACTGCTGTCCTCAACATGCTAGCCCTGCCACCTTAACAGCAATTGCTTCCACTATGGTTTGAACTTTCCCCCAAAGTTCATGTGTTGGAAACTTAATCCCCAATGCAACAGGATTGTGGGGTGAGGCCTAATTGGAGGTGTTTAGGTCATGAGGGCTCTGCCCTAATAAATTGATTAATGTCATTATCTTGAGAGTCGGTTTGTTATGACAGTGAATTCAACCCCCTCTTGCCCACCCTTGTGATGCCTTCTGTCATGTTTTGATTGTAAACCAAAAGTATCTGAGACAGCTCTTGGTCAATTTAGAAAGCTTATTTTGCCAAGGTTAAGGACACACCTGTGTCACAGCCTCAGGAGGTTCTGACGACATGTGCCCAAAGTGATTGGGGTACAGCTTGGTTTTATACATTTTAGGGAGACATGAGACATGAATCAACGTATATAAGATGTACCTTGGTTAGGTCCAGAAAGGCCTGACAACTCAGAGGGGGGCCTCCAGGTAACTGGTAAATTTAAAGGTTTTATGATTGGCATTTGGTTGGAAGAGTTATTATCAATAGAAAGAAATGACTGGGTTACAATAAGAGGTTGTGGAGACTAAGGTTTTATCATGCAGATGATGCCTCCAGGTAGCAGGCTTCAGGGAGAATAGATTGTAAATTCTTATCAGACTCAAAGAGTCTGTTCTATCAGTAATTACAAAAAGGATGAGGGCATAATGAGACATGTGTGGATCCCACTTCCCATCATGGCCTGAATTAATTTTTTAGGTTAACTTTGGAATCCCCTTGGCCAAGAGGAGGGGTGCATTCAGATGGCTGGCAGGACTTATAATTGTATTTTTGGTTTACATGATGCGGCAAGAAGGCCCTCACCAGATGTGGCCCCTCAATCTTGGATTTACCAGTCTCTGGAATTATAAGCCAGATAAACTTCTAATGTTTGTAAGTTACTACCCATTCTGTGCTATTCTGTTATAGCAGCACAAAACAGACTAAAAGCTTCCAACCAGTGGTGAGAACAAAAGACAAATGACAGGACAAGTAGTCAGCTTAAGGGAAGGCATAATTTGCCCCCACTCTTGGCCAAATGTCCATACTCAACTGCAAGGGAGACTGGAGAATATCGTTTCTAGCTGAGCCTCCACAGCTAACATATGAGACAGGTTCATTTTTATTTTATTTTTTTAAGGACAGGTTTCACCCTGTCACCCATGCTGGAGGGCAGTGGTGCAATCATAACTCACTGTAGCCTTGAACTCCAGGCTCAAGTGTCCTCCCACCTCAGTCTCCCAAGCAGCTGGTATTACAGGAGTGAACCACCACACCTGGCTGAAAGTTTTATTCATGAAAGGAAGGAGAGAGGAATACCAGAGACAAGTGGCCTGATGTAAAGTCTTTTGTTTCTACAAAATGAGAAAGAAAAAGAATGTTTTAGCAAAAGCCAGATTTCATGGGATTAAGAGTTTTTGGGCAGCGAACAAGTGAAGATGAAAAAGTGCAGATATTTATTCAGATATAACAGTAAACAGAAAAAATAGGATGATGACAAGAAAGAACTAAAGAGTAATAGGTGGTGGTGTTTTTGTTTGTTTTGTTTTTCTTGAAGGAGTAGTGCCCCAGTGTATTAGTCAGGGTTCTCCAGAGAGACAGAACCAACAGGATATATGAAAGGGGATATATTAGGGGGATTTGACTCATATGATCACAGAGGTAGAGGAGTCCCACAATAGGCCACCTGTCAGCTGGAGAACCAGAGAGCTGGTAGTGTGGCTCAGTCCAAATCCAGAATCCTCAAAACCAGGGAAGCCAACAGTGCAACCCTTAGTCCAAGGTCAGAGGTCCAACAGCCCCTGAGAAGCCTCTGGTACAAGTTCTAGAGTCCAAAAGCCAAAGAACCTAGAATTGGATGTCCAAGGGCAGGAGGAGAAAAGGTGTCCTGCTCCAGAAGGGAGAGGGAGAGAATCTCCCCTTCTTCTACCTGTTTGTGCCAGCTAGGACCCCAGCCCACGTTGGATGGTGCCCACCCACATTGAGGGCAGATCTTCCTCATTCAGTCCACTGACTCCCAAATCAATAATCTCTGGAAAACCTCACAAATAAACCCAGAAATGATGCCCTACCTGCCATCTACACCTCCCTCAATTCAGTCAAGTTGGCACCTAAAATTCACCATCACACTGAGTATGTTTGGAGACATCAGTGGAGAGAAAGATAAAAAACTGACATTTGGCTAGGCATGGTGCCATACCTATAATCCCAGCTACTGGGGAGGCTGAGGCAGGAAGATTGCTTGAGCCCAGGAGTTTGAGGCTGCAGTGAGCTACAATCATGTCAACACTGCACTCCAGCCTGGGCAACAGAGTGAGATGCTATCTCAAAAAAACAAAACAAAACAAAACCTGACAATCACCCAAGTGCTGTAGAATACATATTCTTTTCATCAGCACATGGAGCATTCTCCAGAATTGACCACATCTTAGACCACAGGACAAATATCAATAAATTCAAAAAGGTGGAAGTCATATCTCATATATTTTCTGACCACAATGGAATAAAACTAGAAATCAATAAAACAAGAGGAACCTCAGAAAATACAGGACATGAATATTAAACAACATGCTCCTGAACTACCAGTGGGTCAATGAAGAAATTAAGAAGGAAATTAAAAAATTTTTTGAAACAGGCCTGGCACGGTGGCTCAGGCCTGCAATCCCAGCACTTTGGGAGGCTGAGGCGGGTGGATCACCTGAGGTCAGGAGTTCGAGACCAGCCTGGCCAACATGGTGAAACCCCCACCTCTACTAAAAATACAAAACTTAGCTGGTGTGGTGGCAGCCGCCTGTAGTCCCAGCTACTCGGGAGGCTGAGGCAGGAGAATCGCTTGAACCTGGGAGGCGGAGGGTGCAATGAGTCAAGATCGTGCCATTGCACTCCAGCCTGGACAACAAGAGCGAAACTCTGTCTCAAAAAAAAAAAAAGAAAGAAAGAAATACTATCATAATCTTTACCTTCCCTTCACCAGACACTCCCTACACAGCAAGCTGACCCTGTGCTGACTTAGAACCTCCAGAGCACCAGATTACCTCAAGACAGCACAGTCAATTTACAACCAAAAGTATGCCTGCAACAGAACTCTCTGCCACCTGGAGAGTATCCCCAGACGATGGCCACTTTACAACCTAGCTCTGCCTGCAATGGTGCCAGCTCGACCACAGGGTAGATAAGACACCATAAGTGAGTCAAGTAAACCCCCACCTGCTGGCTCCCTCCCCTGCATGCTGTTCATGCCAAGTGCCCCTTTAAAAGCCCCTACTTTCTGCCCCCAAAGAAAAGCATTATCCTTAAAAGGAAGAACCTGTATTTCTTCTCATAAGCTAAGCTTTGGAATAAATCACTTTCTTTATAACAGATCCCGCTCTCGTTAACTGGACTCTGCAAGCAGTGAGCAACTGAACCTGTGTTTCAGTTACAGTACGGCAGATGCCTCTTCAGTCACACTGAATTCACATTTGTCCCCTGGTGGCTAGAAGAATCCAGATGTACATGATAAATCCACGGAACACATATATGAAAAATGGAGATAACAAAGCATGTCGATCTTGAAAAGATGTTACATGAGCAATCCTGTAGGTGGGACCCTCCATGGCCACAAAGGGCCAGAGGTTTTAGCTACTTTGATTTTCTACCAAGAGCTCATCCTCCCTTCCCTCTATCCTTCCCTCCTCATCACCTTCCTGACCCACTATTTGCTTTTAATTTTCTCCATGTTCTTCTGCATATGATCACCTTCTGGTTTTTGTTCAATCTCAAAGAAAGATTTCTAATCTCTGCCAAGATACCCACCACTTACCGGGTTAAGAGCATGGACTCTTAACTCAAAAGACTTGAGTAGCATCTTAGTCCTTGACCAATTTAACATCTTTAAGCCTCAGTTTTCTCATATGCAAATGGAGATAATACCTACCTTGTGATCGGCTTCTGAGAATTAAATGGGATGTCCACGTAAAGTTCTTCGCATAATGTTGGCACCTAGTGATCACCAATAAATGTTAATTTTATGTAACAGTGCTACCAGATAAAGCAGCTGGCATCAGCCCAAAGCCTGACCAGTTCAGGCTGTTGGCTCAAGTGAAAATAAGTAATAAAGGAACATCAAATACTGGGAGGAATTACACACATCCCTCTGGAACAACCTTTAACTATGTAGACCTTGAATGAACCAGGAGCCAGAAGGAGTGCAGTCTGGTTTTAACAGCAGTCAGCCTTGGTAGGGCCTCCTGGGGTTGGCCTTCACAACAATAGGAAGTGCTGAGTCATCCTGCCCCCGGGGTAGGGTGGGGAAGCAAGCAGAAATCCTTCATGGCAGGCCTCCGAGCAAGCATTCCAGGGCCTACTCTGTCCACTCTGGTCTCCTGACCCATTTACAGCTGACCTTCTCTTTGTCACAACCCTATTTATTCTCCCATCTCTCGCCCACTGATCCAACTGGTTATTTTCCTTCTCTGGACTCAGACCTCCTGATCCCAGTTCTTGAGGTGCAGCCAAATGGTCAGGTGTTCTTATAAACACCTGAACATTTTCTCCTTTGAATCATGGGATGCCCTGAGCAGGAAAAGTACTAACTTTCTTGTGGGAACATTGCTCCCGTTCTTCTTTTAAGAGTTAAATGAGAGGGAGGAAAAAGCAAGTAAAAGATCTGCACAAAGTGGAAACATAAAAATGAAGCTAAGGGGAAAAATTAGATGTGTTTTCCAAAAGATAGATGGAGCGCAACTATGTTATTAATTTCCTAATCTTGCCTGTGCAATCCAAGGGCATAGCCAGAGTTGTAAAAATGGCTTGCCATCTATTCTGTTATAAATTCTCCCCATAATAAGTATCAATTTTGGTAACTAATTGACCCTAGCTTTCTACTGTAGGACTGTGAGATGCATGGTTTGTTCTGATTGTCAGGATGCAGAGCTCTGCAGCAGACTGCAGGTGTCATGAGTTACAGAGCTGGTCAACACAGAAAAGGAGCAACACAGGAAACGCATTTCAACATCTTCAGTCACTGGGGAACCTGAATTGGCAAAAATACTTGCCCTTTGAAGTCTTAAATATACCATCCCCCGCCCCATGTTTCCATCTAAGCCCCCTACTTCCTGTTTCCTCGCTTGTCAAATGCGAAGTTGTTACAAGTCTCAATGAGGAGACTCAGTCCCTACTGATCCTCTTGCAACCTTGATCACAGCCCCTGCAAGCAATAGGAGGTGAGAGGGGCTGAGCAGCTCACAGAGCAGAAACTACCATCTCTGCATTTCCTTCCCTCTTACGTACCAATCTCTGAGATTGCATTCTCCCAGCCAGTGGTCACTTTCCACCCCTCAGGTGATGCAAACAATAGTCATCCCATTGCGGAGGCACCCACAACCTGACTATGAATCTTTCTCCACACTGATCCCTGAAAGTGGCTGTGGAGTGGCTAAGGTTCCTCCAGAAGTGCCTTTGAAGAGGATGCTTTCCCAGCAGACAATGAGGGCTGCTCTCTGGTTCACAGAGGGCACACTATTGGCCCATTTCCTGATCTCGAGATTGTTCTTCTTGGCCAACATTATTCAAAGCTTGCCTTCTGTTCACCAGGTCCTGAAAGTTCTGACTTCAATATTTGTGCTGAAGATCAGGCCCCTCGTTTAAATTGTTACTCATATTTGTTTGCAGACTGATTTTTTGTTTTAGACCCTCGGTCTGTGTACTCATATTAATTCTCCTGGTTGCTAATGAAATGAACTGACACAACTTATTTTATTTAGTTAGATTTGTGTTATTATTGAGGAACAGGACAGAATTGTGGAAGGATAATTGAGAACTTTTAAACTACTACAGGTTATTTAAGTTATTATTTTATTAACATTTCTGATTATAAACCTACTGCAAAGTCATTTTACAAGACATAAAAAGCTGGGGAAAATTTAAATTACCAAGATAAAAGCACAATAATCTCACCACCTAACAGCAATGATTATTCATTTTGATGTATTTCCTTCCAATCTTTTTCCCCTACAATTTTTAGTAGGAATAGTAGGTCTATTTTTATTCATAGCTTATTCTTCATTGAAAAATGGACACTGTTCAAGGGGTGTAGCATACATATTTGCTAGTATTTCCAACAACTCAGAAAAATAGGTGTTGCTAAAATTGTGGAAACTGAGTCCCAGGATGATGAATTAGTAAATTGTTCAAGCTAGGATTTAATCCACACTTGTTTTACTCCTAGGGCTAAATGCTTTAAGAAGTGAACTCTAAACCAAAGCCTTTTTGTGGATATTATGGAAACAATGAAATGCTAAGACAGGGCTGTGGAGAGGTTGATGCTATCCCTAGTGATAGTCAGATCTGTCCAGTTTATTGTTAAACCACATCTACTGAAAGAAATTTCTTCATCTGTATGTAGCCATTTTTAAAAAGAGATTTATTTCTCCACGAATCCAAACTATCAAGGCCCATCATTGTAAGCCGACTAGAAAGGAATGGAGAAACTCCTCTGAAACATCCACAAAGCAGCCCAGTGGGAAGTACACTAAAAGGGAGAGGAGAGTAAATCTTTGGCAGTTTGGACCACTTTCAACATAGCACGAGCCTGGGCAATATCGTGGCTGCCGGAGACTGCCAGCTACAGATGAAGCCAGGACAGCAGGGTCCAGGGCTATTGCCCAGACATGAATAGAAGTCAGTGAAGACAGGCATGTAGTTGCAGTTCTGCTAAAAACATCTGGGCTCAGATAAAAACATATATCAGGCAATTCCTTTGCTAGTCCTGTGCTAGCTTTGGGGCATTAAAATAAGTACACACAAAGAATGGTTTCGCTTCCTTGCCCACAAGGAATTTCATTCATTCAACAAATATTTATTGAACACCTATGGTGTGCCAGACATGTTCAGGCTATATGTATACATCCGTGAACAAAGCAGACAGAGATCCCTGCTGCGTGTAGCTGACTATTCAGTGGGAAAAGACAGACAATAGACAGTAAACACAATTGAAGCAAGTTGTGCAAATTCCACAGCCTGCCGTGGTTGCGGTATAAAGAGCAAGCTTTACTGGGGAAGCTCACAAGTCCAGGATCAACAAGAAGAGGCACGTGGTCCCTCCATCTGATATTCATTTTAAGCTCATTTGTTTCCAATGTCTGTGTGTGCTCTCATTTTCCTTTTTAATTTTATTATTTTTAAATTTGTAAAACCTTTACATTGCTCAATATATTTAAAGCAATATCACCGCCTCTACACAAAATATAGAATTCTATATAAATATATATATAATCTATCTATTCATCCAATCTTTTGTTCCTAATCTTGGTTTTTTGTTTTTTTTTTTTTGAGACAGGGTCTCACTCTGTTGCCTACATTGGAGTGCAGTGGCACAATCAGGGCTTACTGCAACCTTGACTCAAGCGATCCTCCCACCTCAGCCCACTCAAATAGCTGGGACTACAGGCCTGCACCACCAGCTGGGCTAATAGACAAGGCTTCACCATGTTGCCCAGGCTGGTCTCAAACTCCTGGACTCAAATAATCCACCCACCTCAGCCTCCCAAAGTGTCAGAATTACAGGCATGAGCCACTGCACCCGGCTGATAACTTTTCTTTTTCATAGCTATTTCGTTCTCTATTTTGTGGATGCACCATAATTGATTTAACAAGTCCCCTGTTGATGGATATTTGTTATTGTTTTTCTCTCTTTTTTTCTTTTCAATTTGTATGGGTTCATAGTAGGTTTATATATTTATGGGTTATGTGAGATATTTTGATACAGGCATACAAAGCCAAATAATCACTTCAGGATAAATGGAGTGTTCATCACCTCAAGCGTTTCTTTGTGTTAGAAATATTCCAATTATACTCTTTTAGTTATTTTTAAATGTACAATAAATTTTTGTTGACTGTAGTCACCCTGTTGTGCTATCAAATACTAGATTTTATTCATTCTAACTATATTTTAGTAACCATTAACCATCCTCATTTTCCTCCCCACCCCCACTACCCTTCCTAGCCACCAATAACCATTATTCTTTTCTTTATCTTCATCAGTTCAATTGTTTTAATTTTTAGCTCCCACAAATGAGTGAGAACATGTGAAATTTATCCTTCCATGCCTGGCTTATTCCATTTAACATAATATCCTCCAGTTCCATCCATGTTGTTGCAAATGATAAGATCTCATTTTTTATGGCTGAATAGTACTTCATTGTGTGTGCACCACATTTTTTTTTAATTTTACTTTAAGTTTCAGAATACATGTGCAGAACATGCAGGTTTGTTACATAGGTATACATGTGCCATGGTGGTTTGCTGTACCTATCAACCCGTCATCTAGGTTTTAAGCCCCACATGCAATAGGTATTTGTCCTAATACTCTCCTTCCCCTTGCCCTCCACCCCGCAACAGGCCCTGGTATGTGTTGTTTCCCTCTCTGTGTCCATGTGTTCTCATTGTTCAATTTCCACTTATAAGTGAGAACATGCGGTGTTTGGTTTTCTGTTCCTGTGTTAGTTTGCTGAGGATAATGGCTTCCAACTTCATCCATGTCCCTGCAAAGGACATGATCTCATTGTTTTTTATGGCTGCATAGTATTCTATGGTATGTACGTACCACATTTTCTTTACCCAGTATATCATTGATGGACATTTGGGTTGGTTCCATGTCTTTGCTATTGTAAATAGTGTTGCAATAAACATACATGAGCATGTGTCTTTATAGTAGAATGATTTATATTCTTTTGGGTATATACCCCAGTAATGGGATTGCTGGGTCAAATGGTATTTCTGGTTCTAGATCCCTGAGGAATCGCCACACTGTCTTCCACAGTGGTTATACCAATCTACATTAACACCAATAGCATAAAAGCATTCCTATTTCTCCACAGCATCACCAGCATCTATTGTTTCTTGACTTTTTAATAATTGCCATTCTGACTAGCGTGAGATGGTATCTCATTGTGGTTTTGATTTGTATTTCTCTAATGATCAGTGATGATGAGCTTTTTTCCATATGTTTGTTGGCTGCATAAATGTCTTTTGAGAAGTGTCTATTCATACCCTTTCCCCACTTTTTGATGTGGTTGTTTTTTTCTTGTAAATTTCTTTAAGTTTCTTGTAGATTCTGGATGTTAGACCTTTGTCAAGTGGGTAGATTGCAAAAATTTTCTCCCATTCTATAGGTTATCTGTTCACTCTGATGATAGTTTTTTTTTGCTTGCAGAAGCTCTTTAGTTTAATTAGATCCCATTTGTCAATTTTGGCTTTTGTTGCAATTGCTTTTGGTATTTTCATCATGAAGTCTTTGCCCATGCGTATGTCCTGAATGGTATTGTCTAGGTTTTCTTCTAGAGTTTTTATGGTTTTGGGTTTTACATTTAAGTCCTTAATCCATCTTGAGTTAATTTTTGTATAAGGTGTAAGGAAGGGGTCCAGTTTCAGTTTTCTGCATATGGCTAGCCAGTTTTCCCAGCACCATTTATTAAATAGGGAATCCTTTCCCCATTCTTGTTTTTGGCAGGTTTGTCGCAGATCTGATGGTTGTAGATCTGTGGTGTTATTTCTGAGGCCTCTGTTCTGTTCCATTGGTCTATATGTCTCTTTTGGTACCAGTACCATGCTGTTTTGCTTACTGTAGCCTTGTAGTATAGTTTGAAGTCAGGTAGCATGATGTCTCCACCTTTGTTCTTTTTGCTTAGGATTGTCTTGGCTATACAGGCTCTTTTTTGGTTCCATATGAAATTTAAAGTAGTTTTTTCTAGTTCTGTGAAGAAAGTCAAGGGTAGCTTGATGGGAATAGTATTGAATCCCAGTGTTTTCTTTAGTAGTTTCATAGTTTGAGGTCTTAGATTTAAGCCTTTAATCCATTTTTATTTTATTTTTATATATACCCAGAGATAGGGGTCCAGTTTCATCCTTTTGCATATGGACATCCAGTTTTCCCAGCACCATTTATTAAAGAGACTGTCCTTTCCCCAGTGTATATTCTTGGCACCTTTGTCGAAAATGAGTTCACTGTTGAGTATGTATTTATTTCTTGGTTCTGTATTCCGCTCCATTGGTCTATGTGTCTGTTTTTATGCCGGTACCATGCTGTTTTTGTTACTATAGTTCTGCAGTGTAATTTCAAGTCATGTAATGTGATGCCTCCAGTTTTGTTCTTATTGTTCAGGGTAGCTTGGGCTATTCTGTGTCTTTTGTGGTTCTGTATACATTTTAGTTTTTTAATTTTGATTTCTGTGAATAATGTCAGTGTTATTTTGATAGGGATTACATTGAATCTGTAGATCGCTTTGGGTAGTATGGACATTTTAATAATATTGATTCTTCCAATCTATTAACATGGAGATGGATATTTGGATTGTTTATAATCACATGCTACTATACATAATGTCTCTCAATAAATAACTTTCTTCACATATTCTGAATTTGTAGAGATTCTTAAAAGTAGAATTGCTCAATCAACAGGTAAATGCAAATGTAGTTTTATTAGTTAATTCCAAATTATTCCCCATAGGGCCTAAACCATAATGATGACAGTACCTACTTTTCCACAGCCCCACCAACAAAGTATATTAGCAACCTTTTTGAACTTGCCAATCAAATAGATGAGCAGTAAGATTTTTAAATGCTTTTCATTCACTTTTTTCTTAATATAAGCTAGATTGAGTAGCTTTTCACATATTTTAGGGTCATTTTCGTGTTTAAAATTTCTTTCTGATTTAAATACCCAGTTCATTCCTTTTGTTTATAGTGCCTCTTTTTAGGAGTTTTCCTGAATATTCAGCTTGTTAATTTATCTTATGTAGTTTAGAATCAACTTCTCTGACTCCAGAAAAAAAAATGGTTACTTTTAATGTAATGACAATAAGTGTATATATTAACCTGGGAGAACTGGCATCCTCATGATGCTTCATTGTCTAATCCAAGAATACGACACATCTTTCTACTTTTGTGTTTCACAGGAGTGCTTTAAGGTTTTTATCATATCTGCTTAGCACATTTCTTTGTACTCATTTGGCAAAACCACAACAGGATGCAGCTGAACGTTGCTGGAGAAAATTCCACGATCATGCTGACTGGTCTTACTTTAAATTTACTACTGCTAACTGCAAGCGGTGCCTTCATGCTGCTAGGGTGTCACACTACCTTGTCCTTCCATCTCCAGCTCCTTCACATAATCATTCACATCTTCTCCCCTCACCCTTCTCCCATCCTCATTCAGCTGGTTGTCTTGTTTTCTACCTCACTGACAAAACAAAACAATGCAAAACATCAGAAGAGAACTTCTGCCATTTCCCATATGATAATAACGCCAGCCACCCAAATTCAAATCTCTCCATACACCTTCTCTCTGCACAAAAAAAGTACAGTTCAACAAAGAGAGCCAATAAATAAATAAATAAATAAATAAATAACATGTATCTTCAGAATAACTGGGAGACAAAGTAATTGAAAAAGATTTCAATTTAGATGTAAATGGAGGAGGAGGCATTCAAGAGCAGGAGTTGCTCCACAGCCTACCCCAGAACAACACCAGTCTTGTGAGTATTACATGAGGGAGAGGAGAGAGCAGTGGGAGAACCTCAAGAATGTCAGCTGGGGTTCACCCCCCGCAGGAGAGGGGAGAACACAGGTCTCAGATCGTGTGTTGCTTCACCCTTTTCTGCATGGCCCACTGGGGAAGGGCTGAACTTCCCCAAGCATGTGTGCTCTACTTTGCCCCATGTCCCTCTACTGCAGAGGGACTAGGGGATGCCTGTGAATGCCACGGTTACAGCAGGCACCAGGGGCCCTTCAGCAGCCCATGAAGGTCTGGGAGAGGTGTAGGGGCCTAGTTTCCATGGCCGAGGGCTCTTTGGGATCCAGTTGATGGGGTTGAATGAAAGCCTAGAGAGATGACAGTCACACTGGGGAAACAAGACAAACAACAAGCAACTAATAAGCAAGACAGATTGTTACATCTTATGTTTACTCACTGGCATGATAATTTACTTAATTATGTAGCAGAGACAATTCAGGAATGCTATAAGATATAATAAGTTGCTAATCATAGGATGCAAGGGGTAAATACAAAAGATGCTTGAGAACAGACAGATGTTATAAACTAGAGTCACCAGGTCATGGATATCTTGATGAGAAGCAGGGGATCTAAAGCTAGATTTTTATCTCTGGCATAAAAGTTGTTGAGGAGGCATTTGCCAAATGGACCCAAAAACGAGCAGGATGGAGGATGTATATCTGTGACCCACGGGGTGTGTCTGATTGGCATGTTCTAAGAAAGATCTCAATTTAGCCAGCAGAGGGCAAGAGAACACAGAAACCATTCCAAGATTTATGACCTGAAGATTGTTTGGAATAGAAGGATTGTGTAGGTGTCTAAGCAAAAACAAATCACAAAAACAGTTACGAATCTGGCTCTTTTGAAACAATATATTTTAAAACTACATATCTAAAGAAGAGATTGACTACTGTTGGCACTGCAATAAATTCATGCCTTTTTATAAAAAGTCAGAATTTATTTAAACAGTGCATGCCTTTATAGATCCATAAGTGCTTGACAAAATATGGGAACCTCTTTGGAATATTTAACCTAGTATTTTAAGAAACATTTTTATTTGAAGATCCCAGATAAACTGAAACATTTATAAACACACATAGCAGTGATTTATTTTCTAAACCTCAGAAATAGGCTTTTTAAAAGAATGAGAGTCTATCATAAAGGTAGCATGTTATGACATTTGTTAAATAGATGAATTATTCAAAACAAACATATATGTAGTCTATCAAGTAAGAAAGAGTGAAAGAAGCACCTGCCCTTTCCCATAGATATAGGGCAAATGCAGGGTTAGACGTCAGCAAAACCCAGAGGCCAGTGGCCATGTGTCTGCTCCCTCCGATGTCCATCAGCTCCTCCTTTTATGCCGTGCCCCACACCCCCACCTCCATTGCTAAAAGCATGCCAACTATTCAAATAAACTTTCAAGCCCACAGACTCCAGACCCAGGTAGAGAAATGGCAGCAGGCTTCCATCGGGCATTCTAAATGTGCTGTTCACACACTTAATCTGGGTTGACAACAAGATTAAAAAAATCCCCTGGACTGGAAGCCTGGAAACCTGGATTATGGACATTATCCAGTAAACTATTGAAACTTTCTGGTCCACAGTTTTTGGCTTTTCTTTTAAATCTACAAAATAAAGGTGTGAGGTTGGATGATCTCAAAGATTTCTACAAACTCATAGGTCCTAAAATTCTATTTATTTTATCCCCAGTTTGCAGTTAGTTCTCCATCTCAGCTAACATGGGAGCTGATAAGAGTGTAGGATGCTGGTCTCCATTCAAGAAAACACATAATTTAAGAAAGAAATCTTGAACACTCTAGGAATAAGCTTCACAAATAGAATTTCAGACTGAAAGCGGATAATAAATTTATTTTATTTATTTTATACGCTAGATGAGAATGGTGATACCCTTCAAACCACACATTTAAAGCCCAACTTCAATTGTGAATACAGGCTGCTTTTACACACCCCCAGGCTTTACTGAACTATACTCCTTAGGGCTCTTAGGGCACTGTGCAATCGAAGTGGCAATCAAGAAGGCAGCAATTAATAGAAGGTAGGATGGCCAAATTCTAATACTCCTCCAGGCAGCAGCATGGAGAAGCATTACCTCCTACTCAGACTTTCGACCATCTGTAGCAGCTGGAACGCATTCAGCTCTAACTAACAGAACATTCAAGTGCAGAGGCTTAAACCTTAAGAAACAAGAAGTTCAGAGCTAGGCTCTTCCAGGTATGGTCAGCTCTCAGGGGTCTCATCCACAGAATTAACACCTCATGGTTACAAGATGCCTGCAGCCTCACAAAACAGCTCCATAAAGCAGGAAGGGATGAGAGTGGGCAAATGTAACTTTCTTCTCATGCAGCTCTTGCTTTATCAGGAGGAAAGTCTTTCCTCCGGCACACTTGCTCTTATATTTCATGAGCCAGAACTAGGTCACAGGCCTTCTCCATGGCAAGGGAACAAGACTTCTTTTCCTGTCTTAAATCGGTCCTGGGTTCATACCCTAAGGCTGCAAAAGTATATTTATTATTGCTACTATTGGGCCCATTGCTGCAGAACAAAGAATCCTGCTTCCAAAAGTGAAATGGGGGAAGGATGCTTATTCAGTGGCCAATTAATCATTTCTTCCAAATGATTTCACAAAAGCCTAAGGACAGTGTTTCTCTGCTAGATTACAATAATGGCCAGATTTAAGCCCAACTGTGGCACTGAGAGATTGGAAATAAGAAACAGCTATTGGTGGAGTAGATGATCAATGCTATTTTTGTCTCATTGAATTGAAGTCAACTAACCTGAGGTAGCTGGCATTCTTTGCACACCAGGTTTCATAGATTTCTCCAGTGCTTTTTCTGATCTTTTATGAGATAAGAATCCATAGGCTGCTAATTGATTCATTACCAACTCACTGCTGTGATTACAGAAGAGCCTAATGATTTTCAGTGAACAAGATCCAGAGAATAAGACTCAATGTGAAATAGTTGAGTTGTGGGGAGCCATAGATTATAATCCAGGACACATGATTTTCAATACTAAAATTAGGAAATCAAGCAAGCCCATTTCTAAGACCCTTTCTTCAGTACTTTTCTATACTCTAGGAATCTTTGGAACTGAGAGAAAATTAGCATTTAAGAGTAATTTATAATGACTTTAGTAGAGAATGGAGGTAATAAGGCGAAGGTCAAGGACACGAGTCTAGTTTAGAACAAATTTTGTTAAAATCAGACATCCATCACAGTCCCATCTAACCAGCAGTGGCATACTCTTGATCATGTGAAATCTGAGAAAAAAAGTAAAACTATATCAGCAAAACTGCTCCCAAATGGAGGGGAAAAAGCCAATTCAAATGTATATACCAATGATAATATCTAAAGACCATATTGTCAGTATATATCTAAATAAATTAAATGAATTGATGCCTTTTTAATGTTTAAGTGTTTTCTCTCCTATTTTGCACGTTTCCCTGATTTGATGAAGTCCTAGAAGATTAAAGTGCATGTTAATGCCACATCCCAAAAGAACCTCTGGCATTCAAACTTTCAAGTGCAGACAATCTAGTCACACAGAACCGTTGTTTGTCTCATTCTGTGTTCTAATGAAGAGCAAACACTGGCTTGTGAAACTCTTTTTCATTATCGGAAACCAGATAAGCCAATGGGGGAAACACACCATTGTGCTTTCCTTTTTATATCCATGCCATTGCAATATACACCCAAACTCCAAGTTGGGGCATTTGTCTATGATTGCCTGGATTTTTCTACTTGAACAAATCCAAGTTGGTTTTTGAATGTGTGAGCAACAGCAACTTGCTTTTCCTGTTGTTTTCCTTTTCCTCACTTCACTTCTTCTTCACTTCACTTAAACACCTTTGTCTTAGTCAATTGGGGCTACTATAACAATATACCATAGACTGGGTGACTTAAACAACAAACATTTATTTCTCACAGTTCTGGAAGCTGGGAAGTCCAAGGTCAAGGTGCCAGCTGCTTGGGTTCTGGTGAGGGCCCTCTTTTGGGCTTACAGATGGCTGCCTTCTTGCGGCATCCTCATAGTGAAGAGAGAGAGAAGTCCGTGGTCTCTTCTTCCTCTTATAAGGGCACTAATCCCATTCATGAGGCTTCACCCTCATTACTTCCCAAGGGCCCCACCCACTAATACCATCACATTTAGGGGTTAGGGCTTCACGATATGAATTTTGCAGGAGACATAAACTTTCAGTCTACAGCACCCACCAGAGGAGTTTTAACATATTTAAGTTCTACTTTTCCCCTCTATTGCTTAATTTATTGTATTTCTCTTTTCTTTCTGTTGAAAGAAGAATCTGTGTTGAGCAGGCTGCCAGATTATTCCAGAGAATTGATTGAAGATATTTCCTCGGGAAGACTTTCTTGGCAGATAGACAAAATGCATCCTGTATGTTTCTGCAGCAGCCCATAGAGTGCAGCACCGCACTACTCGCTCCCTCCCAGGACGAAACTCTATGAGTTGTCAAATTAATTTCTTCTTTCTAAAATGCATAACACAGTCCTTTCTGGGCTTCTATCTGTTCAAGAATTTAGAACCAGAACTTTAGACAAAGGGATTTTAATTGCATGCTGATAAAATGTCAAAACTATTGTGCATAAAGTAACTGTGCTTTTTTATTTTTTTGTACAATGCCTCAAGGATTATGAGAGAGATTTGCCCCTGTGAGTGAAATCCATTTTGTAACTCATCAGAAAATCTTTAACCTATGAGCTAATTCTTATAATCTCCTCTATAAGCCATTACACTGTGTCTTTCCACCTTCTAGATCGCACAGTTATACAATAAGTTAAAATGAGTGGTCTGCAAATTTGGTTAACCCATTGCTAACTTCAAGTAGTGATTTTTATCTCCCTCTGAAAATCTGAATGATGAATAAGGACTGTTGCTTGTTTGGAGAAGTTGCTTATTTCACAGGACACAGCTGTTACGCCTCATGTTAAACTGTGAAGAGCTGCATCAGAAGGTCACCTTCCCGAACTGTCCTTCCTACTTTAAAAAGAAAATACCCAGAGAAGACAACAAGGATGTGGCTTGACTTTCAAGGCCATCCAGTGAGATAAAAGAGTTTCTCCAGGTGATGGTGGGAGTTTTCAACCAAGGCATAGGTGTTACCATTGGTACCCAGAATAGTTGGGGGGGTTGGGGGGCAACGCTGCTGGGTTTACAGAACAATTGCTAAGGCACCAGCAGGATACCTAGAAATACACACTCATCTTCCCAAAGACAAGTTTTTATTTCTATCACAGACACAATCTCTGAGGCAGCGATTAGTGAGAAGTAAAATTCAAAAAAACTAAGGCATTTTTCATTGTCTTTAGTATTTAAGAAAAAGGGTCCCCAAATATTTCCATTTGAGATGACAAAGTGCTCTTCAGTCATTTAGCTTACTCTTCAGTTCAGATGACTTATCATCTTGATTTCAGAGAGTTCATATATGTCTGTTTTAAAAAACTGGTTCAAAAAGTCTGAAGTTACGAAACTAAACCAAATATGCATTACTCTCATGTCAAATTACAAGCTCTTAGCTGCTGGGATTTTTTCACATGCAGCCTGGAGCCCTTGAAAACCTCTGTTTTCTGTTAGACTCTCCAGGGTACACAGAAGTTGCCTCATTATTTTAGTTAATGGTGACTGCAAATAAGCCCCCCAAGTCATTTAACTATGTGCTTACCACTGCTTTAAAAGAACCCCAAGTTAGGTCCTCATGTAGGTAAAGGAGCTCCCTTCACATATATGTGTTCCTAAACTTGTCAAAGATTGTAGCAAAGCAATTTAAAGCTAAGATAAGGGTAACTCTCAATACAAGATTATTTTGAAAATGCTTAAACAAGCATTTTTATTGAAGTCTAGCATACATACAGAAAAGTATAAAAATATTAAGAGTATAGTTCAGTGAAGAAATACTATGAAGGAAATGGATCAAGGAAGACTTTACTGAAGGAGGTGTCAGGCTACAATGAAATGTTTTAGGGGGAAAAGGAGGCTGGTGAAGGGACTGCCATGAGACCAAAGTAAGAAACTTGACACATGTCCCCCAGAGTTTGAAGAACACAGAGATTGTTACCTGATTCTCGCCCAAAAGGGTGTGAACCGAGGGACTGTATGGAGCTGCCAGAGCAAGAACAGAGAACTATGGCTGAGCCAGCAGCATTCCTCCCAATGGTGGACAAGGGTGTTTGCTTTCCATGGACCAAATTGACATCACAGAGGGCCATCAGACCAGAACCATCTTCAGAGGACCCTGCTCAAGAGGATGCCGGCAGGGACGAGGAGACCCCAGGTGAGGACTTTGGAATAGGACCAGAGGGGAAGTCATAAGAAATCAGACACAAGGACAGTACCTGGGTCAGAAAATAGTGTAATAAGAAGATCTTTGGTGGGTGGTGGCAGGGGGAGGGCTGTCCTCAGAAGTGCCCCAGGAGAGAAAAGAAAGCCTGGCATTTGGACATTCCCTATAACAAGTGCATTTCTTTTTTGTTTGTTTGTTTTTAGAGACAGGGTCTTGCTCAGTCACCCAGACTGGAGTGCAGTGGCACAATCATGGCTCACTGTAACCTCAAACTCCTGGGCTCAAGTGATCTCCCACCTCAGCCTCCAGAGTAGCTAGGACTACAGGCATACACTACCACGCTTGGCTAATTTTTTTTTTTTTTTTTTTTTTTTTTTTTGTAGCAATGAGGTCTTTCTATGTTGCCCAGGCTGGTCTCAAATTCCCGGCCCCAAGTGATCCTCCCACTGTGGCCTCCCAAAGTGCTGAGATTACAGGTGTGAGCCAGCATGCCCAGCCCACAAAGGGCATTTGATTTCTGAGAGACAACTATAAACAGCAAGAGCTAAATTAAAAGGCAGGAGCTTCTTGTCCTGCCATCCTCTTCCACATTCAAATCCTAGAGGAGACAGAGGCAGGGAGTGAGGAAGGGAAAAGATAGACCCCTATGTCCCTCCCCATTGCTGCTCTGGGCAACTGCAGGTCAGACCCACAAAGGGTAGGGGTGGGGAAGTTTTCAGCTGAACTAGACTTTTTAATACCTGAAAACAAGACTGTTCTAATAACTGAAAGAGACCAGAAACAGAGGGCATGTGCCCAAGATGTCCACAGGGCAAGAAAAGAAAATCCAACACAGTCTGTTTGAGGGCAGCTCATTCCATAATGTTAGTTTGAACATCCACAGGCAATCATTGAAAAAAGCCTATTGGCCATCACAAAGTTGATCTGCTACCTGGGAATGTTTGGATTCTTAGGCAGGATTTGGGGTGAAATGGAGAAGCTTTTAATTAAAGTCAAAAGATAAGAGCAGTGTGACATCAAGTTCTTCCTGCAACTTCAAAGCAGGAAAGCTTAAACTGACAGCTTGGACATCTTAACCATCCTAAGAGTAGCCAAAAGTATTTATTAAGTATAGTCTAGGTTCTCTCTAGGAGCTTAAGTAGGAATCATCTGCTTCACAGGTTATCCCTTACCTACCTGGCCCTGTCTCACCACACCATATTTCACTCCAGGGGCCTCACTTTCAGAGGCATGTAGCCTAAGAGTAATATAAAACTTGTAAACAGAAGGAGATTCAAAGCCCTGAGAAACGAGCCAGTGGAAGGAACCTGGGATGTTGAGGTCCATTTTGTGAGCTGTGCCCCTGTCTCAAGAAAGCAGTCGTTGTGTGCCTTCAGGTGGCACGCCCAGGTACAGTGTGAATTTTGGCAAGCAGGTGTGTGTTTTGTCTTTGGAGCCTTTGTATGGAAATGACTGCTAGCTGTCTTTTAGGAGATGTTACCCTAAGGCTTAACAGGCTGTGATTCCAGCCTGGGAGCTCCTTTGAAATGTCCAGGTCAACAAGTACATGATTCCTCAGACATTAAATTAGAACTCAAAGGTGAGATAAGAAGCAGGCAAGAAATAGAATTGCATGTCCTAGGGCCTTGTTCTCCTAGGTCTGCCTTTCAAGGAAGAAAAATGTTCAGAATTGGCATATGGGAGTGAAAGGGAGGGATTGTGGCTTCCAATACATAGTAAGGTTGGTCAGAGCCAGAGGAGTGAATCTTGGTAAATCTAAACAGATCAAATAGAGTTCAACTTAATCATTTCAAGATTTTTTTTTTAAGGT
This sequence comes from Homo sapiens, assembly GCF_000001405.40. Taxonomy (NCBI): domain Eukaryota; kingdom Metazoa; phylum Chordata; class Mammalia; order Primates; family Hominidae; genus Homo; species Homo sapiens. The sequence continues at coordinate 112,407,689 of NC_000007.14, read as the reverse complement.
CCTGAATTCCCATATTTCAGTTGACATCACCCTTGGAATTCTACAAAAATATGGGGGTTTCTGGTCCCAGGGCTTCTTCGCCTTTGCAGGGAGAATGGTCAACAGTACCAAAGCAAGGCCACTGGAGTCCCAGACAGAACCATTAGCTTTTTCTCATTAGCCATTCAGCCATCTTCAGGATGTCACAATTGAGACCTGTGGGGCACAATTATGAAATGTAGGAAAATAAGACCAAAAACTCTTGGGCAATGTTTTTGTCAAGTAACATCTTAAATCTCACATTCATCTAAGAACTTTGCCTCCCACTTCTTGTTCTTATTTTTCATAGCATCTGTAACATTTCAAGAATAGGCATGAAAAATAAACTCCTTTTATGCCCTTTAGAAGAATCATTTCAAAACCTGCTTGGTAGATATACAGCAGTGATTTAAAATGGAATATCCACCCTAACTAGTATTCTGTCTTTTGGTGCAGGGGTGATCCACCACCATTATTAGAGGATTTTTGAGCTGATTTACTTTTCACCAGTAGTGGTGATATGTTTAGACTCATCCACTCAAGACTCCCATAGTAAGTGCATTTCGCAAGGCAGCCTGCTAAGCTTAGAAATATAATCAAGCCCTGAAGAAGAGAAAATCCACATAAGGAAACAATAATTATTAATAATATTTATTGAATTATTGGTATGTGCCAGGACCTGTTCTAGTGTTTTATTTACATGCATAATTGCATTGAATCATCACAGTAGTTTAACGAGGTAGGAACTATGTATCCCTCCTTGCTATGGATGAGGAACCAAAGGCACGGAGAGGTTACATGACTATTCCAAAGCCAAACAGCTTGTAAGTTTTGCCATCTGGAGGCTACCCAGCAGGGACTGTTATTTTGTATTCATTAGCACTGTATTCCCAGTAAGAGTACTTTCTGGACACAATCAGTTTGCTCAGATATGTGCAATTCTAAAATTTCCCCAAATGCCTACCCCACTGCCAAGCATTTAACCTTCTGAAAACAGTGTCACAGAGCCAGGTGGGTCTAAGTTAATGAAAATCTTGAGGGTGAGTTCAAGTTTTGCAGTTAATATTTCTGAATGTGCACTATCCTGTTGGACATCTTCTTCAAGTAATAGCTAAAACTGTGTCTTAAGAGCAGGTCAGTTGTGTGATTTTCCTCTTTTTGACCATTGAAAAATTTAAATGTGTCAGTTATGGACTGATTACAGTTTACCGTTCAGTTTCCTCTAAGTACGATGTACTTTCCTGCCTTATTACACCCACTCTTCCTTCATTGCTGGCTTCATTATTGGCAACATTCACACCAAGTACTATCCCATTCTCCTCCCCCTGCCCACCTGAGACTTCATTCCTTCCCCCGACACCTTTCTCTGCTCATTTCACCCAGCATGGGGCAGGGGCCAGGGTCCTAACACTGTTTCAATCAATCTGGATAAAAATTATAGGCTTGCCTTTTTTTTTTTTTTTTGAGACAGGGTCTTGCTCTGTCACCCAACCTGGAGTGCAGTGGCATGAACACGGCTCACTACAGCCTCGACCCCCTGGGCTCAAGCAATCCTCCCTCCTCAGCCTCTGGAGTAGCTGGGACTATAAGTGTGCACCACCATGCCCAACTAATTTTTGTAATTTTTTGTAGAGACAGCTTCTCCCTGTTTCCCAGCCTGGTCTTGAACTCCTTAGCTCAAGTGATCCACCTGCCTCAGCCTCCCAAAGTGCTGGGATTACAGGCATGAGCCACCATGCTTGACCTACAAGTTGTAATTTTGAATCAAGCCTATTAAAATCAGATTTCTGAGAGAAGATGGACATAAAAAGCAGGCTGTTGGGGTCAGGTTGCTATAATTTGGGCGGGTGGTCCAGGTCTGTGAGAAACAGAAGCTCCACAGGCCTTAATATTTGTGGGGCTTAGGGCCAGAGTAAAAATTATTCTTTATTCTTGTTTCAAAATATTTTATTAAAATTCAAAGGAAAATACTAATTATAATGAATGATTACAAAAAATGTTTATTGTGGTAAAAACATAATGTGAAATTTACCATCTTAACCATTTTGAAGTGTACTATACAGTAGTGTTAACTGTATGCATCTTGTCCAACAGCTCCCTGGAACTTCTTCATCTTGCAAAACCAAAACTCTATATCCATTGAACAAAAACTACCCTTTTCCCCCTCCTTCCAGCCCCTGGCAACCACCATTCTACTTCCTATTTCTAACAGTCTGCCTGCTTTAGATGCCTCATATCAGTGGAATCACGCAGTATTTGTCTTTTTGTGACTGGCTTATTTCATTTAGCATAATGTTCTCAAGGTTCATCTATGTTGTAGCATGATTACCCAAATTTTAAATCAAACTTATGTAAATCAACTTGATGTTTTAATTTAGTTTTTTGAAAATATTATGAAACCTCATTAAATATATTTATAAAAGTAAAATTACTCACAATTTTTACAAGCCATGAAGGTGGGCCCCTCAGAGCCCCCTTCAAAGAGAAAAATGGCCATGAAGTGTGCAGCTATCTACAGTCTTGAGCTACAGAGACCTTAGGATTTACCTGTGTGTTCAAGCTGAGGCTTGAACTCTTCCCAGGGAGCTATTGGAGGCTGCAAGGCAGAGGTAAGAGAACTGAGCCATTTCTGCTCAATACAGGACTCTTCTACTGGCAGTCTTTGTGCCTGAGCTCCCTGCTGGGCTGGCCAACACTTTTTCAGAGATGTGTTGCAGTCTGAGGGTCCTCTACCCCAATTCCCCTCCTTCCCTCTCTCCATTCACAAGTGTCAGACACTTGTGGTCTGAAGGCTTCTCATGCCCACTCCTCTTCCCTCCTCCCTTTATCTTTCATGAGCATTTCCCAAAGAAATCTCTTGCAGTTCTGACTCTGTCTTGCCATGTGCATTCTGGAAAACCCAAACTGGTACAATGTTCTAGCATTCTGTTTCCATTTAGTTGACAATGTGAAGAATTCATATTGCACTTTGCTCATGTTACAACAGGCCTACATATATACAAGTTTTTTTAAGTAATATGAATTGATACTACAAAATATTCCTTGGCCACCATATACAATTTTTGTGAATACTGTGCTCTGGAACCACAGATGGGAACATGAGGAGAAGCAAGAACATGGACACTTGGCACTACTGAAAAATATTTTATTGTGCAATAATCTATTGCATTCAGGTTATCTGAGAGGAAGCATTCAACATGTTAATTGATTTTATCTTCTCTTTTCTAAGTATTTCTGCTACTCAAATTCTCACAACAAAGGTTCTTAAAAGTACAATTCTATATTTATTTTGATTTCATCATAAAAAGTCCACTACCAGCCAAGATGGAGTAACAGAAACCATATTTACCCACTCACCTTAAACAATTAGGAAAAAATGGACAAAATAAATGAAACAATTTTACATATTGGAGAACAGGCAGCAGGGCCTTGCTCTCTGAGAGAAAAAAAAAAAACCCTAAAAAGGGAGCCCTACAGTTGCACCAGTTTACTCACTGGAGGCAGTTTCTAGGCTGCAGTACAAAAAGGGGAAACTCAAACAGACCCCAAAAGTCTTGCTGTGTTGCAAAGCAGGTATTGTCCAAGGCAAGAAGAATTTTTAAGACAAATTACCAAAAAAGAGGGAGCTTCTGAAAGAGAACAAGCAAGCTACAGAGGAGTATGCTCAAGTATTTGGCTGAGTACTACTCTATGTGTGTGAAAGGAAACTACCCAAGGCCAGCAAAGGAACCACTGGAAATGAGAAGGCCTAACAATTCCAAGAGCTCACACAGGGCTGAGAATGGTTTGTGTTGCACAAGCCTGAGTGGAAAGGTTCTGCACGACATGGGCACTGGATAGAGTCTTCAAAAGTATTCCACCTTAGTTGGAGGGCTAAATTATCCTAGACTGAATACAGCTCTGGACCTGCCCTAACAAAGATTATAAGAAAGATTTGAAAGAATCCAATTGATTCTAAGTTACCATGTGCCAGAAGAAAATGTAACACTATTTAAAGGAATACAGCAAAATCAGATCTTCAAAAATGTTCAATATCCAATCATCAATTTTTTTTTTTTTTTTTTTTTTTTGAGATGGAGTCTCGCTGTGTCGCCCAGGCTGGAGTGCAGTAGCACGATCTCAGCTCACTGCAAGCTCCGCCTCCCGAGTTCATGCCATTCTCCTGCCTCAGCCTCCCAAGTAGCTGGGTCTACCGGCACCCACCACCACGCCCAGCTAATTTTTTGTATTTTTTAGTAGAGACGGGGTTTCACCGTGTTAGCCAGGATGGTCTTGATTTCCTGACCTTGTGATCCACCCGCCTCAGCCTCCCAAAGTGCTGGGATTACAGGTGTGAGCCACCGCGCCCGGCCCCAATCATAAATTATTAGCATGCAAAGAAGCAGGAAAATATTATCTATAACCAGAAGAAAAACTATGCATGAAGCACAGAGAGAAAAAAGACTAAGAAATACACACAGCATCAGTGACTGTGAGCAATATTAGGGATTCTAGCATGTGTGTAACTGGGGCTTATATTACACATGTTAGAAAAAATACGGGGATATTTGATGATACGATGATCAAATTTTTTCCGAATTTGATGAAAACTGTAAACTCACAGAATCTCCACAAACCCCAAGCAAAACATAAATTCAGAAAATAATGCCAAGACAAATTATAGAACATTATGTACAAAGAACAAAGATAAAAATGACAGCAAACTTCTAACCAGAAATCATGTAAGCTGGAAGAGGCTGGAACAGTATCTTTAGAGTACTGACAGAATAAACTTTCAAGCTAGAATCATTTACCCAAAGAGAATATCAGATAATGAAAAGCTAAGAGAATTCATTGCCAGTGAATTTATAAAAGAAATATTAAGTGAAGCTTTACAGGCATAAAGAAAATAATATTCATTGGTTTTAGCAAAGCATATCTTCTATGAATTGATATAAACTCCTAGAGATTAAAGTCATACACACATCTCTTACATTTTAGAAGGTATGTATAACAGCCCAATTTTGCCAAATAAACAATAAACTCAATTCTCACCTGTAAAATTGACTTTCTGTTCATTAGTTTAAAGAATTCGGAGAAGCAGAAATTAGTTTACTATTTAATTCACTGAAAGAGAGTCTACTAGATGAAATACATTGAACCTATGAAAATAGTATGTAGATTTTATAGGATCAGTACCTGCAAGTAGGTCATAAAGCCTGACCTGATACTAAGCATTTTCTAGGATATTATCACCAAATTTCTAAACTCACAGGGTCTCACTTTGTTAACAATCTGATATTAGCTGCTATGTAAAAACAAAATAATTTATTATAACCAAGACCATCTGCCAAATGATCATTTCCAAAATATAAAACTCCAATACCATTGTTGTAAGAAGTGTTTATGATAACTCCTAATGATCCTTGCTGCCTGATATTCATGCCCTTCTGTAATACCTTCTTTGAGTGTGGGCTGGACTTATTGGCTCACTTCTAATGAATAGAATATGGCAGAGGCTGGCTGCAGTGGCTCAAGCCTGTAATCCCAGCACTTTGGGAGGCCGAAGCAGGTGGCATGGTGAAACCCCTTCTCTACTAAAAATACAAAAATTAGCCGGGCATGGTGGCATGTGCCTGTTATCATGGCTACTCAGAGGCTGAAGTAGGAGAATCGCTTGAAACCCAGAGGCAGAGGCTGTAGTGAGCCAAGATTGTGCCACTGCACTCCAGCCTGGGTGACAGAGCGAGACTCAGTCTCAAAAAAAAAAAAGAATATGGCAAAAATTATAACATGTCACTTTTGAGATTAAGTCATAAAAAAGACTGGCTTCTATTTGACTTCTCTCCTCTCCTCCTTCTCCTCTCTCTTTCTCTCTCTGTCTCTTTTTCTCTCTTATCACTGGGTGTATGGAAAGTCAGCTGCCATGTCATGGGTCAGCCCTATGGAAAAACCCAACTGGCAAGAAATTGAGGGCTGCAAACAACCACATGAGTGATCTTCGGAGCAGACCCCAATGTCACTACCAGTTGAGCTGTTAGATAAGACCACAGCCCCAGTTGATAGCTTGATTGTAACCTTGAGAGATACTTTGAGCCAGAGGCACTCAACTGAGCTGTGCTTGGATTCCTGATTCATAGGAATTATTTTAAGCCTCTAAGGGTTAGGGTAATTTATTACACAGCAATACATAACTAATATAGCTATTATTCAGTAGTTTAAATACTTATTCATGAAAAAATATTGATGACTCTTTCCACATAATATAGGGGAAAATAATTCTACTTGCTACTTTGTGCACTATGTATTTTTACGGATCAGCCAACAGACCAACATGTGGCAAGCTATTACATGGAGATTGAAAATCTGGCACCATGAATTATTCAACCACTGTCTCCAATGAACGGTCTGACACAGAGGTTAGATTTACCAGGAACCAAAGTAACACCTGCAGTATCCAACTCTTGTTACCATTTTGTAATCTTGGAGAATTATTAGGTTCTTTGAAAAGTGTTCCAGAGTAGCATCTTTAATTGTGGATACCAGGTTCAAGTTAAACAACTTTCTGCCCACACAAATGTTAGAATTACATGATGACTTACTAATTCTCCCACTGAAAGAGCTGTACACAACCCTTTGACTATCTGGCTAAGATAGATCTTTGGGGACTAATAACCTAGGGCTCCCTGGGACCTAATAATTATATCAGACTAATATGTATATATAACTCTTTATATATATATATATATATATAACTCTTTATATATATATATAACTCTTTATATATACATATAAAACTCTAAATAACATCTATGCTGAAGCCATGAGACAAAGAAGATGATGATGAAAATAACATTGGTAGACAGTTTAAAGTTTATAATATTATACTATTTGTCATTCATAGTTTCATTTCTTTCCAAAAATCTTGTGTGCTTGTTATTATAAGCCCCTTTCACCATGCTACACTCTGCCTTGCACATAGGACAGAGTTTGATAACTCTAGAACAATTTGCCTCAGAGTAGTTGTTAACCTCCTAAACTGTGAAATGCCTACATAAAAAGTAAATCATTCCATCATAATGAGAAAAATCCTACTATCCTACTGCCTTCCCAACCTACCCTAGGCTGGAATTTGAGATTGTTTCTATTCCACACTGCTTAAGAAAATTTTTTTTAGTTGCTTTAATCTGGCTTAATGAGCTACATTCTCTGAGCCAATGGCTACCTTTCCTACCAACACCATAAACAAAACTGATCATATTTGTTAAGGGAAAAGGCAGTCCAATGACATGGTAATGAGTCCTGACTGTGGAATGTTCATCTCCTGCAGAAATTTATGGCCCCATTCACCACAGCATCATACGCCTCCTAGAAAAAGAAGCAGTACGTAGTTTATTCCTGTCTGGAAATTGATGTGTAGCCAGGGGTAGCATGTGCACATTCATATCTGCCTAAAGCAGGATGTAAAATGTGCCTATGAATCAAACATACTCTAGTATTTCTAAATCACAGAGAGTCAGGACTAGCTGCAAGAGGCAAGCTTTTGTAGCTAGGCTGCACTTTGCTGAAATACTAGCCTTGATCTGTTGCTGCTCCATTCCTTGGACTAGATGTTCTTTATGGGTCCTTTTGGCTCTAATGTTGTAAAATTTGTGGATTAGCTAAGTTGGCTTAAAGAATCCTCCTGAACTGTGTTAGCCATGTATGGGATCTTTGATATCATCTGATATTTTTCTTAGGTGCTTTGGGTTAGGAGAGATAGTGCACATGGAAGAATATTACAGATTGACTATGACCAGCAAGGAGTCATCAAAATTAGTTGGGAGAAAAAAAAGAAAATGTTTGTATGAGTAAGAAAACAGATTACAAAATAATGTGTTTGGGGAAAGACCACTAGCAGTGTCCCAACTTCCATTCTCTCCTATTTCCTTTATATTAGAACTCATGCTTTTAAGCTGGGCACACAGCCATCTGAAACAAAGCTATATCTCAGAAGCTCACCAGGAGATATGGTTATATGTCTAAGTTCTGACCAGTGGAATGTAAGCTAAAGTATTATGTGCAACATCTGGGGAGTGTCCTGCTGGCCAGAATTCAGACAAGATGCCTGGAGCACAAGTAGCCATCCTGAACCATGAGGTAGAACTCATATGTTGAGGATGGCATATGATAGAGGAGCCTCGATCTCTGCCACCATGGAGTGTCATGGCAGCCAGAACTGCCTCCAAACTTCATTTACCTGACAGAAAAACTGCTCTCTTATTTAAATCACTACTATTTTGGATTTTCTGTGACTCATAGAGGAATTAACCTTGCTAACAAACCAGAGATATGTGTATCCCATTTTAATAAAATTATGTAGGTGTGTATGCTACATGTGTGCACGTGTGAGTATGTGTGTGTGTTGACTCTAGCCACTCAGCATCCATTCTCCCCTTTTAATATCATTCTAATTTCTTTGTAGGGAATTGCCTCTCTCCCACTGTGTGATGTCATTGTGGGATGGTCAATACACATGCCTATCCTCTCTCCAGGTAATTCAAGGGGGTTTCTGGAGGTCCCTTTCATCAGGTCATTCTTCTCACTGCCCTGTTTCAGTGGGAGGTAAGTTAGAATTTCTTAGACCTTGGTCCTTAATACTCTCCATTTCTCAGCTGTGTTCCCTCACAAAGGATTTATTATCCACACCAGCTTCTATGACATCTATAAACAGATGATTCTCAAAATGCCTTCCCAGCCAGCCTGAGCTTCTCCTCTGAATTCTGTACCCATGTATTCATTAGTACCCTGGCAGAAATGGGCGATACATTCAGACTGAAACAACTAGAGTGAGTGGACAGGAAACAGGGACATGATAAAAGGTCATGCAGTATTCTGGAACAAGCAAGAGCACATCCAGAACCTGGAGAGAAAGAGAGGTGGAGAAGTCACCTGACAAGGGCTATGGCCTGTGGTTCAGAGATATAGCCAGCCCACAGCAACCCTGCAGGGAGGAAGCCAGATAGATAAACATCTCCCGCATTCGCTTTCCTTCTCTGATCTGCTGGGGTTCTCCACTGAACCAACCCAGTATGAAGCCAGAGGCAAAGGGAGTTTGTTGATGCAGGTCAGCCTCCCAGGGCCCAGAGCAGGGTGGAGGAGGGTGGAGAGTAGTTCCGGAGAGGCAAACAGAATGTGCAGCACAACCCACCTATCCACTTGCCTACTAAAGATCTTTTGATGTCTCAAGGCACCTCAAATTCATTGTGCCCCAAATCAAACCATTCATCTAACCCCTCCCTGGATTTAGCCAGCCTAGTCAGCTGGCATTGTTCCCAATCTTAAGAAATGGCACCATTACCAATTTAAGTAAGCCAGAAACCTGGAAATGATTCCTGACCCCTCTCTTTCTCTCTCCACCCACGGTCAGTCTATAGCCAAGTTCAGCTAATTTTATGTAACCTACCTCCAGCAAAACAAAACCGAACCCACTCTCACCTGGTACTTTCATCCTTAAGAAGAGCAGGACAAGCAAGGCAAAAAGCTGGGGCAGGCTCACTGAGCGGTCCCTCCTACCTTCTGCAGCTGCCACATCCTTGTTTCTTATAAGCCCTATTCCTCAGCTTCTCTTCAATCCCAAGACCACACAACATAGTCTTCCTGTAAAACCTCTTTTTGCTTAATATAGTGAGAGTTAGTTTCTGCTGCTTGAACAAGAACCTTAATGAGTAAAGTAAAAGATGTAATTAGGAACCTAACTGAAAAAGTATTTTGCTCCTCAAATGTATCATCCTTCTTCAGAACCTACAGGACATCTGAAACCATTCTCTATTTTTAAAATATCTTCTCCAAAAAAAAGAAATTAAAGATAATTCTGTTAATTAAAAATGGTAAAGTACCACTATGTATAATTCAATCATTGCATGTGCCCGTATGTTAACAATGGGCATTCCTCTGAGGGGGAATTAGAGGTGATTTGTACTTTCCTCTTTGGGTCTCTGATCCCCGTGTTTTCAACTGTGGGTAACTGGGTTTTACAAAGTAAGTAAACATTATCTTAAAAGGTAAAGTGTAGTGTATGAATGCTGGAATAATAGTAAGGAAGCTTCGATACTGCATACTAAGGTACATAGCAAGAAAGCAGCTATTATGGAATTGCTTTTAAGAACAAAACAAAGATTTGGCTTTTACATGGGTGTTCCCACTACACACACACACACACACACACACACACACACACACACACACAGAGTAGCTGAAGTCATCATTCAATAGACATTTATTCATGTATTGAATGTCTATTTATGTCTAGGCACCTTGCATATGTTGGAGATACAAATGAGTGAAGCATGGCATTCATTCTTTTTTTTTTGAGACGGAGTTTTGCTCTGTCACCAGGCTGGAGTGAAGTAGTGTGATCTCGGCTCACTGCAACCTCCAACTCCCTGGTTCAAGTAATTCTCCTGCCTCAGCCTCCCAAGTAGCTGGGATTACAGGCGTGCGCCACCACGCCCAGCTAATTCTTGTATTTTTAGTAGAGACGGGGTTTCACCGTGTTAGTCAGGATGGTCTCAATCTCCTGACCTCGTAATCTGCCTACCTCAGCCTCCCAAAGTACTGGGATTACAGGTGTGAGCTGCTGTGCCCAGCCGGCATTCATTCTTGAAATGCCTAGAGTCTTATGTAGGGTTTACCCAAAGTGTGGCCTGTGGACCACCTACATCAGAGTCACCTGTGATGACTGTTAAATGAAGATACCTATGTTATTCCCCAGGGCTAGGAAAGAGAACACAATGGAGATGACAAACTTAATTTTTAATAGTATAATGAATTAAACTGGGTAAAAGGCAAGGAACTGGGATTCCAGGTCAGTATAAGACAAAAGCATTCAAAAACATAATCCTAGAGCTTCACAACTTACTAGTTTGTAAATGATGTGTCATAATGACAATATTATAGACTTATACCATTATAAGAATATACATGCTAGAGTTAAAAGCTGATTGCTGGCAGTGTCCATAGCTTGAAGGAATAATTCACATATTTATTAATTACCCTCCTGCTAATCCTTCAAACGGTTCATTATTTGACCAACAGATTGTACCTCCATTGTAAGTAATCTGTGGACAATAATAAGTGAAGCTGAATTTTTATGGTTATATCTGAATTAGGAATGACTTACATTTCATACCAGGGAGCCACATTCAACTGACTCTATATTAATACTGACTTTTGGTCATAAAACATCAAGAAAACTTACATTTAAGCTTTTTAAAAAAAGTTGCAATGGAAATGTTAACAAAATGATTATTTTAAAATTATAACTCCCTGTGCTGCTTTTACCCTGCTTTAATTGTGCATAACTCATTCATCCATGCATATATTTATTTATTTATTCATTCAGTCAGTCATTCATTCAAGCATTCATATACAGAGCATGGCAGATAGGTATGAGAAACTGTGGAGGTTCAAAGGTAATTAAGCGCCTCTCACAAAAAATGTTTACAGATAAGACATGTGAAAGAACAGATGTGAGAGATAGCATGTCATAAATACCACAAAATTAAAACATGCAAAGTACTAAGGGAGCCTGGAGGTGAGAGACATGGCTGTCATTTGGGTTCAGCAAGGCTGCCTTGCCACTGACAGCTCAGATAATGAGGGATGAGACAGACAGTCTCGGCAGCAACTTGCATATGGGAGTGAGAGAATCAGGGATGCTTGGAGTCTGGGTAGATAATAGGTATAATGGGAAGATGGACGTCAAGAAGAGGAACAGATTTTGAGAGAGGAAAGATGAATTCCGTAAGGACTATGTATTAGTCCATTTTCACACTGCTATAAAGAACTGCCCAAGACTGGCTAATTTATAAATAAAAGAGGTTTAATTGACTCACAGTTCTGCATGGCTGGTGAAGCCTCAGGAAACTTAGAGTCATGGCAGAAGGGGAAGCAGGCACATCTTATGTGACAGCAGGCAAGAGAAAAGTGAGCTTGTGAGAGCACAGGAAAAATTGCCATTTATAAAACCATCTGATCTTGTGAAATTCACTCACTATTATGAGAACAGCATGGGGGAAACCGCCCTCATAATCCAATCATTTCCTTCCCTCGACAGTGGGGATTACAGGTCCCTTCCTTGACACATGGGGATTACAATTTGTAATGGGATTTGGCTAGGGGCACAGAGACAAACCATATCAGACTGAATCTGATATACTAGTACAGTATTTATGGAAAAGTGACAGCAAGCACAGAAATTAGGAAAACTAGTCCTGGGCTCTGGAGAGATCACAGGACTCAAGGTAAGGTGGCGTACAAGTCATACTCAAAGCTCTACTGCTAACTGGAAATGTGGCTTCAGTTGCATCATTTAGCCTCTTTGGTTCTCAGTTTACCCCTCTACAAGGTGAAGATGCAGTGCTGAACCCAAGTCTCCCACAGTGTGGTCTGCAATATGATTTTAGGTGGTCCACATGGAAACTTCAAAAAATTTTTTACCACTCATATTTATGTTGATGTGTTTTAGAAAAAAAGATTCCCCAGGCCTGTCATAGTGGCTCACATCTATAATCCCAGCACTTTGGGAGGCTGAGATGAAAGGATCACTTGAGGCCAGGGGTTTGAGATCAGCCTGGGCAACATAGCAAGACCCCACCTCTGCTTAAAATTTAAAAATTAGCTAGGTGTAGTGGCTCATGTCTGTAGTTCCAGCTGCTTGGAAGGCTGAGGCAGGAAGACTGCTTGAGCCCGGGAAGTCAAGGCTGCAGTGAGCCATGATTGTGCCACTGCACTCCAGCCTGGGCAACAGAGCAAGACTCTCTCTCTAAAAAAAATGATTGTCCAACAAACTCTTCATTTTGCTGACACTATTTCTTTGGCTAAGTGAAGTGGGAAAGCATACTGATTTTTTAAAATAGTAAATAAATAATACATGCAGTAAACTGATAGGGTGGAAATGGTGAAGGTCATTTGCTAATGATAGGGTTGAGATAGGTTGATAACCTAAACCAAAGTTTAGGTTGTCAAGAGGGTGCTTCATACTCAATAGTCCTAAGATCCTAGGTTTTATGGCATTGTCACAGGTAGAACAGGAATAGATAAGACCATCAAAGGGCCAGGCATGGTGGCTCACTCCTGTAATCCCAGCACTTTGGGAGGCCGAGGTGGGCAGATCACCTGAGGTCACGAGTTCAAAACCAGTTTGGCCAACATGGCGAAACCCCCTGTCTACTAAAAATACAAAAATTAGCTGGGCGTGCGGGTGCACACCTGTAATCCCAGCTACTCAGGAGGCTGAGACAGGAGAATCGCTTGAACCCAGGAGGCAGAGGTTGCAGTGAGCCGAGATGGCGCCACTGCCCTCCAGCCTAGGCAACAGGGCAAGACTCTATCTCAAAAAAAAAAAAAAAAAAAAAAGACCATCAAAGGAAGATCATATGAGAAAGGAAAAGGGCTTAGGGCAGAGCACTGAGGATTTTACATTAAGAAAGAAAGAAGGGAAGCAGGCAGGGGACCAACCAGTCCTATCAGCAGCCTTGGATGGAGCTGGGGTAATGTGAGCAGAGGAGGAAGAGGCAAATTGGAGGGCAAGGAGCTGCCACCTTGGCTCTTTGCTCTCACAGGTGGGATGCTAGAAGCTTGTTCCATGTAGAGGGAGCTGAAGGTGGGGGAGATGGATCAACAGTTTCTCATTCTTCCTGAGGACTTCCACATACCAAGCAGAGATTCTCTGATCCTAGGATTCAGTAATCTGAGGGAAAGGGATGGGAATTGCATTATGCCATGCTTGCATTGCTATAAAGAAATATCTGAGGCTGGATAATTTCTAAGAAAAGAGGTTTAATTGGCTTACAGTTCCGCAGGCTCTACAGGAAGCATAGCGCCAGCATCTCACAATCATGACAGAAGATGAAGAGGGAGCAGGAGCAAGAGAGAGGTGAGGAGGTGCCACACACTTTTAAACAACCAGATCTCACGAAAACTCAGTCACTATTGCAAGAACAGCACCAAGGGGACGGTGTTAGAGCATTCATGAGAAATCCGTCCTCATGATCTAATCACCCTCCCACCAGCGGCCACCTCCAACACTGGGGATTATATTTTGACATGAGATTTGGGTGGGGACAAGTATCCAAACTATATCAGGGACATTAACTGCACACAGCAGAACAACAAACGAAATCAGTCACCCCTACCTCCCACACTGTATCTGCACCTGCTCTTTTAGGTATGGGCAATACGTTCCAACTGACATTTCACTGGTGCCCGCAAAGTTCCAGACGCTGTTCAGGATACTGAGGATTTAGAAATAGTTTAAATGCAGTTACTACCCCAAGGAGCCTACAGCAAGGGGAGGAAAGCAAACATATTTATAAATAAATTAGAATTCAGTGTGATGAGTCTAACTATAAAAACGTGTAAGGAACAGGAGTAATAAAGAGGAGAAAGTGAAGAACTCTGCTTGGATGAGAATAGAAGGACGGGTGGTCAGGAATGCCCAGCTAGATGTAGATGACCCCAAGTCATAAAGGAAATCTTACATTTTATATCACACACTCTGTTTAAGATTTATTCATTCAAACAATATTTACTGAATGCCTATTATGTGCCAGGCACTATTCCTTTTTTTTTTTTTTTTTTGAAACAGAGTCTAGCTCTGTCGCCCAGGCTGGAGTGCAGTGGCGCGATCTCGGCTCACTGCAAGCTCCGCCTCCCGGGTTCACGCCATTCTCCTGCCTCAGCCTCCCCAGTAGCTGGGACAACAGGCGCCTGCCACCATGCCCGGCTAATTTTTTTTTGTATTATTAGTAGAGACAGGGTTTCACCGTGTTAGCCAGGATGGTCTCGATCTCCTGACCTCGTGATCCACCCTCCTCGGCCTCCCAAAGTGCTGGGATTACAGGCGTGAGCCACCGCGCGCGGCCTGTGCCAGGCACTATTCTAAAGCAGCCAACAAAACTGACAAAAATCCCTGCTCTTATGGAGCTTGTAAGTTAGTGAGTGGAGACAGATAACAGGTAAACAACTACACAGCATGTGAAAGGGTAAGGGACGGAGGAGCCGGGCACGGTGGCTCACACATGTAACCCCAGCATTTTGGAAGGCCAAGGCGGGCGGATCACTCGGGGGGAGTTTGTGAGAAGCCTGGGCAACATGGTGATACATCGTCTATTCAAAAAAATAAAAATAAAAGATAACCGGGCATGATGGCACGTGTCTGTGGACCCAGCTACTTGGGAGGTTGAGAGAAGGATCACTTGAGCCCAGAAGGTTGAGTCTGCAGTGAGCTGTGATTGTGCCACTGCTCTCCAGCCTTGGCGACAGAGAGAAACTCTGTCTCAAAAAAAAAAATTTCAATGAAGAAAAATAAGATTGGAAGAGAGGATCAGGAAGGCCTGAGGGAGAGTGATTTTTATTTTTTAAAAGATATTCAGGGGAAGCCTCACTAAAAACAGAATATTTGAGCAAATCCCTGAAGGAAATGAGGAAGAAAGCCATGTGGACATAGAATAGTGTTCCAGGAAGAGGGAACAGCAAATGCAAAGGTTCTGAGGTAGAAGCATGGCTGGTGGTGCTGAGGCAGCCGCGTGCCTGGTGGTTCTAAGGTAGACGCGTGCCCGGTGTTTCTGAGGCGGGCGCATGCCCGGTGGCTCTAAGGCGGGCGCGTGCCCGGTGTTTCTGAGGCAGCCGCGGGCCCGGTGTTTCAGAGGCGGACGCATGCCCGGTGTTTCTGAGGCGGGCGCGTGCCCGGTGGCTCTAAGGCGGGCGCGTGCCCGGTGTTTCTGAGGCAGCCGCGGGCCCGGTGTTTCAGAGGCGGACGCGTGCCCGGTGTTTCAGAGGCGGACGCATGCCCGGTGGCTCTAAGGCGGGCGCGTGCCCGGTGTTTCTGAGGCAGCCGCGGGCCCAGTGTTTCAGAGGCGGACGCGTGCCCGGTGTTTCTGAGGCGGGCGCATGCCCGGTGGCTCTAAGGCGGGCGCGTGCCCGGTGTTTCTGAGGCAGCCGCGGGCCCGGTGTTTCAGAGGCGGACGCGTGCCCGGTGTTTCTGAGGCGGGCGCGTGCCCGGTGTTTCAGAGGCAGCCGCGGGCCCGGTGTTTCAGAGGCGGACGCGTGCCCGGTGTTTCAGAGGCGGACGCATGCCCGGTGGCTCTAAGGCGGGCACGTGCCCGGTGTTTCTGAGGCAGCCGCGGGCCCAGTGTTTCAGAGGCGGACGCGTGCCCGGTGTTTCTGAGGCGGGCGCATGCCCGGTGGCTCTAAGGCGGGCGCGTGCCCGGTGTTTCTGAGGCAGCCGCGGGCCCAGTGTTTCAGAGGCGGACGCGTGCCCGGTGTTTCTGAGGCGGGCGCGTGCCCGGTGTTTCTGAGGCGGACGCGTGCCCGGTGGCTCTGAGGCAGACGCGTGCCTGGTATATTGGGAGAACAGCATAGAACAAAGTGAGTGGGAGCAACGAGAGCAATAAGAAATAAATTAGAAAGCTAAATCAGCTGAGTTAAATAAGTAATAAGTTAGATAAGTTAGATAACCGGTTAGAACCAGTTCCAGTTTGAAGATAGTAAGAATGAGAAGCTTCTGAAATATCGTTGGAGTGAATATATCCAGTGGGAGTGGGCTCTTTGAATCTGGACTTTATTAAGCAAATATTTCTTGAGCACGTGCTATGTGCTAGACATTGAAATAAGTGCTAAGGACATAGAGGTGACCCCAGACACAGTTATTCTTGTCTTCAAGGATCTCAAAATCAGACAAGTAAGCAAATGCTGACAATACATACATAACTGCAATGATAAGGAATAGGAACACCGGGCACCGGGTATGGTGTGCTGGGGAGGGTGTCGAAGGGGCACCTAACACAATTATTCGGAGTGAGGGGGATCAGGGAAGTTTTCCTACAGGAGTGACCTCTAAGCCAAGACTTGAAGTAGAAGCAGTTTGCTCCACAAAGGAGAAAATAGTCTGATTTCTTGACAAGTGTGAGAACCACTGTGCTCCCAAACAATCTACATAGACCTAGGATAAGTAACAAGACAGACATTTACATGGGGTTGCTGCTTTTCAAGGCACTGTCCACATATTATTTTATGAGGCCTTCACGACGATCCTGAGAAGTAAGCAGTGCAGGGTTATTATCACCATTTTACATGTGACCAGGTTGAGGTCCAGAGAGATGAAATGACTCCCCGAGGACACAAGACCAGTACCTGCCAGAACCAGGGCCCGAATGTGGTTGATACATATGCAGCACTTACTATGTGTCCGGCAATATATTAAGCACTTTACAAGCAGTAATCTATTTACTTCTGACAAAAGTCCTATGCCATCCCCATTTTACAGATGAGGAGACTGAGGCACAGAGAGGTTACACCTTGCCCAAGGCCACACAGCTAGTAAGCGGTGAAGCCAGAATTGAAACTCAGTCATCTGGCATGAGAGCACTCGTTCATACCCTCCATACCATATTGCCCGTAGTTAGAAGAATTGCAGTCATTACTGAGACAAAGAGAGGTACACCTGTATAAGTGTGTATATGTATATATGGGGTGGAGTGAGGTGGGACAGGTGTTCTCTCCTGGTAGTCTTGAATTACACCATTATCGCTATCATCTATATTGGGATGGCCAAATGGGCTTTATAAATGAAATATGTGTTCATTTTGTATAATCTTGTTTAACTAGGAGAAACTTCTCTTATAAAAGGGAGGAAGGGATGGCTTGGTTTCTATGATCTGGGAATTGTCTTGAGGTTCCTCTAGTTTTGTTGCCTCCTCCACTCATAAGCTTTCCAGATCCTGCAGAGTGTGTACAGAGAAGAGTCATGTACTGGATATCACAACGCAGGGATCTGACTGCTTCAGAAATACACTGTCAGTGAGACATCCCAGTGAAGGCTGTTCCCTTTAAACCCGTTTCTTGAGGTGGGCTCTGAGGCTGCCATTCCTCAAAACATTTATGTAACTCTTCCACTCAGAGGTGGACCCTATGACATATAGAGAACGTTCATCCTTACAGCAAGGAACTGCGGGAATGTCTAAGGGACATTCATAGCCAAGTCTATTAATAAGGTTTTCATTCTTACCAACTTAATTGAAGTCTAATTTCTATACCATAAAGTTCGCCCATTATAAATGTACAAGTCAATGACTCTTATGAATGTGTAGAGTTGTACAGCCATCATTGAAACCCAGTCTCAGGATGTTTCCATCACTGCATAAAGCTCCGTGGTGTCCATTTACAGTTAATCCCCACTCCCATCCTCCTGCTTTAGGCAACCACTGATCCCATTCCGTCTTTATAAATTTGCCTTTTCTAGATACTTCATATGAATGGGATCATACAATACGTGGCTTCTTCCACTTTGTATTATGTTTTCAAGGTGTTGTAGTATGTATCAGTACTTTTATTTTATTGTTGAATAGTATTTCATAATGTATGTACATTTTGTTTACCCATTCACCTGTTGATGGGCATTTAGGTTGTTTCTAGTTTTTGGCTATTATGAATAATGCTGCTATAAACATTCACATGCATGTCTGTCTGTGGACATGTGTTCATTTCCGTAGAATAAGAATTTTTTTTTTGAGACTGAGTTTCACTCTTGTTGCCCAGGCTGGAGTGCAATGGTGTGACCTCGGCTCACTGCAACCTCCTGGGTTGAACTGCCTCCTGGGTTCAAGCGATTCTCCTGCCTCAGCCTCCTGAGTAGCTGGGATTATAGGCATGTGCCACCATGCCCAGCTAATTTTGTATTTTTAGTAGAGACGGGGTTTCACTATGTTGGTCAGGCTGGTCTTGAACTCCTGATCTTAGGTGATCTGCCCTCCTCGGCCTCCCAAAGTGCTGGGATTACAGGCATGAGCTACCGTGCTCGGCCAGAATAAGGATTTTTAAGTGTGCAATTCAGTGGCTTTTAGTATGGTCATAGAGTCATACAAACGTCATTATTATCTAATTCTAAAACATTTTCATCATCCCCAAAAGAAACCCCATACCCATTAGCAACCACTCCTTTTTTTTCTCTTCCCTCCATCCCCTGGTAACCATGAGTCTACTCTCTGTTTTAGTGGATTTGCCTACTCTTGACATCTCATATAAAAGGAGTCATGCCATGTGTGGCCTTTTGTGACTGAGTTCTTTAACTTAGCTTAATGTTTTCACGATTCATCCATGTTGTAGCACGTGTCAGTAATTACTTTTTTTTTTTTTTTTGTCGCCCAGGCTGGAGTGCAGTGGTATGATCTCAGCTCACTGCAATCTCTGCCTCCCAGGTTCAAGTGATTCTCGTGCCTCAGCCTCCCGAGTAGCTGAGACTACAGGTGCAAACCACCGGCATGCCCGGCTAATTTTTGTATTTTTAGTAGAGACGGGGTTTTGCCATGTTGGCCAGGGTCATCTGGAACTCCTGACCTCAAGTGACCCGTCTGCCTCAGCCTCCCAAAGTGCTGGGATTACCATGCTAGGCTTAGTATTTTACTCTTTTTTGTATCAGGTAACCAAGTATTTTATTCTTTTTTGTACCAAAAAAAGTGTGGATGTACCATACTTTTTTATCAATTCATCAGTTGATGGTCATTGAGTTGTTTTTACTTTTTGGCTATTATGAATAATGCTGTTATGAACATTTGTGCACATGTTTTTGTGTGGGCATGTTTTGAATCCTCACTTCTCTTGGGTATATATCTAGGAGTAGACTTGCTGGGTCATATGCGAACTCTAAGTTTAACTTTTTGAGGAACTGCTAAACTGTTTTCCGAAGTAGTGGTATCATGTTACAGTCCCATAGGCAATGTGTGAGGGCTCCAATTTTTCCACATTCTCAGCAATGCTTGTTATTATCTGTATTTTTTCTTAATAGCCATCCTAGTGGGTGTTGAATAAGGTTTTGACCAAGGTTTTGGCAAAATTAAGTAAAACTAACACCACCACCAAGAACAAGAACAAGAATACCACAGGTTAATAGCAATGTAAAAAAGGAGTTCTTGTGTGGTACATAATTTGATTATTAAAAATTCCCAAATAGTTGCTCTATAAGAGTCTAGAGAAACCGTAGCATTGTATATCTGAACATGGCTTTCGGTGGGACTATTTAAAGGTCAACACTAATCTCTCCCCACTTCTGTCTGATCATACAGAGGCTTTGGAGATTCATAGGTGGCACGTATGAAGACAAATTAGTAAGAATCCTTTGGAGGGCAATTTAGCAATAAAGTTTCAGAGGCCTTAGACCCAAAAATTTCAGCTCTCAGAATTTATCCTAAGAAATTTAGAATTTATCTCTGATTCTGATCAATCAGAATTTATCTCTAGAGACACTCAAAATTTATGCACAAGGATGTTTATTACAATATTACTTATAAAGACAGTTACCAAAGACTAAATCCTTGAATCTTTACATCTTTATTCTTATCTACATTTTTTCAAATGTTCTATGGTTCCTTTATATAATTAAAGCAATTCAGTGTAAGTGTTATTTCTTAAAAACTCTATTCCATCTTGAAGGTCTAGTTTAAGGATGCATCTTTCTTCATGCCTTCCTCAGTCATCCAGTGGTTCCTCTTCCTTGGCATTTCAGGTGCATCTAGGTCTGGGTCTAAAGCAAAAAACAAGAGAGGGATTGCTTGTAATGGCAGAGACCTGTCACTAAAAGTGACTTATTAACCAGGTTTCTAACTATTCAAGAAACTGATTATACTTCTTTTGCTTACTTAAGAGTTGTGTCTGAGATCATCAGTAAGTGGGGGAAAAAATTCTTTTTCTAAGTTAGGCTGTGAAAATTCACTTTTAACCAGCTCAGAAGGGGTTAATCACACCTAGTATGCTTCCTAAGAGCATAAGATAGCAACATCCCTGAGTTGAGCCTCTGGAGTTTACTGCTGGTTTACTCCTGTAACTAAGGAGAGAAGCTATTACATGCAGACAGTGATCCATGACAAAATCTCACAAGGCTCCTCTATAGTGAGCTAATCAAATAATAACAACCTTGTAGTAATAGTTATGCTCCAACAGCCATGCAGCTTCCCAGAAACTGCTTATTAAACCTCAGAGCATTACGCATACTTCATGAGCAGTTTCACTAACAGGTTTTAATCTATAAGTTGGAACATTTGCCTCATACAGGGAGAAAATCTGTCAAAGGAAATTAAATGTGTGTGTGTGTATACATATATACATACATATATATTTATTACTATAGAATGTGGCATCGTTTTATCATCCACACAAAAATGCCTAGGCAGACAGCAAAGAGCCTCAGAGCATGCTTTTTTTCGGTCCAAATAAATAATAATGGATAATTTGTAAAGTGTTAATTATATTGAATTACAATTAGTAATATCTAAGTATGAGGTTGTTATGTGATATATTTCATTCACTGTTCAACCAACTGCTTTAATTATAATTTTGGTTATGTTTTCTGCACTAATAAAAGAAAAATATCACCTGCTCTACTGGATTATACCAACAGGCACAATAATTTTAGGAAGCAATGAACCTTAGTAGAAATTCATGAAGAAAATTTACATATACCACAATCTAAGAATATTTTAGAAAATATTGTATCTATATATTTGAATGGACTTGTAATAGGCAATTAATACTAGCAAACAAACATTCCTCTACTTTATAAAAATAACAATAAAATGTCATTAGGAAAGCCATCACAAAAAACTTTATGAAAGACAGAAAATCAGAGAGAGAAAGAAGAAGAAAGAAAGGAGAAAAAAATTAGAAAGACAAAATTCCAGGTGTCAGGGTCTTGGAACAAAATGATATTAGAAATGTTCTCCTTCCCAGGTAGCCCTCATGGCTCATATCTATATTAATGTATATGAATCGATATTGCTATCTTTTTATTCTTTTTGATTAATAGTTGAAATTATTAAAACTTTTTTCTCTTAGCTGTAAGCATAAACTGAGCAATATGAGTGAAATCTTAGTAAACTCTACCTTGGAATCTTATGTCAGGGAAATGGCCCAGAGTCAGGTGACTCTGGTTCAAAAGGACAAAAGTGTTCCAAGGTCTTTCTTGGGCCAACAGTAGTAATCTCATGTGTTGTGTACCAGAGACTTTTGATTTATAAAGATGGCAAAGGACTGGGAGGCTTGCTAAGTGCACACACACAGAGAACGAAGATTTTTCAGAGGCCAGGGTTTTAAAAAACTCAACAGGAAAAGGGGCCATCCGCATTGAGTCCCTTACAATCATCCAGACGCTGGATACTGGGTTTAACCAATCTTAGAACATGCTTTTTGAAGTCAAGAAGTAGAATATCTAAAGAACAATGCCAGGCACACCACGTGGTGCCAGCTTAGCTGATGGGTCCCTGTCAGAGGGCTTCCTGAGGGCAGCCAGGTCAGACCTGGCTCAGCAATTCATGCCTTCCTGCAACTGTGTCGATAGCTGCTCTACCGGGCCTGGCAGAATGAGAGAGAGAAGAGCATCTGCCATGCCCCCTGCCGTTTCTGCTCAGATGACCCCCACCTCCACCCCCAGTTTGTAGAACAGTAGTCCAGGAAAAATATCCTACCCCCAGGTCTGGGCATAAAGAAGGGAGTGGGTGGCTAGTCTAGGTCTTTGAGCTTCAACCACTGCACCCCTAACTGTCGACTTCTGTTTAAGATGCAGATGCTAAGAGGACTCCATTCTGATGACTGTCTATATCAAGGCCTCCTACCCTCAGGGAATTGGGTGAGCTGTTCCTGTTGATGAAGCTATGGGGCTCTCCTATGGGAGATACCAGTATTTGCATATGGGACTTGGTGCCTAGATTGGAGCTGGCTTTGGGGTAAGTGGAACAGAGACTTCTTGAAGCTCTCATGTAGATTAATCCAAGTCTCCTGGAAGTGGCTGCTATGTCTCAGCTTCTCCCTGGCCCAGTGTGACTGCCCCTCATGGTCCTTCACACTGGGGACTTCTCCATGTTATACCTTCAGCTTCCTGGCCCAGGAGGGATCCTTAACAATCCATTACCTCAAACAGATGCAAAACCCAGCAATATAGTGATACTAAAAAGACCTCCAAGACCAAATCCTGGTGAAAATAGCTTAGCCCGTATGAAGATCCCATGATTCTAAAATATACAAATAATTCATTCCTGAGCTATTAATGTCCACTGACTATTCGCTCAACACTGATGAAGATGTTGGGGATTCATCAGTGCATGAAAGAGATGAAAATCCCTGCTAGGGAGAAAAATAAAGTAGGGAAGAGGAGGACAGAAGGGGGATAGAGTGGGTTGCAGTCACAAATAGGGTGGCCAGAGGTTTCACTGTGGAAGTGCTGCGTTTGAGCAGACTTGAAAGAGGTGAGACTGAGTCATGTGGTACCCAGAGGAAGAGCGTTCCAGGCAGAAGGGACAGCGAGTGCAAAGGCCCTCGGCTGGGAGCATGGCTGGCTTGGGCAAGGAGTGACAGGGAGGCTGATGTGCCAGGATCAGAGTAAGCAAGAGAGAGAGCCGTGGAGAATGAGGTAAAGGAGGATCAAGTCGTGTGAGTCCTCACAGGGCCTGAAAGGACTTTGGCTTTTGCTCTGGGTGAAATGAGGACTCCTAGGAGCATTTTGAGCCGAGAAGAAAAAAGGCCTGACTTACATCCTGTTAGGAGTCCTCTGCCTGTAATGGGTCAGCTCACAGCACTCGCCTGGTTGGCTTGATGATGCCCACACTAAGTGCAGGTGAAGCCTCGGAGAAGGAAGAAAGGAAGTAGAAAGAGCAGCCAAGCAGGAGGAGGAGCAACAGGCACAGGAGGTGAGGGAGGCTGTGATTTGGAGCAGCAGGGGAAAACATGGAGTCCACATTTGCTGACAGTGGAGGAGTGACAGCTGGCACAGAGATGGAGGTGATGTGAACACAGGTGTAGGATTACATCAGTCTAGAGCCAAACCCCTAACCCACCTCCATGACCCTGGAGGGCTTCAGAACAACTATGATTTGACACATGAAGAAAAAGTTAAAATGTGACCAAAAGAGGGCGTGGTTTTCACTTTCTTCTTTCATGAGGTTACGTCTTGGGAACAGTCTGCCAGACATGCCTCCCCGCTTGCATTATGTGTGTCCCATGCTGGTATCTGCTTTTAATGAACATTGTAAGCCACTTTGCACATGAGCATATACCAGTTGCTACTGGTGAGATATTAAACACCTATTTTATAATCAGCCTTTGGAAAATCCAAGGTATACAGGGGAAGAGTACAAAGAAATCCCGAAAGCCTGGTGCTGAGCAAACACAGAAAATGCAAGATTTCTGATCAGCAACTTGGGACAAGTGACCAATTTGACACCGGCCCCTGTGCCTGGTGTAAAGTAGAGGATCAAAGATGTAAAGGCCCTGGGAGAGGCAGGTGGGTGGGGATGTGATGATAGGTGACTTTTTGGGGGGCCACCCTGCATCTTTTCCATTTGATTTCAAAAGTAAAGGTTATTCATTGCAGTTTCCCTCACAAAATTACAGAAGAGTGTGAAGTTTAAAAAATCCTTCCTCTCTAATCCCTCTAACCACAAATAGTCACAGTTAACAATTTGATGTTTATCATCTAGAGTTTTTTCTGCACATGTATACTTTCTTATGTATATATATTATATATATTCCTATTACATATATACAGACAAACACATATGCATATTTAAACAATGAAACCGGAGTTCTCCTTTACTTATTTTTCTCTCTCCTTCCCTGAACCCCTTACTTCTTCATGGCTTTCACTCCAGATTAGGGTGTATAGATCTGCCTCATTTTTAAAAATATTTTTTTCTATTCTAAAATTAATATGGGCTGGGTGTGGTGGCTCACACCTGCAATACCAGCACTTTGGGAGGCTGAGGTGGGCGGATCACTTGAAGTCAGGAGTTCAAGACCAGACTGGCCAACACGGTGAAACCACGTCTCTACTAAAAATACAAAAATTAGCTGGGTGTGGTGGCATGCATCTGTAATCCCAGCTACTCTAGAGGCTGAGGCAGGAGAATTGCTTGAACCTGGGAAGTAGAGGTTGCAGTTAACTGAGATCCTGCCACTGCACTCCAGCCTGAGTAACAGAGTGAGACTCTGTCTCAAAAAAAAAATTCACATGGAACCAAAAGAGTCCAAATCACCAAAGCAATGCTAAACAAAAAGAACAAAGCCAGAGGCATCACATTACTCAACTTCTAACTATACTACAAGGCTGCAGTAACCAAAACAGCGAGGTACTAGTACAAAAGCAGACACATAGATGAATGGAACAGAATAGGGAACAAAATAGGGAACCCAGAAATAAAGCCACACACCTACAACCACCTGATTTTTGATGAAGTCAACAAAAATAACCAATGGGGAAAGGATTTTCTATTTAGTAAATGGTGCTAGGATAGCTAGTTAGCCATATGCAGAAGAATGAAACTGGACCGCTAGCTTTTACCATATACAAAAATTAACTCAAGATAGATTAAAGACTTAAAGGTAAGGTTTCAAACTATAAGAATCCTAGAAGAAAACCTAGGAAGTACCATTCTAGACATCAACCTTGGGAAAGAATTTATGACTAAGCTCTCAAAAGCAATTGCAATAAAAACAAAAATTGACAAGTCAGACCTAATTAAACTAAAGAGCTTTTCACAACAAAAAAAACTATCAACAGAATAAACAGATAGCATACAGAATGAAAGAAAATATTCGCAACAAAGGTCTATTATCCAGAATCTATAAGAAACTTAATTCAACAAGTAAAAAACAAATAACCCCATTAAAAAGTAGACAAAAGACAGGAACAGACACTTCTCAAAAGAAGACAGAGAAGCAGCCAACAAACATGAGAAGTGTTCAACATCACTAATCATCAGAGAACTGCAAATAAAAACCACAATGAGATAACATCTTACACCAGATGTTATCTGTCAGTCAGAATGGCTATTATTAAAAAGTCAAAAGGCAACAGATATTGGTGAGGCTGCAGAGAAAAAGGAATGCTTATACGTTGTTGGTGGGAATGTGTATTAGTTTAGCCACTGTGGAAAGCAGTTTGGAGATGTCTCAAAAAACTTAAAACGAAACTACCAATCAACCCAGTAATTCCATTACTGGGTATGTATCCAAAAAAATTGTTCTATCAAAAAGACACACACTCATATGTTCATCACTATTCACAATAGCACAGACATGGAATCTACCAAGGTGTTCATCAACGGTGGATTGGAGAAAGAAAATGTGGCACATATACACGATGGAATATTACACAGCCATGAAAAAAAACCCAAAAATATGTCCTTTGCAGCAACATGGATGCAGCTGGAGGCCATTATCCTAAGAAAATTAAAGCAGGAACAGAAAACCAAATACTGCATGTTCTCACTTATAAGTGGGAGCTAAACCTTAGGTACTCATGGACATTAAGTCCATGGCAACAATAGACATTGGGGATTACTATAGCATGAGGGAGCAGGGAAAGGGTACTATGGTCACTACCTGCATATGGAATCGTTTGTACCCCAAATCTTAGCATCAAGCAATATACCCACATAACAAACCTGTACATGCACTCCCTGAATCTAAAATAAAACTTGAATAAAAAAAAAACTGACTGAACTTAGCCAACTGCTAAACCCTTACATCCTGAAGCCACTTGTTGTTTATTTGATGCCAATATGGATTATTATTCTCATTAAGGATCTGTAAGGTAACTTAAATTTTAATGCTGTGTGGATGGAGTAGAGAATGGAAGGCTGGAAAGTCAGGAGGAAAGGATAAATAAATTTAAAAAATGTTTATTGATCATTTTATTATGTAGTATCTTTATCATGCACATAAACGTAATTGTAGTTTTTTTCTCCTTTAATACAGTTGAATCTTTTATGGCTTCTATTTTTCTTTTAGTTCTCTCATGCTTACTTCCAGAACTTCTACGGTTTCATTTTTCTCCAGCTTACATTGAAGGGTAATGGTTACTCTGGGGATAATGGTTATGTTCATTACCTTCATTGTGGTGGTAATGGTTTCATAGATACATCAAAACTTATCAAATTGTAGGTGAATTAAATATTTTAAATATGCCCATTAAAAGTTTTACTATTGTAATGTAAATTAACTAATTAAATAGATTTTTAAAAAATTGTGGTATAATGTACATAGCATAAAATTTGCCATCTTAACCATTTTAAGTGTACAGTTAGTTAGTTCAGTGGCGTTAAGTACGTTCTCATTGTTGCGTGCCTCACTTTTCTTAAGCCATGGGATAGCAGAAGAGTCACAAATGTGGGCTTTGGAATCTGGCTGCCTAGGTTCAAATCCCAGCTCCTGTGCCTACCACACAGCTTCTGTGTAGTCTCAGGCAAGCCATTTATCCTAGATGCCTCCATTTGATAATCTGTGGTGTTATTACCTCAATTTCTAAAATTGGGGTAATAACACCATCTATCTCATAGCAGTGTTGTAAAGCTCAAACACATATTAACAATTAAATTACTTATAACAGGGTCTAGCATGCAAGAATAATTAACTATAGGGCAAATTGTATTTAATTAGAAGGATATATCATAATTAATAATGCCCTATAAATGGCCGGTTAGTATATTTTGATAGATAGCTGTTAGCCATACTGGAGGCACCAATTCAAATTTTAACTTGTTCTTTTATGCTTCCCTTTAGACACATGATACCAAAGTATTTAGCCTTTTATAAGGTAGGATATTTCATAAATCTGAGAAAGCTAAGTGCAGGAAACATCCTGCCCTGGAATAAATTTAGTTGGATCTATATCTCACACAACACATAAGGATAAACTCTAAGGTCATCAAAGACTTCAAGATAAACTGGGAAAAAAATGAAGCATAAAAGTTCTAGAAGTAAGCTTGAGAGAATTGCTATATAACTTTAGAGAGGGGAATACTTTCTAACTAAAAGGAAAACAGAAGCCATAAAAGATTCAACTATATAAAGGGGGAAAAGAACTACAACTACATTTATGTGCATGATACAGACACTACAAAGTAAAAAAAATCAAGAAAGTTTGTATTTCATTTAAAGATGAAAGGGTAATCTTGGTATATAAGATGTGCTTAGAAATTGTGTGTGTGTGTGTTGTTTTTTTTTTTAAAAAAAGACCAAGAATCCAGGGGGGAAAAATGAGCACAGGACATGAGCAGATAGTTCACATAGAAATAAACATTCAAGGCTCATAAATATATACAAATGTTCAAACTCACACATAAGAGAAATGCAATTGAAGCTATACTAAGATATTATTTTCCCTATCAGATTAGTAAAATCCAGAAGTTTGACAACATTCTGTTGGTAAGACTGTGGGGAACAGGCACTCATATATCACTAAAGAAAGTATAAATTTGGTTCAAACTTTTTGGAGGACAACTTGGCAACATCTATTGCAGTAAGCTAAATGGTGGCCCCAAAGACCTGTTCATGTTCTAATCCCTGGGACCTGGGAATATTCATTTATATGACAAAAGATTAAGTTAAGGATCTTGAAAGGAGGCATTTACCCTGAATTATTTGAGTGGGCCCTAAATGCAATCACATGTGTAATATGATCACATGTATAATAAGACCACATGTGCAATAAGAGAGAGGCAGAGGGAGTTTTTAAGTGACATACAGAGAAGATATAAAGAGAGGAAGGCCATGTGAAGCTGCAGGCAGAGACTGGAGTGATATAGCTGCAAGCCAAGGAGCTCTTACAGCCACCAGAAGCTGGAAGAGGCAAGGAATGGATTCTCCTCTAGAGTCTGAAAGGGATGTGACCCTGCAGACACCTTTTTTGCAGACTTGATTTCAGAATTCTGGCACCCAGCATTGTGAGACAGTAAATTTCGTTGTTTTAAGCCACCAAGGCTGCAGCAATGT
The DNA here is from genome assembly GCF_000001405.40 of Homo sapiens. Lineage (NCBI taxonomy): Eukaryota > Metazoa > Chordata > Mammalia > Primates > Hominidae > Homo > Homo sapiens. The sequence goes on along the minus strand of NC_000007.14, from coordinate 112,378,895 downwards.
GTTACAGCAGCCACAGGAAACTAATACATAATTAAACTTACAAAGATTAGTAAAATTAGAAATTCAAACAAATTACAAATAAAATGCAATGACAAATATAAATGTTGGAGACATGACCATCCCTCTTCCCACTCAGAGGCAGTTGGAAAGGTGAAAGAGCACACATTGGCTGACCACTGTGACAGAGGGTGCTGCTGCTGACATTTTGGGAGCAAGGAGCAGTAATACTAAACAGGCATGTCAGTGTTGTGTGTAATAGTAACAGATTGGAAATGACCCAAATGTCCTTGGAATAGTCAAATAATAAGTTGTTATATATCCATACAATGGACTACTATGCAACTGTTTTAAAAGATTGAGAAACTTCTCGATGAACTAATATGGAAATATTCCAAAATATGTTAAGTGGAAAGGGCAAGGTATAAGACAATATACACAGAATGCTAACATTTATATAAAAGGGAGGGAGGAGAATACAAAGCTATATTCATATATAATTTTATAAATGTGATTATCCAAGAAATGGTTTGCAGGCAGAGGTGAGAATGTGATGGATGAAATTAGAGTGGCAATTAGGCTTTTCACAATTTGACTTTTGCTATATATTTTTAAAGTTTTTAATCATGTGAATATAGTGCTATTAAAATATATATATATATCTGCCGGGCACAGTGGCTCACGCCTGTAATCCTAGCACTTTGGGAGGCCGAAGCGGGCGGGTCACGAGGTCAGGAGATCAAGACCATCCTGGCTAACACGGTGAAACCCCGTCTATACTAAAAGTACAAAAAGTTAGCTGGGTGTGGTAGCACGCGCCTGTAGTCCCAGCTACTCGGGAGGCTGAGGCAGGAGAATCGCTTGAACCGGGGAGGCGGAAGTTGCAGTGAGCCGAGATTGCACCACTGCACTCCAGCCTAGGTGACAGACAAAGCAAGACTCTGTCTAAAAACAAACAAACAAACAAACAAAAAACTAAGGCATGAAAAATCTAAGGCTTTCCTCAAACACTTGTGGAGCCTGTGGCCAGAGTACAGATGGAAAGCTACATACTGTAAGTCTAAACATTTAAAAGCTATAAATCAAGCTGGGTGCGGTGGCTCATGCCTGTAATCCCAGCACTCTGTGAGGCCTCTGCAGGCAGATCATTTGAGGCCAGGAGTTCAAGAACAGCCTGGCCAACATGGTGAAACCCCATCTCTACAGAAAATAAATAAATAAAATAATGAAAGTTATAAGTCAAGCCAACAAACAGTTAATTAAAATATGTTCTCTTCTCCTACTTTGAAAAACCTGCTTAATGACAAAATAGAAAAAAGATAAGTATAAAATGTAAAATTTGGCAAAATATCAAACATGATAAAATTAAATTATTATTGTGCATGTCTGGGTGGTCCATTGATAGTCTGGAGATGTTGAGAAGAGCAGTAAATAAAGGCATTTAATTCACAGTGTATTTTATATTTTTTCCATATGTTATTTTTTCCTGTCTTCATTTCAATAAAATCACTAATTATGTAGTTGTAAGCAAGATTTTTGCATAATTCGACTCCTGTAGACAGTAATACCAAATTAGATAATATTTCTTGAGTAATTAAAGTTTTTAGATGTTTTTCTTAATTAGTTTCAATTTGAGGAAACTTCTCTGCTGAGGCAAAAACAACTGGACTTGTCCATAACTTTTCAAAGTAACATTTAGATTAGAAACAAACCATAAAATTTACATATCATGTTCAAACATTATAATGGCATCTTCACTTTAGTTACATTATATAGATCACTAGCACTCAATTGCTCTTCTCTCCATCTCTCAAATAAATATTTAGATCTATACAGTATTTCTTAAATTTCAAAAATTTCGAGCCAGGCACAGTGGTTCACACCTGTAATCCCAGCACTTTGGGAGGCCAAGGCGGATGGATCACTTGAGCTCAGGGGTTCGAGGCCAGCCTGGGCAACATGACAAAACCCTGTCTCTAAAAAATAAAATTAAAATGTCAGTGCTGAGAAATTGTAAAGCAAACTAGAAGTAGCATATGTCCTTCAGTGTTCTATTCAAAGGACTCAAACTCTCGAACTTGCCCAGATCTTCCTGAAGTATGAATACCATTGGCTTCTTTTAAATTGGGAGACTATGTAAATGAAAATAAAATAAATTATGAAAAAGCATCTGTAATACCTAAAAACCTATTATTACAAAGATCGATAATGTGGTTTTAGAAAAAAAGGAACTCTGAAGTAAATCGACACAGGTGAGGATGTGGTCAACATAATGCAGTCAGCAACAAACTAACTCTTCTTTCAAAATATCTCAAATCATAATAGAACTGCAGATGCAATAGCAAACAATTTCACAGAACTGCTAAGAGCACATAGGAAAACCCAAACCAGCCATCTCAGACAGATGGAGATGAATGCATACAGCTATACAGTAAAACTTTCTCTAAAGAGAGTTGCTAGGGGAAGAAAAATTTCAAGTCTCTGAAGAGAAGGTAATTAATCCAATTATTTCAATGAACTTGAGTTTCTCCTTGCTACAATGTTTCTGGAGTATTTATGTGGTTGTAACCTTGACAGTGTGGTCATCTATTTATAATATAGCAGCAAGGGTCTGATACAAAATTCTAATATCATAAAAGTACATCATTAAAATGCTTTATATGGAGTAAGAATTTGAAATTCTGATTACTCACTAAAGGGATATATCTTAAAGTTAATAAGGGAAAGTGGTTACAGTGGAGAGAGAAAACAGAAAGAAAACTGAAGGAGGTCAACTGTAGAAAGAGGACTGGATGAAGTGGGCACTGAATGGATTGACTTATCAAGGGAGACCTATGTTCTTCATAACCCCTATGCTCACCTCTCCAACATGTAAATCACATTGTGTGGCCATGGCCTTTTTATTTGACTGTCTCACTGCTGTACTATAAGCTTAAGGATAAGATGATGACTGTTGTGTTCTCCATTGTGTCTCCAGCAATTACACAAGGTCTAACATACAGTAGGTACTTACTGGTAGATGTTAACTGGATGGATGGATGGGTGGGTGGAAGGATAGAGAGGGATGGAGGAATGGAGGGGTGGGTGGATGGGTGGATGGGTAGACAAGTGGATGAATAGACGAATGGACAGATGGATGGATAGATGGGTGTCAAGAAGCTGCAGATTCCTTGGCTACAATAATTAGGAGTTTCCTCATATCCATGGGAAGCTCAACTGCCAATGCCACAGCCATAGCCACAAACATCTCTCAGACACCACTAATCAATTAGTACTGTTAGTTGGTTAATACTGACATAGTAGTTAAAGTGTGTGCTGTGAAAAAATTCAGGCAGTAGTTTAATTAGAATTTCAGCTTTGGCTGTTGACGGTGAAGCGGGAATGCTTTCTCCCTGAGTTGCCCCGGGGAGGGGATTCTCCATTTCTGGTTTATAAGACCAGAGTATGGAATTGTACTACAAGGACATTTTCATTTAAGAAGTTTATTTTCAATTACGGTAGTGAGTGGTATAAGGGTGAGAATGGTAGAGAAGTACATGATAGATGCTGTCTGTCCGATGGCAATGAAAGGATATTTGACTGGCTGCCCTCTGATTCATGTGAGTGTAAGCAGGTCAGCCACTAGGATTCAGAATAGGCATTGACTTAATAACTTATTATGCTTTGTTGTTTAGACATGTGAAGTACTGGAATAACTGCTAGAATGAGAATGGAATATACGAGGGCCAGTACGCCTCCTAATTTGTTAGGGATAGATCGTAAGATTGCATATGCAAACAAAAAGTACCGCTCTGGCTTAATGTGGGGTGGGGTATTGAGGGGGTTGGCTAAAGTGTAATTATCTGGGTCGCTCAGGAGGTCGGGAAGGAGGAGGAGAAAAATTAAACCTAGAACATCTTTGGTTGTATATTGTCGGGGGGAAGTGATTTTGTCGGGGTCTGATGAAACTCCTGAAGGGTTGTTAGATTCTGTTTCATGCAAGAATAAAAGGTGAACAGTTGCTAGAGCTGTAATGACGAAAGGTAAGATGAAATGGAAGGCAAAAAATCGTGTGAGGGTGGCTTTGTCAAATGAGAATCCCCCTCAGATTCATTGTACAAAGTCAGTTCCAATATATGGGATGGCTGATAGTAAATTTGTAATTACTGTAGTGCCTCAGAATGATATTTGGGCTCATGGGAGCACATAGCCTATGAATGTTGTTGCTATAGTTGTGAATAGGAGAATAATGCCAATATTTCAGGTTTCTGGGAATAGTAATGACCCGTAGTATAACCCTTGGCCAATGTGTAAGAAGAGGCAGATGAAAAATATTGAAGCACCATTAGCATGAAAATAGCAGACCATTTATCCGTAGTTTACCTCTCAGCTGATATGAGTGACTGAAGAGAAGGCAGTTGAGGTGTCTGATGAACAGTGCATGGCCAAAAATAATCCTGTGATGATTTGGAGAATTAGGCAGGCACCAAGAAGTGAGCCAAAGTTTCATCAGGTAGAAATGCTGGAGGCTGTGGGAAGATCAATGACTGAATAGTTAATTTTTATTAGCGGGTGTCTTTTGCGGGTATTCGTCATCAGTATTCTTACAGTTGAAGTACAATGATGGTTTTTCATATCATTAGGTCATGGTTATAGTCCATGTGGAATAATGGTATATGCTTTATTTTTATTAAATGTTCTCTTGGTTATAGAGTTCGTAGGCTTTTCTTTGAAACCTTCTCCTATTTATGGAGGCCTAGGGCTAATTATTAGTGGTGCTGTGGGTTGTGGTATTGTGTTGAATTTTGGTGGGGCTTTCGTGGGGTTAATAGTCTTTTTGATTTATTTGGGTGGTATGATGGTTGTTTTGGGTTATACTGCGGCAATGGCTATTAAGGAATACCCTGAAACACGAGGGTCAAGTATAGACATTTGAGGAGGTTTATTATTAGGATGATTAATAGAGTTGATGTTGGTTCAGTGAATAGTTGAGTACAATGGGCTGGTGATCACAATTGATTTTAAAGTGTAGAGAGTTGGATAATTTTTGAGGGTGAGGGGGTGGGGTTGTGTGAGGATTCTGTGGGTGTGGCTGCCTTCTACAGTTATGGGTGTTGATTAGTGGTAGTTGCTAGTTGATCATTATTTGTTAGTATTTATGTTGCAATTGAAAATACTTGGGGTAATAGATTAGATAATTAATAGTAGTGTTAGAAGGGATGGGATAAAAAAAGAGAGAAAGTAGAGTTTTATTAGGCCTTTTTGAGTAGATACAGTAATGGAGGCTGAAACTTAGATTTGTGAGATGGTCATTGGTATAGACTTTTCTAGTCAAATTACGTCTAGTAGAAGTGAAGCCACATTTTGGTTTGTGAATAGGCTTGAGTGGGGGGTTGAATGGTTGATTGTGGCTGAATAAAAACCTAGTATATTGGAGAAGCTGAATGTCTGTAATGGGTACTTTAGTTTGAGGTTATTAGTTATGAGATTAAGCTCCATTGCTAGTAAGAGGCCTAAGGTGGTTACACCTAGGGCTTTGAGCTTTAAGTGGAGTGGTATAATTGTTTGGGGGGATGAAGCAGGAATAGTACTGTTGGTGATGAGGAACCCAGAGAAGATACTGCTGTATTGTTAGGTGCTTAATTGAGTTAATTAGGAAGGGTTATTTTCGTTAATAATAATCAGAGTTGTGAAGCGAGATTGTCCTATGAGAACGAAGAAAATAATACAGGTACTATAGACAGCTGTTAAGGAGGTGGCAATAAGAGCAATAGAAAGGGCTCAGGTGTTGGTGTATGATGTATTTGCGGTTTCTATAATAAGGTCTTTAGAGTTAAAGCCTGTGAGGAAAGGCATACCTGTAAGTGCAAGGCTACCAATAGTAAGGGAGGAGGAAGTGAAGGGTAAAGTCTTGAACAGTCCTCCTATTTTTTGGATGTCTTGTTCGTCATTGAGGTTATGGCTGATGGAGCCTGAACATATAAATAATATAGCTTTAAAAATGGCATGCGTGCAGATGTTAAGGAATGCTAGATGTGGTTGATTAATGCCAATTGTGACTATTATAAGGCCCAGCTGGCTTGAGGTGAAGAACGCTATGATTTTTTAAATATCATTTTGTGTCAGAGCGCAGATCGCTGTAAATAAGGGGGTAATGGCCCCCAGACATAATGTAAAGGCTTGGATTGGTAGACTATTTTCTATTAAAGGGTAGAAGCGGATGAGCAGGAAAACTCCTGCTACAACTATAGTGCTGGAGTGGAGTAGGGCTGAGCAAGCACAACAGCTTGCTCAAATTCCCAGTGTTCACCTAAAAGGAATTCCAAATATTGGAAGAGAAATTTTAGAAGTCCAAACCTAAAAAAAATAGAAAATATACCACTTTCTCATAACTGGCAACATTTTTCAGGGATAGTTCTGGTCAGGATCAATGTAATTTTTTTAATGAAATATTTTATTAACAGTGTTATTGAGAAATAACTCACATATGATTCCCCCACTTAAAGTACACAATTCAATGGGTTTATAGTATATTCACAGAATTGTGCAACTATCACCACAATGAATTTTGGAACATTTTCATCACCCCAAAAAGCAATCTTATTAGCAGTTTACTTCCCATTTGTCCAGATCCTGGAAACCACTAATCTGCTTTCTGTTTCTATAGATTCCCTATTCTGGACACTTCATATAAATAGAATCATATGACGTTTGGTCTTTCTTCAATTAGTGTGTAATGTTTTCATTCATCCATATTGTAGTATGTATTAGCACTGCCTTTCTTTTTATTGACAAATAATATTCTATTGTACAAATATATTACATATTGTTTATCCATTCATCAATTGATGAATGTTTGGATTGTTTCCACTTTTTGGTTATTATGAATAATGCTACTATAAACATTCATGCACAAGTTTTTGTGTGGACATATGTTTTCATTTCTGGTGGGTTGTATATCTAAGAGTGGAATTGCTGGGTCATGTGGCAACTTTATGTTTAGTCTTTTGAAGTACTGCCAGACTATTTTCCAGGCTATTTTCCAACGTGACTTTGCCATTTCACATTTCCATCAGCAAAGTTTGAAGGTTCCAATTGCTCTACATTTTCATTCACACTTGTTTTCCCCTGTTTTTTCGAACAGAAGGCAGCCTTGTAATATATGCAAAGTTTGACTACTGGGTCCTCCTATTTCCCTTTACTTCTCTCTCTTTCCTAACCAGGTTTTATTTCAAGTATGCATTGCCCTCCTTGGGCAGTGTCCCTTCCCGCTCTCATATACTGTTGTGGCCTAAACTCTAAACCACTGATCCCTCCTTAATTCCCCAACCCTTATGATTTTTACTCAAAGACTTTGAGGATCATCACACTCAAGAAGCATAGGTAAGCAAACCAAAACAATTTCAAAATAACTCAAGTTCTTTACATGATTTCTCAACACTGAGGAAAGGGTTGGGGTAGACATGTAACAAAGTACCCCCATTTTTCTAAGAAAAAGAAAATGGGTTTTAAAAATATTTTTTCTTTTTTCTCCATTTTTCCCTGTTCCTCACTTCCTACTTAGCCCTTTAGTAATACAATTATAATCTTTTACCTCCCTTTCACCAGACACTCTCTACAGTGCAAGTTCATCTAACCATGTGCTTAGAAGCTCCAGAGTGGAGCTCTCACTCACCTGGAGGTTGCCTCAAGAGATGACAGTCAATCTACAATGCAAAATATGCCTGCTGTGAAATTATTTCCTACTTGGAGAGTTTCAGCCACCTTTACAACCTAGTTCTGCCCACAAGGACACCAATGGTCACCAGCTTGATCACCTGGTAGATAGGGCACTAAAGCAAGTTTTGTGGATCCTCACCTGATGCTTCGTCTGCTGCTTGTCATTCATGCTACACCCCCTTTTAAAAGTGCCTGCTTTCTGCTCCAAAAGCAAAGTGTTACCCTTAAGGCAGGAAGCCTGTACTTCTTCCCCCTAAGCTAGTTTTGGAATAAAAATGTCACTTTCTTTATACCAGCCCTCACTCTTGTTAATTAGACTCTGCAAATAGTAAGCAACTGAACCTGTGTTTCAGTTACAGTCACATAGGCAGGTGGCCTAAATCCCTTTCAAAGAAGGACTGACTTCCCAGCTGGGGGTGGATGAGATGGGGTGTGCAGTGAGCTACTTCAGAGGCCTCTTCCTTTCCAGAGCAGCCCACGTTCTATGATGAAGCCCATTGAAGGTGTATAAGCACATTCATTCTGGCTTGGCACAGAACACTCCCTCTATGGCTCCCTGCCAAATTGGCCAAGGCTACTTTCAGCCTGCACTGCAGTTCAACTTCGTCCTTTGCCCAATCCTTGCCTTCTTCCCTTCACAGGTGTTGATTCTTAATAAATACCTTGCACTTCAAACTCCATCTCAGCATTTGCTTCCAGAGAATCCAAGCTATGTGAGTTGGTACCAGGAGTGGCCCAAGAAAACAGGCAATAAGATAAGGTTGTTGAGTAGTTATCAGTTGCCTCTGGGTGGCCATGAGGACTGGTAGTAGGAGGAACACAGATAGCCCTGGGGCAAGGTGGCAGTCCAGTTGTTAAAACTTTGTGAATTTGGAAGGTGTACTGATGGAAGGGAATGAACCAGCTGGAGTGATTTTGGGCATATGAGGTGTATGGAGAAAAGAGCAGCTGCAAGGATAAGGGTATTGGATGGTGACTGCTAAGTGCCAGTGATGCTGTACAGAAACATAATGAACATTTAAGGGCTGAGTAATAAGCTTTTGTAAGCCAGGTGTGAAAGCCAGAGGGCCTCTGTGGATGCATACAAAGAAGCTCTCATTTCCTCAAGAAGGGTGGAAAAGCCAAGGAACAAGTTCAGGAAGGTTGATTCTCCAGACTCCTCTGAACTTACAGAGCCCATTGACTACAGATGTTGCTCACGTACATTATGTGAAAGGAAAATAAAATCTTGGGACCCCAAATTCACTGTGCCAAATGGAAAGTTCAGCTTACAAACGGAGTCACATAAAAACTGCTTTACTTTTGTTCCCAGATAGCTGTAATTTCACATGCTGACTTTCTTTTATATAAAATGTAGATCTACTAAGCACAAGACCAATGCATAATTGACTTTTCCCTCCACTTTTTCCTTTGCACATATAAAATGTAGATTCACTGAGTGCTAATTAGAGCCTCAGAAGAATGTCACCACTTGCCTTGTTGCCTACCCACTCCCCTCCTTTTTTCCTTTCCTTCTTCCTCTCCTGCTCACTCTTTCCCCTTTAAATATTGAAGTCCTCAAAACCCTCTTTGGAAAAAGCACAGGAGACAGGATTCTACTGTGACTTGTGTCTCTTTTTCCTGGGCACATCCTAAACCTTGCCAAAATAAACCTCTAAATCAATTCAGTTGCCTCAGTCACTTTCTGGTTTACAATTATGAAAGTACCTTTCATCTTCCCACCCCAGAAGACAATTCAGAAGCCTCTTCCTCTTCTTCATGTGAGATTTACTCTGATAACTGCAATGGGAAAAGGGAAATATCTAGATATTTTGCAGACTGCTGGAAACACAATCTGAGTAGACATTGATACCTAGAGACCTGAAGCATCACCATAACACTCTTGTTACAGTGAAGGTATATGGGAACTAGGTAATACATACAATTTTAACCAAGTTCTGGCTTAGTGGTCTACTGTGTCTGTGAAATAGCCTGTGATCAGTTCCGCTGTCACCAACTGTACAACTAAAATGGACGTAATTGACAGTTGGTGCAACTCCCACATAGAGCTCTTGGTCTGTGAGGTAAGAGTAGGCTATCATAGCAGGAAAAACCAAGTAAAAGACTCTGAACCTCTCCTGCCACCCCCACTCTAATACAGTGATATTGTGAGAAAAAGCAGAGATTGATGCCAATCTTAAGGATCAAAAAGATATAGACATGGTGATTCCTAAAATATCCCCCTTTAATTTGCCAATCTAGGCCCTGAGAAACCAAATTGATCTTGGGGGATTACTATAAATCCAGAGTCAGCAAACTTTTTTCATAAAGGGCCAGATGGCAAATATCTTAAATTTTGCAAGCCATAGAGTTTCCTGTTGCAACTATTAAATTCCGCTGTTGTAGCGTTGTATTAGGGTTTTCTAGAAGGACAGAACTAATGGAATATATATATATATACACATTATATAGGTCTATATATATCTATATAGATATATTCCTATATAATATATGTATATTATATCTATATATAATATAGATATAGATATAGATAGACCTATATAATATATATATATTCCATTAGTTCTATATATATATATAGATGTATTCCTGTAAATACAGGCCAGTCTCTGTTTTCACATTTTTCTGCTTGCTTATATTCTAGCTGTGCTGGCAGATGATCAGATGGTGCCCACCCAGATTAAGGGTGAGTCCCCCTTTCCCAGCCCACTGACTCAAATGTGAAGGTCCTTTGGCAACACCCTCACAGACACATCCAAGATCAATACTTTTTATCCCTCAATCCAATCAAGTTGGCACTCAGTATTAACCATCACAAGAATGGATAATTTGTAAATGTGGTTGTGTCTTTTTTGTTTGTTTGTTTGTTTTGTTTTTTTGAGATGGACTTTTGCTCTTGTTGCCCAGGCTGGAGTGCAATGGCGCAGTCTCAGCTCACCGCAACCTCCACCTCACAGGTTCAAGCAATTCTCCCGCCTCAGCCTCCTGAGTAGCAGGGATTACAGGCATGCACCACCATATCTGGCTCATTTTGTATTTTTAATAGAGACAGGGTTTCTCCATGTTGGTCAGGCTGGTCTCGAACTCCAGACCTCAGGAGATCCACCTGCCTCAGTTTCCCAAAGTGCTGGGATTACAGCACTTTGGCGTGAGCCACTGTACTGTGGTGTGAGCCACTGTACCCAGCCTGTGGCTGTGTTCTAATAAAATTTTGCTTACAAAAATGGGTAGAGGACTGGACTTGGCCTTCAGGCTTGAGTTTGCTGACTCCTGCTATAGACTACAACAAACACAACTAAGTAGTGTCACCAGTTATAGCCAAAAGGCAATATATAGTACTATGGTTTGAATGTGTTTCCCAAATTTCATATGTTGGAAACTTAATCTTCAAATTCATATGTTGATTGGAGGTGGATCCTTTGGGAGATAATTAGGATTAAAGTTTATCAGGGTGGGGCCCTCATGATGGGCCTTCCAAGAAGAGGAAGAGAGGCCTGAGCTGGCATACGTGCTCTTGCCCTCACTATGTGATGCCTTCAGTCGTATCGTAACCCAGCAAGAAGGTCCTCACCAGATGCCAGTGCCATACTCTTGGATTTCCCAGTCTCCAAAACCATAATAAATAAATTTATTTTATTTATAAATTACTCAGTCTTAGGTATTCAGTTATATCAACAGAAAATGGAGGAAAATATATGATATCTTTGCTAGATAAAGTATATGGCATTAGATATATGGCATGTGGTCACTGATTTGATGAATACATTCCTTTTTATCAAAGTCAAGAAAGGGAATTAGAAATGATTCACATTCACATTGGATGGGCAATAATATATAATTTTCAGTTTCGCTCCAGAGCTGTGTAAATGTCTTCCCTCTATCATGATGTACTATGAAGAGATCTGGTCTAATGTGCTCATGAACCACCCTGTGATTAGCTCCCCTGTCACCAACTGAACAACTCAGATGGACATAATTGGCAGTTGGCACTACTCCCACATAGAGCTCTTAGTCTTGTTCTGTGACATTCCGCATAACAAGATATTAACTTATTACATGAGGCATTATGTTGACAGGACCAAATGAGCAAAAGGTGACTAGCATGCTGGAGGCTGGTAAGACATGGGTGGTGGGAGACAAACTCTTTGAGTATACAGGAGCCAACTATATCCATTAAAATGTTATGGTCCAGTGGTCAGGGCCATGTGGGCACCCCCTCCTAAGGAAAAGACAAATTACTGCATGTTTTACTTCTGACCACAAAGAAAGACACACTATGCCTGGTGGATCTCTTTGGGAACTGGAGGCATCATATTCTATGGCTAGAAATATTTCTACAGTTCATATACTGAAAGAGGTGAAAAGCTGCTTGATTTGAGAGCTGCAAAACAGGAAAGGGGTCTGCAGCAGGTCCAGGCTGCAATGCATGCAGCCCTCCTGCATGAGTTACATGAGCCAGCAGATCCCGTGGTGTTGCAAGTATCAGTGATGGGAAAAGAGAATGTGGAGTTTGTGGCAAGCCCCAGTGGAAGAATCACAATATAGATCCTAGGGTTCAGGAGCAAGGCCATGCCTTTTGAAAAACAACTTTCAGTATGCTCCTGGGTCCTGGTACAGACAGAATGTCTTACCATAGGACGGAAAGTGACCAGACTTCTAGAATTGCCGCTTGTAAGATGGGTCCTGTCAGACTCACCAAGTCATGGTATTAGACTGGTCCCACAACAGTTCTTCACAAAATGAAGAGGTATATCCAAGAATGAGCATAAACAGGACCAGAAAGCACAAACAAGCAGCATGAGAGGGAAGACAGACCCCCATGGCACCCACGACTCCTGCACCAGCTTGCCTTCTTCAGCTCACACTTGTGGCTGCATGTGCAACTAACTGAAGGAGAAAGCCCAAGCTTGACTTACGGATGGGTCAGTATGTGCATGCAATTTGAAAACAGACAGCAGCTGCCCTTCAGCTCCACTCAGGGTGGCCTTGAAAGACAGTGGCAAAGGAAAATCCTCCCCATGGACAGAACTTTGGGTACATAAGGCTATCCACTTTGTGTGGTAAGAGAAATGGCTCAAGGGTAGAGTCTTTTTTTTTTTTTTTTTTTTAAGGCAGAGTCTCACGCTGTTGCCCGGGCTGGAGTGTAGTGGCGTGATCTCCGCCTCCTGGGTTCAAAAGATTACCCTGCCTCAACCTCCTGAGTAGCTGAGATTACAGGCGCCTGCAACCACACCTGGCTAATTTTTGTATTTTTAGTAGAGACAGGGTTTTGCTGGCCAGGTTGGTCTCAAACTCCTGACCTGAAGTGATCTGCCCGCCTTGGCCTCCCAAAGTGCTGGGATTATAGGCGTGAACCACTGCACCTGGCCCGGTAGAATCTTTATGAATTTACAGATGGCATCAGATGGGCCAGCCAGCTGGTCAGAGGCCTGGACAGAAAATAATTAGAAAATCAGAGACAAAGAGGTTTAGGGGGAGCATATGTTTAGACAAATGGGGACAAAGTGTGGAGGTATTTGTATCAAATGTTACCATCCACCAGACAGTGTCCATTACAGAAGAGGCAATAACACCCAAGTAGAAAAAATGCCCAGGCTAGCCTCTGTCATCAGCTGTCCTGTTGCTGGCACATGGATGAAGTGGCCACAGTGGCAAAGATGGAGACAATACCTGGGCAGTGCCATGGACTTGCCCTTACCAAGACTGATCTGCTGATGGCTTTTTCTTTGAGTAGAAAGAGAAATGGCCTAAGGCTAACTATCACCATTGCTGAATGTCCATTAATAGAGACCAGCGTGGAGCCCTTAACATGGTATAATTCCCCAAAGAGACCAACTGGCCAGTGTGGCAGCAAGGTGGCTACACTGGGCCCCGTCAATCCTAGAAAAGCAGCAGTTCAGGAATATACACCCTCTGGGCACAGATTTGAATTTCTTACCTGCAAGCCTCAGCCAACACTGTTGTCCAGGGGCTTACAGTGTGCTTGACCCAATGGTATGAGACCCGATGGCATCAGACCATGGGGACCCCTGCAGAGCAAAGGACAAGTAGGCTGGGCCCACGATCCTGGATCCACTGGTTGCAGCACATACCACACCTCCCGGAAGCTGCCAGCCTGAGGGAGCATGGAAACAGCCCACAGAGGGCACAGCTGAAGCACCAGGGCCATAGCATTCCTCTAAAAGGATGGGGTGCCAATCTCTAGGATGCAAGGCATTCACTGAATGAAAGCCCATTGTGTGCTCTAAGGGAAAGGACAGATAGGATCAGAAGTAAGGGTGAATCAGGGGTGGGCCACCCACCATCCCTCTTAGCGACCCAGCCACTGAGAGACTTTGTGTTTGTTTAGTTCTGGGCTCTGCAGGGTTAGAAAACCTGGCACTCAAAGGAGACACACTTTTTTGTCACAGGACATAACAAGAGTCCCTTGAATTATAAACTATGGCTTCCACCTGGGCACCTTGGGCTCCTTGTGTCCAGGACCAACAGGATGAGAACTTACCACCTTGGCAGGAGTGATTGTGGCTGACCATTGGAAGGAGGCAGGCCTGCTGTTACACAATGGGAATGGGACAGGAAGGTCTATGGGTGGAACCCAATTGTGACTGTAAACAGGCAAGTGTAGCAACGCTGGCCTGCAAAGGGCATGGTGACCAGGTGCTTAGGCCTCTTCAGGATAAAGGTCTGGGTTACAGCACTAGTTAAGCTCCTGAGTCCAGCAGGGGTGGTAGCTGAGGGTGAGGGGAATTTAGAAGAGAGAGTGAAGATGGAGCCAGTGAATATTATTTACAGCCTGAGACCATCTGCAGCAGAACCTCCTTCTTCCACGTTTCCTCTGAGGAATAGAAGCCCACAGAGCAATGGACAAATGTGCCACACATGGGCTGGGAAATGTAAATCTGAGACCTGGCTTGGGAGAATGTGTTACTCAGAGACATGCCTACCCTCGTTTCAGCCTTGAGAGTGCAGTGAGCAGACAGCCTTCAGCCATCAGGTCGTCAGTGTCTGTCTCAACTTTGCAGAGGCCCCCTTGGCCAAGGTCACACTCTTCCTGGGGAGCCCACATCTGGAGACTGAGTAAGGCAGGAGTGGAAAGGCCTGGCCCTTCTAGCCTGCTGGGCTCCCCCTAATCCTCCCACCCCTGTCTGTGAGTGGCAGACTCCCTCCAGGGCCAGGGCACCACACCAGACTCCAATTCTTCCTTCTGTGTTCTCCCTTTCCCACCCAGCCGTCACTAACCAATCACTTGCAACCCAAACTCCACCGTAGTGTCGGCTTCTGGGGAACTCAACCCTAAATAAGAAATATATGAACCACAGCAATAATTCTTTGGAGTCCCTTTTTCTCCCCTCTCCCATCAACTTCCTTCCTACATTTTAACTGCTCCAGTCTTCTCCTTTTAGGGATTCCTCAAAGTACTCTGACATTTTTCTCAGGCTGCATTATTGAAAGTGAGTCCTCACATTTCACACCCACCTGGCAGAGAACCGTCAGGCTCCAAGACAGAGCTCCCATGACAGAGCTCTGCCCCCACCCCTTTTGTATTTCGTCTTCCACATTCACTGCCAATCCCCTGGGAAGGGGAAGCTGTGGGTGCTCAAAAGTTAATTTTTGTTGCAGTCACACATATCCCACAAGTGTAAATTATTGCCAAGGGTCTAATGAAGTATACCCCCACAGGTATTTCCATATTTTTTTTAGAGACAAGGTCTCTCTGTTGCCCATGCTAGAGTGTGATCATGGTTCACTGCAGCCTTGACCTCCCAGGCTCAAGCAATCCTCCCATCTTGGCCTCTTCAGTAGCTGGGATTACAGGTGCTCACCACCATGCCTGACTAATGTTTTATTTTTTGTAGAGACAAGTTCTTGCTATGTTGCCCAGGCTGGTCTTGAACTCTTAGCCTGAATTAACCCTCCTGTCTCAGCCTCTGTATTTGCATTTTTTTAAAAAGTTGTTAATCTAAAGAATGCCTCTCTAGCAGACTTTCACACACAATAAAGTGATAACAAGGTTGCTCCTTCCCTCTATTATTCCAAACACTCCTGTTTCTTTGCCTGCCGCTTGGCTTCCTCAAATACCAAAGAGCATTAAAACAACAAAAATAACAAATGACTGAGTCCTTGTTAAATGCTGGTCCTTGAGCTGGGCCTGTTACATTCCTCCAAACCTCTCACCAACTTCATTTTAGATAAATGGCTGAGGCTTGGAGAGCCCGGCTCCCCAGGGCACACGGCTCAGAAGTGGCAGAGTGAGAATATCCACTCAGCTGTTTTGACTCCAAGTGCCGAGCCCACTGAAAGAGAAAGAAAGCCACTACCAGCTGGGCCCAGACGCAGGCTGCCATTAGCAACGGCTCAATAGCACACCGCAGAAATTATCACACACTTCATTGCTGAATAATGATCAAAGGCATCGTTCACCAGTTAGGGCCTGAAAAATATGCTGGACTGCGAAGAAAATATTCAGTGGGATGTTCTTGGATCCATAGGTGAATTTCCAAATTTTTAATTTTCTTACACAAGCTTTAAAGCAACAGTGAAGCCCTCTACATGTGTGAGTGCTGTCAGCTGGAACAAGGGCTTTCCATTTGGGGGTGGGGTTAAGGGGTGGTGGAGAGCTGCTATTTACTAAATGTTAGTGACTGTCAGTTGTTTTAGATGTGTATTCAGGGGTAATGACAGGGATGCAATGGCCTCAGCCCCAGTGAAGTGGCAGTTTGGTTCAGGGAATGAAAGCTGATGAAGGCAAAGCACCTGTGATCCACCTCCCCTCTAATGTAACATTGCCATTATTTGTGAATTCCAGTCCCTCTGGTGGTAGCAGTTTTAGGAACCTGTGGGAAGTGATATTTCAGTTGTTCACACAACCATCTCAGCAAGTAAACCTCCCTGGAATGTCCTTTGTAAAAGTGGCAGAGATTTAAGGACAGGGTAGCGTGGTTGTTACCCTGGGGATATTCAAAATATTCTAACCCTTATGGTCCACTCTAAATTCCTCAGTTCCCCAAAGAGGCCATGCAGAAGTGACTCCTGGAGGCAGACAGCAGGAAGCTGCCACTTTGTGGTGGCCAGGTGGGCAGGGGGCAAATTTCCCTACAGTGTGACAACCCCTCTGTGCCCCCACCAGGAGTGCCAGTGTCTGCGACTGCTCTGGAAGCAGTGGTGAGGGTGCGAGGTGAAGGGAGGAGAGTGTACACATAGGACAACCTCAGGTGTAGCAATGAGTGCAAATGACATTTTGGAGATCTGCAACAGATGATTGTGATATGAATCTATCTGTGGTTTCTATCATCAAAAGCACTGCTAAATTCTTCCATGATTTACTGTCTCCATTCATAAAGGAAGGAGATACTAATTTTCAGTTTGTTCATGAAAATAAAGATGTCATTTTTCCCCTCTCATTCACAATCATGGACTCCTTGAATTCTAACCATGGACCCCTTTGGGGAGGGCGTAGGGACCTCAGGCTATGAACCCCTAGTTGAGACTGCAGCATAGACCCAGCCACTTGTTTGTCACGTTGTTCTCTAGGACTGGAGTTCATTGAAGTCCTGAGTTGTGTACACCAGCAACTAACGTCTATTGTTTACCTAAATGTATATCATCCCATGTGTTCCTCGGAGGATAAGGGGGCTTGTGCACAAGTGTCCTGGCTTTCATCATAGTGCAAATCATGTCCCAATTTCCGAGGAAACAGAAAACTCTTCCTATTGTGTAAATTCCCTGGGAACCTCAGGTTGCCCTAGGGACCACGGAATTGAATTGCAGACACCATGGATCCAGACACTCAGTGAAGTGGCAGCTCCTTGTGGCAGTGTGTAAGTCTGGGAGCAGTCATCAACTCCCTTGGGCATGGCAGAGCCAGAAGAGAAGGGTGACTCTAATAGAATCCATCTGCTTTGGCATCGACTGCACATGCCAGGGAGAAGAATGGCTGGCATCTGCTCCTTGACTTTGTTTGTAAGAGTTGTACATTCTTACAGGTTGCTTAATTTCTAATTATCTTCTGGTAGAGAGTAGGAATGAAAACAGATTATTTTTCAGATGTGGACCTTTAAATAAAAATATGCAGTAGATTTTGACGATGGCATGAGTGGAGTAAACTGGCACTAACACTTTTGAAATATAAAGTGAAACTCAAATTTGGTCGTTACGATTTACTATATTTAAATTGAAGCTATTATTTCGTGGAAGGAAAAAGTAAACAGCTTCCACCTGGGACATCAAATAATGTTGCTCTGAGCAAATGTCAACCAAGAATTTTGGCATAGTCGCCAATAAACACTCAGACACTTTTCTTGGCTCTTGCTAAGTCCTCCTGAAACTCCAGAAGTAGTTGTAGCCGAAGGCAATGGAAAACACATGCCCAGGCCTTGACCTCTATGCTTCATTCCTTCAGTGTTTCATTCCTTGACCTCAAGCTTGCTCCGAAATTACCTGCACAATATAGCTCCCCTTTAGGCTGTTATTTCACTGTTTCGTTTCTCTCGGCAGTGAGGTGTTGAAAATATTCCTAATAGTATGGCATTCAAGAGTACAAACCCCACTGGGACTTCCATACTCAGTAGACTCTGTATAAACATATTAACAATAGCACCTAGGAGCCCATAATTGGCTTTGTGTGAGCTGTGGCTTTGCCTGAAGACTTGCTGACCACCATTGTCTGTCCAGCAACTCCCAACAGTGGAACAAGGATAAGTCCCTTAATTTCTATTCAAAAACCTGCAAGATAAAACAGATCTGAATCTTTGGGGGCTAATAAGATTTTGGAGCCTATTATTCCACACTTAATCCCTGCCTAAATCATGTTTCTCCTTATACCTTGTCAATACTCTTGCCAATACTCTTGCCAAACTCAAAGTCTAATAAAAAGGAGAGAAATGAACCTGAAGTAACATGACATCAGCATGCAATATGCAGAGAAGTAGGCTGGGAGAGAAACTGGTAATTATGTTCAGGCTTAGTGATGATTAAGATGATAATGATGATAATAATAGCATATTTATTAAGTGCCTGGTATATGCTGGAAACTATATTATTTCTGGGCTCTCTATGTTATCCCATTTGTCTATATGTCTGTCTTTACGCCAGCACCATGCTGCTTTGATTACTGTAGCTTTGTGATACACTTTGAAATCAGGAAGTATGAGATTTCCAACCTTGTTCTTCTTTTTCAAGATTGTTTTGGTGATTCGAGTCTCTTGAGAGTCCATATGAATTTTAGGATAGATTTTTCTATTTCTGCAAAAAAATGCTGTTGGGATTTTGATAGGGGTTATGTTGTGGAAACTATGTTATACACTTTGAAAGATATCCAATCTATTTCTTATGACAGCCTATGACATAGATACTATTATTTTTTCCAAAATACACATAAGAAAACTGAGGCACAAAGATGTTAAGTAACTTGCCCAAGGGTACACAGTGAGCTAGAGAACTAGGTTTGCACCTAGGCAGTCGGATTCCAAATACCATCTACTTAACCATGATCCTGCACAGGCTCCTGACTGATGATTTGAGAAATCTAAAAACTTTCTGCTCTTCTACTGTACAAGGGTGCATAAAGCAGATGCAGCTAGTTGTTCAACAATATCCATTCTCTTTTTAATAATAAAACTACTGAATTTGGGTTGGCCATATAACCACCCAGCTGGTGACCACATGTCCCAGCATACTCTGCAGTTACGGATGGCTGTGTGATTAAGTTCTGTCCAATGGAGTGTGAGCAGAAGTGATTTGTGCACTTCTGTGATGTGCATCTATAAAGAAACAGGCATGTGCTCCTGTGGCTCCTTCCCCATGTCCAGTGATTGGAAGTCCTATGCAGTGATGGCCTGGCAGCCCTACTGCCATGGACTATCAAGACTGTGATGGAAAATACAAATAGACTCTTGGTTAAGTCATGTGTCCTTGGGCCTTTTTGTTACAGCAGCTTAGCCTAAAACTGATTCATTCTGTGGCAATTCTAATTCTATTAGAATTAGATTTGGGAGGAAGGTTCACTTGGAATTTTTCCATTGGGAATTCAGCATAATGAGGTTTTCAAACACTTATCCAAAAATAGAATATCACTTTGTGTATATACCATTCAATGCTTGCTGGTATTTGCTTTTTTAATTTTCTTGGTGATTTTTAGATTATACTTTCCAATCTATTAATAGTATCTTTTTATAAAGACATTGGCACTGAGTTGCGGAAATCAGGGCATGTGCTTTGAATTTCTTTCCCATTAGTAGTAATGAATGTTCATCTGTCTACATTTTTCTTTTACCTGTTCCTATGATCATCTGCTTTTGTTGGTGGGAGTGCCTGTCTGGAGCTGGGGATTTGGCTCCAGTATTGAGTACAGGGCCTGGCCAACTAGATTATTGCAGCAGCAAGATCATGGTTGGGCTGGAAACACCACTTCCAACAGCTCTGACAACTGCTACTTCTACATATTGGCATGATTGATGTGCTTCACACAGAATGCATGCTAGGTCCATGAATAAAGCTCAGACTTTATTCATATTGGTGACATCAGAAACTCTCCCAGTGACTCACACATGGCAGAAGTTGGAGAGATCATTCCTCAAATTCATTGCCCAGGTGTAAAGTCATGTGATATTAGAGTCATCCTTAGGAAGAATATGTTTGGTGCAGTTCATGTGAATATAGACTTTTGAAAACTTTTTTATTAGGAAAATTTTCAAACATATTCATCAGTAGAGAGATAGGTGTGATGAGTATTCATGTCCATGAATATCTTCATATAGATGAAACCAAGTTAAAAAGAACATCAAGAGCAGCTTTGAAGAGGAAAAGAATTTGAGAAAGGGCAGACAAAGGAGGGTGTGATACAAGAAAGGGGCTGTGCTCAGTCGAAGGCTCTTTGTAAGGTGCACGACAAGGGCAACCACTTAGCTTGCCTGCAACACCCCTAGTACTGCCCAAAAGATTTAAGGATGAATTAATCATAATTCATCAATAAGTGAATATTTATTGAGCCTTTCCTATGTGCTGAGCACTGTTTTACAAACTTTTGAGGTAGCCATTATTATGATGCTCATTTTACGTATTAGAATATTAGGACTTTGAACAGTTTAACTTTCTCCAAGTCCCATGGCTGATCACTACTGATAGGATTAGAGCTAACATTTGAACCCAGGACTTGTTGACTCAAGAGCCTACAATCTTGAAAACAAACCTGTGTTTATTAAGTCTAGTCTGTGGACTTTTGGACTCAAAATCAATTGGGGCACTTGTTAAAAAGGCAGATTTCTCACCCTCACCCTAGACCACATGCATCAGAATATCACGGTGTCATGTCTAGAAACATGCATTAAAATAAGTTCAGAGCGAGACTCCGTCTCAAAAAAAAAAAAAAAAAAAAAAAAAAAAAGTTTCTTTTTAAAAGTCCATCAGAGTTTAAGAACCATTGCTCCATGATATTCTGGAGGTGTAGTCTCCATAAGAGGTTCTCTGAACTCTCTTGATTAATATATAGACACCATTATTCTAATGGATTATGTATACTATAAATATACACAAATAAAAATTATTAAATAAAAATTATTAAAGTATCCCCTGGGTGTCTGAACTCCACCCTACATTTGGGAGCACTGGTTTATAGTCAATACAGTATGAATTTGTTATTCTATTTTATCATGTCACAAATATCAGGAGTCATAAATTAGAATTAGTTCTCACACAGGAATTAAAAGTCAGGCAATCTCATATAAACATCAGATTTCTGATTTCTTTGAAAAACAGAAGATTTGGCCACCTGGGCCTGTGTTTCTGCTATAGCAACTGGCAGGGCTGCTTAGGGAAATGGGCTAGAGCTGAGCAGCCAGCTCCTTGCGGAGGGCACACATGCATGCCTGTGGGGTCGCTGTAGTCCCTGCCTAGCTCACCTCACTCACTCGTATTAATTATGATGGTGGGCACTTCAGGCTTTGATATCAGATCTACTGCCTAGACATGAGGATTTCTAATTCTAGGCTAACATGAAGTTTAGATAATCTTCATTTTGGCGTGTTGCATGCTGCCAGATCATTTTTACCCCCTCAACTTTGAAAGTTAATCATCTGAGTTGACTCATATAAATTTGCTGTTTTTGTAGGCTTCAAATGCTAAAAATAAAGTAATTTTACAGAGGTCAACCTGAGCACAAGCCCACGATTATTGTGTGCACCTTAGCTTGTTTTAATAACTTAACCTGGGTTGTTTCAGGAGCTGAGGATAATAATATGCTATTGAAAGAGGAATTTCACTAACCGAGACATTTAAAAAACAAGATTAACAATGTCATTGGTTTCAAGAGAGATTAAAAAAAACTACGTTGTCACTTTCCAAGGAAAGGAAGAGTGTGCAAAGATAAAGCTATCCTAGAAATTAATGAGCCAGACTTCTCTCCAGAGCTTAAGCCATTCCTTGATTGTAAGACAAAAATAACTATTTCATTAGTGTCTTAGAATTTCACTGGTAAAGGAGATTCTAAGTTTCACCCTGAGGTTTGTGATTATCCATTTGTTACTGGATTACCACTAAACTCTCTTGTGGCCTGCCTCTTCATGGCACATCCAAAAAGAACACAGTTAGCTACAGAAGCCTCAACAACAGATTTTTATTGAGGAACATTTTTTCTTAGTCACAATGAATTTTATTAGAAAGAATAATCTCAAAATAAACTAATATGGTTAAAATTTCACACTGAAGAATTTATTAGAGATTTTATAAAAGATCAAATTGTTTTGATAAAATTTAGACCTACAAATATATGTCCAGAAAAATTGGATTTAATAGAAACAGTGGTCACGATAGAAAATTCACAAAGGCAGAAGTTTTATAATGGATACAATTTTTTAGATGAGATGTATTAAATCCTTCCTGTATAATATATACAAAACAAAATTACATTTTTTGGAAAATAATGTTAGTAAAATAAAAATAAAAGTAAAAAGTATTAGAAACACATTTACTAGACGGGATAGGAAAATGATCAGGGAGTTAAACTGGCTTAATGGAACTCACTTCAGAAAATTTATTACGTCTGCACTCATAAACATGGAGTCCAAGGAGGCCAGGACTGAAACACCCACCCTGTAGGAAAGGTCAAGTCCACACTGTGGGGACAGAATGCCTCTGGTTCCCACTAGGAGGAAGAATCCTGAATCCATTAGAACTCAGGCACAGGTGTGGAGACTCCCTGGCTGAATCTACTCAGACTCCACTGCCTACCATTTGAGAGAGCCATGCCTAGGCATTGCCCACTTTTCTAGGCGTCCTTGCAGTTCCCTTCAAAGTGGGTGACTCCCCAGCCCAGGTTCCTTTGTTTACATGACTTTCCCTGCCTAGCAGGTCTTCCCATGTTTTGATTGCTGCCCTTCCTTCAAGACTCAGGTTCTGTGACCCCTTGCTGCCTCCCATGTGGCCTCCATCCTCTGCAACCCAGACCTTCCTCTCCTCATCAACTCCTCTGGCCAAAGTCACCCATGAACTCCTTGTAGCTCCTTTCAGCCAAGGGCGAGCCCCATAAAGGAACACAGCTGGTGGCCATTAACAGCCTATACCAGGCCAGCTAGGGAAAGAGTGTCTCATTTCTGAAGGAGGGAGCTGGGCAGTTTCCACCATATGCCTCAAACTCAGCAGGACCAAACCAAACTCATTTGGTCCTGACCATTCTTCTTACAAATTTTTTCCTGATGGTCACTGCCTCATTTGAAGTTCTCATGACCTCCTGACCACGTTAATCTACCAATCTTCTTGATCACCTTGGCCTAATCCAGTTCATCCTTCACACAATCACCAGTTAGCTAATTGTTTTTTTTTTTTTTCACCGTGTGTGTACTTTTTAAAATTGTGGTAAAGTATACATAGCATAACATTTACATTTTGAATAGGCAAATGATCTGAACAGATATTTCTCAAAGAAGGCATACTAATGGTCAACAAATATATGAACAAAGCTCAACATTACATCATCAGGGAAATGCAAATCAAAACCACAGTGCTGTATCATCTCACCCCTGTTAGGATGGCTGTTACCAAAAAGACAAAAAATAACAAATGCTGGCAAAGATGCAGAGAAAAGAGAGCATTTACACATTGTTGGTAGGAATGTAAACTAGCACAGCCACTATGGGGAGCAGTATGGAGGCTCCTCAAAAAAATGACAAATAAAACTACTATATGGGCCAGGTGCAGTGGTGGCCCACGCCTGTAATCCCAGCACTTTGGGAGGCCAAGGCAGGTGGATCACTTGAGGTCAGGAGTTCAAGACCAGCCTGGTCAACATGGTGAAACTCCATTTCTACTAAAAATACAAAAATTAGCCAGGTGTGGTGGCAGGCGCCTGTAATCCCAGCTTCTCGGGAGGCTGAGGTAGGAGAATGGCTTGAACCCGGGAGGCGGAGGCTGCAGTGAGCTGAGATTGTGCCCCTGCACTCCAGCCTGGGTGACAGAGTGAGACTCCGTCTCAAAAACAGAAACAAACAAACAAACAAAAAAACTACTATATGATCCAGCAATTGCACAACTAAGAATTTATCCGAAGGAAAGGAAATCATTCTACTGAAGAGACATCTGCACCCCCGTGTTTACTGCAGCACTATTCAGAACAGCCAAGATATGGAATCAACCTAGGTGTCTAACAACAGATGAATGAAGAAAATGTGATG
The DNA here is from genome assembly GCF_000001405.40 of Homo sapiens. Classification (NCBI taxonomy): domain Eukaryota; kingdom Metazoa; phylum Chordata; class Mammalia; order Primates; family Hominidae; genus Homo; species Homo sapiens. The sequence goes on along the minus strand of NC_000007.14, from coordinate 112,354,539 downwards.
TATATGCTCAATGGGATACTATTCAGCCATAAAAAAGAATGAAATCCTGTTATTGTGGCAACATGGATGGCACTGGAGGACATTATGTTAAGGGAAATAAGCCAGGCATAGAAAGTTAAACACCTAATGTTCTCACTCATATATGGAAGCAAAAAAAGTTGATCTTCTAAAGTGTAGAACAGGCTGGGCATTGTGGATCATGCCTGTAATCCCAGCACTTTGGGAGGCTGAGGCTGGTAGATCACCTGAGGTCAGGAGTTCAAGACCAGCCTGGCCAACATGGTGAAACCCCATCTCTACTAAAAATACAAAAAATTAGCCGGGCGTGGTGGCGGGCACCTGTAATCCCAGCTACTCAGGAGGTTGACGCAGGAAGATCACTGGAACCCAGGAGGTAGAGGCTGCAGTGAGCTGAGATTGTGCCACTCCACTCCAGCCTGGGTGACAGAGCAAGACTCTGTCTCAAAAGCAAAACAAAACAAAACCCGAAAACCAAAACACGAGCAAACAAACACACAAAAAAGAAATAAAATGTAGAACAGAGAACAGTAGTGGGTGGGAAGAGTATAAGAAAGGGAGGGATAGATAGGTTTGCTAAAGTATACATAATTACAGCCGGATAGGAATAAGTACTAGTGTTCTATATCACCGTAGGATGACTATAGGTAACAATAATTACAGTTTCAAATAGCTAGCATATTCAACATTCCCAACACAAAGAAATGATAAATGTTTGAGATGATGGGTATGCTAATTACCCTGATCTGATCACTATACATTATATGTATTGAAAAATCACTATGTACCCCATGAATATGTAGAATTATTATTTGTCAGATAAAAAATTAAATAAAAAACACTTTAAAAATTTACCATTTTGATCAGTTTTGAATGTATAACTCACTGGTATTAATTACATTCACAACGTTATGTATCCATCACTACTATCTATTTCCAGAATTTTTTCATTACCCAAAACAGAAACTCTGTAACCATTAAGCATTAACTCCTCATTCCCCATCCTCCATCCCCCAGCCCCTGGTAATCATCTATTTTCTGCTTCCAGAGGAATGTTTTTAAGGAAGTCACCTGCACACCATGCCTTGTTCAACAAAATATCCTCAAAGTCTTCTTCGCCTCTCCCATGCTGAATGCTCTGCCCTTTCTCTGACCCCTTCAGTCTCTCTCCAGTCTCTTCACTGCCTTGCTGGTCTCTCTCACTCCCACCTTGTCCCCATGTATCACTCAGCACCAGCTTCCAGCACGCCACCTTCTAGATCCCACACAGCAAAGTGCAGTCTGGCTCCTTACCTGGCTTTTGATTCATGGGCAGCACCCTTCTGGGACTCTTGTGAATCAAATTCTCCCAACCCCATGAGATGGCCCCACAAATCTATTGTATAATAGAGGGGAGATGAAGAAGAGACCAAATGCAATGTTTGCTTATGGCACACAAGACTATTTCCAGCTGATAGCCTGACATTCCCCTGTCTTCTTTTCTTTGGGGTTGCTAAATTTGAAACCGCATTGGCAGCAGACCTATTAGTTTAGACATATACAGTGGACTGGGTAAGTATGGGGTGATAGTTAAGCTGAGACCTGGATGATAGGAAGACATTACTGTAAAGAGGAGGGGCAAGAATATACAGAGAGAAAAACATGCAAAAACACTGAGGCAGAGAAAAGTGCAGTCTCCTGTCCAAGGAGCAGAAGGAGGCCTGGTTGCCTGGGGAATAGTGGGCACTCCAGAAAATGGCATGGGACAAGATGGAAGATATGTGGGTCATGTAGAGGCCGGGCATAGTGGTTCATACCTGTAATCCCAGCATTTTAGGAGGCCAAGATGGGTGGATCACTTGAGGCCAGGAGTTCGAGACCAGCCTGGCCAACATGGCGAAATCCAGTCTCTATCAAAATTACAAAAATTAGCTCAGCATGGTTGCGCATGCCTGTAATCCCAGCTACTCAGGAGGCTGAAGTGGGACAATCGCTTGAATCAGGGAGATGGAGGTTGCAGTGAGCCGAGATCGCACCACTGCACTCCAGCCTGGATAACACAGCGAGACTCTGTCTCAAAAAAGAAGAAAAAGAAAGTTTAGACTTGATTCCATGTTCAACTGGAAGCCATTTGTATCAGCTGGGAAGCTTTTATTGTGAGTAATAGAAACTCCACTTAAAAAGTTCAAATAATACAAGGGGAGTTTATGGCCCGACTAAATGAGAAATCCAGAGGAGGACAGCTCTCAGGTGAGGGCTCTGGCTCCTTCCTCAGAAATTATCTTGATTTTGCTCTTCTCTGAAAGTTCTTGGGCTAGTTTCTCTCAACGCCACTTGACGGCTTTGGCAGCAACTAGGGTACGGGTTTGTTTTTTCATAAGGAAAGGGAGTCTTAGTTTCTCTGAGTCATTTAGCAGAAATCTTCAGCTTCTCCCTGATTGGAGCAACCTGGACTGGCCACAGTGACCCAGGCTTGCTATGCACCTTTGACTTGGGTTTAGTTACTGCCCATCTCTAATCCAATAAGCCAGTCTGCAGTGAGGGTGAAGTTATTACTCTAGTCAGCACTCCCCTCCCCCTGGAGGTAGGGCTGGGGTCAATTCCAAATGGCATGGCTGTTACTTAATGAGGGTAGAGTGGCTCCCCAAAGAATTGGAAAACTATAAGGAAAGAAAGAAAGGAGAATGGATGCTGGGTAAGTAACCGAGAAGGTCCGTTACACCATGTGAGGATTTTTTTTTTTTTTTTTGAGATGGAGTCTCACTCTGTCACCCAGGCTGGAGTGCAGTGGCACAATCTCAATTCACTGCAGCCTCCACCTCCGGGGTTCAAGTGATCCTCCCACCTCTGCCTCTCAAGTAGCTGGGATTACAAGTGTGCACCACCATGCCCAGCTAATTTTATTATTTTTGGTAGAGACGGGGTTTCACCATGTTGGCCAGGCTGGTCTCCAACTCCATGGGAGGACTTTTAAAAATCCACTCTAGCTGTTACGAAGGAACACACTGGAGGGTCCAGAGAGGAAGGAGGGAGGCCAGTTAGGAAACTGTTATAGTAGTTCAGATAACAGACCATGGTGGCAGGGACTGAGATGTGTTTGGAGATAGAACTGAAAGGACTTGGTGACTGACCTGACGAGGGAGGAGGCAGTTTTGGCAGACTGTGAGGAGTCTCAAATGCCAGTCTTTGGAGTTTTTGTCTTTTAGGCAATGATGGAGGTGTAAGAGTGGGTTGTTTTTTTTGTGACAGTAAGAGATTAATAATGTTTGCTTTTTACTTTCACTTTCTCCCCCTCCTTTAGAATTAAAAAGAATTTATAAACAATTTACTACAGCATACTCTTTTTCTCTTCTGTTTCCAAATGAATAAAACACCAGTATCTATGAACTTAACTAGAGTTTGATTTCCTGCTCACTCTGTAACCAAGTCAATTGACTGGGAATATCCTCAAAAATTGTTTTTTTGCAGTCTAATTTTATAAGGCAAAAAGAGCATAGCTTCACTTACATCTTAGAACATTGTGAAGTCAATATTAACTTCGCTGAATGTTTCAGTCTGAATTTAATGTGCTTATGATGCCACTGCAGATTGCTATCATCAGGAATCGAACATGCTTTAGCCTTTCAATATATCAATTATAAGGCATAAGAGTTCAACTGCAGCAGTTTAATCCTTTAACTACCCATCATCTAAAACTTACTGAAGGAGTTGAATTAAGCTTCAAGGATGCAGGGTGGCTATTTTTGCAGACTAAGCAAACAATAGTTGAAATTTGATGCCCTTGATGGAAATGGATGGAGTCTGTCAATTCTGCATATACATTCAGCAAAGTACTGACATTAAAACATTTATTCTTGTTCTGAGTGCATGTTCTACTCCATCCTCTCAAAGAATTGCTTTTCCTCCATTCATTAAAAAAGCTCAGGACTTGGCTTTGTCTCATTTTAAATTCCCATATATTATATTGTTGGATGTCACTTTGTTGTGCTTTTTTCTTTTGGCAGGTCCTCATCTCTCTGATCCTGTTTCCCATCGTCTCTTTACCCTTGATGAAGATAAAATTCCTGGCTAGACACCTTGTAAGATTGTATCTTCATTGTCAAGTGAGATAGAAAAGCTGTGAGGACCACTGAGCCTTACATAAAATGTTTTCTTCTGTGGTGACACAACACCTAGATTTGTAGCAGTTACTGTCATGATCTGCCAGTTCTTTTTTGCAATAACAGTTTCTCAGTCTTTGTGTGAGGGCCTTCCCCTACCTTCAGAGGATGCTAAATCAATGTGTGAGGCAAGCTGGAAGTGCCAGGGAATTAATACTGCCCCTGGGAACAGCCCTCAACCCATGACCAATGGGAGTGGGTGAATGGCCTAGCTTTTTTGCCCCTTGGTGGTGGTAGTGAGGGGGCGGCGGGGGGTGTTGTGGGGCAACTGTAAGAATAGTGTTCTGTGCAATCTCCCAGAGGTCCTCAGTGAGGTTGAGTCCTAGTTCCCATACCAGCAACTTCTTCCTTAATATACAGTTTCATGGTTTTTGTTTTTTGTTTTTGCATTTTTCACTCTCCTACTTCCTGAACCGGTATATTCCGGGTTTACCTCTTAAAAAAATGACCTGCACTAAGCACTAAAATTCTTTCTCAAGGCTGTTTGTGGGACTCAACAAGTTAAGACCCTAGTACTGATGGTTTTTCAGAAAGTCTATGTCTAACTAGCTCACAATGATATCCAAGCTATCAGCTCTCTGGCTTTATTTTGTCCAGCCTTAGTTCTATGTGAAACAAGTCTACTCTGCCTCCTGACTGACTGGACTTAGTGTATTTAGTGGTAACTTTCCAAAAGGTGGTTTCATGGTAATCCTGGCCACATCCACCATTTGCTAAGAGGCTGTGTACCTTCTAGAAGAGCCAGCTGATAAATGGCCAAGCAGATGGAGATGAAATATCACCTTTACTGCTAATTAAGATATTGCAGAACATGGCTTACTGCTGTGGGCAAGCAAGCTTCTTAATACTGAGCCCCCAAATTAGGCACTTATTTATATACATAGTCAGACAGTGTTGGACAACTCCAGTCATCCAACTGCATGGGGCAGACCCTTCCACTCTGATGTTTATACAATGGTGGAGCAGAACAGGCTGTGTTCTCTCTGCAGACAGGCAAATCCCAAAGAAAAAAAGGAGGAAGGGACCAAAGCACAGATGCTAGTTCCTGTCCTTTAAATTTCTAGTCAGAAAATTCACTCCTTCTGTCTGGTAGAAGTGAAAGAGGGAGCAGAGAGAAACCAAGAATGTTATGTAATGGATTCCCTTTCTCATAGAAGCAAAATACTTTGGAAGATGAGTTTCCCCTTTTCCAACACTCCTCAGGTTTTTGTTCTCTTTGCTCATTGGGCTTACCCACTAAGCTAAGGTCAACCAAGAGTGTGACCATTTCCTTTGCAGGAGGTCTATCAGGACAGTGCTGCTCCCACCTTCAGGAGTGCATCTCCCACCGCCCCCACCCGAATGACAACTACTCTTTGTGTATTCTCCTAGGACTGGTGGTGAAGAATGTAGCTATTGCTCTCAGAAGGCAATTCATTGATGGAAGTAATTCCAGGGCCATGCTGAACCCCAGCTGAAAGTTCCTAATTTCATCTTCCATTCCTGATTATGTCTAAACATGTTCACAATAGTGTATCAGAGGTTCTGCAAAGAGATAATATGGCAATGTAAAGTTGCTTCAATAAAAAACATTTTGGTAAAAATTGATGTTTCAAATTTAAAAACAATCTTGACCATTGTGAATCTCTCAGGGAGAAATTAAAATACAAAGATTGGATTCTCTTGTCTGAGTTAAAGTTAGAAGACATCAGAGTCTAAAATTCATCCTTCCCAATTTCTTATTCTGCTCATTCTGAACTAGATTCTTGATGCTGGGATGCACTGTGGTTTCTTCCAGCAGCCTGGAGAGTGTCTCAGAATTGCTAGTGTGGCTTTCTTCTGGAATTGGAACTTGAAGTTAAACACAAAGTTTCTGGTATATCTCACTTTCAAAAGAGTATCATGAAAGCACTAACCAGCAACAAAATTTAACAAAAGAAAATGAATCAATTCCACGATCTTCAGTAGTAAGACAAAATGATGCTCCCAGAGCTCTGCATTCTCCATAACAGAGACTTAGCTGTATCCTGATTTTGGATTCCCCAGGATGCTAGTCCATCTGTGTGTTACCTGATCTCCTTGATCTCTGAACTTAAACCTGATTGGGGGGAATCCTCCTGAAGACGTTAACATGTTTTATCATTCCTCGAGGAAGAATCCACAGATATTTCTCTCAGGGTGACATATGAGACATTTGCATTCTTGCCAAGTTGAGAAATAGGCAATGATGGCAAGCCCAGTTGCGCGGTCTGTTTTGACCCTTTTTTTCCCCATTCTGTATTTTCCTTTTGAGCCCTCTCTCTTCAACATCCCCTGATCCAGGGAGTTTGTGCTCTAAATAATGATGGCATAGTTTCCACACTCTCCTGTGTGCTCACTTCCCAGTTCTTTGCCACAGTGGCTCCTGTTGTTGCCTTGGGCTTTGGAATTGCCTCGGCTTGTGAAGGCTAGCTTCTAAGAATAGTTTCCCCTTCATTCCTTCACTTATTTCAGCTGGAAAACATCCTCGGCCTATTCCTGAACTAAAACTGCTGTTGATGTTTCTGCAGCTTGAATCCCTAGGCGTATTGGTTGGAATAAGGCTCGGCTATGAATAATAGAAAACCTTAAATAACTGTGGGAAGGTACAACTTTATTTCCTTCACATAAATGTGTATTTCAGCATTCCAGGGCTGTAGAGTCCTCCAAGGTGTCAGGGATCCAGATTCCTTTGACATTGATGTCTCACCATGCATGACTTCGACTTCACTGCCCCATATGCAGATATCTACATCCTAGGCCACAGGAGATAGGAAGGGATGAAAAACAAAGCAGAGGGTGCTTATGTCCAGTATCTTAAGGAAGACTCTTGGAAGCTGTCATATGAGACCTCCTGCTTATATCTCATTAGCCACAATTTAGACACAAGTACCCTGAGCTGCAAAAGAAGTGCAGTTCAGGATAACTGAACTTGGAAATGTAATTTTCATTTTAGGTAGCTTTATACCCAACCACACTTTATTATTATTGAAGAAATGGAGGATGGATATTGTGTGCAACTGGACTAGACTAGTTGCACTGGGACCTGGTGAGGACAGACACCTCTGCTGAGCCCTCAGCATATAACCATCCCTTGCTTTCCATCTGTCCAGGTTCCAACAGTACTTCTGCTCCTTTTTTTGGCAGTAGTGGATGTGTCCTAGTGCTTGGTTTCTCTGCAGGCCTTTTAGGGAGAAATAGCTGAATTTGTTACAGTATAACTTACTTTTTATGTTGATCTGTTTCCTTCCCTAATGTAAATAGGTCTAATGCTAGTTGTACTTTCTTTTTTTTTTTTAACTTTCTCTCTTTTCTGGGCCGGACATGTGCTTATCTAACATTTGGTTCTAGATTTATCTAATGGGGACTTCAGTTGTGAGAGATAAGTCAGTAGGTTTTGGTCTGCCAAAAGCAACCATTGTCCAAAAAATCTTGGCCGCCCTCACCTTTCTGAGTTAGATAATCTTAACTGGCTTGCATTTTCTAATTGGATTAACAGCTGATCTGAGCTTGGATTCCATTTATCACTGTCCTGCCTGGCTCTCTTCTGTTATCTTCCATCTTGTTGCCTTAATTCTGTCTTAATTCTAAAAATTTCTCAGGCACATTTCCTTTGGGACACAAGAAGCTCTTGTATGCCTATCTATAATTATAGTAACAACTGGAAATTCATCCAATAATTCCTTGAATGTTTTGCTTTCATCTGATATTTCCTCTCAAATTGTCCTGACTTTCAGGGTACACTTCGTATCACTGTCCCAGTCTTTGAAGAGCAGTTCCCAGTGGTTTTTATCAAGGAGTCTCTATGTAGCTTAGAGCTACATAGAGTCCTTCGCCAATAGTGGCCTATGCTCTTGCTCCATCTAGGAGTCAGTACAGTTTGCTGAGATTTTCCTTCTATTCTTGTTAGATTTCTTTGGGTCCAAGTTGCCATTTCTGTCCCCAAATAAACTTGAAAACGTTTAGCCACTTAAAAAAACAACTGCTAATATGAATTAAACCCTAAGTACAACATCTTTTCCCTTTTATGTGTTGGTCTGTTCTTCAATTTCATTTTTCCTTTTATATCTATTTGACTTGTTCTCTATCAACTTTTTCTCCAAAAAAGCTTTCTCCTTCCCAATTACTTAGTTTATTGTCTCATTCTTCCATTGCTCCTGTCCTAACACTGAAGCATGCTCTAAAAACCTCTTCAGACATTCCTTGATGTCCTGAATGAACCTGATTCCTAGAGACAGACTGTTGTAGGCACAGTCTAATTGTCTAGACTGCCTCTTTAATCTTTGGTTTTAAAATATTTAACTTAATTGCATCTTTAACTTAGGCATTTTTCATTATAATACAGGCTCCTATATCTTTGTTTGCTTAGTTTTCAATAAAAGCCTTTCATGGTGTCTGCAGAGTGGGAGGGTTAGAAATCTAGAGCTGTGGCCAGAGCCTATGTAATTAACAAATACAGTTGAGTTAGGACCGCATGGTGGGAGGAGGTTGACTCTTGAGTCTCTGGACAGGCAATACGACTCCAAGATGAGTTTTGGGGCATTACCTACACAGACTAGCATTAATAATTGAAAACCAGAGCCTCAGACTCCAGCATTCTGTAGCACATATGCTGCATAAAGAACACACTGTAGGGCTGGGCATAGTGGCTCACTTGAGGTCAGGAGTTTGAGACCAGCCTGGCCAACATGGTGAAACCCCATCTCTACTAAAAATATGAAAATTAGTCAGGCGTGGTGGTGGGTGCCTGCAGTCTCAGCTACTCAGGAGGCTGAGGTGGAAGAATCGCTTGAGTCCGGGAGGGGGAGGTTGCAGTGAGCCAAGATTGCACCATTGCACTCCAGCCTGGGAGACAGTGAGACTCCAACTCAAAAATAGAAAAGTAAAAAATAAAAATAAAAACCCACTGTAAAGAAAGGTCAGAAAGGCCTTTAGAAGGGTGATTAGGCCAGGAGGACAGCCCTCATGGATGGGATTAATGACCTTATAAAAGGGTTTGCTATAATTTCAATGTTTTGATGTTCCCTCCAAAATTCCTGTTGAAACTTAATTCTTGCTGCAACAGTGTTAAGAAGTGGGGCCTTCAGAAGGGTGATCAGGCCATGAGGGCAGAGGCCTCATCACTGGGATTAATGACCTTACAAAAGGGCTGGAGGGAACTAGCTAGGCCCTTTTGTCCTTCCATCCTTTTGTCCTGTGAGGACACAGCCTTTGTCCCCTCTGGAGGATGCAGTATTCAAGGTGCCATCTTGGAAATAGAGACTGGGCTCTCGAACTGGACACTAAACTAAGATCATGGACCTCCCAGCCTCCAGAACTGTGAGAAAAAAATCTAATTGTTTATAAATTACCCAGTCTCAGGTACTCTGTTATAGTAGCAGAAATGGATGGAGACAATGAATGATAATGGAACATGTTAAATAATATAAAGAAGATACAATCATCCAAATCCAGAAAGCAAGACAACTAATCCAATTGCTTTAACAAATAAGTGGCATTAAAAAAAAACTGTGAATTGTTATAGATTAAAAGACCCTTAAGAACCACACCAACCAAATATAGTGCATGGATCTCACTTGGAACCTGATTAAACAAAACAACTGAAAAAAGACTTTTTTTTTTTTTTTTTTTTTTGAGATGGAGTCTTGCTCTGTCACCCAGGCTGGAGTGCAGTGGCGCGATCTCAACTCACTGCAAAACTCCACCTCCCAGGTTCAAGCAATTCTCCTGCCTCAGCCTCCTGAGTAGCTGGGATTACAGGTGCCCACCACCACACCTGGCTAATTTTTGTATTTTTAGTAGACACGGGGTTTCAGCATGTTGGCCACGCTGGTCTCAAACTCCTGACCTCGTGATCTGCCCACCTTGGCCTCCCAAAGTGCTGGGATTACAGGCGTGAGCCACCGTGCCTGGCTGAAAAAAGACATTTTAAAAAACTTTTAATTTTGAAATAATTTCAGACTTTCAGAAAAGTTGCCATAGTACAGAGAATCTCCACATACTTTTACCTAGATTCCCTAAATGTTAACATCTTGCCATGTTTACTTCATTATTCTATATATACCCTTGTTAGTTTTTTGGGAGTAAGTTGCAAACAAAATGCTCCTTTACCCCTAAATACTTCAGTGTGTATGAATATTTCCTGAAAACAAAGACATTCTCATCCCACAGTACAGTTATCAAAATCTGGAAATTAACAACAATACCATAACACTTACTATAAATCTTACTCAAATTTTGCCAGTTGTCCTGCTAATGTCTTTTGTAGCAAAAGAAAAACTTTTTTTCTTGGTCTAGCATCCAATCCAGGATCATGCTACGCTATCTTTAGCCACCTTTAATCTGAAATAGTTTTTCAGTCTTTGTTTTTTATGATGTTAAAATTTTTGAATAGTAAAGGCCAATTATTTTGTAGAATGTCCTTTAAATTTGGATTTTTTTTTTTTTTTTTCCTTTTTTTGAGACAGAGTCTTGGTCTGTTGCCCAGGCTGAACTGCAGTGGTGTGATCTCGGCTCACTGCAACTTTTGCCTCCTGGATTCAAGCGATTCTTGTGCTTCAGCCTCCCAAGTAGCTGGGACTATAGGTGCATTCCACCATGCCTGGCTAATCTGTGTATTTTTCGTAGAGATGGGGTTTTGCCACGTTGGCCAGGCTGATCTTGAACTCCTGACCTCATGTGATCCTCTGCCTTGGCCTCCCAAAGTGCTGGGATTACAGATATGAGCTACTGTGCCCAGCCTCAAACTTGGATTTGACTGTTTCTTCATTATATCCAAATTATGCATTTTTGGTATAAATCTACAAAAGTGATATTCTGTCCTCCTCAGTACATCTTATCAGGAGGCATATAATATTCATCAGTAATGAAACTGATAATATTGTAAACATACATTTTGAGACAAGTGGGAAAAACTGAAAACAGATGATATTAAGTTAATGTTAATGTTTTTTAGGTGTCATAATGGTATTGTGGTTATGTTTTTAAAAAATGGCATTTAAATGTTAGTGACATACAAATTGCAGGGAAAAGTGAAGTTAACTGGCTTGATGTCTATTTCTAGGGAATTTGGCCACCCTAGGCAGAAAGTGGTAATAACACAGTCAGCTCTTGATTGTTCTAATATAATGGCCAATTTGCATATTATCCACGTCTTTGACCATTTCTTCTTTCTTCTGTGGCTTTTCTTTTAGTCATTACATTTACAGCTCACCCAATATAGTACAGAAGGGATATTCAAATTTTGCAACTTGTTGGATGAAGAAGGTCCTTGGGGAGGAGACTGAAACTACTGATTGAAAAATCAGGTTTATAAATAATTTGAACATTTCATTTCTTTGTAATTGACATATACTTCTATATATAATTATGAGTTTAATGAAGTGAGATAATTTAAGATGATCACACAATAAAACTTTACAGCCAAAATACAAAGTCTTCATCTTATTTTCCTACTTCATTTTTTTTCATGTTCTTAGTAAGTGCATTTTTCTACTTTATTTTTTGAAAAGAACATTCATTTTTGAAAAGTTTATTTCACCAAGGACCAATCTTTTGTTGATGTTCAAATTTAAATTGTTCTTTCATATCTGTCTCATAGGAGAAAAACATGAAAAATTGCTTCTGTGGTAGTTTCTTCTAGGTTTTCAAGTACTCTTATAGTAGCAACTGGTTCAAAATACTGCTTTGTTTCAAAGCATACAGTTTAGATGTATCTTCACTGATGATGGGAACATTTTCATTTTGTTCCTGAGCTGTCAGGTCACTTTCACTGTCAGATAGTGTACACAGGAGAGTGTCATTTTCATAGGTTGGAAAATAATACCTGAAAACAACCACAGATACATAGTATTAAATTACCAAGCTAATACAGTGTCCAGGTAGCTGAATGTACACATTTACTATAATTTTGTCAGGTATCCTTGCCAACAATTTCATAGCATTTTGCAAAGGCTATACTGGAGACAACTTCTGATTGCTTTCACTTTGACTTTTACTGGCTGACATCAACCTTACCAAATCTACTATCCAGATTTGGTAAACCAAGATCGTGGACCTCCCACCCTCCAGAGTTGCCTCTGGAGTTGTCCGCTGGCCACTTAGCCTCTGCTTGATCATCTATCATGATAACAAAACACACTATCTTCGAAGGTAGCTGACCCCAGTAGTGGGTAGATCTAGTTGTTTGATACACCTCCTGTGAAGCTAAAAATGACATCTTTCTCATTTCTACTCAAAGGTCCTAGTTCTTCCTTATAAGTTAACAAACTTCAAATATAGTTAATTTTTCAAACACAAATTATTCAAATAATTGAGAATAATAAGCTCTTCCTTGTGTTTTGTTTTCCAGCCTAATAGTTCCTTCTTTCTAGGTAATCACAAAAGGAAACACTTACGGAATATAAAGTTTGTTATTCTGGTTCCTTCTCTGAATACATTTTGAAGTTACTTTTGGAATATTACAAATTTTAATTTATATAAGAAGGATCATAAAAACAGGGTACCCTCACAAGTGTGGGATTTTCTGAAGGAGAAAAACTAGAACTTTCTGGTTAAAGTTCTGGGGGAACTGACTTAACATTCCCTAAGAACAGAAGGAGCTCTGGGCAGCTAGAACCCCACAGTCTCTCAGAGGAGCCCTCGACTGAGGTTATCCAGAACGATGTGAGAACCAGTCCAGAAGGTTCTTGGCAAAGGATACTTGGGAACCAGTCCACAAAGTTCTGGCAAAGGATACATGGGAATCCAACAACAGATGACCAACTGCTTAATTTTTTCAAGTGCCAATATACAAAATATATACAAAAAGTCCTAGCAGTGTGCAAACTCTGACATAGTAATTTTATTTCTAGGAGTTCAGCTTAATTAAATAATTAGATAAGTGTGCTAAAATGTAGGCATATAGATTCACTGTATCATTATAATAGCAAAAAGTAAGAAACAACCTAAGTATCTCGCAGAATAGATTATATCCATACAATGGATATTTAGCAACCATTAGAAAGGATGCAACAGATGGATACTGGCTATTGAAAGATATTTACAATATTTTGTTAATAAAATATAATTTAAAAAATCTGTATCTACTTCATCTCTCTACATATGTATCTATCTCCATATCACAAATACTGAAAAATACTTGGTTTCATTTGTAAGAGGGGGATTATTTTAAAAATAAGCATTTTGAATATTTTTACATTTTTCCCCACACTGTACTGATGTATACTTTTTATAATAAATATGTATTCCTTTTTTTTCTGTAGGCTTAAAGAAATTAAATAAAGGGACAAAATCAAAGAGTTGGAGTAAGAAGTGCACATTTGGTTTTGCAGTACGTACTCCAGTTGATCCCACGTCTTTCTATCGGGGAGCAGCGAAGTGTGTTTAGTTTCTTCCATGTGAGTTCTTAAGTCTGCTTTGGATTTGAACTTCACATGGCAGCCATAACATCTGCATTGGTGAACTTGCCTCCGAATAAAATTGACCAGTTTCACTTGCTGATAGAAATTTAATCCTGAAAATGACAAAATACAGAATCATTAGACAACTGTTCAGACCCATTTTTTGCACTATTATAATTTCTTAAAGGAGCCACTTATTTTTATTAATCAACCTGAAGAGGCAGTACAATTATAAAGCATAATAATAGATACCAAATAATAACAGCACATATTTACACAGGGCTTATGAGCTAGGCACTATTCTAATAATTTTCCATGTATTAATACATTTAATCTTCATAAAACCCTATCAGATAGGTAGTATCATACCTACATTACATATTAGGAAACTGCCTAGCATCGCATAGATAGCTGTCAGCTGCAAAGCCCATGCTTGACTACTAAGCTAATTATATAAACAATGTATATATATGTCTATAAAAGCAGCAAAGTAACACATCCAAGGACCTAGGAAAGCAGTGACTGAGCTGAGCTGTGAGAAGTAAGTTTTTTACTGTCTTAGATCTATTAGCAAGTCAGTACTTTACGTATGTCTTAATGCCCCAAATCGTTCTATTGTTGTGATACTTAGAATGATACATTGGGTACACCTATAACAAACAATCCTAGCTATACTGCTAAGCAGTGCAGTAGCCATTTACCATACATTATTCACTCCTCATAACATTTTTCTGACCTGAGGCCCAATGTCATAGCCAGTAAGTGCCAGAGCTGGAATCTGAACTCTAGTTTGACTTAAAAATCCATATTCCACTAGCCCCCTCCAATTTATGATATATTATTAACCACTAACTTATATTTCACTTGAAGCACTCATATATGTAGGAAAGAGAAAGAAGGAGTATATGAAACCAAAAACCATATTTGACTATTATGGTTGAGCATCACTGCTTCACAGAGAGTTCTGTCAAGACCATCTATAGAGAGACATGTTTTGGTGGTGCACTCTCCAATCATAGCTACTGAACATAGGCATAGCTTACAGGATGGTTTATAAAAAATGAAGCATCACAGAAAAAAACCTCTGAATCAAACTTACCAAGTTCTGACTTTATTTTGAGAAGATCAAATTCGTGTGCATCCTAAAAAAGGAATGAATACATCTGTAAGCATATGAATTATTTAATCTTTCAGGCTGAAGTTATAAACAACTTATTCACAGGAGTTTGAGTAGTTTAGAAACTCAGTCTGAGTTCGGTATCTTCTGCTTTTGAAGTCTTCCAAGTCTAACTACTTCCCTCCATACCCAACTTTTTTACAGCATAGTCCAAACAAGTCATGTCAATCAGTTAAACCATTATAATTGGGCCGGGCGCGGTGGCTCACGCCTATAATCCCAGCACTTTGGGAGACCGAGGTGGGCGGATCACCCGAGGTCAGGAGTTTGAGACCAGCCTGGCCAACATGGCAAAACCCCGTCTCTACTAAAAATACAAAAATTGGCTGGGTGTGGTGGTGGGTGCCTGTAATCCCAGCTACTCAGAAGGCTGAGGCACGAGAATCGCTTGAACCTAGCAGGCAGAGGTTGCAGTGAGCTGAGATCGTGACACTGCACTCCAGCCTGGGTGACACAGCGAGACTCCATATCAAAGAACAGCAACAACATTATAATTGCTCATAGCTTATATCTATAGTTTTTATAATTTACAATGTTATCCATTTTGTAGCCTTCTAAAAATGTAGAAGTCTATGTATGCATTCTGCAGTGTGATAAAAGTGTAGGTAAGATATGTTTCTATTGTACTGTGCATTTGGACTAGAATTATGGATATAGGTTCTTTGCCCCACATAGGTAATTTTTACAAATTCTGCTTTTCATTTTATGCTGTCAAATACACTGTTTAAACCTCAAAGCTTCTCTTCACTCACACCTTCCTATAAATCACGCTTTCTTTTGATTTTTACAATGCACTTATTTTTTGCGTGTTTGTTTGACACCTGCAATTGTCTGTGTAAATGTTTTAACCTACAATCTCACAGATGATAAAGACCATTTAACTCACTGGGATGGCATTTAGTGTAGCACCATATGAAGGATGATTAGGAATTCGTGATGTTATCACTGAAAGTGACCCAGCAGAGGTTAAGGACACCTGTCAAGGATGCCGAAAAGGTAATCCTTACACAGGATAGGCATACTAAGGCTGCCTTCAATACAAAGACATTAAGATATTATGAATTAAATCTAAACACAGGAAATTATACACACATACTAGTGGGAACCTTTTTCAGAGAAACTAAAATCAAGGAAAATGTTTATGGTCTTTTGAGCGCTTTCTAGGCCCTTATTTTACTAAACTAAGAACAGTATTTCTGAATAAGGGTGAGGTGAAAGTGGGTGAAAGTAGAGAATATGGTCCACTATTGGCAGAGGTGGCTGCAGGGAGGGGACGGAGAGATATCAGAATCATCCAGTAATATTTTTCTATTATAATCACCCCTCTGCCCACAAGCTGTGATACTATCATGAATCATTACATGTTCCCCTTCCCTATCCGCCTTGTGCAGCTAAGGATCAGAGGTGCAGGGTGTGTGTCCTCTCTCAGGTATACTGGGGTGAAAAAGGTTTAGAACTGCTAGCTCCAAGCTTCACTATAACATAAAAATGGCATCCAGAAGGGAAAGCCCACACTAGGAATGCTCCCTAGTTTCTTCTCTCTAAATCCTGGCACCTGAAGGAACTGTAGGATCATGCCCTAGCTCCTCTCTACCCACCCTCCTTTTTCCCTATTCCTCCGGGACCTTTGTAAATGGCAATGTTCTCCCTTCTTGCTCTCCTATTCACCAGCACAAGAAGCACTGGAAAAAAGACTCAGAACCTGTCCCACCTGCTGAGCTAGAATGATCTTGTAAGCATCTCAAAGGTGAGATGGCATCAGTGGTCTGAGAAATCTCACACTAACAAACAGCTCACTCGGGTCCAGTCAACTGTACTAACTAAATTGCCCTGAGCTCTGGTTCTCCCTGACAGACCTGGCCTGTCTCTTCTGGTTGGAATAATGATTGGGAAACTGAAGTAAAAGCAGATGAGGGTGCAACAATTACTAGCTTTCCCCTGTCAGAATAAAACAAAATTCAAATAAATACAGGTATCTTACCTCCATGTGGACATACAACTTCTCAATTGTTTCTGCTTGCTTTTCACAAAATAAGCAGACTGCAGAGGCAGGGTGTTCTTCCCAATCAGACCAGTCACTGAATTAAAAAAGAGGAGAGAAAATACGGAGATTCCCTTCATTAAGAGAGTATACTACACAGTGACTTGGTATTGCTTTCTCCTTACTAAAAAACCCTGCCAATCTCTTTCAACTCTGACATTTTGGTAAAGACTGTCACATCATATTATGACTCTCTGATATAGCTTTTGAAATTCAAAGCAGCACCATGAAATTAATATACATAGTGAACAGGTGCTGTTCCATTTTCTCCTATTTGCCGTTCTTCTGAGTAGCTATCTCAGTCTACAGTCAGAGGAATGTCGTCCTGAGACAATGAGGTTTAATTTGCAAAGGAGACATATCAGAAAATGTGATGCTCTCTCCCATTAACCACAACCACTGAGTGCACACGCTGTGAGGTGTGATGCCGGGAATGTGTTTCTGCATGACAAATAGTGTATTTTACAAAGGCAAACCGTGTCTCTTTCACGAGGGAAATACTGATTATTTTAAACTGGGCAAGTGTTAAATCTGGCGGTAGACAGGGAACTCAAAAAGGATACAGGATCCCTTTTACCACTTTCCCCGCTCCTTGGCATTTCCCTTTTTGAAATACTACCAACTTCTTATCATTCCCAAACCAGGAAAACTGCCAGGAGGGAAGAGTTGTGGAGACAAGGAACACCCATTCAAATTCAGATGAGAGAATTTTTCATGGCAAGCTCAGAAATGATCACTGATAAGACTCTCAAGATCAACCTAACCCAATTCACACAGAAGCTTCCCTATTAGAAAACAGGAAACATTTTCCTTAACTCTATCCATCCAGGAGGGAGCCACCAGTCCCGGCCCAGGTCATGACTTACTATTTATAACCTTTTGTGTCATTAAAACTTTAACATTCACTGATTAAATATTCCAACTAGTATGTCTTAATGGGAAAGATGTTTTTATTTCAGTCTGGAAGACTCTCTGCCTGAATCTCTATGCATCAAGAAAATTCAGCAAATGGCAGCTCTCTACCTTTGGGCTTTACCTCACTATTAAAATAATAATAATTTAAAATCCTGAGAGAGAAAAAAGGCCAAAAAGCTTTGACTGAAAAGAAGATGAAAAATAAGAAATCCTTTTAGGTTGAAAAGAACATTTCTCAAGCTTATAATTTCAAGCAAAGAAGCTGTGAATGTTTAAAGTTAGTCATCAATGGCCCGAACACAGAACAGGATTAACTTCAATGCAGTTATATTCTCTATTCCAATGACAGCAACATGGAGAGTTCAAAGATCACATCACTTCAAGGTCTGAGCACTAACTGAGCAGGCAAAGCACTTCGGAATGTATTTTTCTCTGAATTATATATTACTTGTGTGTTCAATCAATAGCTTTAATTTAGTTGGAATAACAGTGTCTTTAGGAATTTTTATGTCAAAGTTATTTTGAATTCAAGTTTTTGCCACATTACATGAAGGGATGCATGGCTCAGAGAAGGTATTTTTTTCTTCTTATGTTCCCGCTTCATAATTTAAACCAAACTAAAGCATTGTCTTCTTACTCTTGGAACACTGCAATTAATTAGCAGCAATAACAACTCTTACTCTTCCTGATGGTCCAGCAACTCCCGATCATCTTCCAACTGAACTTCTTCCCACGATTTTCCAAGTTCCTTTGTAGGAAGAACAGAGGGATGAGAGACATTGGGGGAAAGAGAAGGGAGAGAGTATGTAGAACTTTGAAAAAAATCAAAACCAAAAAAATAAACAAAACCACCCATGTTTAAATGGTTTTGAAACAGTACAAGTAGGATATACAGATGGCCCAACTTATGATGGTTTGATTCAACACTTTTTTTTGACTTAATGACAGTGCAAAAGCAATATGAAGTTGAAACCTTAATGAGATAATTTTTTAGAGAAGCAGCAATATCCTTTCAGTCAAGTTCTTTTCTCTTAAATTTGAACCAGTGTTTCTAAACCCTGAATGAGTATTAGAATATCTGGGATTCTAATGGCCTTTGTTCATTGTTACATTTCCAGAGCCTGGCATACAGTGGGTACTATTACTATAAACTATTTTTTGAGTTGAATTAGAAAGTAGAATTCAATTTGTTAGAAATAAAAAATAAAAAAATACACTTGAGGTCAATTTAGATTCTACCTCAAAAGGTTTTTTTAAGGTGATTAAATGAATGAGTTACTGTCTATAAAGAAATAGTACTAGGCATGAGTAGGTGCTCTAGTACCTACTCAAATCCCTTTTATCCTTTGCCATCAGTGGAAAAGTTCCACTCTTTTGGCGCTATGTCTGGCAAGCCTAGTCACAGCGTTAGCAAAACTTTATGGAGTGATGAGTAGGAATGATTTATTTTGGCCCAATTCTTTTGTTCCCCTTGGGCCGTTTCTTCCTCTCTTCTTGCCCTGTCTTCTTTCTATCCAATCTTCCCATTGTGCCATGCAAAAGCAGACAATGTCACAAAGAGAGAGGTAGGAACATTAATGGATATGTTTTCAAGCAGCTAAACTATGGTTAGGATCAGGCCCACCTGACCTGCTACAAGCATGGATAGCTTTGTTGTTCAATATCCTTTTGGAAAAACAAAACCAAAATTCACTCAATTATGGACTCTTTTTCCCCCAAATAAAGGTATTCATCTAGCTAAAAACAAAGAACTATGAGTGCCATTATGATTTAGAGGGAGAAAGAAAATCCATTATTCATCAACTTAATGAGAGGTTTTGAAGCTGTCATTATCAGCTAAATGATGCATACATTTAGATATACAGAGATCTATCATAATGTCATTAGAGATGGTTAATTTGGACTCTATAATGTACTTCCCAGAGTCATCATGAAGTGTCTGAATCTCATTACAGAACACCAAAAATGGCCTCAACACTGCCAACAAGATGCTTGTTAGAAAGTTTGGTAATGAATTAAATCTTTCATGCCTTACTTGGTTTTTCTGTACTTGGACTTAAGGTCATGGTTTTATTGCTGCAAGGTATTACTAAAGTATGGGCCTTCTGTGATTTGATCATTCTGAATGATAAGGGCAAATGTTGCTTGTCAATGAATATTTTGAGCCAAAAGTACAAAAAATATCTTTCACTGTTAAACTTCTAAACTCAAAGCATTATTTTGCAACTTCCTCAGTGTTGAGTACAATATGTAGAGAGTTATCTAGGCCACACAGCATTAACCACTTACCCCACTTGAGAGGAAAATGAATGTACATGTTTATCAGTATATTAGGAAATAAGCAATTTGCACGTGAAAGTGGCCCAGTTTCCTAGAGTGCTCTGATTTGGTACAGTTAAAGATATGATTTATTATAGAAACAAGACCCAAAGCAAAAAAAAAAAAAAAAGCACATAACTCTCTAATTAAGACACTGTGCCTGCTAATGAATCATGTCAGGAAAGCAAAGAATGTAAGAAAAACAAAGTTTGGAAGGCATATCACTAAAGATGTTCAGACACCCCCTCAAACCCCTGCATCAGATGGCTCATGAATAATGAGAGGGTGGAAAAAAACATGGAAAAAAAAGATCCCCTTCACCCATCACACTTCTGCCCTAATACATACACACTTACATGTGCTTACACAAAACTCCACCAGAAACAGAAAGAGAAGTGTTTTAAGTGTAAATAACTTCACTAGAGAAAACTATAAAAAACTATGAAAAATCAGTTAAAAGCTTACTTTTGTTATAAGTGGCTTTGTATACTTTAAGAATAAAAAAATTTAAATCAAAGAATGATAAAAATCATAGCAAAACCAATTCCCTTTAGAAAAACTCAGGGTTTGAAACATGAGCATCGTAGGAATATGTAGCTGAAGCCTCGATGTTAAACAGTCTGTTGCCCTCTGAGGAAGGGTTATCTGAATGTGAAACTAACTGGCACCTTATCCCCAACCCATCCTCACTACCTGTTGAACTCTTTTGTTTGTGAGAAAACAAAGCAAGAATTTGATGTAGATAATTCAGACTATGCAAAAGACTTTTAATGTTTTTGCAAGTCTGTTACTATTCAGAAACTGATATGAATGATTCAGCACAGAAATTATCTCACCTAAGAAGGAAAATGGAACTTGTCAATTTGCTGAGCTCAGAAAGCCAAATGCAGCCTCTCTGTCCATTTGCTCTCCTACTTCTGCTGCCTATTAGAGTGTATCTTGCTACGGATACCCTGGATGTTCCCATCATTGTTGCGCTGGCAGAGTCTATGGCGTTTGAAGTGGAGGTGAGGAGCTCTGTGTGTGAATGACTCAATGACTGCATATATCTGCTATAGGAGAGGTCGAACGCTGACTTTCCATATACCATTACAAAGGGTTCAAACTAACGTGCTTACATGGTGGTTTTCCATACTGACTTCTGAACTCTTTGAAAGTAGTGACTCAAATCAGCCTTTCTATCTACAATATTTTTTCTTTCTCTTCTAGCATCTGGTACCTGGAAGGCACTCAAATGTATGCAGAATGTATGATGTCAATAAAATAGATGTATAAACCCACTACTAATATAACAATTCTATCTTTTGCCCACACTCATGCACTCATGTCAGCCTTTTCCCTCAGAGGGATAACAAGGGAATATCTATCTTTTTTTTTTTTAAATAAAGTATTGTCATTATTCATTGTTTAAAATTTTAGAATTTATTCTTCATATTGATTTATTACTCATGTTCTTCACGTTAAATATTATTCTTTAATGAGGTCTGAAATAATACTAACATGATACTGAGAAGACACTGGCCTTTATTTTTCTCTACCTATACTCTGTTAGTATTTGGGACAGTTTTTTATACACTTGTTCTATATAATATTATACTTTAAATATATAACAGTATTCCTTCAAATATTCCTAGAATGTTACTAAGCCTGATACCTCTGGTAAGCACCCCTCTAGTTTAGTGCCTGTGTATATCTTTAGTGAAGCCAATAGGCTTCTTCACTCCTTTTCAAAGGTGTTTACATCATTTCCATAATGCTAAGGCATCAACACATTTTAGGTTTTCGTTTTTTGTTAATCATTCTTACAGTTTTTGGTTACTTACCTCAGCAGGAATTTCGCATAGGAATAGGGAATAGAAAATAGGGAATAGGAATAGGAAGTGGAAACGGGCTAGGAAGATGAAGATTGTGGAGCAGAGCCTTAAAGTGCTGATTAAAGTCAGCTTTACTTTGACCTTGGCTCACTTTTTAGTTTATTATAAAAGAGAATAGGCAAGGGTGGGAGAATAGATCATTATGAACTCATCACCATTACTTGGCCAAAATACCCAACCCAAAGCATAAGATGTAGGTATTAGTCTTGTCTCAATTGTAAAAATGAAGGAAACTGATGCACAGGATAAGTAACTTGCCCTAGCCATGTGACCTTTGGAAAATTAGCCTCTCTGTGCCCCAGTCCCCTTACCTATAAGAGGCTTAATGACAATACCTGTGTCACAAAATTGTGACTTAAATTAAACAATTTAATATAAATACCTAGGATAGTGCCTGCAGATTATAAGTACTCAAATAGCTGCTAGCTAAAAAAAAGACTTCTATCAATATGACTCTAAAGTTGTAATTTAATTTTCATTTTGTACGTTGTTAAAGCCCTTACTTTCTTTTGAAACACTTCTCTTAATGTGTAGTCCACGCCACATCAAATCCGTGCCCTGTATGAGCAGCACAATCTGCCATGCTCATCCAGAGATGGCTGGCCCTGGCAGATGATTTCAGTTTTGACAGCTACCCTACTTGATGCCCAGGAAATGAAGTATCATACTTTTCTAAAAGTGCTGGCAGAATAAGAGTGAGCAAATCCCTTGAAGTCTCCTCTAAAAGGTGAAAACCTCCAGCTATATAATGTTCTGCTAGTCTCAAGATCTTGAATATTAGTTTTAAAAGAGCCCCAGAAGGAAGAACTATTAAATTGCTCCTATAGCTAGATGCAGTAGCTGAATATTTCTTAGAGCTAGCACTGAAGTCCACTCCCTATTAGACTGGGCTGGGTCCTGAAGCAGCATTTGCTCTAGGAAGTAATGACTGAGTGATTTCAAGAAAAGATTGAAAAGCTCAAAGGGTACGTTTGCCTTTAGCTGGTTGTAAAACATTTGTAGAAAACCATGGCAACCTCTTAGAGTCAATCTTCAAACACATGTTAAACTTGCTTCTCAAGGGGAATTTTAACACTACAAGGAATAGTTAGAACAGACAAAATTCCACCCTAAAGCAGAGATTTCCAACATAATTCAGGATATGCTTGTTTCTATCCAATAGATAAAATGGCTGATTATATTCAATTAGCCTTTTGTGACCAGTGGGTTTGGGTTTTAATTCATTTACATTGAGAGAGAAAAAAATTCCATTTGCTTAAGAAAAATGCCCATTCAAAACAGAACTCTCTGTTTTTCTTCCAATTCCTCTGGAGAGTTACATAACCTCTTCTTTTATATGAGTAGTTTCCCTCCTTTGTCATATATATTTTTTAAAAATCAGTAGATTGAAGGCAGGCCCAGTTCCCCAGTCATTGTTGTCTATCAAAAATCCCCTCCCATATTTCCAAATGCCTCTCCCCATCCCCCACTGTCTCCATCTGAATGCCTCTTGGAAAGGAGAGCTATCAATACATTTAAAATGCTTGGCATGGTAACCTGGTTAGTCTACCCTACAAGCCAAACAAATAAAAATCCCCTTCCATAGTAAAATGGTTTGGTTTCCTTGAAACTTCCCTTAAAAATAAGCTGACTGAAGAGAATGATAAAGATACACACTTTTGTAGGGGTGAAGGGGAAAGAGCAAAGAGATTGTTTTTAAAGAATTATTTTGCATAGCACCTAACACATCCAGTACTCAACAGTTTCTTTTGAATAGAATATATAGAAGTCTCTCTGGCCAGGTGTGGTGGCTCACTCCTATAATCCCAGCACTTTGGGAGGGCAAGGCTGGTGGTTCACTTGAGGCCAGGAGTTCGAGACCAGCCTGGCCAACATGGAGAAACCCTGTCTCTACTAAAAATACAAAAATTAGCCAAGTGTGGTGTAATCCCAGTGCTGTGCAGCACAGTAGCTGTAATTCCAGCTACTGGGGAGGCTGAGGCAGGAGAATTGCTTGATACCAGGAGGCAGAGGTTGCAGTGAGCCGAGATCGTGCCACTGCACTCCAGCCTGGGCGACACAGCAAAACTCCATCTCAAGAAAAAAAGAAAAAAAAAAAAAAAAAAAAAAAGAAAGGAGTCTCTGGCCCCAAGTTAAAAGATATTACATAAATGGGGGATGGTATGTGGATATCCAAATGCTGTATTTTTTTTTTTTTTGGTCAAGATGACTGTGAGTTCTAGAGACATGACATTTTTACTACATAAACACTGTCAAATAAAAGACAAGTCAAATCAAATGTCTTGTACTCTAACCATTTCAAAGCTAATCACTACTTGAATGTGCCCCTCAATTACATTTTGACTTTTGCAATAATTGCTTATTCAAATATTAGTTGGTCCTCAGAAAGATTTTGTTTGCAGTACTGCAATCAAATTTTAAGTTATGAAAAGAAAGCCTTACCAAATAATTGATGACATAAAATCTGTCATATTCTCTGTTCTTAGGATTAATCTTACGATGCTGTTTTTTCCTCATGTGATCTTTAAGTGTATTTTTGTCCCTGAAGGTCTTCTCACAGTACAAGCACTGCAAACTACAAGAAATACACAAACACTGATAAACAAGTCTCTTGTATAGTTGCTGCAATAATCCTTTATTATTATTGAGTTTCATATTTATTCATTTTAGGTTACACAGCATCTTCAAATGGGATATACCATCCTTGTCAGAATCCCCCCTCACTTTATTCATTTGGCTTTGTAGAGTGCATAGTATGGTGTATTTTGTAGTCAGCTAAGTTGACCAACTTTGCTATTCAGTTAAGACTGTGACAAAGATAGGTAATATCCAAAAATTATTTTGGTTCTTTACTAACTGAATTACCTATTCTAAAATAAGTATGTAGGTATGTTCTTCAATTAATTATAATGACTTGCACTGACTGCACCCATTGTATGTAATAATTAGTACATGGTTTGGGATATCCTGTGAGCTGATTTGCAGGGTTTAATTCCTTGCTCCAGTGCCAGCTAGCTGTGGGACTTTAAGTTACTTCCCTTCTCTGTTGCCATTTTCTGATTTCTAAACTGAAGATAATACCAACATTTTAGAGATTTTTAAATGATAATTTCATATATATATATTTATTGAGCACTTACTATGCACTATGAACTGTGCTAGGTATTTATTCATGTATGTGAATAAGATAAATAGTAGCTGTTACTACCATATAATTCTCATATACCTTCTGCTCAAATATTTCCACTGACTGGGCATTCATTACCTAATGAAGCAGTGATTACCAGTTTTGAGCAGATTATTAACAAAATGTCTTTCTCATACTAAGCCTGACAGTTGATACAACATGTATTATAATTGCTACTCAGTAAAAAGTAGAGAGTTCTACTTTCTGGAGCCATATAGTGTCTAAGTATAATATATTTTACATGGGAAACTCTCAAATGATTGCAATCTGTTATTGTTTCAATTTTGAATTTGTTTTTATCTCTACTAAACACCTTTTCATCAATTTCTTATGCCAAAGAATATATTCCAGGGCATAATAATATTCTTTTGTAGTATATTCTTTTATAGTTGACAATTTATGGGTGATAAGCTGATTATATATATTCATTATTGCTAATCTTGCTAGAAGGCACATCTGGTCTTATTTTATAGGTAGTCGTTTAACAAAAGGGTGAAGGGACTCGATTTAACATAGTGGTGACATCAAAATTTGAGTTAAAAATTTCTTATAATTAATCTGTATTACTTGCTTCCTCTTATTTATTTATTTATTTATTTTTGAGACAGAGTTTTGCTCTTGTTGCCCAGGCTGGAGTGCAATGGTGCAATCTCTGCTCACTACAACCTGTGCCTCCCGGGTTCAAGCGATTCTCCTGCCTCAGCCTCCTGAGTAGCTGGGATTACAGGCATGCACCACCATGCCCGGCTAATTTTGTATTTTTAGTAGAGATGGGGTTTCTCCATGTTGGTCAGGCTGGTCTCAAAATCCCGAGCTCAGGTGATCCGCCCACCTCGGCCTCCCAAAGTGCTGGGATTACAGGTGTGAGCTACCACACCCGGCCCTTATTTTTTTTTCTATGTTGTTGCTCTCAGTGTTGTGGGTTGAAGCACCACACTTGTTAGTATTTTATTTAAATAAAGAAAACTGGGTTCTCAGAGAAAAAATTTTGGGCCCTTTCCTAGAAAGAAAAGTGGATACGTTTTTGAAAGTCATTTTGGTGACCTAAAGAATTTTCTTCCTTATTTCAACAGGCTAAGCTCCAGATATGGTTGCCAGAATATGACCTTGAGGAAATGGAGTATTATATACAAATGTGAATGAAAACCAAAAGGCAGAAGAATACACACAGTATGCTACGTTTCACACAAAATTAAACACCATTCCATAATTTGACAATATATTTACCTTATTGAATATGTAGACAAGTTACAGTGAAAAGTAAAGGAATTACAATTACAAAATTAAGAATAGTGGTTTCTGGGGAAATACTAATGAGGAAAGACACACAGGGAGATTCAAAGGAATTAACAATGTTCTATTTCTTAGGCTAGACAGTGAGTATATTCTTCATATCCTATACGGCATACATTGTATGATATGTATATTGTTTGGTATATATGACATAGTGTATTTGAAAAATTTAAAAAACACCAAAGGGCAATATGATCTAGACAAAATAAGGACTGTCGTACAAAATGTGAACTCCTCCAACATGGGAAATTCCCACTTCTTTAATTACTCTATTAAATTAATTTAAAAATATTCACAACAGAGTCCAAGATTAAAACAGCTTTAGGCAGTGTTTCATAAATCAGTACTTACTTGTCAAGCTTTTTCTGTAATGTACACAAAAATTCATTGCAGTTTACAATGTTGTCTGGCAATCCAATGTTGAAAGCATGTTCTCTGGCCATGTGGTTCAAAATAACAGATCTAGGAAGAAATTTGAGCAATTAGGATTATTCACAAATCATCTAAGAACACATTTGGGTTGGAATAGCATTCACATAATAAAAACACTAATTAGAGGTATAAGCAAGTGCTAAGCACTAACACAAAGATTTCAGCTATTAAAGAGTGACATTATAAAGTATGTAAGTGTACACAGTCACATCAGTTCTGTAAAGGGATACCAAAGTTTGTTCTACTATCTGCTGCTTGGCTACACTCTATAGAAGAATCAGGTTCTGTCCTTTAAACCAGGGGTATCGGTCCATGGCCTGTTAGGAAGCAGGCTGCACAGAAAGAGGTGAGAGGCGGGAAAGTGAGCATTACCACCTGCGCTCCGCCTCCTGTCAGATCAGTGGTGGCATTAGATTCTCATAGGAGCGCGAACCCTTTTGTAAACTGTGCATGCGAGGGATCTAGGTTGTGTACTTCTTATGAGAATCTAATGCCTGATGATCTGAGATAAAACAGTTTCATTCTGAAACTGGTCCCTGGTGCCAAAAAGGTTGGGGATCACTGCTTTAAACTATTAAATTAACTGTGCTGCTTCTACTTTTCCAATTCATCATGGAGACGAGTAAGAGGCAACTGCCTAACAGAAAATACAACCAGCTATGACCTAAGATCACAGGCATTTAGCCAGAGTATCATTGGACAATGACCTGGAACCCACAGTTAACAGGTCTATTAAATGCAAGGGCTGTGATAACCTGCAAAACAATGACCAACTTCTTGATTAATTTATACAGAAAAGGACAAATGTAATTATGTAACTTTTACATAGCAAAAAAGCATATGTGTATAGTATATTCTACAGAGCTTTTATCACAACTTTAGTTCATAAAATAAAGGTGATTGTTTTGGAGAGCCTCATCAGTATAAGTACCATTGATAGACTATGCATAGTGACATATCATATGGTTTTATCTAGATTATTTAGACACTTACCTGGTCCCCCCCCAAAAAAATGTTTTCAGTGTTTTTTTTCCCCTTGAGAAAGTGAAATAAAGAAATAAAGCAAACATTTCTATAAAAATGTTTGTTGACTTTTTTTTTTTTTAACTATGTAAGAGATACATTTATTAACCTTGTGGTTAGTATGCTCATTTGTCTCACTGCCTATTACTGATAACTTTGACTAAAACTACTTGTTGGGGTAGTTCACAGTGCCTTTTGGGCCCACAAAGGTTTTCCCAGGGGCAGCCCAGACAGAGCTAGACCTTTCCAGGGGTTCCAGACCTGAGGCTCAGGCTGTGGAAGAGTTCAGGTGAAAGCAGAGCTGAGAGCCTCTTGTAGGCAGTGTGGTAGGTGTGTGTGTGTGTTTTGGGGTGGGGGAAGGGTGTCAGGCAGAGGGTAAGAAAGTTCCCCCTATCCCCGAGGCCATGTTGGGGTAAAGTACAGTGCCTCTGGATTCAGGGAGGTTCTCCTAGAGTGGCCGAGCCATAGTTAACATCTGCCTAGAACTTCCAGGATGAAGATCTAGAGCCTAGATTGTGCCTGGGTGCTGTCAGAAATGGTATCTGACTCAAGGGGTATGGGTGGGTTGGGAGGTTTCCCTCACCCTCAGTCTATCTAGGATCAAAATATCTTGCCATTAAGAGTCACACTGAATGTACTCAGGGGAGCTGAATCCGGCTCTCAACCTCTCTGGGGCTCAAGAATCTGGCATCTAGAGTCTGAGTTACGAGATGAGAGGCCAGTGGTTGGCTCCTGGGGTAAATGAGTTTGGAGGCTTGGCCAGTCTCGAAGACTCTGTTCAGGTAGGCCACAGTGGCTTCTGGGACCTAAGAGGATTGGTTCAGCAAGGATTTTGGCCGCAGCCAGCAGCTTGCTGGGAGGGATGTGGGTGGAACAGACTGACAGTCCTTAGAACTTGTTTCCAGGCTTATAGGCCAGACCTTCCTGACTCCAAAGTGTTCCCCCAACAGTAACCAAGCATGTCAGGTCTACCCAGGGCTTTCAGGCCTGACACCCAAGCCTTGGAATGGACCAAGAGCTGGCTCAGGAGGTATAGGTGTACTAGGAAGGTCCCCATGATCTCAGGCAATGTTGCCCCAGAGAACAAGCCCATGTGTGAGCCTAGGCTTGCTCTGAACTTTTTTGGGGCCTGCCAGACAGGAATACAGATATTGAAAGTGAGGGAACGAGGGCTAACAAGCAGCTGTCTCAAAGCAGATATGAGTGTTGGGAGGCTACCCTGGCCACATACTTAATTGCTACCATCCCTAATGCCTTCTGGATCAAGGACAGTTCTACCACAGTGGGCCAAAATTGAGCCAGGTTTGCCAAGGGTTCTATGACTGACATCTAAGAGCTGGAAGGAGACTGAGTGAAGGCAAAGTCAGTGTTAGGAAGAGGGTTGGTGGGGTTAACAGTCTGCACTTGGTCCCATGCTCTGAACTGGTGGTCCTTGATGTCTTCTGGTTTCAGGTGAGGTTCCCCTAGGAGTGGCCTAGCCTTAGCCAGGACTACCCAGGATTCCAAGCCTGATATCCAGGCTCTGAAAAGGGGGCCAGGTACAGATGGAACTGGCAGCAGGCTCAAGAAGGGGCTGGCTGTCCTCTCCAATATTATGGTAGTTTATTTTACAAGTCAGCTTGACCTGGTTAAAGGATGCCCAGATAGCTGGTAAAAATAGCATTTCTAGGTGTGTCTGTGAGGATGTTTCTGGAAGAGATTAGTATGTGAATCAGCAGACTGAGTAAAGAAGATAGCCCATACCAATGAGGGGAGGCATCATCCAAGCCATGGGGGCCCAGATAGTTGAGCTGGGAAATTCATCTTCTCTTGTCCCTAGGTATTCAAGTTCATGGTTCTCTGGCCTTTAGACTCAGACTGAATTTACCACTGGCTTTCTTGAATCTCCAACTTGCAGATGGCATACTGTGGCACTTCTCGGCCTCCATAATTGTGTGAGCCAATTCCCATAATATGTCTCCGCTTATATATCTATATATAATATTGGTCCTGTTTCTCTGGAGAACCCTGACTAATACAAGTACCTAAGTGGTTTGCTAGCTAATTCAAAATTAGCTTGATTCAGCCTATTAGTCTGAGGTGAGAAGGGAGGAAAGGCTTCACCCTTGTAGCCACAGTTGCTGGTTGGTAAAGGGCCAAGAAAATCTTTGGGGCTTTGGAGTAGAGATGGCACCTTATGTGATCTGCTTCATGTCAGATTTTGAAGTCCTTTAATTCTTGATCAGCCAAGATGATTCCTCAAATTGCTGAATTACTTCTTTAATTTTTAAATTAATTCCTAATGTCAACTTGCTTTAATTTATGGGAAATTAAATGCATAACAGTTTAAATTATTATTGCAACTCCTTTCTTTATAAACTTAATTTTATTATTAATGAACTAACTGTACTTTGAGTACCCATACAACTATTTTGTTTTTTACTTTCAGTGCAATATGCAATAAATTACATCAGATATTCAAACCTTTATTATAAAGTACAGTTTGTGTTGGGCAATTTTGCCTATCTGTAGGCTAATGTAAGTGTTCAAAGCATGCCTAAGGTAGGTTAGGTATATTAAATTTTTTTTGACTTACAATATTTTAAATGTACAATGACTTTATTGAGATGTAACCCCACTGTAAATCAAGTAGCACTGGTATTATATTTTTTCACATTCACAATGGTCCTTAAAAGCATGTAATAACTATAAATACATAATACCTTTTGGGCTGAAATGAAGTTTTACTTAAAATATTATTTCATGTACTTTTCCTTTCAAATATTCTTTCCCTATACTTTAGGAACAAATATTTCCCTACATAGTGCTCTCTGATCTCATTTTTTGTCCTGGTTTAATACTGTTTGTAATCAGTTTTCACTAAACTTATAAATGTGATTTGGGCAAACAGGATTAAATTACAGAAATAGCTTTGAGAGAAGCACTTCTGGAACAGTGGGGCATGGACCTCTGAAAATCTGCTCCTCTATTAAAGCAACAGTAGCACTGGTGAAAATGGTCGAAATCAACTTTTTAAGCACTCTGGAATTAACAGAAAGGATGCAACAATCCAAGGAACATTTATTTAAGAAACATGGCTCAACTGTGGTAAGAATGGTGAGCTTTGTGATGTTTTAATTTGCCCCATTCCATTCTCCTCCCCTTAGCTCCACAATAGCCTTGACAACAGCAGGCTCACAGCCACTGGAAGGGGCAGAATACAAGTGGGCCATTCTGAAAGAACTGTTACAAGAACTGTTACTATTCAGCCTGTATGGCAGGTGATGGGAAAAGGCACATTCACAGGGTTTGTCTTTATTTGACATGATTCAGTCCACCCATTGAAAAAATTCTCACCCCTAGGGCATTTGCCAGAAACAATCAGTGACAATTTTGTAACATCACAGCTGCCTGAGGCAATACTAATTGCAGCAAACAATAGGCCAAAACATTTAAAAGGAAAATCTGGGTAATGAGGTGTCTACAGAGGACTCTGAAAAGTTGACATTTTCCTGGGGATCTAGAAGGCAGTACACATGTGCTGGTCTATGTAAGCCCCAGAAAAACCTGTGAAGATCCTACTCTCTCACCTCTGATTAACCCTGAAACTCTACACAAGCAAGAAGTGGAGGCTAAACCAGAACTGTAAACTGATGAAGTGTTGAAGGTATGCTCCAACCCACATACAAAGCCCCTTGGCAAAAGGCAGAAGATACAGTGGTTCAAGGAATTTAACGAAATCTGTCGGATCATTATCTGAACACTAAGCTAACTGTGCAGAGACTTCAGTGGCCACACAGTAGCAGTAATACACACTTTGGAGAATTAGTCCAGGAAAGTCACTAAACACACAAAAAGTAACAAAAACCCTGGTGGGGTGGAGGAGGAATCCAATTTCCAGAGTTGCCACATTATATTACTTAAATGTTGAGTTTTTGACAAAAAAATTACAAGACATACAAAGAAATAAGAAACTTTCCTCTACATACATGGGGGAAGAAAGCAGAAACAGAAATCACCCCTGAGAAAGTCCAGATGTTGACACACCAGACAAGGACTTTAAGTTAGCTAATATGAATATGCCCAAAAGAACTAAAGAAACCCCTGTCTAAAGAATCAAAGGAAATTATGAAAATGATATCTTACCAAACAGAATACCAATAAAAAGATATAAATTATTATGTATTTTACATAGGCAGAGTGGCCAATAGTAGCCAGAAAGTATTTTTTTTAAAAAGACAACCAATAGAAATTTTGGATTTTAAAGTACAATAACTGAAATAAGAAATTGACTAGAGGGGCTCAAAAGACTTAAGCTGGAAGTAAAAATCAATGAATTTGAAGATTGGTCAAATGGGATTTTCCAGTCTTAGAAGAAAAAAACAAAACAAAAAAATAAACACAGCTACAGAGATCAAGTTTACCAACATATGTATAATATGCTCCAAAAGGAGAGCAAAGAGAGATAGAGAAACAGAGACAGAGAGAAAGGGGGCAGAAACAACATTTAAAGAAATAATGTCTGAAAACTTTTCGAATTTGATGAAACACATTAACTTAAACATCTAAGAAACCCAATAAACTTCAAGTAGGACAAATCAAGAGAATTAATCCAAGAAAATCACTAAACACACAAACAGGAACACAAATCCTGGTGGGGCAGGGGAAGAATCTGATTGATGATCTCTGTAGCTGTTTATTTTTTTTTGTTCTTTTTTTCTTCTGTCCCGAAGACTGGAAAATCTCAATTGAACAATTTTCAAATTCATTGATTCTTACCAAGAGATAAGAGATCCTTACCAACACGTAAACTGTCAACAGGCAAAGATGAAGAGAGTCTCTTGAAAGATGCAAGAAAAAAGTCAACTCCTTACATACAGGCAGGCAGTCCTTAGTAAGTGATTTCTCACCAGAAATTATGGAAACTAGAAGACAGTAG
This sequence comes from Homo sapiens, assembly GCF_000001405.40. Taxonomy (NCBI): domain Eukaryota; kingdom Metazoa; phylum Chordata; class Mammalia; order Primates; family Hominidae; genus Homo; species Homo sapiens. The sequence continues at coordinate 112,321,805 of NC_000007.14, read as the reverse complement.
AATGTCATATTCAAAGTGCTGAAGGAAAAAGACTCTCAGTCAAGAATTCTACATCCTGTAAAACTATTCCTCAAAAAAATGATGGAAGAAAAAAAATGAAGGACAAATCAAGACATTTCCAGATAAACAGAAACTGAAAGAATTCATTACTAGCAGATCTCTCCAACAAGAAACTGAAGAAAGTTCTTTAGGTTAAAAGAAAGGGACACTAGACAATAACTCAAATCTACATAAATAAATAAAGATCACCAGTAAAGGTAATTACATAAGTAAATATGAAATACAGTATAATCGCATTTTTATGACCCTTTTCTTCTCATATCTGATATGAAAGATAATTGTATAAAGCAGTAATTAGAAAACATGTTCATGAGCTGATAATATATAAAGGTATAATTTGTATGACAACAATAGCACAAAGGAGTGAGGAGGAAACAAATTATATTGGAGCAAAGTTTTTGCATATTATTGAAATTAAGTTGTTATTAACCTGAAACAGATTGTTTTCAATTGAAATGTTAATTGCAATCCCCAGGGCAAACACTAAGAAAAAGAGTTCAAAATCTATGGTATAAGAAACAAGGGAGCCGGGTGCGGTGGCTCACTCCTGTAATCCCAGCACTTTGGGAGGCTGAGGCGGGGGGATCACGAGGTCAGGAGATCGAGACTGTCCTGGCTAACACAATGAAACCCCATCTCTACTAAAAATACAAAAAATTTGCCGGGCGTGGTTGCGGGCGCCTGTAGTCCCAGCTACTCGGGAGGCTGAGGCAGAAGAATGGCTTGAACTCGGGAGGCGGAACTTGCAGTGAGCCGAGATCCTGCCACTGCACTCCAGGCTGGGCGACAGAGTGAGACTCCATCTCAAAAAAAAAAAAAAAAAAAAAAGAAAGAAACAAGGGAACTAAAAATCATACACTAGAAAATACCTATTCAACACAAAAGAAGGCAACAATAGAGGAGAATAATGAGAAGACCTAAAACATATTGAAAATAAATAGCAAAATGGTAGAAGTAAATGTGATCTTATTAGTAATGACATTAAACACGAATTAAGTACTACAATGAAAAGGTGAAGACTGGCAGAATGGATAAAAAATGATCCAACTGTATACTGTCTATAAGATATACTTTCGATTCAAAGACACAAACAGGTTAAAACAAACAATGAAGGGTGTGGAGGAGAGGAGAAAAAGTAGATGTATGGTAACAAGAAAGTACTCATTACTCTATCCTTGTCTGTTATCCATCTCCTTCTTTCTACATTTATGTCCCAATGCATACACAAATATTCCATATTTATGTCCCAAGGCGTACACAAATGTATGCCTGCAACACTGTTAATATAGTGCATAGGTGGAATCAAGTTGTGTCTTTAATCTTACAGGCTGAGCTTTTCATAAATGAAAAGAACTGATGAATGAAAGGGGACGTTTTATAAGAACTAGACACTATTTATCTTTCTCACTGGTTATTTTAAAAAAATGTGCATTTACTACAGAACAATGGCATAAGTCAAGACTACTGAGGAGGTCATGTAATTCCTATGTGACCCTACTCAATACAGAATGCAGATAAGTTAGACTAGAAGAACAGGAGGATTATATTAGGAACTAGAGAAACACCAATATTTAATATGTTCAAATACTAATACTGTAAGAATTTAATGGCATATGGATATTTCAAATCATATCAGTATCCACATTAATCACTAGAACTTTATAGAAAACAAAAATACCATTTGTAGCTTCCCATATGCCGATATGAGAGATCTCTGATGATAATCACATGCCTCCTCACTAGGTCAATAATTACCTCAACATAAAATCGGAAATATTTTGTTAAAACATTGTCAGTAGTAATGTTTGGTAAATTTTCTGATGGTGGCATGGGTTTTCACTGGTACTTTTAAGTTAACTTTTAAGACCAGCCTTTATTGTTATGCCCGTAAAGTCCTTTGAAATAGAAGGACAAAGTTAGAAGTACGATCAGTGGCCTTGGCACCGATTTTTCTCTATGCTAACTGATCTGAGAATCAAACCTTTACCACTGGTGTTTTGAACATTAATGCCTCAATTAAACTCTTTTATAATTTATAAATTTAATTTATAAATTTATATAATTTATATAATATATATTATATATATTATATAATTTATAAATTATAATTTATAAATTCCAATAAGTGGCTACCTTCTCCTTTCCAAGGTTTTTCACATAACAATGTCAGTTACTGTGCTGGGCTATGTTTTCACTAAAGACTGCTTTCTTTCAAGTGAGCAGAGAATGATATTTTTCTGATTGTCCCCTGTATGCTGAATCAGTGAAATCATCCTCAGTTCCTAGAGGTTACAACTTCATAACTTGTATTTAAGTGAATGTATATTTGTAAACATTGCTGATGCGTAATAATAAATGTGTCTGCTCTTTGTCTCTTGTCCCTAGCACAAAGTTTCTAGTAATTTTTCTAGTGATAGGAGTATCTTTATTATATGAATGAGGAGACTCATGGTAGGACCCTACATAGCTTCCAGATGGGGAATGTTCATCATAAAGACCAACCATATGATTAGAGGGTTGGGACTTTGAGCCAGTCAGACCTCCAGAGAGGGGAGGGGGCTGCTGATTGAGTTCAATAATTTAATCAATCATACCTACATAATGAAGTCCTAATAAAAACTTGGGACACCAAAACTCAGAGTAGGTTGCTGGTTGCTGAATTCCTTAATGTGCTAGGAAGGTGACAGGTCCTAATTCCTTGGGAAGAGGATTCAGAAACTCCTTATTCAGGACCCTCTCAGACCCTGCCCAATTTGTCTCTTCATTTGGCTGTTTCTAATCTGTATCCTTTATAGTAAAACTGTAATCATAAGTACAGTGCTTTCCTGAGTTCTGTAAGTAATTCTAGCAAATTATCAAACCCATGAAATTATCAGTGGGAACCTCTGACTTTATAACCAGTGGTCAAAACTTTGGGTAGCCCTGGGACCATATGAGTTTATGGCTGGTGTCTAATGTGAAGGCAGTCTTGTTTGAGCCTGTGCCCTTAAATATGTAAAACCTTATGCTAATCCCAGGTGATTAGTGCCAGAATTGAATTGTACTGCACCAGCTGGTTTTGGACCAGCTGGGGTTGGTGATAGAATCACCAGTGCCCCCACTTCTTTTTTATGTCTTTATTTTTAATAACCAAAAGTGAAAAGTTACCAATGATTTAGAAGAAAAGAGTTAGTATACAGAGGTGCATCTGCAGTAGTTTGCTGCATATGGTCTTGCAGGTCAGCCAATTTTAAAAGTCCTGTAATATTAAACATAAATCTGCTTCTGTCATTTTAAGAATTTATACCCCTCTGCTGCTTAGAGCACCTACAGTTCATCTTGGACGTTGGGTATATTTTTAAAAAGGACTGCTTATATACGAAAGGGTCCTGAGCCAACACATAGAACTTAATTTATATAACCAACAGTTAGGGATGTTCTGATGAGTTTTCAGATTAAAAACAGTAACATTTAAAGATGCAAAATGGCAAACCTGTTTCCAAGGAATTCTTCATTGCAAAACATACAAACGCCATGAAAATTGGTATCATTTCGTTCTTGCTGCTGTTGTTCCAGAATTTCTCTCTGGAAAGTAGAAACAGATTTATGGTATTATCTTAATGCACAATTGGCTAATAAAAAATGTCAAAGTCTGGATGGGAGGAAACTGGGCTGGAAGCATAAAGGGAGTATATAAAAGTTGCCAACATTTCAAATTTCTCCATTCCTGTTTTTGCATTAAACTCCAAGTCTGTCCCATAAAATGCTTACAGAACACTCCACTTTAACAGCTATGTGGGAATTAAAATCAACAAGGTTTTACCGTCCTTTGCTACCCTGTCTTTTCCAGTGTTTTCCCATCCCTATCCTCTTCCAAAACCAAAATTGTGCTGGGATCTTTGACTTGCTCTTTTCCCTAATTCTCAGTTTGATTTGTAATCAAGTTCTGATCAATTTTTCATTTGAACTATCTTCCATATAACTTTTCTCTACCATTCCCAAGGTCACCCCTCTGAGTTCAGTTTTTAGTCATTGTGGGTTACCATAAATAAAGTCTCCTAAAGGTTCTCCCTGATTTCAATCCCTTTTCTAACATATTCATCCTCTTTTTGCTGCTAGAATTTTTCTTAATATTTTCATGCATAATTAACTTGTTGCATCTCAACTCAAATAATTTAAAATATGCTCTGATAATATCCTGCTCTAATCAAGGTGGTTCCATATGTTATTTTTCCTGAGGTCATTTTATTTCCTTTTTCTTTTTCACTTTCACAAATCTTATCTGCTAATCAAGATCCCACTTGATTCCTATTTCTATCGTGCAACCATTTCTGGCCACAGTACAACAGTTAAGAGCTCAGGCTCTGAAACATGGAGCAGATCTGGATTTGAAATATGGCTCTCACATATAATTGATATTTAACTTCTTTAATCCTCAGTTTTCTCTTTTTTAATTTTTTATTACACTTTAAGTTCTGGGATACATGTGCAGATCATGCAGGTTTGTTACATAGTGACATGTGCCACATGTGCCATGGTGGTTTGCTGTACCCATCAACCCATCATCTACATTAGGTATTTCTCCTAATATTATCCCTTCCCTAGCCCCTCAACCCCTGATAGGCCTTGGTGTATGATGTTCCCTCCCTGCGTCCATGTGTTCTCATTGTTCAACTCTTACTTATGAGTGAGAACATGTGGTGTTTGGTTTTCTGTTCCTGTGTTAGTTTGCTGAGAATGATGGTTTCCAGCTTCATCCATGTCCTTGCTAAGGACATGAACTTGCCCTTTTTATGGCTGCATAGTATTCCATGGTGTATATGTGCCACATTTTCTTTATCCAGTCTATCATTGATGGGCATTTGGGTTGGTTCCAAGTCTTCGCTGTTGTGAATAGTGTTGCAGTAAACATATGTGTGCATGTGTCTTTATAGTAGAATGATTTATAATCATTTGGGTATATACACAGTAACGGGACCGCTGAGTCAAATGGTATTTCTGGCTCAAGATCCTTGAGGAATTGCCACACCGTCTTCCACAATGGTTGAACTAATTTATACTCCCATCAACACTCTAAAGCATAAAAACCCTAGAAGAAAACCTAGGCAATACCATTCAGGACATAGGCAAGGGCAAAGACTTCATGACTAAAACACCAAAAGCAATGGCAACAAAAGCCAAAATTGACAAATGGGATCTAATTAAACTAGAAAGCTTCTGCAAGCAAAAGAAACCATCATCAGAATGAACAGGCAACCTACAGAACGGGAGAAAATTTTTGCAATCTATCCATCTGACAAAGGGCTAATATCCAGAATCTACAAGGAACTTACACAAATTTACAAGAAAAAAACAAACAATCATATGAAAAAGTGGGCAAAGGATATAAACAGACACTTCTCAAAAGAGGACACTTATACAGCCAAGAAATATATGAAAAAAACCAACAAACCCTTCAAAAAGTGGGCAAAGGATATGAACAGACACTTCTTAAAAGACAATTTTTCCAGTGTTCCCCATTAATATATTCTATTTCTACTAACTACATCTAACCTCTCTACTCTAGTAAGATTTTCTTTCTGACCAATATTGTGTAGAACTGGCTTTTTACAACATGACAGCTGAAAGGGATCTCATGAAACTATCTACTGACTCCCTGTAAGAGATGTTAGGGGATTTGTTTAAAGCTGCATAGCTACTTGGTGCCAAATTTGGTGCTATTTTCATGATATCACTTTTAATTTTTTCTCAGAAGGTACCCATTGTAGCACATGTCGATACAGAGCTTAGAACAATGACCTTCTTATTTAGTGAACAAACAACTTCAGAAGCCAGGGGACAGTGATCTGGAGAGGTCGGGCAGCATTAAAATCTTTCTTACAAAATACCCACACGGAAGCCTCATTGAGATGAATTCAATACAAATGAGCCACTCAGCATTTGGGGCTTAGAACACACTAAAATAACAGCATAGATAACATATGCAAATATAATTATTCCTTATTTCTAGTTTAATTAGAAAAAGAGGAATTCTAAGACTTTCTAGGTCACAGACATTTTAATTTGCTATTTGAAGTTGGTTAAGTTTTGCACAAGACGGTTTCTAAGACAATTCTCATGTTTTTCTGTATTCGAAATTCAAGACATAATTTAACCTGTTCTATATGATACAGGGTCTTTGCTGTGAACAATTACTACCATACTGTACTGTAATGCAAAAGTATTTTACTTTCAGGATCACTTTGCAAATGACTCTAAACTGTTGTGCTCTTTTGCTTTAATTTTATTCTCTCTCTTTTATGGCCATCTATGTTTATCTCCCTTTATTCACTGAAGCTTTTCATCCCTGTTAGTGGGTCTACTTCTACACCCACCAACTGGCTCCCCCATCTACACCTCCTCTACATTAGCTATCCTCTGTTTAGACCTTCCGTTCTTCCTTTTAACCTAGAACAAAACTATAGGGACTTAGGGACTCCCAAAACTCAGCTAAGGAAAAACAGATCATCAAATTCTAAGAATAAAATTAACTCAAATATGTTTGGTACCTAAGAAAAAGTAGCTTCCAATATCTTCCTCAGATGAGCGTCGGGGGAGTTATTTTCATCTGGTAGGGTTTGTTTCTTATTATTGAGTTCTCTTCAATTTGGATCTACTGAGCTTACCAGATACCAGATGGATGGATTTATAGGAAGGACTTTCCCCATACATATATTTTAAAAGTATGTTTATCTGATGCATGCCCAGAGGGATGGAAGACAAAATTTCACTGTAAATGAACCTTTAAAAAATTAGTCTGCAAATACGTAATTACACTATCTGGAAATAAAACTAAAACTGGTAATCAATAAAATCTTAAGTAACACCTTAATGGATCCTTGTTTTCTACTGAATAAAATCCCCAGTATTTAGCATGGCATTCACAATACTCTGTACTTGATTCCAACCTAGGTTGTTTTGTTTTGTTTTTTGAGACAGAGTCTCACTCTGTCAGCCAGGCTGGAGTGCAGTGGCATGATCACGGATCACTGCAGCCTCGACTTCGTGGGCTCAAGCGATCTTCCCACCTCAGCATCCCAAGTAGCTGGGACTACAGGGGCATACAACTATGCCCGGTTAATTTTCTGTATTTTTTTGTAGAGACAGGGTTTCTCCATCTTGCCCAGGCTGGCCTTGAACTCCTGCGGTCAAGTGATCCTCCTCCCTCAGCCTCCCAAAGGGCTGGGCTTTATAGGTGGGAGCCTCTGCGCCTGGCCTCTAACCTAGGTTTTTAAAAGTCTTCTCTCACATTTCTTCCTCATACAATCCTATGTTATAGGGAATAGCAAGAACATATGACACTATTTAGTTGTGTATTATTCTCAATAGCGGTTCTGAACTACCTACTATGATTTCTGAAGCCACTCAATGGCCTGGAGTAATCGTTCCCTCTTTTGCCCATCTTTGCTTATGCAAGGGTCAGTTCAAATGCTGTATCTTTGTGGTGAGTGGAAAGAATAATGGCCTGACACTTAGGGGTTCTGTATTCTTGTCCTGTTTTTGTGACGAAGTAGCTCTTAATGTGGCCTTGGGCATACCACTTCTCTAGGACTCAGTTTCAGATGATCTCTAAATTGCCTGTGAAACATTCTACAAATCATTAAAGTGACTTTCCCAGACTGTTTTTGTATTAGAAGTGATACTTCCTTTTTTACCATAGTTTTATAGCATTCAGTTGGCATCTATATTGCTTGGTCTTCAGGAAAACTGTGTCCCAACCATCTCTACTCACAGAAAATGAGTTCCTCTATGCCACATGCACACAATTTCTTATAGTAGATTCTCAATAAATACATGATGACTACATTTATACCCGAGGTGCAACAACATACACACTACAAATCTAAGTGCTCTACTGAAAATCAAAATGGCTTTCTCAAAGGAAAGGGGTTTATAACACACTTGATTATCCCTTACTGACATATGGTTGGCACTTATTATGTAGTTTATATTTCATTTATAAAGTAAAATGAAGAGCTTCCCACAGTGACAGTAAGTTGATAATTTGTTTAAACAAAGAGAATGGTCTACTACATATGTAAACTATTCCAAGAAATTTACTGTTGATTATGATTTTTAAAAATCCTGAAGTTTTCTTTTAAACTTACAACAGACAATTTTTACAAAATATATACAGAGATACATAGAATTTTACTTGCTATAGGACTAGGGATTTGGGGATAGGTTTTTACTGTTAAAAAATCATTTTTACTTTTAATACTATAAACACAGCCTGGGCAACATAGGGAGACCCCCATCATTACTAAAAATAAAACAATTGGCCAGGCATGGTGGTGCGTGCCTGTAGTCCAGCTATCCAGGAGGCTGACTGAGGTGGGACGATCGCTTGAGCCCAGAAGCTTGAGGCTGCAGTGAGCTGTGATCACACCACTGCACTCCAGCCTGGGCAAGACAGCGAGGCCCAGTCTGAAAAAAAAAAAAAAATTTTAAAACATACTTTTTAAGGGCACAAATACAGTTTGTTACTAACATGACGTTTTGAGCAAAATAGAAGATGCAAGTCATAATAAGGAAACGAATTAGTGATAATTATAAAGCCCAACAGCTAAGGAAAATGAAGTACATTGGTATAGAACACAATTACTTTTGTTTCATTTTTTAAAAAATATTAAGAATTGAAATATGAGATCAAGGTTTTCCTCCTTTCCACTCTAATAAAGTTTAGTCTACAAAGTACTTTTGCCTTGTAAATTTCTTAAAATAACAACAAAGATATAACATATACTTTTGACCATTTTTCACTTATACATAAAATATGAAAAAAATATTTTAAATATGTAACTATTATGTCTGGAACAGTTTTCATTATTGTATTGTAATCAATTCAGTAAGGAGAAGAAAGCTCTCCTTTATTTGTTGAAATTGCCTTTGCTGACATAGCTATGTCATGACATTCTAAATGAATTGGTAAACCAGGAAGCTAAATAAGACAGGTAGCTATCCCTAAACTTTGCTACTCTTCTATTTTTTAAAACTTTTTATTATGAAAAATTTCACCAACACAGAAAAGTTAAATCAACAGTACAATTAACATTCCTATACTCAATATTTACATTCGGTAACTGTGAACATTTTGCCTGTTTCTTTCTCTCTCTTCACATGCACGCGTACATTTGTATATTATATACTTTGTTTTGGCTGTACTATTTGAAAATAAGTTGCAGATACGATGATGCTTTACTCCTAAATACTTCAGCATGCCTCTCCTAAGAGTAAGGACATTCCCCTATGTATAACCACAAAACCATTATCATCACAAGTAAGAAAATCAACAGTAAATTTAAAATAGCTTGTAGTGTCCAGATAATACTTAGATTTATTCAATTACCCCAAGAATGTCTTTTAATGTTCCTCCCTAACCTCTACTCAAGACCACCCTAGGTTCACACATTTCATTTGGTTGTGAGGTATTCTACGTCTAAATCTTAAATTACAAAATAATTCATCTGCCTAGGACTCAAGCTCTGATGCATAGAAAAAATTTTTTTTTCCAAACTAATAGTCTTCCAAAGTATATGAATGACTGATAGGAAAACGTTGTTAATGTTATCATCTCTATGTAATCAACTCAAAATGTAGTCTACCAGATAATAAGCCCACTGAAGGCAGAAATGTTTTATTCATCTTTGTAATCTCCCCTGGGCATTATAGACAGGGTGCACAATAACTGTTGAATGGAGTTGCTGTGTTTCCCATGGCTTCTATTTCTTCAAAACCTCCAGTAGTTAATAGGAGTCTAGGTAGAAGACAGTCATATATCACTATGCCCTAGCACCTTTATTCCTATTGCTGTTACCTTGATAGGATGTGAGAAAACAAAACAGTTTTAAATTCTGTGCATCCTTCTTCTGTGGTAAACATACTGACAATTGCTGATCAGGGAGAAAACTGAGTAGAAGCTACTTGCACAATGAAGAAAAGTATTTTTTCTTTTCTATTTTCTTCTCTCCTCTCCTTCTTCCCTTCCTCCTTTTCTCCCTCTTTTTTTTTCTTTCCCTTACTCTTTCTTTCCTTCATAAAGCTTAGCATCAGATAGAATTAGCTGTGGCATATGTTTGAAGTCACTTATGAATAAAAAAAATTAGGAGACACTCCATAAAAAGCACCACAAAGATGTGCAAATCGAAGATGTGCCCATCTACTTTGTGGATTTATGTTTTCTAAAAAAAAATTCATGCTGGGCTATATATCAGGTTTTATTCATTTAAGTTTATTCTTGGCTATATACTAGGAATAGGGAGATGAAGAGCATGGCTCAGACATTATACATTTGAGCCTCTCAAAGAAGCTGATAAAAATCAGTTAATATTTTCATTACAAATACACTTAGATAAAACCATAGTTGTAAGAATATAAGATCAACTTATGTGTTAGGCAGAGTCATAATAATAAGCTATATATGTTTTTCTAATTAGTGTAAAATGTCAAGTGTGACAGCAAAGGGGTCAATGCCTAGTCTTTCATCTTTATTCATAAGCTAAAAGCAGAGAAAAAATTAATAAAACAGCAGATATAGCAGATGGCACTCAACATAGTCATAGGGGATTGACACATAGGTAGAAAATGAAAATGTGAGTTAGGTTGAAAATTATAAAAACCAGTCAATTTATGAAAGAGCAATTTAAAAAATGTTTATTTAGGTAAGAATTTATACACAGGAAAGTAAAAAACTGATGCTTAAAGGGACAAATCCAATGGAAATAACCTGGATTAACAGACGAAAGTAAAACCAAGATGGATGTTATTAGCTATGGCTATCAAAAACATTTTATGGATACTGACAAGTAATAGATTTACAATAGAGTTTCTTGGCTAAATGGATATATGAGTGGCTATGAGAGAAAAAGGCACACTCCTCAGGTTCCTTCCCAAACCAGCTTAAAGGCAGCAGCATGGCAGAACCAGCTAGGCATTCTCAGCCTAGGAGTCCAGTGGCACTCCTCCAATATAGAACACAACAAATCTCCTCATGAAAATTATAGCAGTGGCCCAAAGTCTCCACAGAAAGGCAGCAGAATTTCCTATTTCTCCTGCTTTTTATTTTAAGAACCATGGATTAACTCTGAGGTATCTGGGATTATTTCACTTATACCTCCACTTTGTTCTAATAAATGTTTCAAGCTGCTACAGAACAATGTAGCATAGAAATGGGAGTAAAAGAAGAAAGAAAAAAGTAGGGTGGCACCTACATTGCAAATAAAAAATAAAATACATACACACACACACACTCTCTCTCTCTCTCTCTCTCTCTCAAACCTAACCTAAAGGTAGGCCCTAAATGTGGCTCTCAGCTTTGGCAGACAAGGGAAACACACCAGGTAAAGGGTTTGTGTGGAGAATTCGGATGGCCCTTGTTGTCTGTTCCTAGGAGATAACTTATTAACCCTGAGAATTTCCTGAGTGACTGGAGGGTCTGTGTTATTCATGGTGGGCCCTTTGACCACACCTGATAGTTTATATAAATGACATGACTCAGGATGGGAACTGGCCATGCCAGAAAAGACCAACAATGTGATTAGTGGGTTGGGGCTCTGAGCCACATAAGATGAGCCTCATCTCCTGGGAAGGGAGGGGAGCTGGAGATCAAGCTCAACCATGTGACCAATGACTTAATCAATTATACCTACTCAATGAAGCCACAATAAAAACTCTGGACACCAAAGCTCCAGTAAACTTTCTTGGTAGGGATTAGTCTGGGTATGGTTACATACTGATGTGCCAGGAGAACAATGCATCCTTAGGAACGATGGCAGCTTTGTATTTGGGAATCTCCCAGATCTCATCCTATGCGTCTCTCTGTTTGACTTGTTCTGATTTGTATCCTATTGCTATGACTGCACTGTAATCACAAGTATAGTGCTTTTCTGAGTTCTGTGAGTCATTATAGCAAACTACTGAACCTGAGAGAGTAGTGGGAACTCTTGAATTTGTAGCCAGATGGTGAGAAGCCAAAGTATCCTGAGGAACCCCCAATTTGTGGCTGGTGTTTGAAGTGAGGATAGTCTGTGGAGGGCTGTGCCCTTAACCTGTGAAGTTTGGCCTGTCTAGGTAACTGGTGTCAGAGTCATTGTGGGTATATAATAAGTATATGCATCATGGACAATATACTTAGGATTAATAGAAAAAACAACATAGGGCTGTTTCCAATATCAAGCCTTAAAAAAAGCTAACCCTCATCCCAAAGCACACCCTCAAACTCAGTGAAAACGGTACAGAGGGGTGGGGTATGGATTGTCATGATGCAGTACAGATACTTCTTGTCTCCTGACTGATTGTTTAAGACTATATAGGGAAATTATGAAATTTTTCTATATAGTCTTAAACAATCAGTCTCCAGTCTTCCTCAAACAATCTTCCCTGAACACAGTTTTTGTAAGTATTCGTTGGTTATAATCTTGAATCTGTCTTTCTTCCAGTCAGTATCTGGAATGTTGCTTTTATAGACTCTCACATGGATACAGAGGCACAGGCTTCAGGAGATCATCAGGAGGAGACATTTGGGTTGACTCTTGTAAAAACTGCATAGTCAGCGATGGGGTTCAGAACATGCCACCCCAAAATATGGCACCTTGGAAGAGCAGAAGCAGGAAGCTCACTTTTACCTCCTCCTTCCCCTTTCCCCCTAAAGTAGATCGTAAAGCCTTCATTCAAAAGGTACCCTCTCTTATACCTGGGGGAAAGGAACATCCTTATCTCTGAAGACACAAAGATAAACAGAAGAATCTGAACAAATAGATATTGCTAAGTCCTCTCCAGTTTTTTACCAGATCATATCCCCCTTGTCTAATCATACTTCCCCACAACTATCCATTTCTTCATCAAATTTAGCAGAAAAATGCACAGGTGTCCATTTCTTTGGGTCTTCATTTCCTTATGAAGGCTCTTGAGTCAAGTAAAACATACTAAATACATTTGTATGCTTTTCCTTTGTTAATCTGTCTTTTGTTTTACAGGTCTCAGCCATGAAACTAGAGGTGAGTGAGGGAAAACATCTTTCCTCTTCTACATCCTAAGCACAGACTAGAACTTGCATGAAAAGTCATTTAATTGTTACTCAAAAATGACTGAAGAGAATAGCCACACACTAGACCAGAGTCCACTAATCCTCATCCGCCCTCCTAACACCAACTATTGGCTTCCAAAGTTGTACCTCATATATATCATGATCATAATTTTTTCAATTTTTTTTTAAGACATAATCTTGCTCTGTTGTCCAGGCTAGAGTGCAGTGGTATGATCTCGACTCACTGCAACCTCCACCTCCTGGGCTCAAGTGGTTCTTGTGCTTCAGCCTCCCAAGTATCTGCGATTACAGGCATGTGCCATGACGCCTGGCTAATTTTTTATTTTTTTTAGTAGAGAAGGGGTTTCGCTATGTTGGTCAGGCTGGTCTTGAACTCCTGGCCTCAAGTGATCTGCCCGCCTCGCCTCCCAAAGTGCTGGGATTACAGGAGTGAGCCACCGCACCCAGCCATGGTCACAATTTTTAACAGATTAAATTTTAAGTAAAGTGTTAGCAGACGCCAAGCCCTTATTGGGTGGGTATCAGAAAACTATCCAAAGAACATCTGGCAGTGAGTGACATAATTTGCTCGCATATACTCCAAAGACAAACTTCTGGCAAAATGGATATGAAGATAACCAAATATAGCAATTTATTGATACAATAATTGATAGGTAAGTCAACACCAAGATCAAACACCAAGCCATAGTAACAGGTTTTAGAATTTATGACAACTAGTTGACAGGGTCAATAGTCTCTTGAAGCTAGACCTCATTTAGTAGACAAATACATATATATGTATTTGGACATATGTATACATACTAAATACATATGTATGTATGTATTTATCTTTTAGAACTCTATAAAATGGAAAAAAAAGCATCTACCTTAGCCAAAAGTAGCACTTAACCACTAAGATACTAATTAAAATCAAGCAGGGGGAGGAGGAGTTCAATTTCTGCTTAGGAGATAGATACAAGAGAACATCCTATCAATGAGAAAAAGCTGAATAATCAAAAAAATTCAACTGGGAGGTTGAGGCGGGTGGATCACTTGAGGTCAGGAGTTGGAGACCAGCCTGGCCAACATGGTGAAACCCCGTCTATTTAAAATACAAAAAAATTAGCCAGGCATGCTGGTGCACGCCTATAATCCCAGGCAGTCAGTAGGCTAAGGAGGGAGAATCCCTTGAAACCAGGAGGCGGAGGCTGCAGTGAGCCGAGATCACACCACTGCACTCCAGCCTGGCGACAGAGTGAGACTGTCTCAAAAACAAACAAAAAAAAGAAATAAATTCATAACTTATTTTGAGTCCAAAGAGCTGAAGTCACAAGGCAACTAGACAAACTGAATTCTAAAAGGTGGTTAGCCTCTCTGAAGAGAGACACGAACACAGAGCATGGGAGGAAAAGGCAAGCAGGAAGACAAAAGTTTGTATTTTAAATAATTCTTAAAGGCAAAATCCCTGAGAGTCCTAGACACAAGGGGTCCAACTCCCCCCATGGGCTTCCTCCAAGTTCTCAGGAGAAAGACTAGGAATAGGGCAAAGAGACATGAACAAAAGCCCTTTGATGGTGAACAGGCACGAACCCCAGCTTGCTTCTGGGGACCATTCTTTAGCACACAAAGCAAAGGCCATAAGCTGCTGGGAGAAGGACCCAAATCCTGCACTGCAAAGTAGATGTTGGCTACTGCTGGGGATGGAGTAAAAAATGTTGAGAAATAATATAATTATTCCTGAGTTTTTCTTCTCAACGGTATCTGAGTGTGTATTAGTGTTCTGGGGTGTAAGAGCTGGATGTAAGGACAGGCCTGAGAGAACCTAACCTGCAGTTTGCCAAGCAAGTTCTGCAATGCACTTGCCTTAGAACATTCAAAATAAAGTTATAGGCATGTATTTGGTGTTAAAAGATTTAAATATTAAAAAATTAAATATTTAAAATACTTAAAATTTATGAAAATGGAGGCCTTTTCTTTTAAAAGACAGGATAGGTCAGGTCTGGAAACAACCTGATAGAAAGGTGGCTGGAAAAGAAGGTAGATGAGGAGACCTACAGTACCACCCCTTGGTCACTGTGCTCCCCAAATATGTTTAGGGACCAGTAAAGATCTAAAATGCATTCCCTTTTTGCTGACATGCTGGGATTATAAAAGAGCCTCTCTAGAAAAGGGATAAAAACATGAACATCAGCTGGGGGCGGTGGCTCACGCCTATAATCCCAACACTTTGGGAGGCCGAGGCGGGCCAATCACCTGAGGTCAGGAGTTCAAGACCAGCCTGGCCAACATGGTGAAACCCCATCTATACTAAAAATATAAAAAGCAGCTGGGCATGGTGGTACATGCCTGTAACCCCAGCTACTCAGGAGGCTGAGGCAGGAGAATCACTTGAATTCGGAAGGCGGAGGCTGCAGGGAGCTGAAATTGCGCCATTGCATTCCAGCCTAGGTGACAGAGCGAGACTCCATCTCAAAAAAAAAAAAAAAAAAAAGAACATTCAGAAATCTCAGAGGAGAGAAAACCTTAAAGAGCAAGCAGTTCTAAAACAGTTTAGAATTTAGGATTAAAGTTTTCAGCCATTAATTAAAGTTCAGGATAGAAAATAAATAGTACGTGGTCAAGAAAATGGAAACTTGAAAGTAACAAAAATTAAAATTCTCATTAATCAGATGCAGAAAAAGGTCTGTCCTGTTGATACAAAGGTATCACAAAGTACTAGCTTTCTTTTGAAGTGACTTATTTATAATACCAGAACCCAGACTGCAGGTTAAATGGCAGAGCTCCCTAATACATACGGAATGCTGATGAGCCTCTTCTCTTGAACAGTGTGAGCACTCAGAGTCTGTTAGTATAAGCACTGGAGACACTGGACCAGCATTCCTTTGAGGAACTGACATCAAGGCATGGAGAGTGGTATATCAGTCATCGGTAATTAAAAAGAGGGACCAGAGATGCTTCTTTGCTATCTAGTCCCTATATTCCATCAGAGTAAATACATTTAAAATATAAAGGAAAGAAGGTCTTTTGGTTTGTTTTTTGGTGAAAACAGTTGACTTGGATACTTCAATCAGTTAAAACAAATTTATTCAGTAAAAACTTCCTAAAGGCTCATTAAAAGTTTAGTATTACATTGGGCACTGTAGTCTATGACTTCTATTTGGTCATAACCTCAAATGCAGAATAGGTTTAAATCTTTCCTACCCCCGAGAAAGGAATTTCCAACAAATTAAACAATCAGTATAACTTTTGAGTATCTACTTTCCAAAACACTGTAGCTGATAGCTAAAGTTAATCCTCCACAGAAGGCAATTTTTCCTAAATCATTTCAGCTATATGAATTACTCTACATGTCTTTAGCTTCCCAAAGCACTTCCAAAGCATTCATTTGCCTGTAGTACCATTCCAGAGGCTCATCTTCCCCAAAAACTCTTCCCTTCCCCTTCAAAAAAAGCCATGAGCTTATTATTATTATTATTATTTTTAAGGAATGGAGTCTTGCTTTGTTACCGAGCCTGGTCTCCTGAGTTCAAGCGATTCTCTCGCCTCAGCCTCCCAAAGTGCTGGGATTACAGGCATGAGCCACTGGGCCCAGCTCATGAGATTCTAGAGAAGAGCATTCCAAGCACAGCAAACAGCAAGTGCGAAGTCCTTAAAGCTGGAAACAGCTTGGTGTGTTTGAGGAACACAGACATAGCCAGTGTAGCTGGAGTACAGTAAGCACAGGAGAAAGTGGGTGAGAGAGACGTGGGAGAGTGGCTCAGAGAGGCATGTGCCAGATCCTTTGAGATCTTGGTAAAAAGTCTGAATTTTTATTCTAAATAAATTTGAAAGTATTGGATAATTTTAATTACTAGTTACATGATGTGAATAAGTGAACAATGTCTAAGTTACTGAAAGAGTTTTCAAATTGTTTCAAAGTGAGGCTGGCTAAAGACATAACACCAACTCCTCTTGTTCTGTCTGCCATTTCTTATCTTTTCTGACAGTAAGACGGTATTTTCATTTTAATCCCATTCAGTATTATGGTGAAATTATTTTTTTCTATCACATCCTTTATTCTATCTGATGTAACTTTCAATATGAGGAAATTAAAAGTATAAAAAGTTCAGTAAATTTCCACTAACTTAAGGATTAAAAGTTTGGTTAATAAAGTAAAATGGAAACATGAATAAATTATTTGTACAGATAATGATGTATAGCTTCAACAACTTTCAGAATGGAATCTGCCTATAACTGAGTTAAATATTTTGGAAGCCCTCACACCAGGGGTCAAATAAAAAGCTACTTTTCCCCACCCCCAAAATTCTCTTTTAAGTGTCAAAAGGGTCACTGAACAGCATTGGGAATGACTGATCTGTTTGCCAGAGTCTGATCACTAGAGCATTTGAATTTATGTTAGCAATATACTCAAATAATATACTAAATAATACTTAATATACTTAAACACACAGCTCTGCATGTATAAGGCAGGGATAACTGTACTAAAACAAAAACTATTAATGGCAAAATACAGTTTCTTTAAAAACAATCAATAAAATCCACCTTTCTCAGCATTTTATGAGAGATGATAGAAAGTTAACCTTGTGACATTAGAATCTTAAATAAACAAGGAAAAGCCATCCATATCAATGACTAAAATAAGATAGTGAAACATAAAAAACAGAGATACATTTCTTAACTGGATGATGATATACACCCCCAAATCCATGAGAGTTGATCTGACTAGTATTTCACCTTCTTGAAAGATATCAGTACCTCCCACCGTTTCTGAAACTGCAATGATAAAGGCAACAGCCATCTGCTTGCTATACAGGATAGAAATATAGTATTTTTCTTCTACTTTTGAGTCTCACTGAGATAGCTTTTTAAGAGTGTCTTCAAAACAGGACAGAATATCCAAAAAAAATAAACTAGGAGATAAAAAAATGAGACGAATTTAAACATTCACATGGAAAATATCAGCACAATGAAAAAAGGTAGACGTACAAAATAAAATGTAAATGCAGGAGTTAAACACACAAGAAACTAGAAAAGCTAAATTCCTATTTATATTAAAGGTACAAGAGAATTTAGCTTAGGTAGGAAGAGAAGGACTTTAAAAAATTCAATAGGTGGGCATGGGAGATTGCAAAATACCCATCTTTTAGAAGAAAAAGGAAAAAGAAAGCTATCAGCATGGCATGACTCGGTATAGGATTACCAGCCTGAAGAAGTATTTTCCTGTATAAACTCAAGGTCAGGTACAGTTTTAAAAGAAAATACAAGAAGCTTAGGCCCAAAGGAATAAGAAATTCCTATCTACTACTGAACTAAGATAATAGGAAATCAGATTTTCTTTAAAAAATTATTTACAATGAAAACAGAATATTATTATTTATTTACATACATATTTATGTCCTGTTCAGCCATTTTCATTAATTCTAACAAATGTCAATTTAGAAAATGTCACATTTGGCTGGACACAGTGGCTCACACCTGTAATCCCAGCACTTTGGGAGGCCAAGGCAGGTGGATCACTTGAGGTCAGGAGTTTGAGATCAGCCTGGCCAACATGGTTAAACCCTGTCTCTACTAAAAATATAAAAATTAGCTGGGTGTGGTGGCATACACCTGTGATCCCAGCTACTCCTCGGGAGGCTGAGGCATGAGAATTGCTTGAATCTGGGAGGTGGGGTTGCAGTGAGCCAAGATTGTGCCACAGCACTCCAGCCTGGGTGACAGACTGACACTCTGTCTCAAAAAAAAAAAAAAAAAGGCCTATTTGCTCAGAAAGAAAGATCAAATGTGATAAAGTATCCTGGTGCAATTAGAAAGAGAATGGTGATTGGGGTTGGAAATTTAGGAGTTTGAATTGCTTCCCTTTCTATTTAACACTGTATATAACCACGGTTGTGTGCATGTTTCTTACTGTCCTTGACCTTGCATTTCCTGTTAAACAGGGGTAATATTTCCTGCCTGATCTCACTCAACCAGTATATATACAAATTGTCCTGTAAATTTTAAGTCCTTGTTGAAGATGCTCAAAGTGGTGAACCTTAGGACTCAGAATAATATCGTTTTAGATTGTGATTACCATTTGTTTCCCAAAGAAAGCAGTCATCAATCTGAAGGTTAAACTTACTCAATGGTCACTGCAGCTAAATTGATCTCTGTTGCACTGTTAATAACAATGTTACATTCAATGGGAAATATCATCTTATATTTAAGAAAATTTTATTCTAGATGCAGTATTAGAACTTGTATGTATTGTGCCTGAAAGATAGGAATTATGCAAGAAAAGTATAAATATAAATTGATTTTTTTACTTTCAGTTTGTTGGCATACAGTAATTTGATCCTTTACTGAAAGTCTCTAGAACTATATTTTAAAAAGTGGCATGAGGAAGAACAATCTTCTCAGTGGGAGATACGCAATTTCATTTTGTTGTGGCTTTATTGTGGGGAGAGGTGAGACACATGAAGTAGAATTAAAAACAGAAAAAACTGTTTCTCTCCTGAAGATAAATTTGTTATATACGTTAAAACTTTCATAAAATATTTGTAGTTGTCATGAATGATATCTCAAGCTGACATTTGAAATAGTGATTAAAAAAAATACCTTCATACAGTTAGGCCTTTCCTTCTTTCCCAATTTAGTTAAGTTACGTCTTGCTACTGAGAACTTAACGAATACCACACATTTTCTCCTGTAGACAAAGGAAAAACTGAGGATTTTTTTATGTTGAAGTGCAAAGTGTAATGCAGTGATTATAGATGTCTGCCTCAGCTATATTGTATCCTTGTTAATCAGGGATATTTGACTATATGGCTTTATAGAAATTACAAGCCAATACTTCAGGATGAAATTTCAGTTCATACGTAAGAGCAAGCCTCAGAGAAGATAGAAATGTTAATACAACAGTCTAAACTGCTAAGAGACATCTTAGTAAGGAAGACAGATTTTAAAATAACTAACTATAATTGAAAAGCCAAATAAAATAGTGTGTTAATAGAACTTAGAAGAGGTCATTAATTTTGACAGGTGGCATATGGGAAACTTTTGGAAAATGTGGCAGTTGAGCAATGCCTTGAGGGATATGTATCTATACAGGTGGGGATTGCCATTCCTAGTTCATGAAGCAGAATCCTGAAAGTACCTAACATACTTGATAAATGTGAGAAAAGTAATGTTTATACTACAGTGTAAACTTCACAAGGGCAGGGACCATTGCCTGTTTTATCCACTGCTATATCAGTAGTATTTAGAAAATATCTGGTACAAGATAAATATTTGTTGAATAAACAAATTAATTGGATGCTGGGCAATTTAGGGAAAAGACACTGGAAATGCAGTTTGAGACTAGAAAACCTTAAGAACATGAAGACAATAAAGAATAGGGCAGGTTTTTGAAGAAGAGAATAGGGCCAGGCGCAATGGCTTGCTCTTGTAATTCCAGCACCTTAGGAGGCTGAGGTAGGAGGATCTCTTGAGCCCAGGAGTTCGAGACCAGCCTGGGCAATATAGTGAGACCCCATCGCTACGAAAGGATCACTTGACCCCGGGAAGCAGAGGTTGCAGTGAGCCACTGTACTCCAGCCTGGGCGACAGAGGGAGATCTTGTCAGAAAAAAAAAGAATAAAGTGATTTATGTTATTTATTAATATTAACAGATAATCAGTTACTATTAATCAATTAATAGTAACATTAATTTTAATAAGTATTTATTAATATTAAAATTCTGGAGGCAGTGTCAATTGCCTGAAGAGGTGAGTCTATAGACAAGGTAAGTATGAGTATGGATGTGGGACTTGGGACTCAGCTGGACCTGGTAGGATTTGACAAATGACTTAGATATAGGGGTGAGAAAAAAAGAATCAATTAAATATGCTTCTAGAGATTTCCAAACTGAGTGACCAGGAGAATGGTGGTGTCATTATGTAATAAAAGGAGAACAGGCAAATAGCAAGTTTTGGGGGAGGAAAAAAATAAGTTCTGTTTTTAGGCATATTAAAGTGTGGACTGGAAATCCAAATGGAAAAGTTTCACATAAGGAAATATAGATTTGGGGCTCAGAAGTGAACCAGGATGAAAGCTATGGATGAACTCAATTCATGAATATTTACTCTGACTGCCTACTCTGCACCAGCACTAACATTTAAGCCATAGGCCTAATAGTGGTAGTTATACAGATGTGCATGCCCTGAACAGGTGATAAGATCTTGAGAAACATATGTATACACATTTAAGAGAAAAGAGGGAAAAGAACCACTGGACAAGACTAAGCTAGACTGATGAGAAATAAGAGGATGATGCACCAAGATCACGGGAGAATTTTTAAAGGAAGCTAAAGGGAAGAAGGTGTTCAAGCTATTGAAATCCTCGAGAATCTTCCTAATTCTGTAGTTTCTTTCAGAATATGGATGAAAATATTCAAAGAAGTGTCAAGTAGGAATCAAGCTCTTCAAAAAGAAAACTGGGAACACATACAAATCTTGCAAATGTCAAGAAACCAGTGAAATCTCAAAGAAATGGAAAAAGAAATATGATTCTAGCATAAAATCTGTTACTGTAACTTTCAGTGAATCATTTAAACTCTATATACCTCCAGCCACTCACACAGAAAACAGAGTTTTGTCTGTTTGTTTAAAATGAGGTTTGGGGAAAAATAACAATATGAACTTAGGAGTATAGGGAGGACTAGGAAGGATGTTTAAATATAAGACACAGTTTCTGCCCTTAAGTTACAGTCATTTTGAACTAAGAGCAAACCATACAAAGGTACTTAAACTATATGCTTTACCTAGAGTTCCACATGAAAGAATAAATATTTAAGAATAATACATATGCAAATCATCGTTAATGCAAATCAAGTCAGCAAATGCCCTACTAATACTCTAGTTTGAGGGTTCTTCCTCGTGGACTTGAGTTGAGATCCTCAAGTTGAGATCCTCAAGATCCTCAATTCAAAGTCTTTGAGTTGAAATATTGAGCTGGGGTCACTCAAACACTGAATACATTATACATCCATTATCATTAAGCAGTTTGATTGGTTTAAATTACATGTTTTAGAAACTAGAATGAAATTCTGATTAATAAAAAATTGTTTGATAAAGTATAATTAGTAGCAGCATAAGGAAAAAACCACCAAGCTGTGGTAGAGTGAGTGACTTCAAAACCCTCTGGCTGTAAAGTCTTCCTAGGATGAGTTCTTGCA
This sequence comes from Homo sapiens, assembly GCF_000001405.40. NCBI lineage: Eukaryota > Metazoa > Chordata > Mammalia > Primates > Hominidae > Homo > Homo sapiens. Next base: position 112,299,510 of record NC_000007.14, on the reverse strand, counting down.
CACTATGGGCCAAGGGCATAAACATCTTCACGAGTTCCAATGCATGATGAGAAAGTGCCTCTCAGAAATGGTATACCAGTTTACATTCTTAAAAGCAGCTGAAGAAGTACTTGTCTCTTAACATTCTTGCCACCATTTAGTACTATTATTTTCAAGTCCTGTTAACTTGATAGAAGAAGAAAAAGTATACTGTTACTTTTGTTTCATTTAATGATTTAGACTTCTTTCTGGACATGCTTCTTACTGATTTGTAAAGTTCTTTCTTTATAAAGGAGATAGATCCTATAATCATTGCTAACGCCCACAGAAGAATCACCCACACTAACCTCATGCTTCCACACTATGTAGCATAAAATTGTGATGAACTGGCTGATGGCAAATTCAGCCTGTCTTCCTGCTGTTTGGCAAGTCTTTTTTTACTTTTTGTTGATCCTCTAATCAGAATTCCAGTGGCGGGCTATTGTAAACTGCCTCTGCTTTCCCTAAACTTCAATCCAAGCCTGAATCCCCTCCCTACACAGACTTGTCAGACCATGAGCACCCAGGACAGAGAGATTCCCAGAGCCTAGAATAGTAGTACCAGACACATGAGAGGCCAAATAATGACTACGCTGGCATGGCATGGCTTAAAAGGCATGTACCTGGAATGTTTGGTTTGAAACTCTAGCTCTGCACCTCATTCACTATGTGTTCCTGGGCAAATTAAGCTTCCTAGGCCACATTTTACTCATAAATAGAACGGCATTTAATAGCCACCTCACAGGGTGCTATGAAGCAAGAACCAAATACAAGGCATGGCTTATGGATGGTCATCAGTCATTGTTAGCTTACTTCCAATCCCCAAGTTGGTCTAGTCTTTCTCAGGCTTTGACAGCTTGAAATGGATTTATACGCAGCTACATTTACTCTTTTCTTCATGTCACTGATGGACAATGAGGGCACATTAATGGGTCTTTATTACTACAAAGTCAAGTTTCTGGCACTGAAGGATTTCCACAATTTAGCTCCATTTTACCTCTTCAAATTTATCTCATACTCCTCCCCATAAAAATTTTTCTATCTAAGCCGGAGTAGACTTTTACTCGATTTTCCTGAATACACCTTGAACATTTAGATGCATATGTATCTTTCTTCCCTTCCCTACAACTCTCTTAACTATCCAAATCCTTCTCATTGTTAAGACACAGCATTATTACTGTTATTTTTATTGGCTAATATTTATTAAGTGCCTTCTATGTGCCAGGTAGTGTTCTAAGTATATTACATGTCACTTAATCTTCATAAGCCCTGCAAGATATTTTATCATTATCTCTATTACCAAGATAAGAATACATATTTATCTTTCTTCTCTAAGTAGACCGTACACTCTTGTATGATATGGATTATGCCTTGTACTCTTGTACTTCTTTGTATAGGCATCTACTTAAGCAGAAATTCAACGAGCATGTATGGATTGATTGCCTTTTCATTCTTCTTTTGTTTCTGTAAGCTGGCATAATGCTCACTTCCATTAAATGTATCACTATCAAACTGTAAAGTAAAAAAGGTAACTTAAATGCAGTATATGTAGGTATTTTTAGAGACCTGAGTCCATCTGCAGACACATCGTACAGATTCTGCATGCTAAAGAACAAGAATGGCTGAAGTAGTAGGGTTTGAGTTCTTATAAATAAATCCTTAGGACTACTAGGATCATGACATCTTTTGATCATTCTTAAGGCCACTGTTAGCAACAGTGAGAAAATTCATGTAAATTGGAAATTATGAATAAGTGCACGCAAATAACATCCATAAGACATGATAGTAAATTTAGCCTTGTTTTGCAGATTTCATAAGACACTGCTATAAGGAGAGAAGAGAAACTCAGGAAGTCCTATTTCTTTACTGCAGTTGTTGTACAGGAAAACTTTTCTTAGATATAAATCAACATCCAATGGTATCACCTTCCCCTACTGGAAGAAATAATCATTTGGGATGTCTACAAAATAAAATATGCTTCCAGGGACTTTCTTAAATTATATGACTATGGTAAATAGCATTTATTTTTCTCCTTGATCTCTTGAGGATATAGCACAAATATTTAAATCATTTCTCTCTCTTATAACATATTTAGCTAAGTCCAAAGATAAAAGAAAGACTTACAAGAAATCACTAAAGGAACAGCAAGTCAACTTCAAGTAATAGTCGAGATTAAATCACAAATAATGGGAACCCATGTACTTTTAAACAAAAGTAACAATTTAAAAAATTACTTTCTGATTAACTTACGAAAATAAAAATTTTCAGCCGGGTGCAGTGGCTCCCGCCTGTAATCTCAGCACTTTGGGAGACTGAGGTGGGCAGATCATGAGGTCAGGAGATCGAGACCATCCTTGCTAATACGGTGAAACCCCATCTCTACTAAAAATACAAAAAATTAGCCAGGTGTGGTGGCAGGTGCCTGTAGTCCCAGCTACTCGGGAGGCTGAGGCAGGAGAATGGTGTGAGCCCAGGAGGTGGAGCTTGCAGTGAGCTGAGATCACACCACTGCACTCCAGCCTGGGCAACAGAGCGAGACTCCATCTCAAAAAAAAAAAAAAAAAAAAAAAAAAAAAAAAATAAATAAATAAATAAATAAATAAAATAAAAATAAGAAAATAAAATAAAATAAAAATTTTCATGCTTGTATGTGCTGTTATCTTTTTTAAAGGCTAAAGATGCTGAGGTTTTCAAATTAGCTTGCTTATGGTTAAGCCTGAAAACCAGAAAGGCTACTATGTAGATTAAACCATATGCTTAATTCATAAAGGGAAATAAAAAAAATGCTAGTGCATAGCACATTCCAGTAAAGGGGAGAAAAAAAGGTTAATCAATTCAACTCAATTTTAGCTGAGGGCATTTTTCCATGACTACTGAACCCTAGCATGTGTCAGGCAGCTAAAATTACACTAAAATGTGTAAGTTCTGTTGTTATTTTAGAGATAATCCAGGAAGCAAAACAAAGCCAAAAATTCTCTCTGCATTTTTAACATAAAACGCTTTAATTTTCAGTCAAGTGTATACTTTTTTTTTGTTTTAAGACCTTTTTGTATTGTCTCCTCTTTTACATATGTTTGAAAGTTTCCATAACAAAAAGTAAAAAAAAAAAAAACCAATATGATTTTATATGTATTTATATGTATTTTCAAGACACTATTCACCCTTTAAAAACAATTCTTACCAGTCTCTGTTTCTGAAGCTCTTCTCTAAGAATTCTATCTTCTGGTAAAACGTCACATAACAAAAAATAATTCTCTTGTTCTTCTGTTGAGAGATTAGGAAAACAAATAAGAAAACAGATATTAACCATTTTTTCCCCAGAAGGACTTATTTCTTAAAAAATACAGATGTGTGTGTCTATTAGGATCTCTTTGGCATAGAACTGTTTTAGCTTTATTCAAGTTAGGCAAAATAAACACATCAATTTAATTTTATCTATCATGAAAGTAAAAGTAATTCTAATATAAGACAGTAAGATTATTCCTTTGAATTTTTATACTGTAGGGAAAAGATGGTAGCCAAGATGTACACTTACCAAATGGAGCAGTGGAATTAATTCTTATTACACTACAAAAATCTGTGATGGGCTGTTCAGTGAACCTTTTCCTCCAATATAAAATGTACCTTAGAACAACATAAAATAAGGAACGATGAGAAGATTCAATATACTATTTGCTTTAGAATGACAGGAATCTATAAGCACATTCACTCATCCCAAAGCAACAAATCAAATGTTAACTTAAAACTGCTTTTCTAGCAGTTTTTTGTGAATACAAAGGCAGTGGAGCATTATAGAAGTATCAAATAAAGATTTAATAAAAAGGAATTACCATGTAAGGGCATGAAAATGACTAAACTCTACTATCCCCAAATTCAATAAACAGACATATAGGAAAGTTAAAATGAATTATTTTTATGTGATAATGAATTTTTCTGAAATAACACCTAAGTTTATGTGTCTTTAAAATACAATAACGATTAAATAGGCTATGACACACTCTGCAGTAAAGAGAAAACTAAGTGGTTATCTTATGTATCAAAAGAACAGAGGTCAGAAGAATAATGCAATGAGAAATCAGTCTAAATTCAATATCAATATAACAAGACAGAAAAATTCCATATGTCTACACTGAGTCTGAAATGAGGCAAATTTAGACTTTGGAAAAATAGCCTAACTTACAATTCTTGTATCTAATGAGCAGAGTTAGAAGCAACACACCAGCTAAATTAAAAACCAAAGCCTAACACCCAGACCTACATATGTGATGAAAGAGGGAGTAAGATGACAGGATTTAACAAGTGGTTTATCTTTCCATTTATCTAACAAGATTTATATTGGCAACTGCAATCTCATTTATTGAATGGTACCAAGAAGAGAGTGTTATCTTCATAGAGAGAGGAAAAGGAAAGCTTGATTCTATAGCTCCCAATTTATCAGGCCACACAACTGAGGGACAAAACAAGTAACTTACACCAAAGAACCAAAAAAAGAAATGGGACTTATTGAAATAGATGAAGAATATAGAAAGAGTAGAAATTTGGACATTTTAAATGGCTTGACTTAGCACATCTAGGAATGTTTTGGATATATTAGGTCCACAGTAAATGTTTTAAAGAAGTAGAGAATTTGAAGATTCCTGTAAAGTTCTCTAAGTAGTCCCCAATTCCCAATATTTTGTCTCCTTTTTATTATTAATTTTTTTCTTAACATTAATTTTCCAATACCATGGTGCTCTATGGAAAGGGCATTTGTGTATTAGAAGTCTGTGCTGGAGAGAGGTCTGGGAGAAAGAGATAAACATGACACGAGCTGACATCAAATAAAAATACACTGAATGAATATAGAATATGTAAGAAAAAGAAGCCAATGAATAGTGTATAAAAATAGAATCCCATGTTTAAGTTTTTCTTCTCCTGTACAACCACACTGTTAACTTTGATGGGTAAGTAAGGGGAGAACCCTTTCCTTATAAAACAGTGCTAACTTGTATTCTAGGAGATCTTAAAATGGCAATCTTAAGCTCCCATTGAGCCTTAAACCACAAATATATAAATGATGCACCCTACTCCTTGGCTAACTCACTGGCTTCCATATTAGAAATCTCAGAAGAAGGCAAGTGCATATTGGATCCATCACAGCAGATAAATAGAGAAAAAGTACCTACAAAAGGCTGGGACATTATTTCCTTAGCCATCCTGGGCCAGCTTCAACACGTTGTACTCCTCAGTCTCCTACATGGCTACTCCTAGTCTCTATCTTTCCATTCCTCACTAGTTGCTTTCCCCACCACCCCATGGTAGAGAGGAAAAAAGGGGAAAGAGAAGACAAGAGGAGGCTTAAGAGAATAAAAATGACATTCCTAGTCCTTTTCTTATTCTCCCCCAAGCACATTTTCTATTACAAAGTGGTGACAGGGATGAAGGAACACAGTAGAACCTGTATTAGAGATGTTAGAACAGAAGATGGATTATTCCTCTAAATTGAAATATAGACATCTATTTTCATGATTAATCAAATTTATACATGGCAGAACCAGGTGCTAAGATAACTGACTTCAAAAGACAGGAAGGCCAAGTTCCCTCTGGAGGTTCCCTACTGCTACTGCTAGAATACACCAAGGAGTGGATCGTCAGTCCTGGTTGCCACTCCATTGAGGACTATCTGGATGGTATCCTCTAGACAAAACGGAGACTAGTGGTCAGCCCTATATAATTAGTTCCATTTTGGGTCTAGAGCCTGTTGAAAGGCAGTGATAACTCCTTGAATACACAGACTACTTTACTTTGGAAAATGTTCACAGTCTTAGAAAAGTATCTGTGTGAAACCATGTGGAACAGATGACCAGGCAAGAGCTTGGATCCTCGTGAACAGACTGCTCTTTGAATTATTAATGACTTTTTTTTTTTTTTTTTGAGATAAGATCTGGCTCTATTGCCCAGGCTGGAGTGCAGTGGAGTGATCTCAGCTCTCTGCAACCTCTGCCTCCTGGGCTGAAGACATCCTCCCCACCTCAGCCTCCCGAGTAGCTGGGACTATAGGCACGCACCACCATGCCCAACTAATTTTCCTATTTTTTTTGTAGAGATGGGGTTTTGCCATGTTGCCCAGGCTAGTCTTGAACTTGTGAGCTCAAGCAATCTGCCCGTCTTGGACTCCCAAAGTGCTGGGATTACAGGTGAGAGCCACTGTGCCTGGCCAATGACTTTTTTTTAAATGGACAATCAATATTGTCCCTTGCTTATCTGCACAGATCTTATGCTAGAAGCAGTTTTGCTTTTTAAATTAAGACAGTGGTCAAAGTATCATAGTTAATGTATTAATTACCACCCCGGAGGCAATGGTGAATAGAGAAGCAAGGACTTTGAATTCAAAGGTATGAACCTGAACTTAAAGTTATTTAATCTTTCTGAAACTCAGTTTATTCATGTGCAAAATAAATTGTTGATAATTAAATAGAATAATGCATGTAAAGCACGCTGTCCAAAATTCTGGGTGTTTAATATATATGACAGTTATTACTATAAGAAAAAGTAACATATTTAAATAAGACTAAGGTAGTGAATAATTTATATTTATCCCAGGGAAATAATGAGACACACAACAAAAACAACAACAACATTTCAGCAAACATTTGATGAAAAAGACAAAATAGTTATATTAATAGCGTCAGAGGGCACATATAGGTGGCTAAAGTGGTAGAAGAGAAGAATGATGATAGTGACAATAATGACAATTATTAGCAGCTACCATTTAATGAGTCCTTACTTGCCCAAGGTCAATTAAAATGTTAGAATTGAGATGTGAACTTTGTCTCTCTGGCTCCAAGGCCAAACTCAATCTTCTACAACACAGTTCCTCTAGTGTCATGTGGGGACGAATCGGTACAAGAAATGCAGAAAAGGGAAGGCAGGGACAGGAAAGAGCCCCTATAATTAAAGTTGTAATAGAGAGTTGAAGCATTTTTTTCCCCTCAGAGACCAATGAGGTCACATAGAATGCTTTTTGACAAGGCAGAACCAGAAGTACAGAAATGAAGTCTGAAGAGGAAGAGAATGTTTTCCCCTTCCGAAAGGCATACTACTTAACAGTAGCCCTCAGTCTGAACTGCTCCTAAGTTGCTACCTAAGGGCTGAAAATTGACACCAACTGTTTGGGGCTGTTTTGGAACTGCTTAACTAGGCAAGGAAAGGGTGCAGAGAAGTTCCACTACAGAGGTAACAGGAGCCTGATTCCAATAGTCAGTGGGTCTCAGTTTCCAAAAACTTCTATGTTTGAGTACTGTCTCTTTGATGTCTGAAGAGAAGAATCACATGACATGCTTACTTTCCATCAGAGTTTACTTCAAGGTGATATGCACATGGGAAGAAATTACTGACATCAATTAACTTAGAATCATGGGGAGATTCTGCCTGGCAGAACCTCGGTTGCCCTCCTCAAATAGGAAGTGTTTCCCATGGGATAAAGCAGGTAATAGGTTGGTCCAAGAGGAACAAAGTTGTCATTTGAGTGTTCTCTTCCTAACCAAAACTTGGGTGACAACAACATCAAAGAAAAAAAAATCATCTGTTACAAAGCAAAATATAACCATAAACCATCATACAACTTAAACATATAAAATTAGGCATCATATCTTACTGTGGTATACTATAGACAACAACAACAACATACATTTGACCTATGTCTAAATTTGAGTAAAGAAACATCCTAGTTATTAAACACATAATAGTGGTTTTTAAGCTTATAATTAAGAGGTGTCAATATATACATTTCCTTTCGGATGGTATGGGCATTCAGATAAATTGTAATCAACTGAGTGATAGAATAAAGATAGCAGATCTTCAGTACATGCTTCTTGTGGCATTTTTTCCCACTCACTAGAACACTGTTCAAATTTAAGAGCTCATTTAGTACTTCTCTTCTGTATTTTTCCTACTTCTCTAGTTTACTGAAAGCTACAATTGCAGCTACTCAATATATAAAGGCCACTAAGAAATAACATGTGGTAGGAACTCTATTTGGATGAGTTATCAAAGTATTTCATACTTCATTAAAAATCTATAAAAGTAATTACTAGGTCATCAGCAAATACTTTTTTTCTTCCAAAGGAACTTCAAATCATGTCTCACAGAATTGTCTCACAAAAAATCCTTGTTGCAATATCTTGCCTGCCCACCCTCACTGTAATTGGTATGGTTATTGACATAGTCATAAAGGTTTGAAATATGGTTGTTAATTAAGTAGCAGTGAATGTGTGGAATTTAATATAGAAAAGGGTAAGAAATAAGAAGTTAACATTTATTTTCCAGAGCAATTTTATCTACTGAATAAAGCTAGCAAATAGCTCAGTATAAATAACTATGTTAAATGGACTCAATGGAAAGATTTTTATTTTTGTTTTTATTTCTCCTGCCCCAGGAAGTTTTAGTGTTATTTTGTTTCATAAAAAATTATATATTTAGTATGAAAACTTATAGCTTACTTCTTGTAAACCACAAGGTAAGTCCATCTCTTATTTATTATCATCTTCATTATCTATTGTACTCAGAAGCAACAATTCCTCTTGAGTTCTGAGTGAATGTGTTCATGCCAAATAAATCTCTCATGTTCCCTCCTCCCAACCCTACACCTTATACCTTGTCTTCTAAAATTAGAAACAAGTTACATGATGTTGAAAAGATTCCAACTTAACTTTGATCATAACAATCAATACCTGGATTGTTTGGGAGAGGAATTTTTAGTTTCCTTAAGTAGTAGGAGGTTATTATCTAAAGAAGACTGGATACAGTCAAAGGTATTTAAAAGCAACAGAGTTTACTCAGATACATGCCTGATCAATCAGAATTAATCACATTTATACTTGCTGAGAGTGAAAATTTTACTTAATTAGAAGGACAGTTGACAAGGAAAATCTAGGTTTCCATATTTCAAATACATGTTAAAGATACACTTTAGAAAGCACTTATATCAGATATGCATCCTTTTCTTTTTAATTAAAGCATCCATTTTATTGTATATCTGCATTTAGAGCATGAATAATCCCAGCATTTAATTACTGACTCCTAAGTCCCGAGACCTAGTAAATAATTCAATTTTTCTGCCCACGTATGCATATTAGGATAATGAGATTAATAACAATGATACAAATAGAGAGATTGATTAGTACAAATATAGCTACTTAACTATGACACATAAGCACAAAGGAGAATACAAACTCTGATTCAGACATTCCTCACATACTTTACGGGCAGAGGAGAAAGAAAAATCTTAAACTATTCAATTATCACTGGTAGTTAATACTGTTCTTCTGCAATTCCTGAAGGAAAATTTGTGTTTATATGATAAAAGGGAATAAAAGAACAGTTTCATGGCTAGGCACGGTGGCTCACACCTGTAATCCCAACACTTCAGGAGGCCGAGGTGGGTGGATTGCTTGAGCCCAGGAGTTCTAGACCAGCCTGGGCAACATGGTGAAACCATAAAAATTTAAAAACATAAAAAATTAGGTGCAGCGCACCAGCATGGCACATGTATACGTGTGTAACTAACCTGCACAATGTGCACATGTACCCTAAAACTTAAAGTATAAGAAAAAAAAAAAATTAGCCAGGCGTAGTGGTGCATGCCTGTAGTCCCAGCTACTTGGGGAGGCTGAGGTGGAAGGATTGCTTGAGCCAGGGAGGTGGAGGTTGTACTGAGCCAAGGTCGTGCCACTGCACTCCAGCCAGGACTCAAAAAGAAAAATAAAGGTTTCATATTAAAGAAAAGCTGACTAATAGAAGCCTTAGGAAAGAATAACCTATGTAGTATTTCTTTCAATGGTTGAGTATGAATTAGAAGATCTCTAGCCTAAGAAGTGTCTGAAACAAAATCAACAGATCTCACCACATATAACTGGGTTGCATATAAGAAAGCTCCCAGAATACTCTGAGAATAAAGACATACACACACATATATTTTAATGAGAATAAAGAATAACAAATGATAATGAGGAGCAGAGAGTATGTCCTATGAGAGCATGTAGGGAATTAGTTTATTTTAGCAGTTGGCAATATATATCATTCAATTAACTGTCCTCCTATCTCTGAGACCTGATAAGGCAGCACCAAAATCTCTTGAAAAATAGTAGTGCTGAGTCGATATAAGGCAACATACACAGAAGGCACATGGTAAATATTCAGTATTGGTGCTAGGCAATAAGGACAGAGATGAAGGCTAGAGAATAGTTATCATTACCCCTGTGGGTATGCTGGCTATTCCAACTTAAACTATCTTTCCAAAAATTTAGATTATTTAGAAACTTGAATGAAATTTTCTCAAAAGCTATATTTTACAAATGATAATTAGGTTTTTAGATTAGCATAAATACAAATGGAAAACTCAAACGATAGCTGCAGAAAACTAAGATTTCAAATATACCTTCGGTGATAAAAATACAAATAAAATTTTGCATTTTATCTACCATTTATCAGGTACACATGTCTCAGGCACTAGCAGATGCTACACATACTCTTCTTTTTTTTTTTTTTTTTTTTTTTTTTTTAAGAAAGGCAGACTGCCACATGCAGCACTTCATTTGGATGTGTCTGGAATCTTGGAAGCTTGACTACCCTATGTTCTCCTACAAATGGACTTGAGAGCTTGTCTGGAGGTTCCAGCAGGGAAGCGCAGCTACTCGTATACCCTTGACCAAAGACTGGTCCTCTTCTAGTGGAGATGGTTGTCCTCTTTGACTGAGAACACAGCTTTGGGAGGCATGAACATGGAGTGGTGAGGGAGGAAGGGGACAGCCACTTAGCCAGCCAGATCAGCCGAATCAACCCTGGCGATTAATGGGGTGACAGATGTCACAGCCAGATCGCCCTCACATTCCATACTTTGTTTTATGTAATATTCAATAACCATGAGGGCTGGTGTTACCCCCATTTTATAGATGAGAAAATCAATGCTTAGAGTAGTTAGGTAGCTTGGCAGGAAATCACAAGATTAGGAAGTGTGAAAGCCTGCACTCAACCCCAGGCTTTCCTACTTTCATAGTCAGCTCTTAATAATACAGCTTGCTCTTTTGCAAGACCTATCATAAGAAAGAAGCTGTTTGCTAGGAATGTTTTATATGGCCTGGGAGAAACAGAGTTTAGATGCAGGGGTATTCAATGTCTGGGCTACTACAATGTTTTATGGGGAAATCAGGACAGAATACCTCAAAATGGGACCTTACCAGATACACCAAATTTTATGCTTTCAGTAACTATACAGGGAAGGTATTTCTCTTGGACAACTACTTCCAGAAATTATAAATTGGGAAAAAAGGAATCAACCTCATCACAACATTTAAACTGAGATTTGTTTGGGCAATATCCTTTTGGCTTGAAAGTCTCCAAGGATCCCATTCCCAAACACTGCCTTTTGAGTGTCCTGTTGCCAAGTCTATTCTGGAATTACTGGAAGGACCCACTCAGAGAATGTCTATGGCCTAAAACATGAGACATAATCTGGGAGACATCAATAAGATCTACAATGTCATGGAATGCTGCAAAGTGAGTATTATCTACTCTTTGGAAAGTTCATCTCTTTAGAGAACTTATAGAAAATAAATTAGTATGTGACATTCTCAAACTTACAGACTCAAGAAAAATAATGTAAAGATTTTTTTAAAGTCTGAGAAGTTGGCTGGGTGCAGTGGCTCATGCCTGTAATCCCAGCACTGTGGGAGGCTGAGGTGGGCAGATCACCTGAGCTCAGGAGTTCGAGACAGGCCTGGCCAACATGGTGAAACCCCATCTCTACTAAGAATACAAAAATTAGCTGGGCGTGGTGGCAGGTGCCTGTAATCCCAGCTACTCAGGAGGCTGAGGCAGGAGAATCGCTTGAACATGGGAGGCAGAAGTTGCAACAAGCTGAGATCGTGCCACTGCACTCCAGCCTGGGTGACAATAGCAAAACTCCATCTCAAAAAAAAAAAAAAAGTCTCAGAAGTACAAAAGAGTTGTAAAGTTTTTTTTTTTAAGTCTAAGGAGAAACCTGAAAATGAATATGAATTTTCATATTTGTATGGGAATTATTTTATATATAGATTATGTCACTCCTTTAACAAACAATACATTTAATTCTCTTTCTTAAGAGACAGGGTCTCATTCTGTCACCCAGGCTGGAGTGCAATGGTATAACCATAACTCACTGCAGCCTCGAACTCATGGGTGCAAGCAGCCCTCCTGCCTCAACCTCCCAAGTAGCTGGAACTACAGGTGCATGCCATTGATCCTAGATAATTTTTAAATTTTGTTTTTAGAGCTGGCATCTTGAACTACTACTGGCCTCGGGTGATCCTCCCACTTTGGCCTCCCAAAGTACTAGGATTACAGACATGAGCCACCACACATGGTCAAATTTAATTCTTTTAAGGACAAAAACAGAACTTACCTTTGGAAATCAGCAACCAACTTGACATCAGCTATGACAATCTTATGCTCAATAATCATGTGCTTCAGAAGTTTGTCTTGTTCAGCCACAGGAAAATGTTCTTCACAGAAAATACAAGGCACAGATGGAGAACCTTCTAAAGTGGTGGTGCCACCTGGACTTTCTGGCAGGGAAAGCGGCTCCAGGATACAATCCTTACTGTCTGGAATAGACCAAAAAAAAAAAAAAAAAAAGAAAGAAAGAAAAGCTGAAACCAACTCTTCATATGGATGATTTCCCACCTCCTGCATTAAAAAGATCCTAAAGATATTTACATGTCTCCAAAAAGAAAAATACATAGTGCTGGAGAGTAGGATACTTTATTATCATTTTAAACAGTGTTTGTAGCCCAGAGGCAGGGAGTATTGCAAAGCAGCTCAAACCCCTCATTTGCTTGCTTGAATGGGGGAAACCCATTTGTCAGGGCAGCTGTTCAAGCCTTCTTCTTGGACACTGGCCAATGGCAGCAATTCCCGGGGTACTTGCAAGGGGGAAGGCTGCAACACTCTGGGTTAAGGTTCTAAGGCTCAATTGTGACCTATGGCTAAGAATCATCACACCAAGGGAATAAATGGTATACATTAAGGCGACAGATGATGCCAGGCCTGTCTGTTAAGTTGCTTCCTGTCGCATCTGCAAACTCTTTCCTGTTTCTGATTATTTGTCACAAACAAGAACAAAGCTCTCACGCTGGGTAGACACAGTATGTGCTGGGTGGCCCTCATGGCAATTTTCTATGTTGACTTATGTTTATCATTTGCCTATTACACAAGTATGCATTACAATTCAGGCTTCTGTGAACAAATAGATGACTGCTCGATCACTAGACATATGTGATGTGGTAAACATTTTTCCTGGCTATATTATTCCTCTTCCTAACATCTTCTACAGCATCTTTAAGAGCTGAAGTATGTGTAAAGTCTATGTCTCTCATTTCAGAGCCTAAAACCACAGCCAGTCGTGACAGTAGCCCCCTTTAGTCTGCCAGAGTGGACGTCTACACCTGTCACCTTATACAGGCTATTTAGTAGTTAGTAATCAGGAAACTGGGGTAAAGAAACTAGGGTAAGGCCTCTGGCATTTGCAGAAAGTCAGGCAACCTTCAGAAAGAAGAGAACCTTCTTCAGAAAGAAAGACACAAAAACTAAGCCACAGACAAGTTTTCAGAATTAGGTTAATATTAGTTCTCCCGTTAAAGTTTCCTATTTTTTTCCCTTACTTTATCTTCTTTTTAAAGGTTTTCTTAATTTATGAATTAATTGAATCAGTCACTGGTACACTGGTGACCATGGCTTGAGAATTATGTAAGTGCGGTGGCTCACATCTGTAATCCCAGAGCTTTGGGAGGCCGAGGTGGGCGGATCATGAGGTTAGGAGTTTGAGACCAGCCTGGCCAACATGGTAAAACCCCGTCTCTACTAAAAATACAAAAAATTAGCCAAGTGTGGTAGTGTGTGCCTGTCATCCCAACTACTCGGGAGGCTGAGGCAGGAGACTTGCTTGAACCTGGGAAGTGAAGGTTGCAGTAAGCTGAGATGGCGCCACTGCACTCTAGCCTGGGTGACAGGGCTAGACATCATTCCAAAAAAAAAAAAAAAAAATTTCCTATTTTTTTTTTCTTACTTTATCTTCTTTTTAAAGGCATTCTTAATTTATGAATTAATTGAATCAGTCACTGGTACACTGGTGACCATGGCTTAAGAATTATGTAAGTGTGGTGGCTCAAGCCTGTAATCCCAGCACTTTGGGAGGCAGAGGCGGGCAGATCACAAGGTCAAGAGATCAAGACCATCCTGGCCAGCATGGTGAAACCGTGTCTCTACTAAAAAAATACAAAAATAAGCTGGGCGTGGTGGTGCACACCTGTAGTCCTAGCTACTTGGGAGGCTGAGGTAGGAGAATTGCTTGAACCCAGGTGGTGGAGGTTTCAGTGAGCAGAGATCATGCCACTGCACTCCAGCCTGGTGACAGAGCGTGACTCTGTCTCAAAAAGAAAAAAAAGAAATTATATAAGCAATGTAAGAGGGCAGCATTCATTCATTCACTTAACAAAAATCAACTGACTATCTACAGGGATGTTCGATGTTGCATGATGTTCAGTGCTACCAAGGTTAAAGTGCTCACAGTCTGTTTGAAGGTACAAGTAAGTTAAAAATATAAAGAAATGGAGAATGTACAGGGTTTACAGCAGCAGCGGTTGGGGGAGTCACTTAACTGAGCTGGAGAAGGAAGGTGTCCCATAGAAGAGGGTCTCTAATACATCACCCAAACATACTCTAGTCACATTAAAGTATGCTAAATCAAACTGTTTATTTTTGTTCACAAAATTAATATCAGAGAAGGTGAAAACACATAGGATATACATGACAGTACGGAGAATATTTAAAATACATAAGCCCTTTAGAAGCACTATTAACAAAACTGGTGTTATCAATTACTATATTTATTAAATTAGGTAATGAAATCAAGGAGTTCTGGAATTCTACAGTTCTTCAGTTGTAGGTTATATTTTTTAGTAGTAGGTTAACTTTCATAGGCATTTAAACTCAAATGTGAAAAACAGAATGGAGGAAGAGAGATAAGTAATATACTTATGAAACTCTATGATAGTATTTTACATCCACTAGTATATAGCTACAAAAGGCAGCATATTCTAAATAAAGGTAACATTAGTAATTATTACCTGCCATGTAGGAAATAACAAGTACTATATTACATCCTTTCCACAGATTTAATTGAGATATACAGAAATTTATTGGTTTGACTGCTGAAAACAAGCCTATGGTATTAATAATAATCAACAGCACAACTAACATTTATCAGCTACTTGCTATTTGCAAATTACCTGCAAGGTGTGTTAGGACATTTTCCTAATTAATTCTAACTATCTTATTCAGTAGTACTACCATAATCCAATCTTCCAGATGAGAGAATCAAGATTTAGAAAACTTAACTAAGTTCCCAAAGTCACAATGTTAGTCAGTAGCCTAAACATTCTGAGTTGAGCCTAAACTCAAACACTATGCTGTTCTGCTCCCTGTACCAAATGGCATTTCTCCAACTGTTTCTTCTTTAGTATGTATATTTGGTGCTGTGAAGTTATATATATACATTTATAAGCTACTTTGTCTTTATATGTACTCTGACAATGTCCTCCAGTCTCCCTAATACCCCATAGCAATTCTTATGCAAATATCAGTAGCCCACATTGTCCAAAAATCACTAGAGTACAGTTCATCTCCATAATTTTCTTTATTTTTTCCCAAGGTTTTATTGCAGTCTATTATTCCTCTGTGGTTCACTTGTTTTTCCCTTTTGTATGTCTAATGCTCAGTTTCTCTTTTTTCAAATTGTTCCTAAGAGAATGGACCTAAATATTCACACATATGAGAACCAAACTGCCTGTGGTTACTGCAAAGGTCTAGAAACAAAATCATGAATATGCAAATTTCATGCAAGAGAAACTTGTGGTTTGCGAGGTATTAAGTTGTATTTGGGGGCTTGAGTTAGTATGTAACAGAGTCTCACTCTGTTGCCCAGGCTAGAGTGCAGGGGCACAATCTCAGCTCACTGCAACCTCCGCCTCCCAGGTTCAAGCGAGTCTCCTGTGTCAGCCTTCCGAGTAGCTGGGATTACAGGTGCCTGCCACTACACCCTGCTAATTTTTGTATTTTCAGTAGAGACCAGGTTTCGCTGGCCTGGCTGGTCTCCAATTCCTGACCTTAAGTGAGCCTCCTGCCTTGGCCTCCCAAAGTGCTGGGATTATAGGCGTTAGCCACGGCACCCAGCCAGAAAATAAGTTTTAATATAACATTTTTAGATAAGAAGATTTTAAAGTTTTCTCTGATTCCCAAATGATTTTTTGGCACCTTGCTCAAAATTATAACAGCATTGATCATATGGAGTAATTTGTTTATCTCTTCATCTTCTTTGCCCCACTTCAGGCTGTTAGCCCTTAGAAGGCAAAGTAAGTCCTAGTTGTCTTTATTTACCTGGCATGTACACTGAATTAACCTGCTACCCCACTATGACTAATATAATCATTGTGTATTTATTTTGTGCCAGGCATTGTTAACTTCACATGTACAGTATTAACTCAATTAACCCTCACAATAACCCTATGAAGGAGATTCCACTTCCATCTCTGTTTTACAGATGAAGGAACTGAGGGGGTGAGAGGTGAAATGACCTGCCTGCAGCTATCAAGTGATGAAGCCAGGGTTTGAATCCAACCAGTCTTGCTTACACTTTAGCACTCTTAACTAATACATAAGAGTTTAGATCTTTTCCTATAGGAAGTAAAGCCACTTATGTTCTAAACTGATATGAGAATGGACTGGAAAGAGGAAGGTCTCAATCTAGGGAGACCAGGTGGGAAACTACTGCAGTGTCTAAGCCTGAGGGCTTGTCTGAGGCAGCAGCAATAGCAGTGGATAGAGGAGAGGAGAGGGATAGAGGTTAAATGTACAGTTCTTGATTACTGACTGGCTACAGGGAGTTAAGGCGAAGCCTCCCATGTTCCTGGCTGGGGAGATAGCACAAAATGAAGTGCCAGTCACTAGTCAAGGAATACATGTAGAAAAGCAGGTTTTGTTTGTTTTATGGCAGGGAAGGATAATAAATTATATTTTAAATGTACTCACTTGAGCTGTTCAGAAGTTAGACATTCCTCTTATGTCCGATACATAAGGGCAGCACAGACTGGTGTCTTATGTGATGCATTTGTACTATTCTGTCTTCCAGGCCCTTCTCCAGGTTCTCCTGTGGGCTTGGCCCACCCCATCTCTCCATGCCCAACAAGAGCAAATATCTCTGTTGTAATTAATTATTTATGTGTATACCTCTATTACTGTGCTAGTCTGTGAACTCCTTAAGGTCAAGGACTAAGTCTTATGTATTTTCATGTAGCTGGTGTGGTGGCTCATGCCTGTAATCCCAGCACTTTGGGAGGCCAAGGTAGGCAGATCGCAAGGTCAGGAGTTTGAGACCACCCTGGCCAACACGGTGAAACCCCGTCTCTACTGAAAATACAAAAATTAGCAGGGCGTGGTGGCACAGGCCTGTAATCCCAGCTACTCGGGAGACTGAGGCAGGAGAACTGCTTGAACCCAGGAGGTGGAGGTTGCAGTGAGCCAACATCATGCCATTGCACTCCAGCCTGGGTGACAGAGCAAGACTCCATCTTGAAAGAAAAAAATAAATAAAAATAAATAAAAAAGAATCCAGTGGCCTGGAATAGCTGAAATAGCTATCGAATGGCTGGTATTTGATAAATATCTGCTGAATGAAGACATAAAAGAATGAATAATGGACCGAAGGTACTCAGTTTCTAGGAAAGTCCTGTTTCAGGGAACACCTGTGGCTGTCTTTAGGGGAACTTTCTCTGCCTGAGATTGTGCGTAGTCCAACTATATTTACAGCCAGATGTTTAGTGCTATGGGCCTTGGCGTAACAGGCCCACTAGTAAATAATAAGCAATGATGTAAAAATTACATTGAATTCTAAGATAACAATAAATATTGCTGAGAGTAATAAAAGTATGTTATATTAAATTAGAAATTTTTAAATTATTTTTTCACTCTTCATGTAAGTATACTCCCCAGTAAGCAAGGAACAAGTGGCATTTGGAATTCAGAGTAAGTAATACCACTCTACCAGAGGATGTTTATATGAGATAGACCTGAATCCTGAATACATTTTAGCTTAGAGCAGTGGTTTCCAAATTTGAGTTTTATCACCTGGAGAGCTTTTTAAAAAATACTGACTTCAAGACCTTACTGTAGACTTAGAAAATGTAATTTTTACCAAGCCGTAGTCCCTAGACCACTGCCTGGAAATCAGTGGTTCAGAGGATGATCACACGAGGATTGTGAATATCCTGATCATATAACAGTGTGGGTATTTTAAACCTAAGGAAAAGCCCATAAATTAGGTGACATGGCCTTGCGGCAAGGCTTATCTGACAGTCTATTCTGTCCAACAGAGAGTCTCTAAATTACTAAGCACTGGAGAGCAGACATAATTCAGTAAGATTTGTCTGACAGATTACTTCCAGCTGTCACTACAAGTGTCACATTTATATCTTACTCCATGGTAAAAGACAATAGGGGCTGGGCGCGGTGGCTCATGCCTGTAATCCCAGCACTTTGGGAGGCTGAGGTGGGCGCATTACTTGAGGTCAGGAGATCAAGACTAGCCTGGGCAACACGGTGAAACCCCATCTCCACTACAAACACAAAAAAATTAGCCGGGCGTGGTGGCTGGCACCTGTAGTCCCCACTACTCGGGAGGCTGAGGCAGGAGAATTGCTTGAACCCGGGGAGCAGAAGTTGCAGTGAGCTGAGATCGTGCCACTGCACTCCAGTCTGGGTGACAGAGTGAGACTTGGTCTCAAAAAAAAAAAAGACAATAGATACAGAAATATATAATCCTCTGCCACAGGGACCTTGAACCCTAAAATACAAAAGGAAGTAAATCACGTCTATCCTTTCTCCTTTTAGCAAAGAGGCAAACATCTTGGAAATTCTGCTTTGGCCCTAAATCCACTTTGCACATGTGTTACACATTAACAACAAATTATCTGCTCTAGTTCTCACTTTGAACAGCAACTCTGTTCAAATGAACTGTAAAAAAACACCATTCCAAGGAAGTTGAATTTTTTAGGAGATTCTATGCTGATTATTAACATTTTTATTGATTCTGGGGAAGACCCTCAAAGTGTCAAATTATTATTCTAGGGAAGCGCTTCTCATACTTCTTCAATGTGCACATAAATCACTTGTAGGTTTTGTTAAAATGCAGATCCTGATTCAGTAGGTGTAATGGCCATGGAAACGTGCCATTCAAAGCTCCTGTTGCCATGAGCATAATTGACAAGAGGACCTCAGGTGTGGTGCCCTGAAATCCCATTTGCACTGAAGCTAAGCCTCCCACACGCTGCTCTGAGTCAACAAAAAGGGATTTATATCCAGCATGCAGTTGACCCTCAAAGAACACGAATTTGAACTATGCACATCCAGGAAATAAATTACACAGGAATTTATTTCAATAGAAGTTTACACCTAGTGTGCCCATCTCTCCTGCATCCCCTTCCACTTTGTCCATATCTTCAGCCTCAGCCACACCTGAAACAGCACAACCAATCCATCCTTCTCCTTAGCCTACTCAAGTGGAAGACAATGAGGATAAAGACCTTTATGACGATCCACTTCCACTTCTTGAGTAGTAAATATATTTTCTCTTATGTTTTTTAAAAATATTTCTTTTTTCTAGCTTATTTTATAGTTAGAAATGCCGTATATAATATATATACAAAATACGTGTGAATTGACTGTTATGTTCTGGTCAACAGTAGGCTCCTTACCTTTTAAGGGAGTAAAAAGTTATACACAAGATTTTCGACTAGGCAGGGAGCTGGTGACCCTAATCCCTGAATTGTTCAAGGGTCAGCTGTATATTAAAAACTCATACAACTCAGTAGCATAAAACCCAAATAAACCAAATTAAAAAATAAGCAAAGGACTGGAATACACATTTCTTCAAAGAAGACATACGAACATCCAACAGGTATATGAAAAGGTGCTAATCACCAGGGAAAGGGAAATCAAAACCACAATGAGATATCATCTCGTACCTCCTAAGATGGCTATTACTAAAAAAAACCCAGAAAATCACATGTGTTGGCAAGGATGTAGATACATTGATAACCTTGTGTACTGTTGGTGGGAATGTAAAGTGATGCACCTTATGCTATCAAAACCAATTCGGAGGTTCTTCAAAAAATTAAAAATAGAACTATCATATGAGCCAGCCACCCCACTTCTGGTTATTTATCCAAAAGAATTGAAAACAAGATCTCAAAGAAATATTTGTACTTTTATATTCATTGAAGCATTACTCAGAATAGCCAAGAGGCAGAAATAATAGATGTATAGACAAAGAAAATGTAGTATTTAAATACAATGAATAGTATTCAGCCTTTTTTAAAAGGAATGAACCTTGAAGATATTATAAGAGAAATAAGCCAGTCACAGAAGGAAAACGAACTACACGATTCTACTTATATGAGGTATGTAGTCAAACTTACTGAAGCAGAAAGTAGAATGGTGGTTGCCAGGGCTGGGGAAAGTGGGGAAAAGGGGAATTACTGTTTAATGAGTATGGAATTTCAGTAATGGAAGATGAAAAAGTTCTAGAGATCTGTTGTACAATAATGTACATATACTTAATAGTAGTGTACATTAAAAAATTTGTGAAGAGGATAGATTTCATGTTATGTATTTTTTTTAACCATAATTTTAAAAAATGGAGAGCAGGAGAGAAAAGTCAAGGCTGGAGGAATTATGGTCCCATTACTTCCCATTAACCAACCCTGACCAAGTTATTTAACCTTTCTTAGCCTGTTTCCACAACATAAAATGAATTAATCAAAATATCCACCTGATAGAGTGTTCCACCCGACAGAGTTGTTCTAAGTGTTAAACAAAGAAATTAATGTAAAGCACATGAGTGTCTGACACACATGGTCAATTATAGGTTAGTTCCTATCACTAATCCTGGTAATAAGGAGAATGGTTTTATGTTTGAGGATGAAGAGAGATGGGCATCATATGCACTGATATCTATTAGCAATTCCTATGGATTAATTAAAAATAAACACTCTAGGGCCCCAACACAGATTTAAAGAATTAAATCACATAAGAGTGAAGCCGAGGTTAGGTTGGTGCAAAAGTAATTGCTGTTTTTGCCATCACTTTCAATAAAACAGAATAAGCCTACTTCCCAAATATCTACTATTAGGTCCTGACTATACTGTTGAAATTCTAAGGCTTTTGCATTCTGTTCATCACTTTGTTATTTCTGCAGAACATTAAATTAAGAGACAAGGGAGAAAACACAAGGAAATTTTTGATACAGACATAAGGAAAAGTGAAGGGATTTATATTGATAGCCTCAGTTTTCTGAGAATATGAGATAAGCTCTGTTCATATTGAAGACAAAGGTTAAAAAAAGGGGAAAAGATTTGGAACTACCACTATGGAGAATGCAATCTTTTGGAGACAAAAGATAAAAAACAAATGATCCTATGGCAGTCCTGAAGGCCTAGCTAAGTTAGCCTGCTGCCTTACTTTTAGTCAAACATATGTTTTAGCAATAGATTTGTATTTGGTGCCTAAAAGAGACTGATATTTTTACAATATCTATTCTGGGTTTTCAAACTATGTAGTTTTATATAAACACATATAGGTAAATAAATATAATGATAAGACAAATAGGCTATTTTAAAATCATCTAACCTGATGCTGCTCAACATAACTTTCTGTGATGAAAAAAATGCTCTATATCTACTCTGTCGAACAATGGTAGCTATTAGGCACATGCGGAGATTGAGCATTTAAAACATGAATAGTGAGACTTGGAAATTGAATTTTAATTTAGTTTTAATTAATTTAAATTTAATAGCCACAAGTGGCTATTGACTAGTCTATTAGACAAGACAGATCGAATTTATGCAGATGTTCTTAACCTGAGGTCAGTGGGCACTTGATTGAGAGACTGGGGTTTCGGGAATTCAATGGGAAACTATATAAATACTGTGTGTATGTTAATTTTTTCTGGGAAGAAAGTCTCTTGATTTAATATTAATAGATTCTTGGCCAGGCGTGGTGGCTCACGCCCATAATCCCAGCACTTTGGAAGGCTGAGGTGGGCAGATCATGAGGTCAGGAGATCGAGACCATCTTGGCTAACATGGTGAAACCCCGTCTCTAATAAAAATACAAAAAATTAGCCGGGCTGGTGGCACGCGCCTGTAGTCCCAGCTACTCAGGGGGCTGAGGCAGGAGAATGGTGTGAACCTGGGAGGCGGAGCTTGCAGTGAGCCGAGATCGTGCCACTGCACTCCAGCCTGGGCGACAGAGGGAGACTCTGTCTCAAAAAAAAAAAAAAAAAAAAAAAATCAACAGATTCTTAAAAGGGTTCTGGGGACCCAT
Organism: Homo sapiens; assembly: GCF_000001405.40. Taxonomy (NCBI): domain Eukaryota; kingdom Metazoa; phylum Chordata; class Mammalia; order Primates; family Hominidae; genus Homo; species Homo sapiens. The sequence goes on along the minus strand of NC_000007.14, from coordinate 112,277,043 downwards.
AAAAATTTAAAAATCATGTATCCTGTTACTTATATTTTCTATCATTTGATCCACGATTTTTATTTATAATGTGTAAGTGAATAGTGTCATTCAATTGGGATTTCAAACAACAAAATAACTTACTAAAATAACCATCATTCTGGTTATTCTCATTTTGCAGTCAGAGCAGAAATAGCCTGAAGACAGAACAGGCCATAGTTATACAAGGCATAATATGGAAACTACAGATAAATACCCTTGGTAAATGTAATTCTTAATATCTGGTTATCACAGTGCCTGAAATCTCCACCATTAAAGTTAACCCTTTGGACTACTGTTTCTGGAAGTAACATGTTACCTTTACATAAACACAGCAATTTACTAATAATAATTGCTATAATTAATTTTCTATAATTTACTATAATTAATAGGAGTGGGTTCTAAAATTATGGGGTTATATATTCTGGAAAGTCTCTAATAGGGCTAGATTACTGCATCCTGTCTACAACAAAAATTTATTTGAGAAAAGGCAACAAATTTTTCCACATAGACTCAGGGAAAACAAGTCTTTTGCTCCCCGTCCAAATTTTTATTTTTACATTCTCATTCTATAAAGAAAACTCTGTTTTAGGTGTTAAGCTTTGTAGCATCTTTTGTCATCCGACAGTTTCTAGGGAAGCCCATTTGTTCAATTTATAAGCAAGCATAAGCAATAGCAAAGATGAGACACGCAGGGGTTGAATAAGAATATTTGGCAACTATCCTACCAAAATATTAAAGCTATTAACATGTCCAACCTTTCTAGAAATACCCAGACATTTCTTTCTTATACATTCCCAAGGTACTATCCATCCATCCATCAGATTCCCCCACGATGGGCCGGGAAGTTGGTTATTTCCAAATCTATTCTTTTTGTCTAGAAAACTCTCAATGAGTTCAGGAGCTACTAAAAAATGGACTCAGCAACAAACCATCTGGTAGACTTGAGGTGGACCTCTTTGTAGAAATGGCTTGATTTCCTATCCATACTATGGGTGAATTACATGGTTGACAATACAACACTGATGAAGCTCCTTTCCCTCTTATGTCAGCAAAGCACTGCAGATTCTAAGATTTTGACTGCTGCCCCATTTCCGTGTGGCATTTCTTAGTTTCAAACTACCTAATGATGAAAATGTGGTTAAACTTCCTTTCTCAAGCAACTTTGGTAAAAAAGTGGGAAACTAATGGTGCAATGGTTACATTTCTTGGCTATAGATTATGAATGTTTCTGGTTTATACATGATACCTTCTTAATCAATTTCATAAAGAGGAATCAGTGGTGTCTACGTTAATAATGCAACAGTAACAACGATGTGGAAGCAGCTTTTTGAAATATTATAAATTCATGATAGAAATAAATACTAGGAAGAGAAAATAAATGGATTAAAAACAAATCCCTCTTTAATATGATAAATTATTGATTTATTTGTAGATTTAAATCAGACAAGATTTCTGGTGTTAAAAAATACGCTTTAAAACATATATGGTCAAGTATATTCAGTTCTATAGAAATACTTTCTATAACTCTACTGTTTAATGCCAGTGAGATTTAGAATCTAAAAGGAAATGAAATGAAGGATGAAGGACCATACTATATGTTATATGCTTACTTTACATACTCTTTCACATCAAAGACATTTCATTTTCTCTACTGCTTTTACTGTGCACTACTGAAGATACTTCAGAGCATTCAAATTAAGACTACTACGAGTTCTTACTTTGATAGGGCCAGGACTAGGAATGCTGGGGCTCTAAGTAGAATTCAAGGCTGGGTGTATACTGTGTTTTAAGAGGCAGATACTAATAGGAACTAAATTCTCAATGTTATTTCCTTACTACCAGTAGAAGGAGCAGACATTAGGGATTTGGGAATATAAATGTAGGATGATTTTTCAACAGTAAAGGGGAAAATAAGCAAAAAAGACATTAAAATCCTAATCTTGGTTCTGGTAAATCTAATTAACCAGAATAACCCATTGCAAACAAGCTAGTGATCTGAACAGGATGGCCAATGTAACAAAAGACACTGACAAACAAAAGGCTTTTTGGCAAGAATGGGAACAAAGTGACTGGTAAGTGCTTTTATTTATTTGGTTCTATAGAGGAAGAGATAGAAAAGAAGGGAAGGTAAACTCTGACACAGATAGATTTGATTGGTTATTGGCCTGTGTTATACTTTCTAAATAAGTGATGCCCAATGGAAATTTCACAGTACATTAACAGAGGTTGGATTTAACCTAATTTAATTCATTTGATATGACAGAGTATTACTTTGGAAATAGTAGTCTAGTTAATACTTTAATGAAATGAGTTGGCAACTAGAAAATTGTAAATCACCTATCTGATGCCCCCTATTATAATTAATGTTTTACATAGAATCATAAATTTCTGAGTTATGGGGCTAAGATTATCCCTATTTACAAAATTAAGTAGCTATGACACATTTTTATTTTACTGTTTGATGTCTTAATTCATGAACACAACCAATATTTTAACATAATAAATAGTTTTGTTTTTATGGAACAGATAAAGAATGATTCTTTTTAGGCCTATAAAAGTTAATAAAGGCAGGGTGCTGTGGCTCATGCTTCTAATCACAGCATGTTGAAAGGCTGATGCAGGAGGATCACTTGAGCCCAGGAGCTCAAAACTGGCTTGGGTAACATGGCAAGACTCAGTCTTTACAAAAAATAAAAAATCAGCTGGGCATGGTGGCACACACTTGTGGTCCCAGCTACTTGGGAGGCTGAGGTGAGAGGATTGCTTGGGCCCGGGAGGTTGAGGCTTCAGTGAGCTGTGATCGTGTCACCTCACGCCAGCCTGGGTGACAGAGCAAAACCCTATCTCAAAAAACAAAGGCAAAATGAAAATTAATAAAAAATAAACTTTTGAAAGTACCATATAACCACTCATTTAAATTCTTATTTTTGAACATGTGAATTTCTCAAACTTTTCTAACAAGATATATATATATATATATCTCATACTATATATTAATATATAATTGCTATAAAGCAAGACTCGATTTGAAAATGAAAACTAATAAATTGTCTTTTAGTTCTAGTATATGAGATAGAAACTTTCTTAAATTAGGCAAGTCTTAGCTGATACTCATTTGATCATCACAGTTTTATGAACTTATTTCCCTAGAAAGTAATTCTCCCTTCTAGTTCACTTTCAGGCAAAAGGCTCTGCTAGATACTGAGGAGCAAGCAATTGAAGAAAAAAAATAGAGCTACCTTAACCTCAAATAACCACATTTTTTTTTAGACGGAGTCTCGCTCTGTTGCCGAGGTTGGAGTGCAGAAGAATCTACATCTTTTCCACCAGAGAGGGTGGTTATGTTCACAGACACACCTAACACAACTTTAGAATGTCAGGGAGCAAGATGGTTGAATAGAAGCCTTGACCGGTAATCTTCCTGGCAGGAACACCAAATTGAAAAACTATCCACACACAAAAGAATGCACCTTCATAAGAACCAAAAATCAGGTGAGCAGTCACAGTACCTGGTTTTAACTTCATATCCCTGAAAGAGGCACTGAAGAAGGTAGGAAAGACAGTCTTGAATTGCTCATGTCACCCTTCCCCCATCCCCCAGCAGTGGCCATGTGGCCTGGAGAGAGAATCTGTATGTTTGGTGGAGGGAGAGTGCAGTGATTGTGCGACTTTGCATTGGAACTCAGTGTTGCCCTGTCACAGCAGAAAGCAACACCAGGCAGAACTCGGCAGGTGCACATGGAGAGAGCATTTAGACCATCCCTAGTCAGAGGGGAATCACCCATGCCAGCGGTCACAACCTGAGTTCCAGCAAACCACGGGCTAAAGTGCACTTGGGTCGCAAATAAATTTGAAAGGCACTCAGCCACAAGGACTGCAATTACTGGGCAAGTCTCTGTGCTGTGCTAGGCTCAGAGCCAGCGGATGTGGGGAGCATGTGACCCAGTGAGACACCAGCCACGGTGTCTAAGGAAGTGCTTGTGCCACCCCTGGCAAACAGGCATATGAAAAGTTGCTCAACATCACTGATAATCAGAGAAATGCAAATCAAAACTACAATGAATATCATCTCACCCCAGTTAAAATGGCTTTTACCCAAAAGACAGAAAATAACAAATCCTGGTGAAAATGTGTAGAAAAGGGAATCCTCATATACTGTTGGTGGGAACACAAATTAGTATAGTCACTATGGAGAACAGTATGATGGTTTCTCAAAATACTAAAAATAAGGCCGGGTACAGTGGCTCACGCCTGTTATCCCAGCACTTTGGAAGTCCGAGGTGGGCGGATCACTTGAGGTCAGGAGTTTGAGACCAGCCTGGCCAACATGGTGAAACCCCGTCACTACTAAAAATACAAAAATTAGCCAGGCATGATGGTGTGTGCCTATAATCCCAGCTACTCAGGAGGCTGAGGGAGGAGAATCGTTTGAATCTGGGAGGCAGAGGCTGAAGTGAGCCAAGATTGTGCCATTGCACTCCAGCCTGGGCGACAGAGGAAGACTCTGTCTCGAAAAAATAAACAAAGAAACAAACAAACAAAAACAACTAAAAATAGAACTACTATGTGATCCAGCAATCCCACTGCTAAGTATATACCCCAAATAAAGGAAATCAGTATATTGAAGAGATATCTGCTGTTTGTTGCAGCACTGTTCAAAATAGTTAAAATTTGGAAGCAACGTAAGTGTCTGTCAATGAAGGAATAAAGAAAATGTGGTATACACAGTAGAGTACTATTCTGCCATAAAAAAGAATGAGATCTTGTCATCTGCAACAATGTGGATGGAACTGGAGGTTATTATGTTAAGTGAAATCAGCCGGGAACAAAATGACAAACTTTGCATGTTCTCCCTTATTTGTGGGAGCTAAAAATTAAAACAATTGAGCTCATGGAGATAGAAAATAGGATAGTTACTAGAGGCTGGCTAGTAGGGGGTAGGGGGAAGGGAGTATGGTCAATGGGTATAATTATAGTTAGATTAAATAAGAGCTAGTATTTCACAGTACAACAAAGTGATGATACTGTGTAACAATGTACTGTACATTTAAAAATCACTAAAAGTAAAATTAGAATGTTTGTAAGACAAATAAAGGATAAATTCTTGAGGTAATGGATATTCCATTTATCCTGATGTGATTATTATGCACTGTATGTGTGTATCCAAATATCTCATTTATCCCATAAATACCTACACCTAGTATGTACCCATAAAAACTTTCTTAAAATTAAAAAAAAAAGAATGTCAGAAGCATCAGAGGAGAAAAAAAGAACCAAGTATAATTTTAAGATAGCCCATATCTAGCAAGTAAGATACTAAATCACTAGATTCATGTCCTCCATTTCCAGTTACATGCCTGCCTGCTAAGGCAGGTGGTTTGGCCTTACTTTGAAGTATTTAATAAATCCTTTTTCTTCAAGTTACTTGGACCCATCAGGATTTGGGCTGCTTTTAAAAAATGTAGTTATAAGCAGTCTTTTAAAGCTCCTGCAAAACACCTGAGATTCAGTCATGTTCAGGACACTTAAAAAATATAATTCTCCAATTTATTTGTCTACTGACAATTACTCTATGTTCTCAGTGACATTAAGTATCATAAATCCCATCTCCATGATGTAACAGAATCCTCTACAAATATGTGACCACATCAGAAAGATCACTTGACTTCAAAGAGGAAGGATGAGGGAATAAAATGATGCTGGACAATAAAACAAGACACAACAGATTTTATTCCTAGCATTTTGGATACGGTATTAAATTTCCTGTTTTACATAACAAAAATAAATCCAAAAGGTGATAGAAATCTCGTATCTCTGAAAGAATAGGTTGTCTAGTTTACATAAATGGTACATGTTGCAAATTACTCATAACAATTAACAATGAATTCTGCCAGCAGTTAATCTGATTAGCACTAGCTTCAATGGAATGTCTAAATGGAACTTTACTGAAAATGACATCCTAATGAATACCATTATTTTTACTTTCAGGCAACAATTCTCAATCCTAACAGTATGTATGAATCAACTTGGGAGCTTTGAAAATATGCTGATTTTTTTACACAGAGATTCTAATGTATGGCTGGGATATGTTTTGTATTTTATTTTATTTTTATTTTTATTTTATTTTTTGCTACTCCCAGCTGCTTAGACAGAGATATGCTTTATGTGAAAGCACAAACCACTGTTCTAATGAAAACTTGATATGATCAATTTTATAACTTTATAAGTTAGTATAAGAAGATAGACACTATGTAGAGTAAGAGTTAAAAAATGGTTTCTGTTTTTAGGAAAACATATTACCTTTTCTATAGGTTTTGGAAGAAGAAATATTTTGTGATAGATATTATATTTTGTAGATACCTGATAAAAAAAGAAATGATTATTTATGAAACATAATTAGACTACAGTCTTTATTAATATATGTTCCTTTGAGTCTGCTCATATATATTTGATAAATTAAAGAATAATGTCAGAATACAATATAAGTTGTATTGGTTCATATGTATTTTTGCCAGCACAACAGTGGTTTGAATCAATCAGGGCCGAGCTTTCTCATTATTAAAAGCAAGCCTCAGCAATACATACAGATCTTTAACACAACTCCTGAAAATTCTAAGTCCTTCCTTATAGCAAATAGGGACATTTTCAAGAAAGCCAAGAATGAGGATGAAGATCCCTCAAAGGCATTTCTTCCTGGGTTTTAAAAACACCTGACTGACAGAGGTCTATACCCAGGGTTAGATATTTAATTTTGATGAAACTGACCTCAATTTGATGTAAGTGCCCCCAAGGACCTACATTTTGAAGAAGGAAGCATGAATCCTAGAATTCAAGGATGCAAAGAATCAACTGGACTACGATTGTGGGTGCAAATCCAGTGAAGAATTAACCATATTACGCTTTTTTTATGGGGATTACTTAACTGGACTGATTCTGGATGCGAATCCAGTGGAGACTTAACCATGTTATTCTTTTTATTAGGATTGCTCTGGTTACAAAGTTCCATTGGTTTTGAACGATCTGTCCCTAGCCCTCTTCCCCCATATGATCTCTATTATTCTTATTGTGTGATTTTGTGGAATGCAAAGTTTTTCAGCAACACAAATATGGTATTAGAGTAGAAGTACCTGAATATAACAAAGTATTTTTAGGGAAGAATAATACACTGGGACAGACAAAGGTATCTACTGGCAAAGTCTGATAATACAGCTCAGCTTCTAGATTTTGATAAACCCTTGATAAAGAAGGTGGGATTAGGGAACAAAGGCATCCCACATATTGAAAAAGTGCTTCTGGTACAGTATATCATGGCTTACAGCTAGAAAGGACCTAGAATCAAAAACCCACTTTAGAGATAAGAAAGCTATGACCCAAAACCTTTTTTTCTACCAAGGCATCCTCTTTAGTGAAGTGCTACAAGTCTTCTTGCATATGCCAATGTCCACTGTGATAAATGACTGGCTATCTTAACTGTTTCTACCTCAAGTTAACAACCATGTTAACAATGAGGCTTTGTACCTCCCTGATACAGTTCCAGTGTTTTTTTCCTGCAAAACAATAATAAAATAGTGTTTGGTTTACCAAAACATGCTTTACAACTAATTGTCCTAGAATAATTTATTCCCCCCAAAATCCAGACACATAAATGCCATACAGTGAGATAAACATATTAAATGGAGAAAGGTAACATAGTACCACTCAAGATTCCCCATCTTATGATTTGGGGTATTCATTCATGGAAAAAAGACACTGATATCAAAGAGATGTAGAGTCTTTTATTTACAGCAAATTGTAAAACAAACAAAAAAAAAACAAAAAAAATCCATTGTATTTTAAAATTTAATTTGATAACGCATCCTAGGAATAAGATCATGAACAAATTCAAGGTCTTGTCATTCATTGTCCATATGGTTCTATACTAATGACTAACAAGAGGCAATTATATTTGAATACTGACAAATCAAGGTGTATCAGTCAGGTATTATCATATTAATGCCAGATAACAAACTGTCCCAACACACAGAAGCTTAAGACAGTAAGTAGTTGTTTAGCTTACACTTCTGTGGGTTGACTGCATGGTGTAGAGATGTAGAATCTTAAAAGTGAAGAAACTCCTCAAAAATCTAGATTAAAACAAAATGCCCAACTGACTGTTTATCTAAAGTTATTAAGTGGCAATCAATGAAACCAAACCAGATGTTTATACAAACCACATAAAACAGATAATCAGTAATCTTAAAAAAATTGAGAGTAAATCAAAATAAGCAAGCCAAGGAACAATTATATGCATTAAAATACACCATGGTTTTGGTACATTTTACTCTGATCTGAAGGTAGGTAGTTATCATGATTCTAAAATATTTTCTACTTTGTGCTTTTAATTTTAAATATGCAAAAAAGTTTCAGGAACAATAATCTATACACTTTTTTTGTACTTCTTGTGTTATAAAATCACTCCAAATTTCTAGTGTTTACCAAATGATCCTATGTGGGCTAATGATCTAGTGTTTACCAAATGATCTCATATGCAAACAGAAAAAGACAAAAAGCAACACATTGTAAGTCCTCAAGGAAGATATAGATAATACTAATTAGGAATTCCAAGCTCCTGAGAAAAACTGTTCTTTACCTCATGGTAAGTCCTATTCAAATTAAACAAATTAAAAAAAAAAAAATTAAGCCCTACAGCTTTCCAGTTCAAAAACTGATTCAAAATACTCAGTCACTAAGCTGTGTTTTGTGTGTGTGTGTGTGTTTGTGTGTGCGTGTGTGTGCATGCAGGCATATGGTATACTTTCCCCCTAAATCTAAAATGAGCTTTTCTTTCCTGAAGGTCAACTCTGCTTCCTTTCCATTTTTGTACTTTCATACATGGTCACTTTCTCTGGACACTAGTTGAAAAGCTGTGACTTACTAAGAGGTATTTTCCTGATGGATTTGATTTATAGGAAAATTAAATTCACTTTCATGGCAAATTGTCATGAGGTACCTTTGACTTTCTAGAATAGGCACACAAAATCATTCAGATTGATATGAATGGGTCTTAACTGGGTCAGAGTTAACAAAAATGCATATCTGTCCCTATAAAAGAAAAGGGTTAGTTCCTGATGCTTGAGAATTTCACTCGTCTGTGGGAGCATCCAGGGAAATCTTGGTGAAGGTCTTGGCTGGGGCAAGCTGCCACCCCTGCTATTTTGAAAGTTCAGTGGGCTGACATCTCCTTTCTGGAAAAAGGAAATATCAATACTAGGGAAAACTTTCTTTCCCTCCATGACTCTCAGGTCCGAAGCCTCAAACCTTCTACTATTTTCCTAGTCAGCCAATATCCCCTAACAGTGAAAAAGGAATAGATAAAATGGAAAAGAGAAGAAAATGAAGGGGATGTTTAGAAGTAGGCAAGAGAAAGAGAGAAAAAAAGGCAGCAAAAGCTAATCACATGCTAGCAATTATTAAAGGGTTGTGCATTGTCCTTTCTGTATTCCCACTTTATTCTCCAATCTTTTCTCATTCTCAATTCTGATTCTATACAGCCTAAAGCATTTAAGAAATAATACCTTTCAAATAGAACGTGATAATTTTCAGTAAGATAACTAAAGTTAAAACATATCAGGAAAATGTTTGATTGCTGAAACTGATAAAGATGAGATCAGCATCAAAAGATACTAGCTTTACCAAATCCCAGCAGTCCACTGAACAATGATTATTGATCATATATGATAGCCACTAAATAAAATACAGAAATGTAAAATAAGTTATTTCAGTTGTATAAAATAAGCTAAGGGAACAATAATTCTATTTAACATATCCAATATACATAAGAATACATTAAGAGGCTATAGCAGTGGTCAGAGTCTTTCAGAGCTGAAAGATGCTTTGCTCTGAATCTCACTGCAAGCTGCCATTTCTGCTGCGTTCTAAACCAGTGATTCACAATTAGGTAGAGAATATTGTTATAATACTTTGGGAAGCATTATTACCACCCCCCACCTACCTTCCTGTGAAAACCACTGGAATGAACAAACTCTTACTCAAAAAGGAATAAAGAACAGAAAGTTTATGAATATCAAAGAGATGATTCCTACAGTTATTGGAATATAAGTATGTATTTTTTGATGCATTCAGGTTTTATTTATGAACTTCAGGAATGATTTATTTAAAATTTAACATTTATGTGACACTGATAATTCTCTAAGAGAAGACCCAGAACTATAAATAGCCCAGGGATATTTCGAAACCGAAAAAAACCACAACACTGCTGATATTACAAGTTTTTGGTGAAGCAATTCTTTTAGTAGTACAATAAAACTTCAAAGGTTTCCGTAGGATTTTCTGTGCTCCACATACCTAAATTTTATAATTATTTTCAAAAGTCAGTTTGGTTGTTACGATATGCTGGTGAGGTCTTTCAGTATCTTATCTGAAATCTCAGAAGCTACTGCAGCTCTTACCCCGCTGTCAAAAAAAAAAGTCTTCATTTTTTGATATTTGAATTTATATTTAGTGACAACCCTGGACCAATGTTAGTAACCTGATGGCCAGACAGTAACTATATAGCAATCTTAAGAATTAAAAAGTAGGCTGGGCACTGTGACTCTTGCCTGTAATCCCAGCAGTTTGACAGGCTGAGGAGGATGGATTGCTTGAGGCCAGGAGTTTGAGACCAGCCAGGCCAACATGGCGAAACCCTGTCTCTAATAAAAATACAAAAATCAGCTGGGTGTGGTGGCCAGTGCCTGTAATCCTAGCTACTAAGGAGGCTGAGGCAGCAGAATCCCTTGAACCCAGGAGATGGGAGGTTGCAGTGAGCCCAGATAGCGCCACTACACTCCAGCCTGGGTGACAGAGTGAGTGAGACTCCGTCAAAAAAAAAAAGAATTAAAAAGTAAATGTAACAATGTTATTCATAGGAATCATTTCCCTCTTTCTGCAGTAAGATGAAAATACTACTCACAGCTTCTATTTGTCCTTATCATTTAAAAGCACAGCAGAGCCAACAAAGTATCTGCCTCTAGTAGCTTCTTTCTGGACCCTTCCCTCTCCAAATACTGACCCTTCTTTTCTACAGAGAGGAACCCACTACTGGGTCTTTTACCATCTCCTCTCATTCAAAATGTAAAGGAACAGCTCTCAGTGATCTTCTTTACTTCTTGGGTGACCAATGTAATACTTTGATTAAAACTCTCACTAAATTATTTTGACTAACCCTTATAGTGTTTTGAAACAATTTTCTGAATAAAAAAACTGAACACATAGTTCACTGTAAAACTTTCAAGCAAAGTGAAAAGAAAAAATACCCATAATCTCACCATTCAGAAATAACCACCATTAACATTATGATGATTTTTCTTCATATACAGGCATACTTCACTTTATTGTGCTTTTTACAAATTGAAGGTTTGTGGCAACCCTGTACAGAGCAAGTCTATTGGTGCCATTTTTCCCCAACAGCACGTGCTCACTTTGTATCTCTCTGTCAAATTTTGGTAATTTTGGCAACATTTCAAAGTTTTTCGTATTATTATATCTGATATGGCGATCTGTGATCAGTGATACTTGATGTTACTAATTGTTATGTAATCGTTTTGGGGAGCTAACAAATTGCGCCCATATAAGATGGTGAACTTTAAGATAAACGTGTGTGTTCTTACTGCTCCACTGACCTGCCATTCTCCCCTTTCTCCTCCCAATTCCCTGAGACACAATGATATTCAAATTAGGGCAATGAATAATCCTACAATGGCCTTTAAGTGTTCAAGTGAAGAGTCTCAAGTCTGTCACTTTAAATCAAAAGCTAGAAATGATTAAGGTTAGTGGAAAGGCAAGTGGAAAGCCAAGACAGATTGAAAGCTAGGCCTTTTGTGCTAACCAGCCAAGTTGGGAATGCAAAGGAAAAATTGTTGAAGGGGGCTGAAAGTGCTACTCCACTGAACGCACAAATGATAAAAAAGCAAAACAACTTATATGGAGAAAGTTTTGATGAAGGGAGAAGTCAATAAATGCCACAAACTTCATTGTTGTCTTTTGTTAAGAAATTGCCACAGCCACCCCAACCTTCAGCAACCACTACCCTTACCAGTCAGCAGACAAACATTGAGGCAAGACCCTGCACCAGCAAAAAGATGACAACTCACTGAAGGCTCAGATGAGCGTAAGCATTTTTTACCAATTAAGTATCTTTTAATTAAGGTATGTACATTATTTTTTGACATAATACCATTATTGCACACTTAATATGTGTAAATATAACTTTTACATGTACTAGGAAACCAAAAAAATCCATGTGACTCGCTTTATTGTGAATATTGTCTTTATTGTGGTGACCTGAAACCAAACCCTTAATATCTCTGAGGTATACTTGTATATTTCAACATATATTTTTATTAAAATTTCAAAAAATACTTTCTTGATACTTTTTTTTTCTCCATTTAATAGCTACAAATAACTTTCCACACCATGGAATATCCTTCTATAAAATTACTTGCAAGAACCACAGTATTCTAACATTGAAACATAACACAATTTGTTTAACCGATTCTTCAGGTTAGATGCTTAGGTTGCATACATTTCTTGTTACCATAAATAAAGTTGCAGTGAAAACACCTGTACCTAATTTTTTGCCATTTTTAAATGATAATTTTCTTGAGACAAATTATTAGAAGTAGAATTTCTAGGTCAAAGAATATGGACATTTTAATGTGGTTTACTTATATATTATGTTGTGGCTAAAGAAAGTTTGGGCATTAGCATTTAGGAGTTGCATTCTAGGCAAAAGTGTAGGCCAGGGCAACGGGTTTTGAATATTAGTATACATAAGCTAATGAATATTAGTGTACATAATCCATTGGCTTATGCACAGTAATATTCAAAACCCATTGCCCTGGCCTACACTTTTGCTTAGAAAAGGTCATTGTGGCTGGCAGGAGCTGGAAGCCTCCTATCTAGTCAATGTCAACCTTTGCTTTGAAATGCCAAGATACATTTTGTTTTCTAAGGCGCTGTTTTTGTTTATATTTTTCAATGTTTTACAACTGAAATCTGTGTTTCCAGAGGTGAAGATTCTGACAGAGAATTTATCCTTTTGAACAGAGGTAGCTCTGAAGAGCAGGGCCTGAACTTTCATGAAGCCTGAGAACCCAATAAACTGTACACAAAAATGTGTATATTTATATGCACATTTCTCAGGGGATAGTGTTCACAGCTTTCAACAGGTTCTCACAGAGATATGTGATGCTCATAAAAGCTTAACAAAACCAAACCCACAAAAAGCCCACTGGCATGGAAAGCAAATGATATCTACTTACAACTGAGACAAATACTGCAGAAAATGCTGACATTGCAGAGCCATGTATTAACTACACACACAAATGCAAATGAACAGCATGTACTGTATAACACTGAGGAGTGAGACAAATTTGAGAGGCCACACTGCCCAGTGTGATGATCTGAAGCTACAAAAGCTGGGGCTTTCATAGTTGAAGGGCTTTACTCTCTTTAAGGTCAGACTGATAAAGAAGAAGGCCTGTTTCTATTAGGCATCATGCTAGGAATTTTACATGTAGTCTCTGATTTAATTATCAGAAATGTCCTATGAGGAAGGCAGTTTTATTATTGTTAAGTAGTAAGAATCATAAACAGTTTTAAACTCATCCCAATGGGTCAGTGAGAACTCAATTCCATTACCACATTTCTGAATCATTGGCAACAGCCTCATTTAATGACTATACTGCCATAGCTAATGGGACCCAATCCCCATACACCCTCCTGCTTCTGACAGTTGGCCAGTCCCTAACCTCTACTAGTCTCAAAACCCTCAATAAGATCAGCAGTCTGCTTTATTCAGAAAGACTGTGCCTTACAAGTACGTATCTCCACTGTCCAACAACAGTAAATCCAGCTTTCTGTTTCACATATTGAGTAGAGGCCCTTCCTTGACAAAAAGGTTATACAAGGGTTACACTGCCAGTAAGAAATGGAGAGGACTGGCATCCATAAAGTCTGACTCCAGAGCCCAAGCTCATTATAGCTCATAATACACTCCCTGAGCAAATATCTTAACATTTGGATTACGATGGAGAAACCCTGGTTTTTCCCTCCTCCTCTTGACAGCAGGAATGTTGTTAATGAAATACAATATATATTTTATTACTGCTCTGTACTATTTTTATTATTTTTTTATGGACACTGTGAGTGTCTAAGTCCCTATGAAGTTAGGCAGTATTATATATCAACTTTTATAACCAAAAGTATCCATATTTCTAATTGGAACAAATATAAAATATAACTTCTTAAATGCTAAGCTTTGAAGAGTTTCTAAATAGGAAAAATGGCACATTTTTATACTATCAAGACAAAATATTTTTCTTAAAAATATGTAGCCCTCTATATTGTTTATAAAATATTCTGAGGGCAATGCTACAGAACAAACTTTTTGTCATAAATTACCTTTATTTATATATTTAACTTATTAGCCTTTAATATATCAATACAGAAAATAAATCATGTAAACCGTGTACTTTTTTCATAAATAAATAACTATGGCAAACAGACAATCCCTATAAAAATTGAATCTAAAAATACTGTTTGCTATAGGAACTTAAAGTACCAAGTTCTCTTTGTAATGACAATATCCCATACAGTGCTCTCTTTTTGGCTTGCATGCTGAGATTTAATATAAAGCTGAAAATTCCTAGCTAGCAGCTTGGCCATTTTAAGATCCATTAATCTGGGCAAGCAGTCTACACACGTGGCTCAATGATCTTTTTTTTTTTTTTTTTTGTATTGCTTTTTTAAATGTCTCAGTAATTTGGAAGATAGGGCATGAAGAAAGACGAAATCTATTGAGGCTGCGAAACTAGAAGGGCAGATTGTAGGAAGGAGGAGAGCTATTACATGCAGGCTGGCTGAGAGTAGTGAAAAGAACTCATTGTAGAGAAATAGAAAATAGTGAGTTAGGGAACACCAATTTCTATAGAAAATGAGTACACCCTAGGTACTCATATGCTACAAGACACTGAACAGAAGAATCAATGTTTAATAGAAGATAATACTCTAAACCTTTGGCAAAGTGCTTTAAAAACTAAACCATTCTGAAATGTTTAGTGCCTTGGTATAAGTCAAAAGATGTTACTTAAAAACCAATAATGAACTTTATTTGGAACAAATGGTAGTTCAGGTCACCTTGCTTTAAAAAAGTTTTCTATTATAGAATATTCAAGTGAAAGTGAGCTGAATGACACAAGAGCTTTGACTAGAGGCTTTGATATTCAAGAGGATTAAGCAAATGAGCAATGGTGTCTTTTAATGGAGACAAGATTATGAATAAATTCATAAAAACAGATACACTCCTAAATGGATCATAAAGGTTAAAAAATTTAAGAATTTGGGGTGAAATGTTATGTGGTGTGGTAGTATTTAGGGAAGAAGCA
The DNA here is from genome assembly GCF_000001405.40 of Homo sapiens. NCBI lineage: Eukaryota > Metazoa > Chordata > Mammalia > Primates > Hominidae > Homo > Homo sapiens. Next base: position 112,261,597 of record NC_000007.14, on the reverse strand, counting down.
AGAAAATAAATTAGGGGAGAAGTTAACACCAAAAAAGGAGTATTTTTTCCATCATCAATTCCAGAGTTATCATTCTTTCCTCACAGAAAAAGCAAGAAATGATTGTCGATATAGGCTAAAATAAAATAATCAGTTTTCTTAATCTGAAAAACAAAAACATAATCAGAAAGTAGATAGAGCTAGGCATATGAAATGCCATCCATTGCATTTATGGGATGTAGCAAATTTATTTCTGAAATAAATAAGCTGAAAACCAAATTGTTGTATGTTAGGTAAAATGGACTTTAGAAAAGGTAAAAGGAGGGACAGTCTTCAAGTATGTACTTTACTACTGAAACTTCATTTCCATCACTTATGCACCTGGTTGAAGCTGATGACACCAGATAACCTATAGTACAAGGGAAGCCAAGTAAAGAATTAAAAGAATCTAACGCAGAGAATGATAGAGATCTATAGAGTTTATGAACTGACCAACGGCTGAAGTTTTTATGGTGGCTGGGATCTTCCCAAGCTGTCTGAGCAAACCCATAAACAGAACCACTGAAGCAAGATCTAATAGAAACTAATTAAGGGTTGGGTAACCTATTGTTGTGAGTTCTGATCTTTCTTTCTCACACACATTTCTGTGATTGGCTTTGAATGACATTAACAAATCTATCAAATCTTGGAAGAACTGTTAAGACTAAAAGAAAAATATCATAAATTTGTAAGAAGTGAACCTCAGATGAAAAACACAATCACTCAATGCTTTATTCATCTTGAAAGTCAGAAAAGGTAGCAGAGACACTAGAGTAGGCCCAACTATTTCTATCACCTGTGCTCTCCGCCTAGCCCACCTCCCACTCCTGATTTCATTCCCATTTTGCCCTAGTTTTAGGAAATTAATATGTTCCTTACACTCTGAAATGGAATTTGAAAATTAAAGTTTAACTGGTAACTAAGGCTTATCGCTTCCTAGAAATAACACCCTATAAGAGCAAGACTGAGGGGTTTATTCAAGAATATACGTTGATGTTACATAACGCTAGGAAAAAATTAGAAATGACTCAATACCCAACAATACTTAAATGAATTATAGAAATTAAGCAAGTCATTAAAATGTGTTTTGAGAGATTGAGTAGTATGGGAAAATACTCAGAACATATTGCTAAATGAAAAAATATAGAAAACCATATTTATAATATGATACTCATTTGTAAATAATATGTGACATATTTTTAAACAAAAGGAACTACCAAACAAAGCAATGAAAGCTAAACTGGAGAGGGTAAAGGAATTACTTTTGTCTTCTTCCTCCTTTTAATCTTTTTGGTGCTGTAGAAGCAGTTTTTTGAGACAGGGTCTCACTCCTATCACTAGGGTGGAGTGCAGTGGTGTGATCACGGCTCACTGCAGCCTCAACTTCCTGGGCTCAGGAGATTCTCCCATCTCAGCCTCCTGAGTAGCTAGGACCACAGGCGCACACCACCATGCCGGATAATTTTTGTATTTTTAGTAGAGACGGGGTTTTGCCATGTTGCCCAGGCTGGTCTCCAACTCCTGGACTCAAGCAATTCACCCGCGTTGACCTCTAAAAGTGCTGAGATTACAGGCGTGAGCCACTGTGCTGCCTGTAGCTTTTATACTTATATCTCAGGATGTTTACCTGATAGATGAACTTATCTACTTGTTAAATCTTATAACAGTTTTTCTCTCCTAATGTATTTGTATGTCAGTGATTGCTTAATTCACGTATCTGTTGATATGGTACCTGGGACACTGCACAAAATCCTTTTATTCCTTTCTAGAAAGAGCATGCTAGAGGCTGAAAGTCCAAAATAAGGACTACTCAGTTTGTATGAGCTGTTACTTTTGTGCATGCATTAACACATTTATAACTTTTCATCCTAATTTCTCTCATAAAGCCTTGAACATTAAAAATCTCTCCTAAAGCTGCCTTTTTCTTTCTTTCTTTCTTTCTTTTTAAATAAGTCTTTTGGACACTGCAAACAAAACTACGAAAAGCAAAGAGTTAATAAAACAAAGTCACTGGACGTGTCTCTGAAATTAAGCGCTCTTAAGTAACCTGTTTAGTGGTTAATTTAGAAAAGGCATCCTCTATTAAAGTAATAAAAAGAAATCTTCGGGAAGTATCTGCGGCTTAGGTTCTTTTCTATAGATTTGGGGGTCGTGGCACTCTACTACTACGTAATTTTTATTCCTAGATTTTACTCTTATGCTAATTAGTTAGGTGAGTGTTTTAAAGAGAAAACTGACTTTCCTTCTAATATTTGGAATATACTAGTAACAAAATCTCCATCAGTTAGGCTTTTACAATATACAACAGAGTAATACATCTTGACTCTGTTTAATTTATGCAAAAATATAAAAATTTATTGTATTTTATTTTATTATATTTGGGGGTAATGAAACAAAATCAGAACATCTGCTGGCATGTTAAATATCTTTCTAATTAAATCCAGCACTGAATGAATCAATTCATTAGCAACAAGCCTGGTTTATTACCTCATTAATACAGATGGTTAATATCAGTAAGGGAAGAAAAGAGAACTTCAAAAAGTACAAAAACAATTGCAAAGTGACATGGGTATCAGGGAGAATACTATTTGAAGCAAAGTATTAATAATTTAGCTTTTCAAAGATTAAAATGAAAATCAATTTGCTAACATGGAAAGGGGGACATTTATGAAGATATGTTTTGTTTTTTTTTAATGTCACAAAGGCAAATGGTAGCACGAGGGTAAATATGTAGACAAAAATGTTCATTGGAACCACAGAAAGAATTCTTTTGGTGCCAAAATAATAAAGCATGTTAAGAACAATTTAGAAGTTTATATATAAATGCTAAATAAGAAATTTTCCCCATAGATAAGATTATTTTAAACTTCCTATTTGCAGGCTTGCCCATCTTGACAAACAGCAATCACCCAATAAAAAAGTAAATTTTTAATTACTTAAAATTAACATCAACACATAGGAAAAATGATTAAAACATTTCATTTAGCCATAGGCCGCTTATTTGGAGAACTTAGTTTCATAATAGTAGCACAGTGCTAGGAACAGGGGTGCCAGATAGAATACAGCATGCCCAATTAAATTTGAATTTTAAATAACCAAAGAATACTTTTTTTTTTGGCGTAAGTACGTCCAAATACTGTATGGCTTTGCATAGTACAAGTATATTCTGTGCAGTAGTTAAGACATATACAAGGTATGTACTAAAAAAAAAAGAAGTGTTTATTTGAAATTCAAATATAATTTGACATCATCCCTTATTATCATTTGCTTAATCTAGTAATCCTAACTAGGAAGAAAGCAAAAAAAAAGGCTTCTGTATATTCATATTAGATGCTAAAATGTATTCAAATTAGATGCTAAAATTCATGCACTTACCTTGCAGAAGGCTCACTCTCTCAGGACCTACAAACTGGCAACTCTCACGCCAAATTTACCTCACTGATATATTTTATTTGCTAAGCAAAATATTTTAATTTCAATTAGTTACCATCATTAAAATGAATAGAGTAGACATAAAAAAATGATTTCATATTCTGGCTTAAAAAAATTTGCCAGCCTGGGTAACATAGCAAGATCCTGTCTCTACAAAGAAAAAAAATGTTAGCCAGGCCTGGTGGTGTGTCCTGCAGTCCTACCTACTTGGAAGGCTAAGGCTGGATGATCACTTGAGCCTAGGAGTTCGGGGTTGCTGTGAGTTACGAATGGGCCACTGCACCCCAGCCTGGGCAACAGAGCAAGACCCTGACTCTAAAAAAATTAAATAAAGTAAAATAAAATAATATAAATTAAAAATTAAAAATTTGAAAATTGTGATAACATTGGGAGTGATTTTCCACTTTTCAATAATCGGATCTAAATGGCTGCTTCCTTAGAGAAGGTATGTTATTGTTTGCCATGACCCTTACCACTCCCTATTACTCTAACATCAAGCTGAAGGTAGTAGTAAATTTAAAGTGGTCACGATTAAATAAAGTCTAATAACAACAGGTATTACTAATACCTAAAATCTACTAATGAAGTCTAATACCTGTTGTTTTTAGACATTATCTAATCTTATTTTCTATTCCACTTCCCTCATTTCTGTTACCTGGCAGGTCCCTTGCAGGCTCTGAGTTCATGACCTGACTTCTGCTATAAACATTCATTTTATACCCAGTTCTCTCTAGCACCCATTAAGATAGGGAGAGAAGTTGAAATACTGCTAAAGTCTATTTTTCCTGCCAGTTTTTAAGTTTGATGAAGGCAGGAAGCCTGTTTGTTTTGCTTATTCTTCTGGTTCTACCACCTAGCACAGTGTCCTGCACAAAGTAAATGCTGGGTAAATATTTGTTTAATTGTCACAAGGCAAGGAGAAGCAAGAATAACTATGGAAACAAAAACCAAAAATATACAGCAATTTAGAAATATCCGGTGTGGCGTCAGCAAGTAATATTGTATTGATTATGTTGATGGTCATCAATACACAATGTTTGTAGTCAGTGAAGTGTGTAATCCCATTGAAAAATAACTACTTAGCATAATAATCTTCAGAACTCTGGTAAACTCCTTATACAAAACTTTATATTTTCTGAGATGTTTCCAAATAAATTAAAGGTCATTATAATCCATTTCCCATGGAACAAACATAGAACTGTTTTGTATTTCCCAGTTCTAGCCACTTTTCCCCAGTGTTTTGAATTTTGGACGGGTATGAAAATGCAAAGAGAAGAAAGAAAAGAACAGATTTTCTATATGGTCTATTTCTAACAATTCTGAACAAAAATTATGGTACTAAACCTCTCAAGCATGCACAAAAACATTCTATCCCATTCCCCAGCTTTAAACTGTATTAATGTGGCCAGCACACTGGTTTACGCCTGTAATCCCAGCACTTTGGGAGGCTGAGGTGGGTATATCACCTGAGGTCAGGAGTTTGAGACCAGCCTGGCCAACATGGTGAAACCCCATCTCTACTAAAAATAAAAACATTAGCCAAGCATGGTGGTGCACATCTGTAATCCCAGCTACTCGCTAGGTTGAGGCAAGAGAATCACTTGAACCTGGGAGGTGGAGGTGAGCCACTTAGAGAGCAAAAGTGAGCCAAGATGGTGCCACTGCACTCTAGTCTGGGTGACAGAGTGAGACTCTTTCTCAAAAAAAAAAAAAAAAAAAAAAAAAACTCCAAAGAAGTTAATTAATGGACTTCCCTGGAGATGTTCTTAAATGGCTAACATACCCTTCCTCAAGAGTATAGTCTTCCTCTTGCTAGGTCCCTGGTAGGTGGTAACTTCAAGGGATTTTTCTTATTTCTATGTATAAGACATTCAGGAGATAAATTTGGGACACAAATAGCTGAATTTCAAAATTACTGATAGCTGAAAGAAAAGGACTAAATATTTCAAATCAAAATTATTTAGGAAAATCCATGATTTACGTGTGCCATGCCTATTATATGTAGAAATCTCTTATTCAATCATTCAAAAATTATTTATTGAAAACCTATGGTATGCTAAGCACCAAGCTAGGAGAGAGGACTAGAGAGATGAAGACATAGATTCTAGTCTCAAAGAATGGGTAGCAACACAAGCAATGATAATACATGGCATTTGTTTTAAATAAAGGTATGTGCAAGGTCGAGAGAAAATCCAGGGTGAGGAGAGCATCTAATCTGCCAAAGTGTAACAAGTCAATTATTTGAACCAAGACATAGGGGCAAGTACAAATACATAAAAGGAGCAAGTCCAGTGTGGAAAAGCAGGGCACTTCAAGGCGCATACGGAAGGAAGGCAGAGACTGCATATTCACAAAACTGAATGTTATTAGTATTCAGTGATTTGACTCCAATAAGGAAGCAATTGCAACAGCCCAGGTGAGATACAGTGAGGGTCTGAATTTGGGCAGTGATCCTCAAGAGGAAGGGGCACATGCCAGGTGCTTATTATATCAGGCTTCAGTGGGTAGCAGGAATTACTGTATTGTTACTGATTCCTTGGACTAACTGACATCTGGATTCCTGATCAAAGGATTCTTGCTTATCTTGATTTCTGAATCCTGTTTAGCTCTTTATATTATAGCCTGACATGTGGGATTTCAGGTCTGGCCAGACCACCAACAATGCAACTTCTTTAGGCTCTGTTACCACATCCTAGCATAGAGGTGGTTCAGCTTTTGTGGTGAACAGCAATTTTTAATACTTAACTTTAATACTGTCTCAGAGACTTAAATTTCTGCCTGGATCTTCAACTTCTGGATCCTACCTGCCTCTTAAAACTTTATGTGATAAAGTTAACTTGTGTCCTTTTTGCAATTCTCTATTATATCTGCTTCCTATTTTTTGCTAAGTCATAGTTTCCAAAAAAAATCACTTTTTTTACTGTATGCTTTTGATGTGTTTAAGCATAAAAAGAATGAAGTATTAACCACAAACAGAAAAAGCACTATTTAAAAGACTTCTTTCAAAAAGGTGAATATTTGTCAGCATCCACACAATTGAAATATATTAGCTTTCCATTTAAGAAACAAAAATAGAAAAAAACCACACACTTTTATAGTTGAAGTCATTACCTACTACTATAGAGTAAATGGCAATCACTTGTTTTTTTTGTTTGTTTGTTTGTTTTGTTTCTTTGAGACAGGATCTGGCTCTGTCACCCAGGCTGGAGTACAGTGGCGCGATCTCAGCTCACTGAAGCCTTGAACTCCCCTGGGCTCAAGCAATCCTCCCACCTCAGCCTTCAGAGTAGCTGGGACTACAAGCCCATGCCACCACGCCCGGCTAATTTTTAAACATTTTTTCTACAGGCGAGTTCTCACTATGTTGCCAAGGCTGGTCTTAAAATCCTGGGCTCAAGCAATCTTCCCGCTTTGGCCTCCCAAAGTGCTGTGATTACAGCCATGAGCCACCACACCTGATCTTAACTTGGCTTTTTCTTACACTTGTTAATAACAGATAAATAAGGATTAGGAAACACTTCTTTTCATTAGCTAATCTGACATTGTGTAATGCCATATTTATTTTAACACAAATTGTTATTCAGCTAATATTTCATAGCATAAATAAACTTAGAGGCCATAAAAAACAAACAGAACATTAATTTCCAATCATGTCAACACAACCCCAGACACACACACAAACTGGATGTGATGTTGTTGCCTACTACAGCACTGCCTATCCTGTACACCAGTGGTTCCTGAATTGTATCACACATTTGAATCACCTGGAGGACTCGTTTAAACAGAGTATTGGGCTCCATTCCCAGAGTTGCTGATTCAGTAGGTTTGGAGTATGGCATGTAAATTAGCAACACTAACAAGTTCCCAGGTGATGCTGATGCTGCTGGGGAACCATATTTTGAGAACCATGGCTGTATACCAACATGTGATATGAATGTGGGGAAGAAGATGGTGTCTCAAATGTGGTTTATTGCTTTCTGAAAAGCTTCTCTAAATTAAAGATTCAATGCTAGTTAGACAGTTTAGAAAGTTAAGTCTTGATCATGAGAGAGATTCCAAAATACTGATTTCTTTTAAGGAAAGAAAATAGTGTTTCATGGCTATTTTAACAGAGATGCTCTGTGGGAGAGCTTAAGATGTTGCAGTTTCATTAGCATTATCCAGTGTTGCTATGGGGACAAACTAGAAAGAAGTCATCAGTACACAAGTGAATGAAAAGAGGAGAACTGATGAATAATAATAATGATGATAAAAGAACTTTAGCATTTCTGAGAAAATAAAGCAAAGTCACATTGTACAGTTTCTGGTATTTCTGTAAATTAAGGTACAAATTATCATTTAATAATAAGAGATGATCATATATAGATCTCTCCATCTTTAGAAGATGCATAATCTCCTTGCAATTCAGGGAAGAAAACAAAAACATCTTTTTGAAAGGATGAGAAGGAAAAGTGGCAGAAATAACATTGCAGGATTTTATTATGTACAATAAGGCATGATGGCCCTGAGGCTGGGGGCTACATGGGAAGGATGAGCTATTTGCCCAACTGGATATGGGGGACAGAGGGCTCAAGTAGGTAAAAAAATATAGTTCAGGAGATGAGGAATGGAGAAAGGTAGGTGAATGGCCTGCTCTCAGTTTTTCAAATAATGAAATTAAGAAGAGTCAGAGAGAGAGAAAAATAACATGAGAGGTAGATTTCAACAGGTTGGGTAGCAAGTATCGTTAGAAATTGCTTTTAGTGACACGTGGTTGTATGCATCAGTTTGCTTATGGTTTGTAACGATACTTATATTAGAATTTTAGACTCAACGTTAGCAAATGAAAATGCCATCTCCATGGAAGTTTCTCCAAATTTCCCATTTCAAATTTCAGTTCTTTGATTTTAGAAGAAAATCTAACAGGAAAATTCTTAAATTATTATATTTAGACAACAGAGGACCAAGATTTACCACACCCGATATTTGATGTTGAATGCCTAGCAATACAGTCTTCAAAATAACTCCCTTTTGAAGCCTTTTCCATTACAACCTCCTCTTTGAAGATGTCAAAATCCTATTTACCTTTTCCCTGCGCATTCCTTGTTAAACATACCTGCTTATCAAATCCATTCACAGACACTACTTATCAAACCATATTGTGATTTGCCTGTTTATAGGCCTGCTTCCTCTCTGTGACTTTCTCAAGGACAAAAGCCTTGGTTTATTCATCGTTCTATCCTCAGTAGGTGGCCCAGTTCCTAAGACACTACATCTAGGTTCTTAGGGAATACTCTTTGGTTTGTTTCTTTGTTTATTTACTCACTGACTATACAAAGCCTGAAATGCTGAGTATCTTTTGTTTCTTTTACTGGATCTCATGGTCAGGATTTCACCATATGTTGTCACCGCACTTCAATATAAAGGTCTAATCACTTTCATCTGATGAGGGTACTTCATTACTACTTTTCAGATAAGGAAACAGAAGCAGGGAGCTATCAGATGTTTAGTTTCAGGCCCAAGGATATCACTGGTAAATTATATTGTATGCCCCCAGATTCCAGGTTTGTTGATTCTACCCAGTAGAATTCCTTTTCAGGAATTGGGCAAAGTTATTTTTATCCTAGCGACATCACGGGTATATATGTATAAAGTACCTTTTAGCCAGAAAAGAGTTTTGTTTCTTTTTAAGTTTTTCTTCTTTCTGTCTCAGTGACTCAAGAAAACCACAGCTCTACCCTTGTACCGCACACAGAAAAAATATTGTGCTATCCTGCTCCATTCATTCACTCTTTTAACAAAATGCTTAAAGAACAACGGGGCTCTATGGTGACAAAGGCACTTTATTCTCAGTTCAGTATTCCACTCAGCAGCCTTGTTTTTCTACTTCTTAATTGCAATAAGCTACCCTCTTGCATCTCAAATGTAGTTGTAATCCAAAGGAAATAAGCAAATCAATGGAACTTTCATTAACTGTATACTTCTTAAATAATGTAGTAAGAAAAACATAAATAATGGGGCTTTGCTATACATGTAGTTCAGTAAAATGTACCAGTTCACATATTGTGCATCAGTGTAAAAAAGTTAGGCCAAAAGGCATAAATGGGATTGAGAAGTTATGTCACAAGACTGGGTGAGTCTCACAAAAAACTGATAATTGAAGTGGCATTCCTGAAAAATCTATCCTCCTTACTTGCTGCTAATGCATGATATCATATCTTTATCAATCCATTCCTTTGTGTTATGTACCACACTCTCTTATAAGCTGTCTTTAAAAATGAGAGATATTACTGAGAGAGGCAGTGCTTGTGTCACTTAAAATCTCAGTATGAATTTCATAGATCTATAAAATGAAATTTAAAAATGAATCAATCAACAGAATACATCCCCTTTGCTTGGCACTGCACTTCAATACAAAGGCCTAATCACTCTTTCATCTGAAGAATTTAATACCTCATTACTACTTTTCAGATAAGGACACAGAAGAAGGGAGCTATCAAATATTTAGTCTCAGGTCCAAGGGTATCACTAGTAAAGAATATTGCAGGTCCCCAGATTCTAGGTTTGTTGATTCTATCTAGAATCCTTCCCCATTGGGGAAAAGAAAGATAACTAATTTCAAGGAGCTTCCAGTGTAATTTATGAGACAAAACATATACATATAAAACAAAAATGCAAGTAACAGTATTTCATTTGACTGAGTAACACATGAGTTGGTATTATTATTAGAGAGCAACATTTCTCAAACACTTTTTTAAGTTATGGAACTCTCTCCAAATTATCTCACATAAAATCCCATTATATAAAATCTGTACGAGCAGAAACTTTTTGGTTAAAGAGGGTACAGGGAGTCTTCAGTGTGCCATCTGTGCCAACTGTCCTTCATCCCCAATGAGGCTCCTTGGATCTTAGGCATCTCTGGGATTAGAGTTAAAAATCATTAAATTTAGCACATAAACATGCAGCAAACTGAGAAGAGAAAAATTCACTCTGGGTCTGACAAGTAGAGGGAAGTTCCAAGTGTGGATTCTTCCTCAAGTTGGTTTTTGAAGGCTAGGCAGGATTTATATGATTGGAAGAGAGGAAGAAACAAGAAATGCAAAGAAAAAGGACCTGAGGAATATGAAGGTTAGTGAGAAATAAAGGTGGGTGGAAATTATAAGCTAGAAAAGTAGGCATAAAAGTTGATATTTGTTGAAAAAGAAAACAGGAGGCACTAGGTTTTAAAACTTGGGAATGATGTGCTGACAGCCGACTTGAAGAAGGGAGACTGGTAGAAGATGCAAAATGATTTGGATAAAAATTAATGTTTATTGGTGAGAGGGACACTCATTTTGCAACTCACACCAACATTCTTAGCAAGACTTCCACCACTTGGGAGGGTTGGGGAGGAAGCTTTTCTATCTCTTTGTTCACCTCTCCCCACAAGAGGAGCAGAGGTTAAAAAATAAAACATTATCAGGGCAGGGTGCCTGAAAACACTACTCTCAACTATCGGGGAACCTGCCCCGATATTCATGTAGGTTCTTTTCTATTTTCCTGAAGCGTTGGCCAGCTTGAGAAATAAAGGGACAGAGTACAAAAGAGAGAAATTTTAAAGCCGGGCATCCGGGGGAGACATCACATGTCGGTAGGTTCTGTGATGCCCCACAAACTGCAAAAACCAGCAAGTTTTTATTAGGGAGTTTCAAAAAGGGAGGGAGTGTGCGAATAGGTGTGGGTCACAGACATCAAGTACTTTACAAGGTAATAGAATATCACAAGGCAAGTGGAGGCAGGGCGAGATCACAGGACCACAGGACCGAGGCTAAATTAAAATTGCTAATGAAGTTCCGGGCACCACTGTCATTGATAACATCTTATCAGGAGACAGGGTTTTGAGATCAACCCGTCTGACCAAAATTTATTAGGCGGGAATTTCCTCTTCCTAATAAGCCTGGGAGCGCTATGGGAGACTGGAGTCTATTTCATCTCTGCAGTCTCGACCATAAGAGTTGAGACTAAACGCCCGGGGGGCCAGGTTAGAGACCTACCCCCAGGTGCACATTCTCTTTCTCAGGGATGTTCCATGCTGAGAAAAAGAATTCAGCGATATTTCTCCCATTTGCTTTTGAAAGAAGAGAAATATGGCTCTGTTCCGCCCGGCTCACCGGCGGTCAGAGTTTAAGGTTATCTCTCTTATTCCCTGAACAATTGCTGTTATCCTGTTCTTTTTTTAAGGAGCCCACATTTCATATTGCTCAAACACACATGCTGTACAATTTGTGCAGTTAATGAAATTATTACAGGGTCCTGAGGCGATATACATCCTCCTCAGTTGACAGGATTGAGAGATTAAAGTAAAGACAGGCATAGGAAATCACAAGGGTATTGACTGGGGAAGTGATAAGTGTCCATGAAATCTTTACAATTTATGTTTAGAGATTGCAGTAAAGACAGGCATAAGAAATTACAAAAGTATTAATTTGGGGAACTAATAAATGTCCATGAAATCTTCACAATCTACGTTCTTCTGCCATGGCTTCAGCCGGTCCCTCCATTTGGGGTCCCTGACTTCCCGCAATACTCAACTCTGTCTCCTATTTCCTTCTCTTTGACCACCTGTGCTTGAACACATCATCCAGGTACCTCTTTTTCAGGACTCTCTCCTGCTTTCTACTATCAACTAAGTTTGCAAAGCTATTCTTACACAGCTATCTGGTTTAAGTATCTACTAAGCAGACCTCTCTCTTCCAATCCCCGAGGCATGAAAGGGATCAAATGGCTCATTTAACACAGTACAAAGTCACATCTACTAACAGTTTAAGAGGGAACCCCTAATTTTGAGTATTAAAGCCAATATTTTATTACTTATTTTGTTCATTGGACCTATGTATTTATTGGTTAAAACACAAAAGGGAAAAGATCAGTAATGAAGTGCCCTCCTGCCTCAGCCCATCCTGGCAACATAAAATTGCTTTAGACAGAAAACTGTGGAGATTCCAAGGCTTTAGCTAGAAGGACTCAAACAGCTCAGAACAGTTGAACCTCTGGTCTGTCAATGTTAGGATGACAGTTTTTGGACCACAACTAGTATTACCCATGAGTGAGAAAAGAATGTGAAGTCAAGTCTAGACATGTAGAATTTGGAGTTAACAGTACAGGCTAGCGAGCACACAAAAGAATCAACAGGATGGAAGTAACAGGCAGAACCAACAGCACAGATAACTTGGTAAGAAAAGATACATCAATCCAGATTGTGTTTTATAAGGCAAATTTCTTCCATGAAGAGAAGTCCCTGGAGAGAAAAAGTAAGAAGGTGTCCCATGTGCAAGATGGAAAAGAAGAGCTAAGAATTCAGGGAACATTAAATAGTCACCAAAAATGATGACTATCATTTTTGAATGTATAGTTAAATGTACGAAGATATATGCGATTAAGCCTAAAACAATCAGACTAGGAAACAGAATTTATGGAATGATCCTACTAAAAAAATGCATATATACACATATAAACATCATACATGTTTATACATACATATACAGAAAAGTGTGGAAGAATAGATACTAAAAGATTAACAGTGATTATCTCTTGGTGGTAGATTTATAGAGTAATTTTCTTCCCTTTTCCTTTATACTTTCTAGTGTTACATAATTTCATTTATTGATGTGTTATTATAAATGCATTATTATAATTGGAAAAATTAAAGCTCTGTTTAAATCTCTATTTTAGTTGTTTTATGATTCTGTTTTTCCCCCTTTGTTTTAGCACTTGTTCATTCTTCTGACCCTTAATTGAGCTTCCTGAGATTTTAATGCTGTTCTCTTTATGAAAAAAAAAAAATAAAACCAACCAAATATAAGAACTGCCCCCCTCAACCCCCACCCCCTATTCAGAGCCACATCCACTCTCCCAGATGAGCCAGTCTCTATCTGCAGTCATGATCAACAGGCATATCCTAAGACTACCTGCATGTACTGCAGTCATCTTGGAAATACATTAAATTTTCTTATGTCCCTGACAACCAGAAACACAGATTCTTGATTTCACACTTTTCACAAAAGATAAATCATTACCCAACTCTCCAAGGTGGAAATTAAACTTCTACATCATTTACCTTCTTCTGTATTTGTCCACTGACACCTATTGAGTACCCAAAAAGTATAAGGCCTAATTTGAGGCTTTTAAAATCCAAGGTCTCATAAAGTCTTTTTTTTTTTTTGAGATGGAGTTTCATCTTGTTGCCCAGGCTAGAGTGCAATGGCATGGTCTTGGCTCACTGTGATCTCTGCCTCCTGGGTTCAAGTGACTCTCCTGCCTCAGCCCCCCAAGTAGCTGAGATTACAGGCGCCCGCAACCATGCCTGGCTAATTTTTGTATTTTTAGTAGAGACAGGGTCTCACCACATTGGCCAGGCTGGTCTCGAACTCCTGACCTCAGGTGATCCACCCACCTCCACTTCCCAAAGTGGTGGGATTACAGGCATGAGCATCCGTGCCTGGATGCCTATTATGTTACAATCTCAAAGACTCTCTAATTCTAAATTATAATAAATTAAAAAAACATTTAGTCATATAACATGATAGGTGCTCAATGATTCAACATGTATCTCTTAGATTTGTCTGTCTTCTATTTCCAACTTCACATCTTCTTTGCCTCACACCAATATTATTTCCAAAACATTCTAGCTTATTATTCATTTCTGAGAATTCCAACACTCTAAGCTTGAATTCATCCTGCCTTTATGTTACTCTCAGACTAATCTTCCTAATACAATTTGCTCATGTCAATCTGCTATCTCAAAATTTTATAGCTGCACCGTATTCCATCATGTTTGAACTTTTCTGCACCTATTTTAATCTACCCTAGCTAATGTTGACCAAAAGGAAGAAACGGAGACAAAAATGAATACAAGTAGAGAGCTCATTTGGGCCAAACTTGAAGACTGCAACCCAGGAGCACAGATTTAAGTTGCCCTGAATATACCCTCCACTTAGCGGCAATTACAAGTGGATTTTTAAAGGCAAAAAAGGGGGACAGGGAGTGGACTGATACAAAGTTGTTTGTCAGGAATTCTCACTGGCTTATACAAAAACATTGATTAGTGATTGGTTATACATTGCTAAACTATAGGGTATGGGTTACAGTGTGCAATGTGGCATTATTAGGTTAATTTGTAGGTACTTGTGGCAAGAGCAAGCAGTTTCAAGAGATGAATACATAACTCAAAGCAGGTAGCAGGGCATGACTGCAGTCTCATTTAAATGTCTCTCTGGGGCCTAATAATTAAAACGACTTGCATTCCTAAGATAAATGTTCTTTTTCTTTCCTCACTAACCAAAATAGTTTGCTCTGCCTTTCTAATAGTCATTCATTAAATCAGCATTTATTCAGTGCTTACTGTATGCCAAGCATTTGGATGGACACTGAAGGTACCAAGGAGAACAAGACAGAAAAGTCCTGCTTCCACATAAATCTGCTCCAGTCAGTGTCTTCACTGGCTATGTCTTCCATACAAACTGATGCTCCACACAGACTCCAAACTCACCATGCTTCCTCCTCATTTGCAATGCCTTTCTTTACTATGCATCATCCAATCTCAAATGAGGTCCAAATCCTAGGTCCTCTAGAACTGGCTCTCTTAGGTCCTCAAAGGCTTTTCTTCTCATCTTCCATTTACTTTTGGACTGCTCCCCTTAGTACTCAGTTATAATATCAAATTTCCTATTAAGCTCTTTGTGGACAAATATTGCCATATACTTACCTTGGTTGGGTTTTGTTTTGTTTGTTTGTTTTTGAGATAGGGTCTTGCTCTGTCGCGAGGCTGGAGTGCAGTGGCATGATCACGGCTCACTGCAGCCTCGACCTCCTAGGCTCAAATGATTGTCCCACCTCAGCTTTCTATTTCTGAGTAGCTGGGACTATAGGTGTGTACCATCATGCCTGGCTAATTTTTTTTTGTATCTTTTGTAGGGATGGGGTGTTGCCATGTTGCCCGGGCTGGTCTCAAACTCCTGGGCTCAAGCAATCCTCCCACCTCAGCCTCCCAAAATAGTAAGATTACAGGTATGAGCCACTGTACTCGGCCTTACCTTTTATACCAATGTAGTTCCTGGGCCATTATATTTTTGAGAACTACCTGGACATTCTTTAGTGACAGTGTAAGGGGCAAAGAAGGAAAACAGAAGACTTTCCCTTCCTTACGTTGTGGAACCATGCTTATCAAAGGAAGAAGGTGAGTGTCCCAGTTTTGGATACTCTGACATTGGCTATTATAAGATATCCAGTGATATGTGCTGAATTGTGTCTCCGTAAAAAGATAGGATGTCCCAACCCACTGTATTCAGAATATGACCTTATTTGGAAACAAGGTCTCTACAGAGGTAATCAAGTAAAAATGAGGCCATTGGAGGTCATAATCCAATATGACTGATATCCTTACAAAAAGGAAAAATTTGGACACAGAGACACACACATAAAGGAGAACACCATGTAAAGGTGACAGCAGAGGTTGGGATAATACATTAAGGAATGCCAAAGGTTGCCGGAAAGTCACCAGAAGGTAGGAGAGGGGTATTGAACTTATTCTCCCTCACAGTCGAGAAGAAACCAATCCTGCTGACACCTTGATCTCAGACTACCAGCCTCCAGAATTGTGAGGCTAGATCACAAAACCTTTGTGTTTATGACATAGTTTATGACACTATGCTATGACATAGCATAGAAAACGAACGTATCCACAACAACCATGGAATGGAGCTTCTCCCTTGCAATGGCCTAGAAAAGACATGAGAAGAGGATCTAAAAGGTCACAATAATATAGAGCCATGGTAAGAGAGAAGGGTGGTTGCAGCTTCAACTGGCATTCTCTGTCACCTTTACCCAGTTGCCCTAGCACTCAGAATCTATGGATTGATCCCAAAACAATGTACGTGCTGACTGCTGTCACTGTCTTAAGGTAGCGGTAAAGGAATAACTGAAAGGAAGAAATGATGACTTGAAGGTCCATGAGCCAAAATATCCAGGAGAAGAGTAGTCAGTAAGAAATCAGAAAGCCAAGAACAAGAAGTTTCTGAAGGGAAGGCTAGAAAAGAAGAGTAGATGTGAGAAGAAATATTTTGGACACTGTAAACCAACATTTATTCAAAAGATATATAATTTGATCTTTTCTGTGCCAATAAACTAGGTATTCAAAGTAGAAAAAAAACAGGATTTGTGCTACTTTTCCTAGTTAACAAAGGGTGGAACACATTACATTTCATTTGTGAAAACCGTTCATAATTACTTGATGAATTTTTTCCTAATTATATAAATAACTGTATATTATGAGGCTTTAAACTACTAAATTATAAAAAATTTTGTTTAATGCATACATCAAGGTTACAAACAGAAAGTGTAGGTTACTGCACATCAACAAATCAAATGATCATAAATTCTAATCTAAGTTAATAAAATTAGGCAATAGGTGACATAAACAGAAGTCTTCAAGTATTGTAAAAGAAAGAGGTAATAGAGAAAACTATATATGTATATGATACTTAAAAGAAAAACTGGTTAGGGAAAATACATCTAACTTTTTTTTGCTCTTTTTATTTCTGTGTATATTTAAATTTATGTCTACTAAATTCTCTGTTTTAATTTTAAAGAAGTAAAAGTCACTGATACGCAGAATGTCAATGGGTCTGCTTTAGTGAAGATAAGTATATGCGATTTAAATTATAACCAAAAAATTGTGCTTAAAACCTCAATAGGTCACATAAGCAGAGAACCTAGAAGGGAGAACTGCTTACTATCAGAAATACGAGTAAAATATTTAGAAATATATTTCCATTAGGCTTAATAGGTCACTGTCATAGGAAGTACATCTTATTTGCACAGAAAGACTATTACAGTATACATATTTCTTACTTTAAAAAATATATTTAGTGAGTACAAGTGTAGTTTTGTTATGTGGCTATATCTCACAGCAGTGAAGCTTTTAGTTACATTACCTGAATAGTGTACATTGTACCCATTAGGTAGTTCCTCATCCCACTCACCCACCTGAGTCTCCAATGTCCATTATTCCACTCTCTGTGTCCATGAGTATACATTATTTAGCACCCACTTATAAGTGAGAACGTGTGGTATTTGACTTTCTGTTTCTGAGTTATTTCAGTTAAGATAATGGCCTCCAGTTCTATCCATGTTGTTGCAAAATAAATGATTGCATTCTTTTTTATGGCTGAGTAGTGTTCCATGGTATATAACACTATATTTTCTTTATCCAATCATCCATTGATGGACGCGTAGGTTTATTCCAATGCTTTGCTATTATAAATAGCATTGCGATAAACATATGAGTGCAGGTATCTTTATACATTATTTCTTTTCCTTTGGGTAAATATCCAGTAGTGGGACTGCTGTATAAAATGAGAGTTCTATTTTTAATTCTTTGACAAATGTTCAAATGTTTTCCATAATGGTTGTACTAGTTTACATTCCCATTTTCTCTGCATTCTTACCAACACCTGTAATTTTTTGACTTTTTAACTATAGCCATCCTGACTCTTGTAAGATGGTATTGTGTTTTGGTTTTAATCTTCACATCTCTGATGATTAGAGAACATTTTTTTTTTCATATGCTTTTTGGCCATTTGTATGTCTTCTTTTGAAAAATGTCTATGTCCTTTGTCTGCTTTTTTAATGGGGTTGTTTTTTTTTTTTCTTGTTTAGTTGTTTGAGTTCCTTGTGGATTCTGGTATTAGTCCTTTGTCAGATACACAGTTTGCAAGTATTTTCTCCTATTCCATAGGTTGTCTGTTCATTCTGTTAATTTTTTCTGTTGCTATACAGAAACTTTTTAGTTCATTTAAGTTCAACTTGTCTATCTTTGTTTTTGTTGCATTTGCTTTTGAGGTCTTAGTCATGAATTCTTTGCCTAGACCAATGTCCAAAAGATTTTTTCCTAGGTTTTCTTCTAGAATTTTTGTAGTTTCAGGTTCTTACATTTAAGTCTTTAATCCATGTTGAGTTAATTTTTGCATATGGTGATAGATATGGGTCCAGTTTCACTCTTCTGGATATGGCTGTATAATTTTCCCAGCATTGTTACCATAGATCGAATAGGGTGTCCTTTTGTAGTGTATATTTTTGTCAACTTTGTCAAAGATCAATTGAATGTAGGTATGTGGCTTTATTTCTGGGTTCTCTATTCTGTTCTATTGATCTATGTGTCTATTTTTATACCAGTACCATTCTTTTTTGGTTACTGCTTAGTAGCCTTGCATTATAATTTGAAGTTAGGTAATGTGATATTTCCAGCTTTGTCCTTTTTGCTTAGGATTGCTTTGGCTATTCAGGCTCTTTTGTGGTTCCATGTGAATTTTTAAATCTTTTTTTATAATTTTGTGAAAAATGACATTGATATTTTGATAGGAATTGCACTGAATCTGTAGATTGCCTTGTGCAGTATGGTCAATTTAATGATATGGATTCTTTTAATTCATGAGCATGGGATGTTTTTCCATTCATTTGTGTCATCTACAATTTCTTTCATCAGTGTTTCATAGTTTTCCTTGTAGAGATCTTTCACCTCCTTGGTTAAATGTATTCCTAGGTATTTTATTTTATTTTGTTTTTTTTTTTTTTTTGGTAGCTATTATAAATGGGATTGACTTCTTGATTTGGTTCTCAGCTTGACTGTTATTGATGTATAGAAATGCTACTAATTTTTGTACGTTACTTAACATCCTGCAACTGTACTGAATTCATTTATAAAATCTAGGCATCTTTAGCACCTATCGCAAGCAAGCAGAAATAATTTAGCTTCCTCTTTTCCAATGGTGAAAGTGGGGATACTTGTTCCATTTCTTAGGGGGAATGCTGTCAATTTTTTCCTGTTCGATGTAACACTGGCTGTGGGTTTGTCATTTACTGCATTTATTATTTTGAAGCATGTTTCTTCTATGCCTAGTTTGTTGAGAGCTTTTATCATGAAGGATGCTGAATTGTACTGTATACTCTTTCAGCACCTATTGAGATTATCTTTTTTTAAATTTTAAATTTTTATGGGTAAACAGTATATGTGTTTATTTATGGGGTACATAAGATATTTTGACACAGGCATATGGTGCATAAGAACCACATTAGAGGAAATGGGATATCCATTCACCTCAAGTATTTATCATTTCCATTACAAATATTCCAATTATACTATTTATTTTTTAAATGTACAATAGGTTTCTGTTGACTGTAGTCAACCTGCTGTGCTATTAAACACTAGATCTTATTCACTCTATCTGACTATATTTTTGTACTCTTTAACTATCCTCACCTCTCCGCCACCACTACCCTTCCCAGCCTCTGGTAACCATCATTCTATTCTCTATCTTCATGAGTTTGCTTGTTTTAATTTTTAGCTTCCACAAATGAGTGAGAACATGTGGTTTGTCTTTCTGTGCTAGCTTATTTCACTTAACAAAATGTCCTCCAATTCCATCCATGTTGTTGCAAATGACAGGATCTCATTCTTTTTATGGCTGAATAGTACTCCATTGTGTATATGTATCACACTTTCTCTAGCTATTCATCTGTTGATGGACACTTACTTAGGTTGCTTCCAAATCTTGGCTATTGTCAACAGTGCTGCAACAAACATGGAAGTGCAGATTATCTCTTTGATATACTGATTTCCTTTATTTTGGGTATACACCTAGGAGCAGGATTGCTGGATTGCACATTTTTAGTTTTTTGAGCAACCTCCAAACTGTTTTCCATAGTGGTTGCACTAATTTATGTTCCCACAGTGTACGAGAGCTCCCCTTTCTCCACATCCTTGCCAGGATTTGTTATTGCTTGTCTTTTGCATGAAAGCCATTTTAACTGAGGTGAGATAATATCTTATTGTAGTTTTGATTTGCACTTCTCTGATGATCAGTTATGTTGAGTACCTTTTCATATACCTGGTTCAGCATTTGTTTGTCTTCTTTTGAGAAATGTCTCCTTAGGTCTTTTGCTCATTTTTTAAATGAGATTATTAGATTTTTTTTTTTCCAATAGAGTTGTTTGAACTCCTTGTATATTCTGGTCGTAAATCCCTTTTCAGACGATAGTTTGCAAATACGTTCTCCGATACTGTGGGTTTTCTCCTGACTTTGTTGATTGTTTCCTTCACTGTACAGAAGGTTTTTAATTTGATATGATCCCATCTGT
The DNA here is from genome assembly GCF_000001405.40 of Homo sapiens. Taxonomy (NCBI): domain Eukaryota; kingdom Metazoa; phylum Chordata; class Mammalia; order Primates; family Hominidae; genus Homo; species Homo sapiens. The sequence goes on along the minus strand of NC_000007.14, from coordinate 112,240,996 downwards.
CCATTTTTGCTTTGGTTGCCTGAGCTTTTGGGATATACTAAAAAAATCTTTGCCCAGACCAATGCTCTAGAGAGTTTCCCCAATGTTTTCTTCTAGAAGGTTTACAGTTTGAGGTCTTAGATTTAAGTCTTTAATCCATTTTGATTTGATTTTTATATATGGTAAGAGACAAGGGTCTAGTTTCATGCTTCTGCATATGGATATCGTTTTCCCAGAATCATTTGTTGAAGAAACTGTCCTTTCTACAATGTATGTTTTTGGCATCTTTGTCAAAAATGAGTTCACTGTAAATGTATGGATTTATTTCTGGATTCTCTATTCTGTTCCATTCTATTTATGGGTTCTCTATTCTGTTTCATTCTGTTTTTATGCCAGTACCATACTGTTTTGGTTATCATAGCTCAGTAGCATTTGTTTTTGTTTTCTTAAAAATTTTTTTGTGGGTACATAGTATGTGTATATATTTTTGGGGTACATACTTTGATACAGGCATGCAATGTGTAATGGTGACATCAGGGCAAATGGGATATCCAACACCTCAAGCATTTATCTTTTCTTTGTGTTACAAACAATCCAATTATATCTTTTAGTTATTTTAAAATGTACAATTATTGTTGACTGTATCACTCAGTTGTGCTATCAAATACTACATCTTATTCAATCTTACTATATTTTTGTATCCATTAACCACCCCTTTGCTGTGTAAAAGCTTTTTTAACTTGATGTAACACTGGAGTACAGAAATCTCTTTGATATCCCGTCATTTTATTATTTGTTTTCTGATTGTTTTGTAGTCTTCCCTTCCTTCTTTCCTTTCTTCTAGTCTTCGTGTTCATAAAGGTGATTTTCCCTGGTGGTACATTTTAATTTCTGGCATTTCAATTTTTATCTGTTGTAGGCTTTTTGATTTGAGATTATCATGAGGCTTGCAAATAACGTCTTCTAACCCATTATTTTAAACTGATAAGCTAACACTGTGGTTGTATAAACACACTAACAAAGAAGCAAAGAGAAAACCAATAAAACTCTACACTGTAAACCAATAAAACTCTTCCCATTTTTAAACATTTTGCTGTTTCTATTTAGATCTTATTATACTGTCTGTCTATGTCTTAAAAGTGGTTGTAGTACTTATTTTTGATTGGTTCATCTTTTAGTCCCTCTACTCAAAATACTCAAAATATGAGTAGTTTACATACCATGATTATGGTTTTATACTATTCTGTACTTGTCTGTGTACTTACTATTACCAATGAGTTTTGCATCTTCAGATGATTTCTTATAGTTCATTAACATCCTTTTCTTTCAGACTGAATAACTCCCTTTAGCATGTCTTGTAGGACAGGTCTGGTGTTGACAAAAATCTCTTGGCTTTTGTTTGCCTAATCCAGAATTCTCTGGATTAACAGGCAGAGTCTCTTGTTCTCTTTCCTTACCTTTCCTCAAACAAACAGAATCTCTCTCTCCATGCTGAGCTGTCTGGAATTGGGGGGAAAGGGGTCACAAACACTCCTGTGGTCACCACCACTGGGACTGTGCTGAGTCAGACCTGAAGCCGGAGCAGTACTGGGTCTCACCAGAGGCCTGTGGCAACTATTGCCTGGCTACCACTGAGCCCTAGGGCTCCTTAGTCAGCAGTAATAAATCCAGCTAGACGTGTGTCCTTCCCTTCAGGGCGAGGGGGTTTTCTTCTGGCCAAGGGTGGGTCTAGAAATACTGTCCAGGAGCTAGGGCTTAGAACTGGAAACTTTAGGAATCTACTGGTGCTTTCTTTTCCTGTGGCTGAGCTGGTACCCAAGTTGCAAGAGAAAGTCTTTTTACTCTTCCCTCTCCTTTCCTCAAGAAGGAGTCTTTCTCTGTGGACACCATAGCTGGGAATGTGCTGGGTCACACCTGATGCCAGCACAGTACTGGGTCTCATCCAAGGTTCATTGGTGAGTAGTGCCTGGCTATTGCTGATGTTTATTCAAGGCTCCAGGGTTCTTTAGTCATTAGGTGATGAATCCTGCTTAGACTGGGTTGTTTCCTTCAGGCAGTGGGTACCCTTCTGGTCCAGGATGTGTCTAAAAATGTCATCCGGATGAGGTCGGGCACGTTCAGGGCGGTACGCGCCAAAATCTCAGAAACCACCACTAAATAACTTATTCATGTAACCTAACACCACCCGCTCTCTAAAAATCTATTGAAATAAAAAAAAAATTAAGTAAAAAATATCATCCAGGAGCCAGGGCCTGGAATGGGGGCTTTAGGACTCAGCATGGTGCTTTATTTTACTGTGGCTGAGCTGTATCCAAATTGCAAAACAAAGTCTTCTTCACTCTCCCATTCTTCTCTCCTCAGACCAAGGATGGAGTCTCTGCGGGAGCTGCAAACTGTGATGCATAGGGTTGGGGTGGGGTGACGCGAACACCTCCCTGGCCACCACAGGTGGTGTCTCAGTGGGTCACATGTACCTCAAGTCCACTGGCTCCAAGCCCAGCACAGCACAAGGATTTGTCCAGGAATCACACTACTTGTGGCCTAGACTGCCTTTCTGATTTCTTTAGGACCTCAAAGCACTGTAGCCTTGCTGGTGGGGCTAGCTGGAACTCAGGTTCCAAAGGCTGGAATGGATGGTTCCCCCTAGCTATAGGGCTGGTCTAAATGTTCCTTCCATGGGTGCTGGCTGAATTCTGCCCTGTGTTGCTTTCCACTGTGACAGGGCAGCACAGAGCTCCAATGCAATGCCCCACAATTACTGCGCTCTCCCTCCCCTAAGCACTCTCTGCGCTAAGCTGCCACTGCTGAGAGATGGGGAGAGACAGATTAGACAATTCAAGACTGTCTTTCCTATTCTATTCAGTGCCTTTTTCGTTGATGTGATGTTAAAACCAGGTACTGTGATTTGCTCACCTAACTTCTGGTTCTTATGAAGGTGCTTTCTTGTGTGGATAGTTGTTCAATTTGGTGTTTGTATAGGTGGGGATGATTGCTGGAGGGGTCTATTCATCCATCTTCCTCAGCCTCCTCTGCAGGTGGTGTTAATTTATTTATTTTTCATGTGCTGTTGGATTCTGTTTCATAGTATTTTGTTGAAGATTTCTGCATCTATCTTCATCAAAGATATTGGTCTATAGTTTTCTTTTTTTGTTGTGTCCTTGCCTGGTTTTGACATCAGGGTGTTACTGGCTTTGCAGAATACGTTAGGGAGGATTCCCTCCTCCTTGTCTTTTTGTAACAGTTTTGGTAAGCCAGGTACCAGTTCTTCTTTGTATATCTGGTGGAATTTAGCTGGAAACCATATGGTCCTGGGCTTTTTTTGTTGCTTTTGGGAGATTTTTATTACTGTTCTGGATTTCTATTTCTTCCTGGTTCAATCTTGGGAGGTTGTATGTTTTTAGAAATGTATCCATTTCCTCTAGGTTTTCTAGTTTGTGAGCATAGTGTTGTTTAGTCTCTGATGATCTTTTGTATTTCTGTGGTATCAGCTGTAATTTCTCCTGTTTCATTTCTGATTGTTTATTTGAATTTCTCTCTTCTTGGTTAGCCTATTGAGCAGTCTATGAATTTTCTTTATCTTTTTTTAACAGAACTTTTTGTTTCATTGATTTTTTTTGTTTGTTTCAATTTATTTTAGTTCTGTACTGACTTGTTACTTCTTTTCTTCTGCTAGCTTTGGGTTCAGTTTATTCTTGTTTTTGTGGTTCCTTTAAGTGCAACATTAGGTTATTAATTTGTGATCTATTCTTTTGATGTAGGCATTTAATGCTATAAACTTTCTTCTTAGCGCTGCTTTTGCTCTGTCCCAGAGGTTTTGGTATGTTGTGTCTTCATTTTCATTTGTTTCAAAATTTTTTTAAATTTCCATCTTAATTTTGTCATACTGATCATTCAGGAACAGGCTGTTTAATTCCCATATATTTGTGTAGTTTTGAGAATTCCTTTTGGAATTGATTTCTGGTTTTATTCCACTGTGCTCAAAGAGGATACTTGATGTGATCTTGATTTTCAAAAATTTACTGAGACTTCTTTTGTAGCCTAATATATGGTCTACCTTGAAGAATGTTCTATACTCTGATGAGAATAATGTATATTTTGTGGTTTTTGAGGTTGAAAGCTCTGTAAATGTCTCCTAGGTCCATTTGGTCTAAAGTCCAATTTAAGCCCAGTGTTTTTTTGTTGATTTTCTGTCTGGATGATCTGTCTAGTGTTGTCAGTGGTGTGTCGAAGTCCCTCACTTTACAACATAAATATTTCTAAAATTGCCTTTTGGGTTGTAATTTAAAAGATGAGATTGTGTTTACTTTCTAATATGGAAAGTAAATAGTGAATGAGGACTCGTAGAATTTTATGAGTCACCAAAATTCAAGCCATTTGCCATAGCACTCACAATCATTCTAGTTTTCCATTTTAAAACTTACTGTGAATTGTACAACATGGGTGTTTCATTAATACTAACTAATGAGGACATTTTTTCTCTCCTACACTTACATGTTCAACTATAATAAGATGAAAGGAGGGATTATTGACTCAAATTTTTAGAAGCTATATTAGGGACTTAGGGTATCTAATTGATTCAACCTCTAAATACAAGAAAAAAACTAAAGCCCATGAATGTTCAGACTCTACCTGACCAGAGTAGTACCTAGGTCTAATGTAATCAAGGGATAGTACCTGAAAAATAATCCACTAAGAATAAATTTCAAGAGACTATTTACATTACATATATGCTAAAACAAAGGGTTACTGGTGCTATTTGTATTTCTTTTGATGTGCTCTGATTTTGGAAAAATCAGCAGGTTATGTCAAAGATATCTTGAAAAAGGAGAACAAAGTTAAAGCTCTCACACTTACCTGATTTCCAAACTTACTAAAACGCTACAGTAATTAAGATAGTGTGGTACTAGCATCAGAAAAGACCAATATAGATCAATGGTAGAGAATTCAGAGTCCAGATGTAAACCCCACATATATGGTCTATTGATACAGTAGCTTTTTCAACAAATGGTGCTGAAACTGGATATCCATATGCAAAATAAAAAAGCTGGATTACTTTCTTAAACCCTACACAAAAATTAACTCAAAACTGATCACAAACCTACATGTAAGAGCAAAACTATAAAACTCTTGGGACAAAAACAGGGGTCAATATTAATGACCTTGGATTAGGCAGAGCTTTTTTGGTTAGGAAATGAAGAATACAAGTGATTAAAGGAAAAAAAAATAGACACATTTGATATAATTAAAATTAAGAACAACAACAAAAAAACCTTTTGTACTTCAAAGGACACCATCAAGAACATGGAAAGACAGCCCACAGAATGGGAGAAAATATCTGAAAATCATAGAACTGATACAGGACTTGTATCCAGAATGTATAAAGAACTCTTACAAATAATAAAAAAGATAAATAACCCAATTCAAAAATGGGTACAGGATTTAAATAGACATTTTCCCCAAAAGTTATACAAAGAGTCAATAAGAACATGAAAAGATGCTTAATATCATTAGTTACTAGAGAAATGCAATTCAATACTATAATAAGATACTACTTCATACTCACTTGGGTGGCTATAGTAAAAAAACTAATAACAAGTGTTGGTGAAGATGTGGAGAATTAGAGCCTCAGACACTGCTGGTGGAAATGTAAACTGGTACAGCTGTTTTATAACAGTTTGACAGTTCAAAATGTCAATCATAGTTACTATATGACCATAGGAATTCTACTCCTAGGTATATATCCAAGAGAAGTGAAAACATGTCCACCCAAAAACTTCCTTATTCCACCATTTACCACAAAATAAATTTCAGGCAGACTGAAGACCTCAACAAAATATAAAAATATAAAAATACATTAAAATAATGAAAAATTTAAAAATAATATTGGAGCGAAATTGTTTTTTTTCTAACTATGATGTAAAACACAGTAGTACACAAAAGATTGATCAGTTTTGCAAAAAGAATAAAATAAATTTCTGCAGGCAAAAAATAGATGGCTGTTAATAACAATGTCAAACAATAATTAACAAACAACAAACAGAATAAATTATTTCCTTACTATATAAGACTCCTTCAAATCAATGTTTACAACTTAATAGAAAATGGGCAAAGGACATGGACAAACTGGTTATAAAAATGAAAATACAAATGGCTCTTATATATAAGATGCTCAGCTTTCCTTACAACAAACATGAAAATTAGATATAAGTGGATATTAAGATGCAAATATATACTATGTAAAATAAATACAAATAAAAATATAATAATTTGAATTTTATAATATAAATAATAGTCATGTAGGATATCATTTTTCTACCACTGGACAGACATACATCAAAAACTTTGGTAATATGCTGCATTCTCAAGGATAGGCATCTCTACAAATTGCTTGCAGTGTAAATTAGTACTGTTACGAATAATGAAAATTTGGCAACTGCTATGGTCTGAATGGTCCCCTTAAAATTCATATGTAGAAACATAATCACCAATGTGCTGATAGTAGGATGTAGGACCTTTGGGAGGTATTTAGGTCATGAGGATGGAGCTTTCATGAATGTGACAGTGCTCTTTAAAAAGAGTCCCCATAGAGCTGCCTTGTCCCTTCTGCCATGTAAAGACACAGCTAGAATGAACTATGCCCTCATCAGACATCAAATTTGTTGATACCTTGATCTTGGACTTACCAACCCCCAGAACCATGAGAAATAAATTCTTGTTGTTTACAAGCCACGCAGTTTGTGGCATTTTGCTAGAGTAGCATAAATGGACAAAGACAGAAAACATTTGTCAATATTTAAAAGGCACATATAATTTAACCCAGAAATTCTACTTTTAAGAAATACAAGGATGGTTACTGCAGCATTTTTTCAAACTTCAAAAGGAAGTGCAATAATGTGAATGCCTATTAATAATGAACTGGCTAAATAAAGCATGGTAAAGTAGAAAAAAAATTTTAATCAGCAGGCAGATTTTGAAAGATATTAAATATTTCAAACTACCACTGAGGTGATTCTAAAAAAACCTTATAGTAAAATTACCTAAGTAACTGAATAGAGGAAGGCAAGAGAGCAGTTAGCATAACTGAAAAAAAAAAGTAGCCAGAAAAGCAATAAGAACTTTAATTTACACTTTCATATTAGACCTATTACCAAAAATTCCAAAAAATTTTGAAAAGAATACAACTAGAAAAGGTGTATTAATAACAAGTTGTTCTCAATTTTCAATTAGGTTCTCAATTTTCAAATGAGAATATTGGAACCTGTGATTTAATATTTAGAGGTGAAGTCTCAGAATATTCTGTGCAGAAAACTGTTCAACAAAATATAATAACCCTGTAGTCAATTTGAAAACCAAAACCAACTATTCTAACCATTTTAAGTGCCTCTGCTTTGAAAAAAGAGCACTGCCAATATTGCTGGTAAGGGAGTAATATCATTGCATAATGATGACATGCTAAGAGTAAATAGATCTAGGAGTTCCCATGACAGTGCTGCTGGTAGAAACTAGTTGTATGACCTCTGGCTTTTGCTTTCTAATTCACTTATATGCTAAAAGTAGTTGAGATGATAAAATGAGATCAAGCATGGAATGATGCTCCAAAAAATATGACTTGCTAACAGTGTAGGTAGGACTGTGGAGGAAAGCCAATGTAGCACTGGCCCTGCAAGGACAGTATCTTGCAATGGTTAACAGGCACAGAAGAATAAGACGGAACCAGAGGTGACTTAGCTTCTGCACTGGACACATAGCAGGCACATGTCTAATCTCATCCAAGTGCCAAAGAAGTAACACTGACATTTACTGGGCATCTGAATGTAAAATACAAGAGCAAAGTGCATCACAATCACAATCCCGATAGGATTGTGAAATCCCTATTTCTGAGCTGAAATCAGAAACTGATAATGAAAACGAAGCATTAACAAGATAAAACAAGAAAATTCTGGATAGAAGTTTACCTTTTGGGTGGAGGAAAGTAGTCAGCAAGAACATTTCACAGAAAAGTTGAAGGTGAAATCTAAATGAAATCTTAAGGAATGAGCAGGAGTTGGTGAGGTAGGCAGGCAGGGAAGAGATGATTTTAGGCAGAGAGAATATATGAATTAGGGTTAGATAGGTCAGAAGATAATAAATATAAACTTTTTCAAAATATGCAGAGATAATGAGAGTAGATCATTCAGAAAACCTTAGGCTTTTGGAATTACTGGCCATCACTCTGAAGAGTACAAAGTACTCCACTGACCATAGATAAAACTTCAGCATAGTGAAGTGAGGTCAATGGGATAGGACGTGCACCACCATATTTTTGACTTAGACACTGCAAAAAACATTTGATACACAACTGCGCTAACACAAAACTGATATTAAATTGCCATCCAGATATACAACTCAAGGGGATCTTGAGGAAAGTGCATCCCAGGGAGCAGACCGTTTCAATCCTTGCTATAATACCTTTCAATGCCTAGATTATCATCAACTGTAATGTGTGTTATTGTTTGGGTATAGACATATGCTTGCACTTCTAGTAACCTCAGAGAAGTGGCCTCAATTCTTAGTACTTCATTTGTAATCTAGCTTTCAAATTAGTTCAAAGTAGGTATACCATCAACTCAGAACAGGTACTGGAGAGGACATAAACCACATGAAGTGTTAATCTGCAAGTGATCTCAGCCATACTACTTTATTAGAATTCTTCAAATAGACAGATCTTGTCCATTCCACAGGGTTTCTTCGGTTGTCTAGTTGGTACCTTGCTTCTTTTCCTTGCAATTCACTTTCTGTTTGTCTTCCCCTGAAACTCTAATCCCAATTAGATTGACTCCCAACCCCTGTTTTAATTCCTTAGATCTCATTATCTACTTTTAAAATCATCTGTCCAGTCTTTCACATATGACACTTATGAGAGAAGGGCTTTGAGATAACTTTCAGTTAAGGGAATATATATATATATATATATATATATATATATATATATATATGTATTTATTTATTTTAGGGGCAGTTCCCAATACTGTTGCTGTTTTCGCCAAGGGAGGTAATTGGAGAAAACAAAAAAATTTAAATAGATACTTCTTTCCTCATGAAGTAGAAAATACTATTTTGTCTGTTTCTGAAATAACAGGCTAGATTTGTCACTCAAAATGACCTATTTCAAGTTAATATACTTGCTAGTCAGAAAGAATACATAAACTGTAAACTGATCAGTGGAAATACTCTGAATTAACAAAGTTCCGTGGTTGTGTTGATAACAGTACTTGATGTAAAATAGTGCTATGCTGGTATCCTCTCTGGTTTTAAGAAATAAAAGGGAGACATCATTCATGTTAAAGAAAATTTAAAGAATGTCAGTAAAAACACTCATAGGCAATGGAGTATCTATATAATAAAAAGTTATCCAAAAAAAAAAAGGGAGGATGGGGAGATGGAAGGAGCCAAAAAACAACCTGAAAAATTGCAACCCAGCATTTGGACCAGATGGCATTCATCAGAGACTTCAGAGATAATGGAGCTACTCATAAAACATGCAGTTTATCATGAAAAAGCACTCCAGTGGAAGACTAAGTATCTCCAAAATTTTGATAAGGGTGACCTTGGATTTATCAGTTGCACAGAACAAAGGATTTGCAGTAGATATGAATGTAAGTTTTCAATAAGAGAAAAATTATAGTGACAAACCAGCATTTCCCCTTTCTGGTTTATCACACTAAACTTCACTCCAATTAACACACTGACATTTTAAGAGTTTCTTTTTAAAAAAATTTTACACACACACATCATACACAAAGACACAATTTTTTTTTTTTTTTTTGAGACGGAGTCTCACATTGTTGCCAGGCTGGAGTGCAATGGCGCGATCTCAGCTCACTGCAACCTCCGCCTCCCGGGTTCAAGTGATTCTCCTGCCTCAGCCTCCTGAGTAGCTGGGATTATAGGTGCCTGCCACCACGCCCAGCTAATTTTTTGTGTTTTTAATAGAGACGGGGTTTCACTATGTTGACCAGGCTGGTCTTGAACTCCTGACCTCGTGATCTGCCCACCTTCGCCTCCCAAAGTGCTGGGATTACAGGTGTCAGCCACCATGCCTGGTCACAAACACACGATTTTAAAGACACAATCACTCCTCTATCCCAAATCCTAAATGAGGTGAGGTCTTGTTTAAAAATTCTTGTAAATTTTGTATAAAATCCAGAGCTTAATTAGGAATATCTGGTAAAAATAGGCATGGATCAAAACAAAAATACAGAATTGCAGGAGTATTAATATATGGCCAATTTTAATTATGGAAAAGCTATGAGCTGTAAATTCCTTAGAAATAAGAAAAGCATGACTCTGAAAAATGTACTCTCATTTAGAAAATAAAGCAAATTTAAAAGTGCAGATTTCCACACAAAGTCAAGTGTGCACTCAACAAAGAGGTTTAATTACTTGATCTGTGACTCTTAGATGATTCTTCTAGTGTGGAACTCACACTTCACAAGTGGTTATAAGTAAGGGAGAAAAATAAAATCCTCAGTTATCTCTGTTCTCTGGTCGAGAAGCTGCAAGAGATTAAAGTAGTGGGGCCAATCTGGGAGACTTGCATGAGATATACTTTCATTTTGGGCTTTTTCCTTTAACATAAAGAAAATCATAGCTGATTTTTAGCTGGGCATCCAGTTTGGACTACATAAGGAACATGTCCAATTAACAAGTCTCCTAACTATCCTGCCCTGCCCCTATATCCATTCTCACATTAGTACGGCCACAGGCTGTTTCTAGTAGAGATGAGGTTTCACCATGTTGGCCAGGCTGGTCTCAAATTCCTGACTTCAGGTGATACACCCACCTTGGCCTCCCAGAGTGCTGAGATTACAGGCGTGAGCCACTGCGCCCAGCCAGCCACAGGCTGTTTCTATACAGCAAATCTGATTCATATTACTCACCCACTTAAAGCACTCTCCTCATCATGTAGGAGAAACTCCAAGTTCTTTCGCATGGCCCACAAGGTCCTTTATAATGCAGTCCTTGCTCCCTTCTCTAGCCTTGTCTCCTACTCCATTGCTCTATTTTAGGTTTTAGTAAAAAGCAGGTGTAGGGCATCCCAAGCCCTTCCTCAAGCACCTCATTCTATCAAGAAGGCATACCCATCCTTGGCCACCTGGCAAAGACCTCTGCCTAGGAATTATCTCTTTGTGAAGCCTACCCTAACTGCCTAGACAGGTTAATAATACAGAAATCTGGGATAAATTAACTTGCTGCTTCAGTGTTGACTCTTTCACGGCACTTCTGTGTTACTTTCCTCTACTAGACATTGGCTCCTTCAAGACAGGAACTTGTCTTGTTCTTTTTGGTGGCTTTAGGGCCTAGCACATAATTAGTGCTTAATAAATGCTTGCTGAGACTCAGAGCTCGAGAATATCAAAGGTGTCATTTTTTTCTAGGGAAAACTGTCTGTGTGACAATTACTAGAGAGATTCTACTAAATGCTTTTGAAGACCACTTGGCCTCATGGAGAACAAAGACCCACATGGCCATATAAATAAGGGCTTAGCAGATTGGACAGTTTCTTATAAGTTGGTTATGAGATGCAGTATTTTGTTCCATTTTATCTACCACTGCTTCTCTTTGGAGTCTGCAGCTTTAAGAAGAGTTTCTGAAATGTCCTTGTATGGCATCTGACTCTTCTTTGCAGTGTTGTATGCAAGCTGCTACTCTAGACTACGCTACTCTGTATTCATCTACCTGCCTGTTAGTCTTTCCTGGTCCTCTGGTCTCTCTCACTTCTTCCATGAGGGCAACCATAATTACTTCTTTCAAACAAACATGTTCTCCATCCATTCCTCAGAGCTTAACCTAGTTATTGGTACTAGTTACTCTTCTCCAATTAGACTATAAGCTCAAAGAATACACAACTATGTCTTGTCCTTTTAAAACATTTCCCTAATTGACTTCTTTCCATGTCACTAACAAACACTCTATATTTGAATGATATAAATACAAAAAGCATCCCTTCATGCAGGATGTTAATACAGCACTGCTTAATTTATATAATGCTTTAAACTTTGTAAAATAATCTCCTAAACACTTCATACCTCACCAAAACTCTGTGAGGTAAGATTATTTATTTTAGTTGCGAGAAAACAGAAGTTCAGGGAGTGTGATTTATCTAAGGTCACACAATGAATATGTCAACCTGATTCTTTTGTCCACAAGTTCAATGATCTTTGTACCCCACTATGCTCTCGATCTTTGGATAAGACCAAATTTCAGGGGTTGTATGCATAAAGAACAAGTTTATAGTGATCTGTCAACTATATAAGCAAAGGAACTTAGCATATACTATGTACAATCTGACTACCTGAAACAATAAAAAGATAGTAAAAAAATAAGAGTGTTGGAAAAGCCTGGCATAAAAGACCATGCATATTTAATATGCTCCATTCAAAACGTCCGGGGTGACTTTCTAGGAGGAGTTTAATATTTATGGGAATGACAAGGTCAATGTATAAGGCCTAACGTCCATAAAGTCAAGCAAGGGACAGCATGTGCTCAACAGCTTGAAAAAAAAAAAAAAAAAAAAAAAAAAAGGCCTCTCCTCTTCCAGAAAGAACATGCATTCACCTGTGCACATACCTGTTGGCCAAATGGAATAGAAGACTGTATAGAAATATGGGTGATATATTCAATAGACGTAGTTGGTTGACTGATAACTCACAAAACATGTTTACCTAGAGCCCCAAAATGTGATTTTATTTGGAAATAGGGTCTTTGCAGATGTAACTAAAGTAAGGATCTTGAGAGCATCCTGAATTAGGGTGGGTCCTCAATCTAATTCCTTGTTAGAGACAGATAGGGGGAAGACAAAGAGATGCAGGAAAGGAGGCCATGTGAAGATGGAGGCAGAGACTGGAGTCACGCTGCCAGAAGCCAAGACCACTTGGTACCACCAGAAGCTGGAAGAGGAAAGGAAGGATTCTCCCCTAGAGCTTTCAAAGAGAGCGTAGCCCTGCTGACATCTTGATTTTGGACTTCTGGCCTTCAAAACTGTGAGCGAATAAATTTCTTTTGTTTTAAGATGTGGTTCATGGTAATTTGTTACAGGCAACCCCAAGAAACAAACACAGTATACACAGCTGAACTATTAGACTTAAAATTTCTCTCTCTACAAGCTGTTGATGAGATTTCTCCAGATAACTAAATAGGATAATATGATTAAAGCTACAAAGACGTATGTAGCTAATTCAGCTACATAATAATATAGCCATTCAGGAATGGCTTCACATTTAAAAAAGTTAAGATTTGAAGTATGAATATGACTTTACAAGAGAAATTATATATATTTATAATGAGGGTTACAATATTTACAAAATATAACTTACAAGAATATAACTGTTAAATTAAGTTTAGCCTAAAGCTGTCTCCTTAGATAGGTTTGGCCAAAAGTTTTCTCCCTACATGGTGAACTGTAACCTAATTGGATGTGTAAATAGACGGTAACCTACTCTTGTGCCAATCATGCAGTTTTGGCCAATCACAGGCCCAAAACTGTTTAAATTGCATTTAGGCAAAGGCTGATAACCAATACAGCTGTTTCTGTACCTCACTTCTGTTTTCTGTCCATAAATCTCCTTTGACCATGAGGTAGGACAGGAGTCTCTCAGAATCTGCTGTAATTCTGAGGAGTGCCCAATTCACAAATTGTTCTTTGCTAAATTAAACTGTTAAATTTGTCTAAGGTTTTTCTTTTTACATAACTTTAAAAAACAAAAACACGCAGCCTGCAAGCATATGAAAATATGTTCGAATTTCTGAAGTATGAGTGAATTTCACAGCAGGATCAACTAATTTCACGCAAGGATCAACTAATGTTGACAAAGTTATAATTAATTTTGATAACTATCCATAAATAAGATGCATTCAAAGTCTGATTCACTAACGTATTGCCACAAGAGATATCAGCAAATGTAATTTCAGCAAAAAGTAACAAGCAAAGAGGGCAATGCAGCTGTGTCATTTAAACTCTGCTTGCCTCAACTGGTCTACTTTGAAACTACATTTAATGTAAGTGAGAATCCTGAAGAAATGGAAATTTGCCAGTTGGCTCTGAATATTGCTAATAGGAGTGAATAACAATGGGTCCTATGAATCATTTTGAAGCTGTCTAAAAAAAAAGCTTTCACTAAAAAATTCCTCTATATCATACTAGTTTTGGATTTTACATCAAAGAGATGCCTAGATTTATCATTTAATTAATAAACAGTAATTCAGAAACTGACATTTCTGACAATGATACCACACACAGAGAATATAAAAAAATCCAACTAACCTACATTCTTGAAGTCAATGAAAGCTGATAGAGGAATGTGAATTAAATTTTCATAACCTTAAATAATGCATTAGAAAGCTACGGTTACCTGACTTAATAAGAAGCACAGGCTTGAGTACTCTGGAACAGTAGGTCAGAAAATGGTTACTTAGGAAACTTTTTTGTTGTTGTTCAATATTCAAATCCTAATTCAAATGTACTATCAAAGGAACACTAAACTAGAGAAACAAAGATGCTGATTTGAAGAGTAAATGTTCTCATATTGTGCTAAAGTGGTAGGTTTTGTTTATATAAATATTAATTTCAGTGATACCTGGGACATCTTCAAAACAACTCTGGCTTCTTGTATATAATGGAGAAAATGTTCCTTAAAGGATGCTACATCTCCCTGAGGCAGAAAAAATACCTGTTTCTTGTATTTATCCTGTGCTTTGGCATCCTATATTTATTTTCTTACTCCTGGGGCATAAATAGGAAACATATGAAGATGAACGACAGTGATTACTATTACAGACACAGGATGAAGGATCTTTTCTGGAGATATTTACAGATGGAACTGTTTGGGATGGTAACATTCTTAATAAATAAGGGGGAGATAACTCTGATTAGCATTTCCCAAATTAAATTCCATGGAACACTAGAAACCCATGAAATGTTAATAGATGCTATTTGAGAAAAAAGTTGTGATAGTCAACTATTTGGGAAACAGGATATAATATTTATGTCTTGGACAGTCACAAAAATTAGCACACTAAAGTCCTAAGTAAAACAGTCAGGTAACTTTAGCTCAGTATTTGCAAATTATTTGCTCAAAAAATTTTCTTCATGTAGTATCATAATACTTTTCTCCCTCATAATTCTATGGAGTCCTGGAATACTGTCCCTAAAAACATAAATAGTATACTAAATTTACATTGGCCTTGCCTAATTCAATAGCATAGTGAAAAAAACAAGAGAACATGAATTTCTATTAAAATATCTTAAAAGCGTGAAATGAATTTCTTTTCAGTCCATTACCTAAAGGTCTTAGTTTGTCTTTAATTTTTAATTCATTTAGGCTCCAAGAACATGTAAATATGCATGGTTGGATGTACTCTGGGATTCACACAAAGAAAAGAAAAACAGAATTGTGCCCTATTTGTAGAAACAACTATAACTACTGACATCTAAAAATATAAATGAGAAAATTATTAACATTATAATTTAATGTGTTCTATCAATAAACTCTAAAGTATTTCACAAGGAAAAATAATCAAGAACAGGGATCTTTCTCTGCAGCAAATCCCTTGTACTTTAGAGGTCATGAAAAAGAAAGGGTATTATTACTTTATACTTGAGAATTATATTACAACTGGCTGATTATTCAGGATTAATGAGCTCAAGGTTAGAAGTTCAGTGGCCATATGGGCAACTGTAATGACTTGCCTGGCACTAAGCCCCTGCCAATACCACTAATCAGCATGGCAGGAGTCCCTAAGCCCACCATTGGTTTGGCTCTGTTCCAGCCTCAAGCCAATGGCTCTGCATCAACCCAGTTTTCTTGGCCTCATCTCTACCTGGTTCTAGGATGCTAGTCACTGGACACATGACTAACTTCTTGAAACCAAACCTCAACTTTAATTCTTTTTCCAGTAATTGAGCTCTTAATCTGTTGCCCTGATTCTATCACTTCTTGACTTGATGCCTCATCCAGAATCCATCTTCCTCTATATTTGTTGCTTTTACAATTTTCTTTTTTAGAGACAGGTTCTAGCCATGTTGCCCAAGATGGTCTTGAACTTCTGACCTCAAGCATTCCTCCTGCCTTGGCCTCCCAAAATACTGGGATTGCAGGTGTGAGCCACCACCACACCCAGCCCTAAATTTTTTTCAGGACTTTTAATAACTTGACTCCTGTCCCTAAAGTCCAGTTTACTTGTAGCTGTGTCCTTGCTACTGAACAAAGACTCATTGACCATATTTTAGTCATGTTCCTCTGAACCCTTTTCCTGACTAGGCCCCGTCCTTGCCAGACCTGCATAGTTCAGTTTTATCAAGAATCCTGCTAAATCAGTTTAGAAAGAATCCCCCGTCCTCAATAACTCACCACCCTCAATAGCTGAAAAAAATTCTTGCCATCCCCCAGGTGATATCTGATTACCCTGGCCTGCCTTCAGCAGGAATCCCCCCTTATCCCTGATGCTTCCTCTTAGTGATTTTCCATCTCCCAAACCCTCCAACCTATTTCTTGACTATAAATTCCCACTTTTCCATGTTGTATTAGGAATTGAGCCCAGTTCTATACTGAGGTGTTGTTTCCTCACAAGCTTATCCAATCCCTGGCCCGTGGGCCACACACAGCCCAGGGCGGCCTTGAATGTGGTCCAACACAAATTTGTAAACTTTCTTAAAACATTATGAAATTTGTTTACAATTTTTTAAAGTTCATTATCTATTGTAAGTGTTAGTGTATTTTATGTGTGGTCCAAGACAATTCTTCTTCCAATGTGGCCCAGGGAAGCCAAAAGATAGGACACCCCTGCTCTACTGTAGGAGTTCCTGAATAAAATATTTTTTCTGCCAGTTTACTGTCCAGCTCTAGTTTTTCTTTAATACTACCCGCTACCAGATCTCTCTACTTCTCTGTATTCTAACTGATGCCTGTCTAATCTCTATGGCATACTCTGCCTGCAGTCATCTGGGCATTCTAAATGACAGTGCCCGAGCAGAACCCAACTTATTAAAGTAGACAGAATCTTCATATACAACCTGCTCTGTCCCAGCACATTTTTCTAATCCCAGAAATTTCCTTACAGGAGTCAGCTATGCTCTGACTTTATTAACAAGGGCAGAGCTCTTTGCTTTTGAATGTGACAAGGAAGACTGCAACCCCAATTGCTTCTGAAAGCCTTCCTGTGACTATGGTTGTCTGTAATACCTAGTTTAAAAAATTCTAACCAGAGAATTCTGGGTCGGCAAGACAGTGGAATAGGAGGTCCTCTGCTTATATCCCTGCTTCTCTCAAAAAATTTTGCAGCCATCCCTGGACAAAAGCGCCTTTGTGGGAGCCTTGGGATTTAGGCAGGAGTTTCTAAAACCCCAGTGGAGTCTAAAAACCTAGAAGGGTCATTTTGAGAGGGCAAACCTACGACCAGGTGGCAGACTCATGAACTGTGATCTTGGCTCCGGACTTGGAAATGACCCTGTCTCCCTGTGGACTTGGCTACAGCCCCATTTGGATTTGGGCCTCTTCCAAAACTATCCACCATGGAGACTGGGAAAAGTCACACATACTAGTGCCTAGGGAGACAGACCTGTTGACCTCAGTCTCTGCTGTGGACCCTAAAAGGATCCTTTAACTTGGCTCCAGGCCTTCTCAGCTACAGTCCTAGATCAGTGTTCCTGGAACAAAGACACAGAGGGAGACACACCATTCTGAGTCCCCTGGGCCAGCTTGCAACCCTCAGTCCAACAGCAGATCCTGAAATGGCCCCGAATCTCATCTTCGAGCCTCTATCAGCTGTGGAATGACAGTAGTGCTGCCTAGCCAGGGATCAGCTGGGAGACATGCTACGTTAGTCAGGGTTCTCTAGAGGGACAGAACTAATGAAACATATACATATAAAGGGGAGTTTATTAAGTATTAACTCACACAATCACAAGGTCCCACAATAGGCCATCAGCAGGCTGAAGAGCAAGGAGAACCAGTCCGAGTTCCAAAACTGAAGAACTTGGAGTACGATGTTCGAGGGCAGGAAGCATCCAGCATGGTAGAAAGATGCAGGCTGGGAGGCTACGCCAGTCTCTCTTTTCACATTTTTCTGCCTGTTTATATTCTAGCTGTGCTGGCAGCTGATCAGATGGTACCCACCCAGATTAAGGGTGGGTCTGCCTTTCCCAGCCCACTGACTCAAATGTTAATCTCCTTTAGCAACACCCTCACAGACACGCTCAGGATCAATACTTTGTATCCTTCAATCCAATCAAGTTGACACTCAGTATTAACCATCACACATGCCTATTCATATCCCAAGGGCAGGCTTGCAGTACTCAGTCCCACAGTAACAACTAGAAAAATAATAGAAAGGATCAACACAACTAAAAGTTGATTTCTGGAAAAGATACACAAAATTGACAAACCCTTAGCTAAGCTAACTAAGAAAAAAAAGACAGAAGCCTCAAATACATTAAATCATAAATGAAGGAGATATCACAGCTGATACCACAGAAATACAAAGGATCATGAGGGTACTATGAGCAATTATATGGCAATAAATTGGATAACCTAGAAGAAATGGATAAATTCTATACACATAGAACCTAGCAAGACTCAATTATGAAGAAAGGGAAAATGTGAACAGCTCAATATCAGGTAAGGAGATTAATTCAGTAACAAAAGCTTTCCCATGAAAGAAAAGCCCAAGACCTAACGATGTCACCGCTGAATTCTACCAAACATTTAAAGATGAACTAACACCAATGCTTCTCAAACTCTTCCAAAACACTGAAGAGGAGGAACCACTTCCAAACTCATTTTACAAGGTCTGAATCACCCTGATACCAAAGCCAGAGAAGGACACTTCAAGAGAACAAAAGTACAGGGCAATATCCCTGATAGACAAAATACTCAACAAAATAGTTGCAAACTAAATTCAACAGCACACTGAAAGAATCATTCACCAAAATCAAGTGGAATTCATCTCAGGGATATAAAGATGGCTCAAAATACATGACTCTATAAATGTGATAAACCATGTTAATAGGATGAAGGACAAAAAATATATGACTCCATAGATGTGGAGAAAGTATTTTAACAAAATTCAACATCTCTTCATGATTAAAAGCATAGAAGGAATCTACCTCAACACAATAAAGGCCATTTATCAGGAGTCCCCAACCAGTACTGGTTTGTGGCCTGTTAGGAACTGGGCCACACAGCAGGAGGTGAGCTGCATGTGAGTGAAGCTGAGCTCTGCCTCCTGTCAGATTAGTGTCAGCATTAGACTCTCATAGGAGTGTGAACCCTACTGTGAACTGTGCATGCAAGGGATCTAGGTTGCACACTCCTTATGAGAATCTAACGCCTGATGGTCTGTCACTGTCTCCCATCACCCCCAGATGGACTGTCTAGTTGCAGGAAAACAAGCTCAGGGCTCCCACTGATTCTTTATCATGGTAAATATTAATAATAATAGAAATAAAGTGCATAATAAATGTAATGTGCTTGGATCATCCCAAAACCCAGTCTGTGGAAAAACTGTCTTCCACGAAACCAGTCCCTGGTGCCAAGAAGGTTGGGGACCACTGCCATATATGATAATGTTACCGGGGGTCCTTCCTCCCAGAGCTCCCGAGATGGTGGCAGGCTGCTTCCAAGATGGCGGCAAGCCTCTTGTTTTCTGACCTGGGTTCTTGGCCTCAGGGATTCCAAGGAATGGAATCTTAGGCCACATGGTGAGTGTTACAGCTCTATTAGAAGCCGTGGGTCATGGAAGAGAACCGTGGAACCCAGCAGCTAGTGTTCAGCTCGATTAGGATGAACCCAGGCACTTAGCCATGCAGGAACGATGGCCAGCCTTTAGCCCAATCGGGAGCGGCAATGGGCACCTCGCTGGATCAGGAGCCCAGCAGACACCCTGCTGGATCTGGAAGGGTGGAAGTCAGCGGCGGGTCAGCGGCGGGTCTGCGATGGTGGCAAACAGCAGTGGTGGACAAAGAGCAAAAGCTCAGCTCGAGCGGTAACAAACACGGACCAGAAGAGTGTGCAGTTGGAAGGTTTAATAGAGTGAAAACGGAGCTCCCATACAAAGGGAGGGGACCCAAAGAGGGTAGCCCGTGCTGGCTGGAATGCCTGGGTTTATATCCTGACAATTGTCCCTCCCCCTATGCTCTCAGGTGATAGATGATTGGCTATTTCTTTCCCTCCTGTTTTTGCCTAATTAGCATTTTAGTGAGCTCTCTTTACTACCTGATTGGTCGGGTGTGAGCTAAGTTGCAAGCCCCATGTTTAAAGGTGGATGTGGTCACCTTCCCAGCTAGGCTTAGGGATTCTTAGTCGGCCTAGGAAATCCAGCTAGTCCTGTCTCTGAATAAGGCCTTGCTAACATACTCAGCAGTGAAAAGTTAAAAGTTTTTTCTCTAAAATAGGGAACAAGACAAGGATGCCCATGCTCAGCACCTCTATTCACCACAGTATTGAAGCCCTGGCCAGAACAGTTAGACAAGGATAAGCCATCACAATCAAATGTTAAATTTTTTTTGTTTACAAACAACATACTCTTATATACAGAAAACCCTAAAGACTCTACCAAAAAACTGTTAGAACTGATAAACGAACTCAGTAAAGTTGCAGGATACAAAATCAACAGGCAAAAATCATCAGCATTTCTATACACTAACATACGAATTAAAAAAGAAATACCATTTACAATCTTGCCAAAAAAAAAAATACTTAGGAATAATGAACCAAAGAGTTGTAAGATCTGTACAGGGAAAACTATAAAATACTGATGAGAGAAATTGAAGAGGAAACAAATAAAAGGAAAGATATGCCATGCTTATGGATTAGAAGAATATTAAAATGTCCACAGTACTCAAAGTGATCTACAGATTCAATGCAATCTCTAACAAAATTTCAATGACATTTTTCACAGAAACAGAATAAACAATCCTAAAATTCATATGGAACCACAGAATACCAGGAATAGCCAAAGCAATGTTGAGCAAAAAGAACAAAACTGGAGGCATCACTCTACCTGATCTCAAAATCTACCAAACCGTAGTAATCTAAACAGCATAGCAGCTGGGTTTGGTGGGTTACACCTGTAATCTCAACACTTTGGGAGGCCAAGGCAGGAGGACTGCTTGAACCCAGGAGTTGGAGACCAGACTGGGCTAACATAGTGAGATCTCCCTCTACAAAAAATTTTAAAATTTAGCCAGGTGTGATGGTGCACACCTGTAATCCCAGCTACTCAGGAGGCTGAGGTGGGAGGATTGCTTGAGCCCAATAGATCAAGGCTGCAGTGAGCCGTGATTGTGCCACTGCACTTTAGCGTGGGAGACACAGCACTCTAGCCTGAGCAATAATAGAGTGAGACTCTATCTCAAAATGAAAACAAAATCCAAAAATCCAGGTACTGGCATAAAAATAGACACACGGACCAATGAAACAGAACAGAGAACTCAGAAATTAATATGTGCATTTATGGTCAACTTATCTTTGATAAGGGTGCCAAGAATACATAATGGGGGAAAGGACAATCTCTTCAATAAATGGTGTAAGGAAAACTGGATATCCACATAAAGAAGAATGAAATTGAACCCTTATTTCACCTCCTATATAACAATCAACTCAAAGTAGATTAAAGGCTTCAACCTAAGACCCGAAACTGTAAAACTCCTAGAAGAAAAAATAGGGTAAAAGTTTCTTGACATTAGTCTGGCCAAAGATTTTTTGTACACGACCCCAAAAGCACAGGCAACTAAAGGAAAAAGCTAACAGGTATATGAAGAAATGCTCAACATCACTAATCATTAGAGAAATGCATATTAAAATCATGAAGAGATATCCCCTGTTAGGATGGCTATTACCAAAAAGACAAGAGATAAGCATTGGAGAGAGTGTGGAGAAAAGGCAACTCTGTACACTGTTGGTGGGAATGTAAAGTAATATAGCCATTATGGAAAACAGCATGGAGGTTCCTCAAAAAATTAAACATAGAATTACCATATGATCCAATGAATCTACTTCTGGGTACATAACTGAAGAAAATGAAATCAGTGTGCCTATGAGATATCTGCACTCCTATGTTCATTGCAGCATTATTCACAATAGCCAAGATAAAGAATCAAGCTAAGTGTCCATCAATGGATGAACAGATAAAGAAAATGTGGTGCATATATATACACAATACAGTATCATTCAGCCTTACGAAAGAAGGAAATCCTGCCATTTGTGATAACATGAATGAACCTGGAGAATGCGAAGTTAAATAAGACAGAGAGAAAAAGACACATACTGTGTGATCTTATTTGTATGTGAAATCTAAAATGGTCACATTCATAGAAGCAGATAGTACAATGAATGATAGGTACCAGGGGCTAGGGGGAGGGGAAGATTGGAGAGATGTTGGTCGAAAGGTACAAAATTTCAGTCAGGAAAAAGTTCAGGAGATCTGCTGTACAACAGGGTAACTATTATTAATAACACTGTAATGTATACTTGAAAACTGCTATGAGTAGATCTTAAATGTTCTCACCACAAAAAAATGGTAAGTATGCAAGGTTAATTAGCTTATTTTAGCCATTCCACAGTGTATATTAATACATATATCAAAACATCATGCTGTACATAATACATACTTTTAGTTGTCAATTAAAAAATTCTAAAATACGAAACAAAAAACAACGGCAAGTTACTGAAGTCTATTGTGGTTCTTCATTAACTCTTGCTTTAGCAAGGACTCCTGACTTAACTTTCCCCCTCCAGTACATTGTTACCTGATTAAACTTTGATCTTGTCATTCCTTTTCTTCAAAGTTTCAAGACCCAATAGGTTCATTTTGCCCACTGCCCAGAATCAATTTATCAAGACAGGGGAACTGAAATGGAGAAAGAGTTTAATTCATGCAGAGCCAGCTGTACAGGAGACTGGAGTTTTATTATTACTCAAATCAATCTCCCCAAATTTGGGGATCGGAATTTTTAAGGATAATTTGGTGGATAGGGAATCAGAAAGTGGTAAGAGCTGATTGGTCAGGTCAGAGATGAAATCGTAGGGAGTCGAACTTGTCTTCTTGCGCTAAGTCAGTTTCTGGGTGGCGGCCACAAGACCGGATGAGCCAGTTTATTGATACGGTGGTACCAGCTGACCCACTGAGTGCAGGGTCTGGAAAATATCTCAAACACTAATCTTAGGTTTTACAATAGTGATGTTATCCCTAGGAACAACTGAGGAGGTTTAGAACCTTGTGGCCTCTAGCTGCATGACTACTAAACCATAATTTTTAATCTGGTGGTTAATTTAGTTAGTCCTGCAAAAGGCAGTCTACTCGCCAGGCAAGAAGCGGGTTTGTTTTGGGAAAGGGCTGTTATCTCTTTGTTTCAAAGTTAAACTATGAACTAAGCTCCTCCCAAAGTTAGTTCAGCCCATATCCAGGAATGAACACCGGCAGCTTGGAGGTTAGAAGCAAGATGGAGTCGGTTAGGTCAGACGTCTCTCACTACAATACTTTTCTGCTATAATTTTTGCAAAGGCAGTTTCAGTCTGCATAATCAAGTTCTAAGATCTGAGACAGTATGATCTACTTTCAATTTACATTTCCAGACTTCTTTTCCATTGCTGCCATTTACTTATCATTTTCTCTAGGCAAAATGTATTGACTTGATACTTGTTGTATATGCCCTTAGTTTTTCTATTGCTCCCTCCCTTTGTGTAGGCCTATAACACTTTTTCCTTGTTTCTGCATGTCCAAATATTATTAAACTTCAAGGCCCAGTACCACCTGTTGGGAATAATCTCTTTTTTGCATAACTCTATGTATATCACTCTAATGTTCCCCAGCACTTTCTACCTTGTAATATGTACTTCTTATATCCTCCCTATTAGGTCATAAGATCCTTGATGGCAAGACCAATGTTATTCTCATCTTTGTATTCTACAGCATTCAGAATAAAGAAGTTTGCACATAGCAGATGCTAAATAAAATTTTTGAATGAACGAAACCTCAGTTCTATCAGTAGCTCTTTCAGTTTTGCACTGTTTATTACAAATGGAAAGGAGAGTGAGATAGGATGCATCCTAATAATCAATCCATATTGTCTCAGAGTATAGGATCCCAGAAGACATCTACTGCAGTGGTTCTCAGCCAATTTTCTAACCTGATACACCTGATCAATGACACACACATGTGCAACTAATTCTTCAGGCCATATCCAGATTTTTCTTTTTCTTTTTACAGATGCTAGGACTGAATTATGTCGGCTCCCAAGCTGTAAACCTACCTCCTCTTTCTTTTACTGATATTTGGAAGATGGAGTTGAAAGGATGCTAACATAATCTCACTCCCTCATTTACAAACCAGGAAATCTTAACCAGGAGTGCTAATGACTTCTCTAAAATCACAGTCAGTCGGAAGGAGAAGTGGGATTAAAATCCTAGCGCTTTATGAGGCTGAGGTGGGCGGATCACTGAGCTCAGAAATTCGAGACCAGCCTTGGCAACATGGCGAAACCTCATCTATACAAAAAATACAAAATTTAGCTGCGCATGGTGGCACACACCTGTAGTATCAGCTACTCAGGAGGCTGAGGTGGGAGGATGGCTTGAGCCCAGGAAGCAGAGGTTGCAGTGAGCTGAGATCATGCCACTGCACTCCAGCCTGGGCAAAAGAGTGAGACCCTGTCTAAAAAACAAAAAACAAACAAAAACAAACAAAACCAAAAAAAACCTAGTTCTTCTGATTCCTTGTCCAGTGAGCTTTTTGCAAAGCTGTACTGTCTATGATCACTGCTGCTGGAAAAATAACTCAATGTCGCAGTACATTATTAGCATTACTTACCTTTGTGAGTGGATGCATATTTAAAGAGCATTCAAAAGTCATTCATAAACTGGTTTGAAAGAAATTCAAATAAGCCCGCAGACTCTCACCTTCCTTTCCTTCCCTTCTCCTCCTTCATTTGAGAAAATTAGTTGTACAGTGCCTTGGCAAAGACAGCTTGATTGATGTTATGTTACAGTTCAGCAACAGTTTCTGCTATTAATTGCTTTATAATGGTAATTACGATTAGCGGGTACAGGATATTTTCTTTTCTAATTGGCTATTACTGGTGAATAGCAGCTTATTACATAACAGAAGACTGTGTTAAATAACCACGATTACAATTCTGAGATCTTTACTAGTAAAAAAACAAACCTCTCTATTTGGATAAAAACACTAAAAAAAGTTTTTTAAAGGCAGGGCCTCTGTGATTACTTGCAGGGAGGGGAGAGTTCTTTCAGTTAAGAAAAAAACATGAAATGAGGACAGTATTAGAGAAACAAGGAGGCAAAACAAGAATTTCCTTTCTTTTAAAAATAAACACATGTAAAAGCTTTAGTATGCTCAGCGCCTCTGGCAAGGCATGCATATCACAGAATCAAATGTATCCACTTCATCCCACAGTGCTATATGGAACTAGAAGAGACTCTCTTATTAGCTCCGGTGAGACAGGGATGCAGAGCCCACCAACTACACTGAGATGTCCACATGGATAAGGCTAGGGGTTCTTCATTTGTATCCCATATAGAGCCCAGCATGGCGCTGATTCACAGTTGCCAAACACCACCAAATGCCATCACAACATGACACTGTCCCAGAGGATGAGGTTAAAGGTATATTTAACAGTTCCTGTCCTTACAGAGTTTATATATTGTATAATGTGGGATTTGTCTTGATTCCAGCTTTAATGTTCTTTGATTAGTTTGTAATCATTTTAAAGTTACATCCAAGCTTTTGTAGTAGTAGTAGCAGTAGCAGCAGCAGCAGCCATAATAGTAATAATGAGGTCCTATTACTTGCTGAAGGTCATACAGCTTTTAGCTGACAGCTCCTTTTGATTCCAGTTTATCCAAGTCTAAAGCTTGGGCTTGTACTCGCTACTGCCTCTTGAGACAGACTTTTATCAGTAGCATCATTTGTCCCTATATTTTCATAGTGCCTCAAGATTCATAGAGTGCTTTAACATACTCTGCCCTCACCACACCTCCCAATAATATCAACATCATTTTTTTTTTCCTGATGAAACTGAGGCTCAGAGAGGTTAAACGATTTTCCCCAAGTTCACACTGCTAAAAAGCTACAAATTCAGATTCAGAATCCAGGTCTTCTGACTCCTATTCCAGTTTTTCCTTCTACATATTTTACTGATTCAATACTGTACATTGATTATTTTAAATATGCTACTCATGGAGAAAGCTTAATACTATCCCACATTATCCTATAAAATTTTAAATATTTTACCACTTGTCAATTGTTGACTCCCTCTTTCCCAACCTCCCTTCACCCCATGAAGCAAAGGTTTAAATCCTGTTTAGCTCTAGAAAACTTTACTTGGTTCCTATAGCCAAAGATATCATTCAACCCCAGCTGCCTATGTTGCAAATAAATGCCACTAGTTACAAAGATGATCAGTGAGAAGTAAAGAAAAACAGAAGACTGATCAGTCAAATCTATCACCACTTCTGAAAAAAGCTGCCCTGCTCACCTTTGGGTCAAGTAGGTCAGTAGAACATACTTGTTTCAGCATGAGGTGGCAAGTCTTTAAGGTACTGTCAATGAAAAGCCAACTCATTCAGAGTCTGATAAGTTTATCAAATAAGTCAAAACTGAACCCTAATTTTGTGGCAAAGTTCTCTAAGAAGAGCTAATAGAAACATTTGAAGATTTAATCACTGGAGACAGCAGTTTATGCACATTGCTTGTTTCTATATACTCGTGATTTATATTTAGAAGAGAGTATGATTTCTATTATATGAATCTGATCGACATCCTCTTTACAGTTTTTCCAGATGGAAGTGTATGAGTGTGTATTGTAAAGGGCAGCACTATTCTTTTGCATGAATGGGAAGGTCAAGGTCAACACAATAAGTGTATGTAATTCGGTATCTGACCCATCAAATCCCTCAATAATAACCTGCTCTTCAAGTGCAGAAGACATATTAAAACCACTTGTATCACTTCTGGCACATATGCCAAAGATGTGCCTATACCTATGACTGAAATAACAGTCACAATTGAAGACCAGACTATTATATCATCTCACCTAATCATTTCCACATCCCAGCAATATAGATACAGTATTACTCATTTTACAGAAGAGAAACTGAAGTTCAGAGGTTTACCAGAATCTGATCCTAAGCTGGCCTGATTTTAAAATCTTTTCACTATTCCATACTGCCTTTCTATGGTAACATTGGCTTTAGAGCATATTTATGTGTAAGAAAAGTCTGTTTCAGACCTCATTCAATGGAATTTAGTTACTATGAGACATCATTACAACCGTGCATAGGATAAAAGTCTTTTCTCAGTTATTGTGTGACTTTGGGCAAGCTACTCTTTTCATCAGTTTCCTCATTTGTACATAAAAAGCGTAATATGACTACCTAGGGGTTGCTATGAAGATGAAATGAGATAATACCTATAAAAGCATTTGAAACAGTATCTGGCACAGTTAGTGCTCAAAAAAATGTTAGCTATCATACACATCATCATTATTATATCCCTTTTAATAAGAGCTCTTCTCTAAATATCCTACAAGTTGGGTCCCATTGATTTGTCATAGGAAAATAAAAGAATGCTTTAAATAAGGCCTCTTCAGAACCTTATACAAAATGTATTAGTCCATTTTCATGCTGCTGATAAAGACATACCCGAGACTGGGCAATTTACAAAAGAAAGAGGTTTTAATTGGACTTAGAGTTTCACATGGCTGGGGAAGCCTCACAATCATGGTGGAAGGCAAGGAAGAGCAAGTCACGTCTCACATGGATGGCAGCAAAGAGAGAGCTTGTGCAGGAAAACTCTTCTTTTTAAAACCATCAGATCTCATGAGACTTATTCACTATCATGAGAACAGCACAGGAAAGACCTGCCCCTATGATTCAATTATCTCCCACCAGGTCCCTCCCACAACACATGGGAATTCAAGATGAGATTTGGGTGGGGACACAGCCAAACCATGTCACCAAACAAGACCTACAAGAGTAGTTTCTATAATTCTTATCTTCTCTGACATCCCACGGCCTATACCTTGTGAGGCAACCCCAGTATACAATGTTACTTGAGTTTCTTGATGACTTTGAGTGTCAATGTGTGTGTGTGCGGGTGGGGAGCTGGGTGTGAGTAGAGTAGCACTGTATAGAAGTGAGAGAGGATACAGAAGATAATATAAAGGCTTGCAGAGCACATAGTTGTAATACTAGTATGTAGCACCAACAGACACTCTGACAACTCCCAAATTCCAGGAAAGCATTGACAGCATAAGCAGTTATCACCAACACATTCCTAAGC
The DNA here is from genome assembly GCF_000001405.40 of Homo sapiens. Classification (NCBI taxonomy): domain Eukaryota; kingdom Metazoa; phylum Chordata; class Mammalia; order Primates; family Hominidae; genus Homo; species Homo sapiens. Next base: position 112,212,685 of record NC_000007.14, on the reverse strand, counting down.
TTCCCCAGGGTTACTCCACAATTTAGATTGCTTCCTAAGTGAATACAGTATCAAAGAGCAGGCAGTTCTTGATAGAGCAGGCAGATCTTTATAATTGGGCCTATCTTTATAATGAAAGCAACTAATACTTACTGAGGTCTGACTTTATAACAGGAAATATGCTAGGCTTTCATAAATATATAAATATGAAATAATCACAATAACTGCAAGACAGGTATTATACGGATATTTTCATAAATGTGGCAGCACATATAATAAACCTATGTTACACAGCTTTTAAATGTCAGAATTGGAATTTAAATACCGTTTTGTCAAAATAAGGTCTAGTCCTCTTTCCATTGCCATGTCAAATATATGAGACTGGACTTAATGGTTTATAGAAATAGAATGACAGCCTGTAGAAAATTGGTAACAGCCATATAGATGATGAAAGACAGAATTCAAGGTCCATGTGGTAGGTCATTCAGTTACAGGCTTAAAGTTATAAAGGCCAGATCTAAAGTATTCTTTTAAAAAATGTAATTATTATTTAAACAACATTAAAACTTTATTTTAAAAAACTGAAATACTATCCTTAAATGCTAACTATGATCACCTTGACAGAATATCATCCTCCTGATATTTTGCATTTTAGTTGGTATGCATACCTTTCACAAGCATAAAACATCTATTCAGTTTTTTATTCTACTTCAGTTCCTCTGCTCAAAATAGTAGCCACTCTAAATGCCTTGAATAAATTTCAAGCATATTCTAACATTAGACTGTTATACAATGTTTACTGTATGCAGCTTTGATAAACACTGGATGTACAAAAGTGAAATAAGGCAACTCTTGACCTCAAGAAGTTCACTGTCCACTGGGGTAGACAAAGTTGCCAAAAAATAACTACAGTGTGACATGGTAAGTGGATAATGGAGATATGGGAAAGGAAGCAGGGTGACTGAAGATGAGGCTAGACAAGTAGATTAGAATCTTAAATGCCACACAGAGAGTTTGGACCTAATTATACATGTAGCAGAATTACACTGAAGATTTCAAGTGGAGATCCATGAATATATTTGTTTTACAATGTGGATTAAAGGAGGTAAAGTCAAGAGTCAGTGAGATCAACAGGAAGGTTTTGCAATCGTTCAGGCTAGAATTCCATTCTGGTCAAACACTTATTAAACATTAACAATGTGCCAAGAACAGAATCAGGCTGACAAACACACATACAACTGGTTCTCAAGAGCACTTTCTGGGGCATGGGAGATGCAGGTAGGTAATTCAGCAGTAATGGTGAGGGTTAGTAATGGAATTAGCACAGTGGCTGTAGCTATGAATAGAGGGAACAGGTTCAAAATATACTACAGGCGCAGAAAAATAAGGCTTGCTAACTGATCAAATTCAGTACCTGAGGGCGAGTTAGGAATCAAGGATGCTTCCTAGGTTTCTAGCTTAGACTTGATGCCATTTATTGAAATAGGAAATACAAGAATGAGGAGTTTACATCACCTGCTACCCTTCCCTCTTTCTTCCAGAGACATCACACATGAGATAGTAAGTTCTCTGGAAGATAAACATTACCAAAATCATCAGATAATAAGGTCCAGAATCCAAGCATTAGCAAAATCATCAACTACTAAACACCCATTCGGAGGGAAAAAAGTTGACTTTGACAGAATATTACAATATGGAGATACAGATTAATACTCAGAAGAAATAGCCTCAGTCACAAAAGCCTCCTAAATGTATTATTACTGAATTGTGCTACCTTGCTGATTTTTAAAAACAGCAAAAGAACAAATGCCAATGACACCACGTGAGGGATGCTGAATCTATTTATTATCTGTTCTTAATTTTAGGAGACAAATTGAAATTCTGGTTACTGTTCAGATGTATGTAAAGCAGTGTCCTTTAACCCTTGACCTAGTGTGCCAGGTGCAGTAGCTCACGCCTGTAATCCCAGCACTTTGGGAGGCCGAGGAGGGTGGATCACCTGTGGTCAGGAGTTTGAGACCAGCCTGGCCTAGATGGCGAAACTCTGTCTCTACTAAAAATATAAAAATTAGCTGGGCATGGTGGCACACGCCTGTAATCCCAGCTACTCGGGAGGCTGTGGCAGGAGAATCACTTGAACCCGGGAGGCGGAGGTTGCAGTGAGCTGAGATCGTGCCACTCCACTCCAGCTTGGGTTACAGAGCAGGACTCTGTCTCAAAAAAAAAAACAAAAAAAAAAAACAAAAAACAAAAACAAAAAAAGCAAAAAAATCCTTGACCTCAATGTGGGGACTTTCTTGGAGAAGGATGGAGCCACAGAAGTCTGGCAACACAGTGGTCTCAGTGAGTGTTGCACCTGCCTGCACCCCACCCACTGACTCACTCTAGCAGAGATTTTGAGGAATTGCAAGGATTTCTATAAAAAGTCTTCCTAGGCCTCACTGTCCCAGGGTATTAAACACACAGACTAACATTTTAATCAGAGCAAGAAGAAAATCTCTTAAAAGAAGCAGTTTTCAAGAAGTCAAAAAGGTGTATGTTTTTTAAAAATTTTATTTTTATTATACTTTAAGTTCCAGGGTACATGTGCACAACTTGGAGGTTTGTTGCATATGTATACATGTGCCATATTGGTTTGCTGCACCCATTAACTCGTCATTTACATTAGGTATTTCTCCTAATGCTATCCCTTCCCCATCCCCCAACCCCACGACAGGCCCGGGTATGTGATGTTCCCTGCCCTGTGTCCAAGTGTTCTCATTGTTCAATTTCCACCTATAAGTGAGAACATGTGGTGTTTGGTTTTCTGTCCTTGCGATAGTTTGCTCACAATGATGGTTTTCAGCTTCATCCATGTCCCTACAAAGGACATGAACTCATCCAAAAAGGTGTATGATTTTTACAGGGAAAGACATACTTGATAACCTAAATGACTGCCTAACAAAAAATATACTTTTAATATAAATATTTACACCTAAAATTTATATCACACCTTGTTGGCTTTGAAAAGATTTTGGAAAAAGTAACAGAATGATACATAGGTTATTAAGCAGAATTTTTAATGACAACTTTATCTTATAAAAATGACATAAAAAATCAACCATTAATTTCTCCTGTTGACTGCTACAAGTCAATGAGAATACTGGGTATTTCTCACCGAGGGTGAGAAATTTTTTTATGTTATAGATACCGCAAATTCACTACTACTCAACACTTTTATTGAAAACAAACTGGAATCAAAAACTAAGCTTTCTATCAGTTACTTAATTCAATCTACTAGTCATTGAAACATTGGTCCTGGATTATTTCCTCAAAGTTTGTGACAATATGGGGGAAAGAACACTCATATACTACAGGTGGCAATGTATGCTGAATATATTTTAAGAGGAAAGTCTGGCATCTGTCAAAATTTTAAACTTGCATAACCTTTGATCCAGCAATTTTCTCCCAAAATATACAACCAGTGGGCAAGAATATATGTACATAAAGTTGTTCATTGCAACATTACTGAAAAACTAAAGTCACACTATATGTTCATTTATAAGGGAATGGATAAAGAATGGCACAATCATATTTTGGAATATGATGGGCACAGTCCTTAAAAAAAAAGGAAACAAATGTACTGACGTGGAAGGGTTTCTATGATAGACTGCTGAAAGAAAAAAGAAGGTTGCAGATCTTTCAGTTTATATAGATTTATCCCTTTTTATTATAAAAATCAAATCATAGGCCGGGCGCGGTGGCTTACGCCTGTAATCCCAGCACTTTGGGAGGCCGAGACGGGCGGATCACGAGGTCAGCAGATCGAGACCTCCTGGCTAACACGGTGAAACCCCGTCTCTACTAAAAATACAAAAAACTAGCCGGGCTTGTTGGCTGGCGCCTGTAGTCCCAGTTACTCGGGAGGCTGAGGCAGGAGAATGGCGTGAACCTGGGAGGCGGAGCTTGCAGTGAGCCGAGATCGCGCCACTGCACTCCAGCCTGGTTGACAAAGCGAGACTCCGTCTCAAAAAAAAAAAAAAAAAAAAAAAATCAAATCATACAGACGTGTGTCATATAAGAATATGGTGGTTTAACAGAATACGGATTGTAGGATTAAAAAAAAAAAAAGAAGAAGAAGAATATGTTGGAAAGAATATGTACCAAACTCTTATCACTTAATACTCGGGGAGTGGTGCTGTGAGGTGAGGGAATTTTCATTTTTTTTACTTCATACACTTCTGAATGGTTTGAAGTGCTTTTAAAAACTTTTAAACTTGTAAAATTTAAAAATAAATATTTTTAAATATTTTACATTTTTGAAAGGCATATCCTTTTTTTTTGTTTTGTTTTTGATACAGAGTCTTGCTCTGCCTCCCAGGCTGGAGTGCAGTGGTGGATCATGGCTCACCACAACCTCCGCCTCCCGGGCTCAAGGGATTCTCCTGCCTCGGCCTCCCGAGTAGCTGGGACTACAGGCATCCGCCACCACGCCCGGCTAATTTTTGTATTTTTAGTAGAGACGGGGTTTCACCATATTGGCCAGGCTGGTCTCGAACTCCTGACCTTGTGATCCACTCGCCTCGGCCTCCCAAAGTGCTGGTATTACAGGGGTGAGCCACCGTGCCCGGCCATTTTTTAAAATAAGTTAGACTGTGAGATAAATTCACCAGTTTAGATCTTAAACTGGTAGCCCTCTGGAACTTTGAAAATCTAGGAAACCGTAATAGTCTGTTACCATCAGATAGCCCAATATATAACCAACCCAAAAATAAACCATTAGGGTGTTAAATTCAATATTTAACTCAGGAGACTACCAAAGATTTGTTTGGTAGAGGTACTAAAATAATTTCAGAGTAGGGAGTTCCACTGTTGGGAAGTGGGAAAAAACTGCACTTCAACTCTGTGCCGCTGAGGTAAATACTTAAGATGATATCAATTTAACTGTGAAAGCAAAAACAAATAAATCGAAAAACAAAGTCGCAACAGTCTGAGAACTATATTTAAGCCCCAAACCATGTTCATCAGAAAAAGACAACTTGTGCTAAATTACACATCAAGACAAAAATGGGGTGGGGGGAATGGGGGAGGGATAGACTAAAGGTAAAAGAGTCCTAAACACAATCCACCTGCAGCTTTCAAAATTTGGTTTTTTATTCCTACAGTGGATCAGAGGACAACCTGAAAGTCAGGTACAGCCAAAGTTGTGATGGTTTTCAAAACTCTTTTCAAATGTTCTTTGAAGCCACGAGTGCAAATTATCTATCACTTTCCTTTTCTTTCTCTAAGGACCCAGAGACTGGGAAGATCTCTCAGGCTCCACATACAAATCTGAAGAACACCCAGAGCAGTTAACCATCTACAGGGAGGTTGTGAGATACACACACTTTCCCTTCAGAGGTCACCTCAGCCACAAACTGGGCAAATCTGTAGAGTGGAGAGCAGTGACCACCAGTCTGCGACTGGAAATACTCCGGAAGCTAAATAAAACACACCTGCGAGGTCAAACCAAGCAAACCAAGGCAGTGTACTGGTGAGGAGAAAGAGCTGCTAATCCCAAAATTATAAACACACGCGCGCGAACCAGATCTGAACCAAACCCACTCAGCAGCTAGCTCAAAGCTGGGAGCTCCAAACCAGAAGACAAACGCTCAGGGAGCTTCCCCGGCGGAGGGGAAGGCCATTCCATGGCATTTTCTCCGCCATCCCATGGCATTTTCTCCGCCATCCCCGGGCAGCCCCAACCAAGTAGCCGCCACCGGCTCCAACCCATCCCGCTGGGCCACCACCCGTGGGGCCCAGTCGAACCCAGGTGGCCCCAGAGCTGAAGGGCTCCTAGGGTCAGACCAGAGGTCCGTTGCACACCCGGTCATAGAGAAAGGAAGACACATCAGCCGCGCCTCCGGGGCACCGTACTCACCCCCATAACCTACACCCCCGACTGTGCTGCAGCTCCCATCACGGTCTTCCTGCATTCGGGCGACAGCCCCCTGGGTCTTGGAAGCAGCCATTACCCGGCAGAAAAGAAAAGGGAGGGCCGCAGGGCGGGTCGGAGGCGGGGTGGCACCAGTAGAAACGCTACTGGAGGCGAACTCCCCGTCGACGTAATGTTTTCTCCACACCTACGCCGCGCTCTGGACCAATAGGACGCAATCAGTAAAACTGAATCCCCGCCCCGAACCACATTTGCCGCGCCCACTTCCGGGATGGGGAGGCCAAGAACTACAATTCCCAGCGTGCTGCGGGGCCCTGGGACGGGAGGGCTGGACTAGGCGCTGGCGGGCGGGGGTGCGCCGGAGAGTGCCCCGGCGTGTTCGCTTAGTTCAGTGAATCAGAACAATGACTGCGCCGCCGGGTACCCGGGAGCGCGTCGGAGGACTGTGAGCAGCCGCCGCCGGGAGAGCTGCGGGCGGCGCAGTGTCAACGCTGGGCTCGGGAGCCTCCAGCGCAGATCCTGCCCAGCGCCCGCAGCCCGCGCGAAGCCGCTGGGCTCCGGCACTGCAGCGCTGCTCGGGGACTGTGCATTGTTGTGAGCCGGAGAAGGGGCGCGGGGATTACAAAGCCTGAAGACCCCGGAGCCCCTTTAGCCATGTGGATACCTACGGAGCACGAGAAATACGGCGTGGGTGAGTCTCCGCGGGGCGAACTTTTATTCTGCTCTGGCCCGAGCGAGTGCGCATTTCTCGTCCTTGCCCCCGCGCCCCTCTCGCTCCGCCCGGTTGAAAATGCCTAATCCTGGCATCGCGCAGCTGGTACGGGGCTTTGCCGAGCCAGCTCCAGGCAGAGGGCTGCGCACCAGGCTCTCGCCCCGCACCGCCTGCTCGGCGCGCCCCGCACTGGTTCCCGAAGCGCCGGGACAGCTTGGGGGAGCGCGCGGCCGGCCCGCTAGCTTCGGGCTCTGCCTGCGGAGTTTGGAGTGGCGACTGGGCGTGTGTGTGTGTGTGTGTGTGTGTGTCAAGTTGGAAGAGGAGGCGAATGGGGTTTCTCTCCTTCCTTACCCTTCTTCCCCAAAGCGACAGGGAGCTGCAACGGTTCCTCTGGGTGGAGAGGGAGACAACAACACTCGGGCAGAGAGAACACCCCCAAAACAGTAGGGAGGCGCAAACCCTTCCCTCTGGCTCGGATCGACATTCCCGGAGTGTGGAATGTGGCAGGGTCCTGGAGAGAGCCGCTCTGACAAGCTGAGCCCTCTCTGACCCTCCTCCCTCTCTGCGATCCCGGATTTATGGGGTGTGTATGTTGCGGGGCGGGGGCATTGGTAAATTTCAACATCTGCGCCGCTCGGTTCTTTGGTCTTTGGAGAAGAACGGGTATTTCAGCAGTGTTTTTACTTCTGGCCACCCTCTCGACCCCGGGTGAGCGCAGTGGGGGCGGTGTGGCGGTACAGGGCTGCTGAGTGATAAATGGGGAGGGGGATCGGAAAGCCTGGTTCTTGGGGGCAGGGAGATAGCTTTTAGGAAAGCATACCCTGACACTGGCGTTCGGAGAAAAAGGAACAGGATAGCTCTCGCTGTTCTGTGTAAAGGTGAACAACAAAGGACATTAATGTTGACTGATGAATACAGGAGTCTCCCTTCCTTTTCCTCCTCCCATTTCAGGCGGGTTACAGTTCCCGTTTTTGTTGTTTGATTTCAGCTGGGTCGCCCCTTGACAGTTACTCCTTTTAGGGTTGAGACTATTAAGAAGCCAGGCTCTCCGACAAGGCTGCAGCCGGCCAAATGCAATTATAACCTCCCAGAAGGTCTAACAGAAAGCATTATGGATTTTACTAACACTCTTTATTTCCTATAATGCCCTGTTCTGCCGACTGGTGTACTTTGTGTGTGTGTGTGTGTGTGTGTGTGTTTTAAAATTGAGGACAGGTCTAGTGATTTAGGTGATGTGTAGATATCTGCTTATGTTCTAAATTCATTTTCCTGCAATTTAAAACATCTGGAAAGCCTTCCCAGGGAGTCGTAGTCCGAGGGGATTTTTGTTTTTTTTTTTCCCAACTTTGCCTGGGGATAGGACTTTGGGGTCCATTGAAAGGACTGTAGGATTCAACAAAATCATTCCCACATTTCACGTTAGCTTCCATTCTGGATTGTGACTAATTACCAAGACAATAGTTTGACCTGAACCCACCTTTGGGAAAGGTTTCCAGCTTTCCCTCCTTCAAAGTGTCAGAGGAGTCTTTGCCAGCCTCTTTACTGGCAAGGAGTAGATGTTAGTAGTTGTTATTTTCGTTCTCCTCACTCTTCTCTTTTTTGGGAGGTAGATTAACCCTTGCTAGGGAAAAAGATAGTCCCTTTGCTGGACTGGTGAGGGACCCGAGGGCATCGCCTCCTAAGCGGCTTTAACACTCAGTGCAGGAAGCTCAGATCCATCCAGGCAAAACTGTCCTGCTTGGAGTCGATCCCAGATGTTGCTTTCTTCCAAGTGTTAAATTATACAGATTATGGATGGGATTTATTTTCTTGATTTCTTCATGTGCCAGGTCACAGCTGGGGTGCTGGTATCGATTAGTTCCTCTCTTGCCTTTCTTTACAAGCGGTGGGCAGAGGCTTAAAAACCACTCTGGGATTTCCTGGAATGGCAAACCGGATATTATCAGTCAAATGTTTTGGGCTGCAGCAGACACCTCGGTTTTGGGTGGTTGTGATTTGATTGCAGAGTAGGGGAGGCAGAAGGGTGTGCTCACAATTGAGAAAAAGAGGTTGAATGAGATGAAGGACGAGAGCAGAGAGAGGGTCTTTTGCCCCAAATTACTGCTGTTGTTCTCAATATCACATGTGCCAGAATGTTAATTAACCTTTATTATTAATTTTTGAGCATTTGGATTGTGGAATGCTTAGCTGTTTTTTAGAATCCATCTGTTAGGCGTGTGTGTGTGTGTGTGTGTGTGTGTGTGTGTGTGTGTGTAGTGAAATTTTTGCTAGGATACTTATGTGTGGACTTTATTTTTCACCATGGAGGGCACTGTTTATAGCTGCTTATATTGCAAGTTGTTTGTTTTTTCTTTTAACCTTGGTTAATGTTTGTGTTTTTCTCATGTAGTTCTTACAGATGTTAAAGAAAAGATCTTATGGGCACAGATCTTTGTTACCAAGTGTAGTGGTAATTTAGTTTCTTCATTCTTTGAAATAAATCAGTCTTTGTAACAGAATATGTGACGTTTTAGTATAAATTATATATTTCTGCAAAGGTACTTTTTATATACCCTCATTTATGTATGAGATAATTATGCTTTTATATACTTATGATTAAATTTTAAGCAGCATACTGTAAACATGGGTAAAATTAGTTAAATTTTATATCTGTAATTAAATGTATCGGAGATGGAAATTCTTTTTCGTAACTGATGTATAGGCACCGTCCCATTTAATGAATGATTAAATTCATTAAAACAACGAAAAGTCAGTCATAAGTGTTCTGATTTTAGGAAAAGGTATAGTGATGAAGTTATAGTTCTGAGGAACAGGGAACCTTGTCTTTTAGAAATCATGTTAAGAGGCACAGTGATAGGCAATTTCACCTTAGGAGATTCTAGTTAGCTCTTGATTCTGGGCTAGACACTGCTGCCAGCTGTGTAACCTTAGGTAAATCACTTAGCCTTTCTGGGTCCCAGCGTCTGGGGCAAGTGTTAACTAAAGCCTTCCCTGGTACTAATTTTGTAGAGCTCTTCCAACTAACTGTGTTCTTTGGTTAGAAAAACATCTTCATTGTGTTGAGACTGCTATGACAGAGACACTTTTGTTGTGACATATCTCACTTGGTTTTTAAGTAAGATCAGAGGTAAGCAAACGCTACCTGGCAAGCTGCCAGAACTGAGGTGCTGGTTCCTCTCTTTCTCAATTTGTTTGATTCTCTCTGGCTAGTAGGAGCTCCATGGGCAGTGACTGAAGCATTTTGTTTGTTTTTTAAATGTATTTTCCTTGACAAATAATAATAATATATTTTTTAAGTTTTCATTTTTTTTTTTTTAATTTAGAGACAGGGTTTTGCTCTGTTGCCCAGGCTGGAGTGCAGTGGCTATTCATAGGCGCCATCATAGTGCACTATAGCCTGTAGCCTCAAGCTCCTGGTTGATCGCCTCAAGCAATACTCCCACCTCAGCCTCCTGAGTAACTGGGATTACTGACATGCACCTTCTCACCCAGCTGTATATATTTATGGTGTACAGTGTGATATTTTGATGTACGTTTACAGTTGGAGTGATTAATCAGGCTATTAACAAATTACACCTCATATAATTACCATTTTTGTGGTGTAAAAAACATTTAAAATCCATTCTAGCACTTTTGAAGTATACAATGCATTGTTATTTATTGTATCTCCATTCTGTGGATATCACCTCCCATCTGTTAGAATGGCTGTATAAAAACAATGAAAGGTAACAAGTATTGGTGAGAGTGCAGAGAAAAGGGAACGCTGTGCACATGTTAGTGGGAATGTAAATTAATACAGCTGTTATGTAAAACAGCATGGAGGACCTTCAATGAACTAAAAATAGAATTACCATATGATCCAACAATTCCACTGCTTGGTATATATTCACAGGAATTGAAATCAGTATGCTGAAGAAATATCTGCTATCCCATGTTCATTGAAGCAGTTCTCAAAATGTCTGAGATATGAAAGCAACCTAAGTGTCCATCATCAGATGAATGGGTAAAGAGAATGTAGTATCTATACACAATGGAATATTATATAGTCTTGAAAAAGGGGAAAATCCTGTCATTTTCAGTAATGTGGAGGGTATTATAGTAAATGAAGTAAGTGTAAGTCTGGCACAGAAAGATAAGTACTGCATGATCTTGCTTACATGTGCAATCTAAAGAAGTTTACTTCATAAATATAGAGATTAAAGTGATGGTTGCCAGAGTCTGGGGGAAGAGGGTGGTTGGGGAAAGTGGAGATGATGATCAAAGTGTACAAAGTTTTGGTGAGACAGGGGGAACATGCTTTAGTGATCTATCGCACAGAATGGTGACTAAAGCATTCTTGATCGCATACTCACCAATTTCCTCAGATTACCTCTACCTCCTGCATGTCCTCATCTGTTAGCACACCCCCCCATTCCTCCCCCCTCCCCACCCCGCCTTAAAGTGGTGGGAATTATTCATGGAGAAAGCTAAGACCTTTGCAGATTGTTTTTGCGTTCATTTGTCCAACAGGCTTTTATGCACAGATTCACAGATGAGTCATGGCATCTTCCTGAGCTGAAGGCTGCACCCCTCAAACCTAGCCAGATGTTTTACATGTGTGAGCTTAGTTAAGCTTGACAGGAGAACACGGGCTGGATTGATCGGTGCAGAAAATCCATGAACCTTATAAGAAACAAAACTCAGAACAAGCTGATCTGAAGTCACAGTGTCATTTAAAAAATAAATTGTGTGGTGCGAGTATCACTCAGTCATCACATAAATTCCTGTATTCTATTTTTCTTGAAGGAGTTTTTGAACTCATCTGGGTAGGAATCATGTTCCTTTTTAAAGCCCCTTCTATGTTGGTGGAAGAAGATGCACCTTCTCGTATTCATACAGGATAGTTAGGTGTCTTTCTCCTTAGAAAGATGCTTTAATCATAGCGTATGTGTGTGATAGAGCGTAATAAGGATGTGTTTCCTTTACTCTTAGTTTTTTGTAGTTTCTTAGCTAACAGTTTCTTAAAGTGTTTTCTATTAGTGGTCCTATGATGTATCTACATAGCATGTAAAGCTAAATAATAATGTTCTGCTTGGAATTGTTTGTGACATTTAGAGCCTGACACAGGATTCTAAACTTTAAGTGGGAATAGAAGAGAAATGATTTATACCTCCCAGTAAAATACCACCGAAGGGCCATACAGACAGTGGGATAGCAGCTTATGTTCTTGATCTGGCCTCCTATGGGAATGGTCTATAAAAATGTTCCCCTCTTTTGGTCATTCCCCTAAGTGACAGTTCTTCACAAGGCCCCTGAAGCCACATAGAGATGCTGCTCTTCCTCTATGATCTTGTTTTTTTTTGTTTTTTTTTTTTTATTTTAGAGGCTGTTATGGTAGCTAGTACGAGGGAGATTATACAAATTTCAAGAAATTTAGGATTTCCTATCTCTAGCTCTATTCTTTTCCAAAAGGAGACAACATTTTCTGAGTTATGTTTGATACAATATGTCTATGTTTCTATCACAGTGACTTCATGCTGTGAATATATACATCAGAGGAACATTAAACTCTAATGAAACCCTTCTAAAAGGCTGTAACCGTAACACAGTAATACAATGTTTTACTTAAAAAGTGAAATTATTTTATCTGAGTCTACCCTTTGAAGTTGAATGGTAATTTCTATTTAAGAGATGAGAAAACAGTTTCATAGAGTTTAAGTGACTTACTCTAGATTAGTAGCTTTTAATCTTGTTTGACTATTACCCATAAGAAATATAGTTAATTTCCTGACCTAGTATATATATAAATATCCCCCAGTACCACCCCACACACATATAATTAAAACAGCACTTGCTTATACTCTATGTAATGTTCTATTCTTTTTTGTTAAAAAAAATACTTGTCACTAAATTGACTTGTTAATGGGTCCTGACCCACAGTTTGAAAAACACTGCTTTAAATGCTACATTTGTGATACCAGAAGGACTGCAACTCACATCTTACTGGGTTTCTGTGAAGTTCCTTTCATGACATTGGCAAGGAGTTGATGGTGGTGGTGGTTATTGTCTTTGATAGTCAGATATGTGGGTTTATTTTAACAAAGAATTTAATTATCCTTTTTTCCTTCAGTCTAAGTCAAAGTCTGTCTTCTGTAGTATTTCTTATTAAAGATGGAACAAATATTTAAAGCCATCACATGCATTGCGTAAGTTTTCTCTTTTAGTACTTGTATGTCTTCCTACCAGGACCTTTTTGACAAGGATTACATAATGACCAATATTAGACTCTTCTGTATCATGTCCTTTGACAACACTCTCTGGTCACTATAACAGAAGAGTAAAGATAATGGTTTACTGAGGTACTTTGCCAGTTGTAGGTTTACCACTCACTATTCTTTTGTACCTTTTTTTATGTTGCTGATCATTATTAGAAAGACAAGGCAACTTGTATAACTTGTTTTATTAAAAAAGTGAACTATATGCTTATTTGGCTAGAGTATATAAGACAAAAAAATAAGGAATTAAAGTTCCCCAAGCCTAGCTTCATTTAAGCAACTTAAACTTACTTCAGGAACAACTCTTGGACTCTCTGGCATTTAAAAAAAATTGTGCCAAGATGACATTGGGTAACTACTAAGTAAATAAAAATCATCAAAAAAGTGGAATGCCTTTGGTAACGTAACTGCAGTAAAACTGATATGCAGTACCCTGAGGAATGTATGGTAATCATGATCCTTTTGGAAACTTTTATATAACTTTTATTGGAAACTGCAATATAAAATAGCATTTGTGGAGCACTTGCTACATGTCAAGCACAGTTCTAAGAGCTTGTCTTATATTGTCATTTAATCTTCATGATACCTCATGAAGGAGGATTCAGTTATCACTCATATTTCACAGGAAATTGAGTCATACAGGGATTAAGTAACTTATTTAAGGTCATACTGTAAATGGTGGAGCTAGGATTGGAACCTAAATTGTCTTGCATAGAAACTGTTCTCTTAGCCATTACGCCATGTTACCTAGTATGACAGTGGTTAGCAGAAGTTTGAATCAGTAATCCCACCCCTTAAAGTTTATGTGACAAAATAAATCAATAGCAACAAAACACTTTATGCACAGAGTTGTCCCTTGCCGTGTTGTCTGTGAAACAACTTACATGACCATGTAGTCGTTAAATCAGTTTTGGTTATGAGCACGTTGGAGCATCAGACAATCATGAAATGAAATATTTTCATAAACAACACTATTTCAAAAATATATTCCAGGTATCTAGTGTTAAATGACAAAAGAAGAGTAAATATAGACTATGATTAGAGCTACATAAAATGTGTAGCCTATAGAGAAGAGGCAGTCGATGCACAGATGAGAACAATTTTTTTGTTAGAATATATAGATTATCAGTAAGTTCTTTTTTAAAAAATCTGTTTGGAAATATGAGCAGTATTGAATTTTAAATTACACATTGTTATTTATGAAGGAAGAGGTGGCATAAAAATGAGTAAAGAGAGGCACTGCAGTAACTGAGGTGAGAGATAAGTCCATGAATCAGGTTAGCAGTCATTGTCATGGTGAAGTGTGGATAGATCTGAGAGATATTTAGGAAATGAAAGCAACAGGTTTGGTCATCAGATATGAGGAGTTAAAGTAAGGAAGGAGTTTAGGATGTTGTCTTAGCTCAGGATACTATAACAAATATAGACTGGATAGTTTAAACAAAAGAAATTTGTTTCTCACAGTTCCGCAGGCTAGGAAGTCCAAGATCAAGGTGTTGGCTGAGTCAGTTCCTGGTGAGGGCCTTCTTCCTGGTTTGCAGGTGGACATCTTCTTGCTGTATCTTCACGTGGGTAGGGGGAAGGGGTCATGGGGAGGAAAGGAAGCAAGCTTTCTCTCATCTCTTCTTATAAGGTCACGAATCCCATCATGAAGGCTCCCCCTCATGGCCTAATTACCTCCCCAAGTCCCCCATCTCCAAATACCATCACATTGAGGATTACAGTTTCAATATGTGAATTTTGGGGGCATATAAACGTGATTTATAGCAGATGTCTTCCTGTTTTTGGCTTGGGTGCCTGGATGAATACAGGTGCCATTCAACAAAAGAACCAACTTTTTTTTTTTTTTTTTTTTTCTAGGCAGGTCAGGCTTATGTAAGATGAAGATTTTTGTTTGGCCACCTTGAGTTTGAGATACCTGCAATTTTTGAGATACCTGCAAAACATTCAGGTGATGAGGTCTAGTAGAAAGTGAGTCTGCACCAAAAAAGAGAAGTTCTGTGCTGAAGAGTGTGATTAAAGATTATTTGGCTTAGGAGTGAAGGCTGAAGTAATGAGTCTAAATGAGACTTCGCTAATTGCTTTGACTTTGATTATGTATAGTCTGCCTGTTCATTCTAAGTTTTAACATGACAGACCCCAAATTTCAAACAGCAGTCATCTCGAGGCATTTTATTAATATGGGTACAAAGGATTCTCAAGTAAGAAATATTAGCTGTCCATTTAGAGTTGGTCGTAAACTACATTTTACAGTCTTTTCTTGCTTCCCTCTAGGGCGTTGCCTAGCTAAGGCATTAGTTATTTCTATGTCTGTGACAGTCTTCTCCCAAACAAATATTTCATGCCAGATTGTGCACGTTTGTGAGATTTCCCAGTAAGGATGTTGAAAAACAGAGTGCACGAATAATATTTCAATGAACAAGATTTATACATCCCTGAAACAGCATTTAAGAACACGCACCCATCTAAAAATGGAAAAATGCTTCAATATATAAAGCAATAGATTTGTACATACAGTTTTTTTTTTTTTTGGTAAATATATAATACCTCTTAGGAACCACAAGAATTCTTAAAGTTATACTATGGCACTCCTGAAAAATAAGTGACTTAAAGGAAGGAATTCTAGCTTATGATGGCACTAGGTTCCCTTCCCCTCATGTAGGCTCTCCTAACTAATCAGTGAAATAACAATAAATTCACAGAAAGAGGCAAACATTAATAATACTGAAAACTAAGTCTGACAGAACGTCTGTTGGCAAAATTCACGTGAAATTTCCCTAAGGCAGGTGGAACTGGTTGAAGAAAACCAATGTTTTCTTGGTTTTCAGTGGTACGGCGTGGTGATTATAGTTAACAATAATGTATACTTGAAATTTGCTAAGAGAATAGATTTAAGTATTCTCACTACAGGAAAAAAAGGGAACTGTGTGAGGTGCTAGATAGTTAATTAGTTTGATTGTGGTAATCATTTCACAATGTATGTGTGTATATTTAAGGTGATATCAACATCAGTTTGTACAACTTAAATATATACAATTTGTATTAGTTAACAATACCTCAATAAAGCTGGATTAAAAAGAGAAAAAAACCTATTGGTGGCTTCTTTTGGCTTTCCCTTATTAAACAGAGAGGCCTCAATGACTGGAAAGATGACAGGAAGACCCATTGCCCCTTCCCCACTCTCTGTCACCAGCTTAGAGACCAGGTCAATACATCCAACTTGGAGCACGCCATTTACTGCCGGAAGCATCTGTAATCCTTCTCTTTTCACCCCATCTTTTTAATTCTGTTGAGAGATGACCACTCTCAGAAACGAGCAGGACAGGAAGGTGGGTAGGTGGGTGGAAAGGGGTCTATAGAAGATGCCACTTCACCATTGAGAAGTGTACTGTGGTCTTCATAAGGACAGTGATTTTGTAGTTGCTTTGAAAGTATTGCAATAACAAAGCTTACTGGATAGTGTAGTTTTTCTGGCAGGGTATTGGTGACAGAGAAGGAGGTAGGGGGATAAGAGATGATTTCATCTGAATTGCCCTAAAACCGTGGTACATGGTATATAATAACTTACAACTGGGAACCTGGCTTGGAGCTGTACACATCAACTAGCCTTGAACGCAGATCTGAAAGTGGAATTGAACCCATACCTTTATTTTTAGCTCAGTCCTTCGCGTTGTAGAGAGGTTCGAGATCCAGGTTGCCTTAATCAGTGATCACATTTGCATCTCTATGGAAGCGGGAAGGCAACTAAATCTGGACAGGCATCTGTCACTTAGCAATGAACGAAAACATGGCTGTTTCTCAAGAAAACGGGAGAGTGAGGAAGAGGGGAGAGCATGACATTTACATGGGAGGCTTTTGGAAACTACTAACACATGTGTATTTGTTCTCCTCCCCCATTTGTGCCCCCTCGTGGGAGGGTGGTTGGTGAGAACCCTTCTGGATATGAAATTTGTAAGTTTTCCTGGTTGAATTTGCTAACAACTTATCTCCCAAGTTGTGAAACATTTTCCTAAACCAAGAAATTTGCTGTTTATTAGACTATCAATTGGACATTAACCAAAAATTTCTCCCTGAAGTCTTTAAGCAGAAACGTGGAGATTTGGTTCTATGTCTTATTTTTTTTTTTCTCCAAAATGGAATAATCTCATCCGTTGTTGGCAACCAGAAGTAGGCAGGTTTGGGAACGTGGGGATGCATGTACATAAGGCAACCGAAAATAGCCCCAACCGAGATCCTGGATGAAACATTATTCACTTTGTGGGGAGAGGAGAGAACCTGTTCTCCATTCTCCTCTGGTAGCCAAAGTTGGTTGAGGAGCTTGTAAAGCTGCCTTGATAACAGGCTCAGGGGTTAGCCAGGGTCTCAAAGAAATACGAAAACCCAAAACATCAACAGGCAGTTCTATAAAGAATGAAGAGAGAAGAAACCTCTGAGGTTTTCTCCAGTAGTCTGGATGAAAAACATTAAGATCTGAGGATTCCTAAAAAATTGCACACATAGTAAAGGTTTGCCCCTTCTCCAGTTTGTTTGCTAGTTTGTTTATTTTTTGAGATGGAGTCTCATTCTGTTGCCCAGGCTGGAGTGCAGTGGCACAATTTTGGCTCACTACAACCTCTGCTTCCCAGGTTCAGGTGATTCTCCTGTCTCAGCCTCCCGAGTAGCTGGGATTATAGGTGCCCACCACTGTGCCCAGCAAAGTTTTGTATTTTTAGTAGAGATGGGGTTTCACCATGTTGACCAGGCTGGTCTCGAACTCCTGACCTCAGGTGATCTGCCCACCTTGGCCTCCCAAAGGGATGGAATTACATGCGTGAGCCACTGCGCCCAGCCTCCAGTTTGTTTTTTTAGGAGAACTATATTTGTATTAATTGTATGTAAAATCTCCATTAATACTCTCATCCATAGTTATAGAAATTGATTCAGAAGACTAAATATTTATGTTCTTTGCCCCAGGTTAGGCAATATCATGTATACACTATGTAGAAATTATTGTAATGAGTTTTAAAATGGGAAAATACTTATCAGAGGTGAAGAATTGGCATACACATTACCTGTAATGTTCTTACAACCAATTATTATAATTGAGGAGATGGCTTATTTTTAATTTCATACTTTCTAGTAATTTCTTAAATTAGCATACATTTCTTTTATAATCAGAAAATCATTATGTAAGTTCTTCTATAAGCCAAACATTATTTCCTTTGTGAGGTTTCCTTTCAGGATTAGAGGTTGGACTGGTAGAAGTTGAGTCTGGACAGCCTGAATTTAGTTTGTCATTTATGTGCAGAAAGTACTGTGTTTCAAAATTTTAAAGTAGCTTTCCTTGTTATATGAGTTTGACTGCCTGTGATGTCACTGCTGTGTTCATTTTCCAGTATCCACAGTGAAGATGTGTTTTCATATAGCTGTGGGGTCTAAGCCTTTGAAAGGGAGCTCTAATTGCTCTTTTAATTTGTTGAAACAGCTTCAGATGAATTCACCTAAGGTAAAAATTCTGCTCTCTCCATGAAATGTTTGCTTAGAAGACTGATGTTGGTGTCACTGCTCACTTTTCCTTTGTTCTATAAACTCTGTCCTGTTGGACTATGGACCCAGGGATAATTTGTGCAGGACAGACCTTTCAACATAGAGAGTCAACAATTTGAAGAGGTTTTATTTAGCAATTACAGAATAATAGGAATAATTGCTTATTTATGGGTGCTATAAACTGAATGTTTGTATTCCTTCAAAATTCATATGTTGAAGCCCTAACTCCCAATATGGATATATATGGAGTAAGGAGGTTACTAAGATTAAATGAGGTCATAAGGGTGGGGCCCTGATCTGACAGGATTTGTGTCTTTATAAGAAGAGATCCTGGAGAGCTCACATGCTCTCTTCATAGGTAGCATGAGAAAGGGCCATGTGAGGGTGCAGCAAGAAGGTGGCAGTCTGCAAGCCAGGAAGAGAGTCCTCACCAGGAACTAGTCCTGCCAAACCTTGATTTGGGACTTCCATGCTTTAGAACACCGAGCCTGTGGTACTTTATATGGCAGCCCAAGCAGAAGGGTTAAAGACATTTTAGGGATTGTAGGAAGAGGGATATAAAAAAAGTAGAAGCAGGATCCTCAACCTCAGTGTAATCAATGTAGTTAGTGTTGGCTCTCTCTGTGATTTGAGATCTGACTCTGCAGGCCCACCTCTGGAGGCACAGACTTAATTGAGCTAGAATTTTTTTTTTTTTTTTTTAAGGCATGGTCTGGCTCTGTCGCTCAGGCTGGAATGCAGTGGTGTGATCATGGCTCACTGCAGCCTTGATCTCTCAGGCTGAAGTGATCCTCCTGCCTCAGCCTTCTCAGTAGTTGGGACTATAGGCATGCACCACCACACCTGGCTATTTTTATTTTCATTTTTTGTAGAAACAGGGTCTCACTATTTTGCTCAGGCTGGTCTTGAACTCCTGGGCTCAAGTGATCCTCCTGCCTTAGCCTCTCAAAGTGCTAGGATTACAAGTATAAACGACTGCACCCATTTGAGTTAGATTTTTTGATGGTAGATATCGACTAGTAACTCCAGGTATCTGTTTATTTGAATAATGGCATTTTTGCAAAGTTGCTCACATTGTCTTGAGTTGTCACATCACTTTGGGTGCCTTCAAAGCAACCAAAAGAGGTAGAGTCTTCAGATGCTTCATTTCTTTTTGCTACAGTTTTTTATAAAAACCTAGGGTGACAGGTTTAATCATATAGGTTAGCATTTTTAAAAAGTAGATGGAAGTTTTATTATATGAAACTTTGGTTGGGGCATTGGGTTAGGAGTACTTTGTTTTTGAAAGTCCTGGCTGTTGAATATCAGGTCCCTGAAGAGAATGAAGCAATATTTGGAGGAATTTCTTTTCTTTTTCTACTATCCTTAAGTATGTGTTTCCTGAGAGTAGCTAGTACCTTCCTCTAAAGATTTACTTGTTGCATTTTTTTTTCTTAGTGACAAGCATAAGGGCATATTTTACGACATGTTGGTAGAAAAACTTCTGTTGGATGATTATTTATGGTATATGCCTATGATGTATAAGGCAATATGCTAGCTTGATAAGCATCCAAAGAGATATAGAACTGGATGACTGGACAAGTGAAGGAGCTAGAAATGTTTCATAGTTTTATCTCATTTACTTTGAACAACATTTCTTCAAGATAGATGTTACCCTGATTTTGTTTTTAAATACACAGTAAGGGAGTACATAAAGTATCACAGATAAATCAGTGTGAAAGTTAAGACAGATATTTCCCCTTCAAGCTTTAAAATGAAGATAAGGACTTGGGATGGTGATGATATTATTCACTTGTGCACCTGAAGAAACAGCCCTGAGGAGGAAAGAGTGTCTCATATCCTGGAAGACTCAGAACTTCTACAAAAGAATAGAAGTTTCATATTGAGATACTTCCCATAGGAGTGAGTCACCGGCTGCTAAGATCGCCCAAGATAAACAGCTGAGTGGAATCACATTTTAAATATCTGGAAAACCTTCTTCCTCTTCCTTTTGGGTAATTTCCACCTCCTCCCCCTCCCCTCCCCCTTGTCCCCTCTTATTCCTGTCACCTGACCGATGTTAAGTATCTTGGAAAATGGTTTATCTTTTTTTGTGTGTGATTCCTTCTAAGACTGGGCAGAGGAAGAAAGATGGATTTAGGATCGATTCTTCTCCTTCAAGAGATTTTGGGAAGGATAAATAGAAACTATAGTATATAATTATATATAAATGCACACTATATATATACACACACACAAGCACAAACACTGTATATATACTATATTTAAATTATACTATGTTTAAGTTATATACTATATAATATATAATATTTAAGTATACTTATATATAATTATAATATATATTATATAAGTATATATAGTATGTAATGTTATATAGTATATAATTTAAACATATCCATATTTAAATTACAGAAAAATAAGAGTGGGCAGGCAGAGGAAAACCCAGCTTTAGGATGAATGCTTACCAAGGGCTGGGCCTGTGTGATTGGCCCTGTGCACATACTCCAGCCTTACAGCAGACCTAGAGAGGGCCAGTAATTTGTTGCAGGGGACCCACCTGTGAAGGGCTGAGATTCAGGCACTCATCTGTCCCAGCCTGAAGCATGTGGTCCCTTCATGGTATCACACCTTTGTACATACGACTTAGGGCCAGAATCTGGAGGCACAGCCCCAGGCTTTGGGGTTCTATGGGCAGTGCTGAAGAAATTGCTCACTATACTTTATTTTTTAAATAAGATACTAGTGTTAATACCAGTATTATGTGAAATAAGTCCCCACGTTGTCTTTTTACTCTAGCATTGGTCTGTGGTAGTGATGGTCAGTCAGTATGCTGACTGCTGGTGGGTGGGGGTGTGGGGCACAGTGGTGACAGAGGAGCCACTAGGTGCCTCAGGAGATGGGGATGGGTACTAGAGGGGTGGGGAGAAATAGGGAAATGGGAGCCAAGGACCAAACAGTGCTGAGTGACGTGAAGGGAATAAATGTGTGCGTCTTTGAGTGAGGATGGACCAGAAGCAGGGAGGAACCCTGGAGTGAAAATAAAATTCATGGCTGGCGTGATGGCTCACACTTGTCCCAGCTACTTGGGAGGCGGAGGCAGGAGGGTTGCTTGAGCCCTGGAGTTTGAGGCTGCAGTGAGCTGTGATCCCACCTGTGACTAGCTACTGCACTCTAGCCTGGGCAACATAATGAGGCCCTGCCTCAAACAAATAAACTAAACAAAACAAGAAACCTGCAGTAACAGGGATGCCTAGAAGGTAGGGGGCTAGAAAAAAGGGAGGATTCCCATTCATTGGAGGAGCAAGAGAAACCCTGAGCTCTGAGGCTTGTGGTTCTGATACTGGAAGCCCTTGCTCTGCTGGGACCTGGGGCTTCACATTCTGCTTCATCTATGCTCAGAGAAGCCCTGTCCTACCTGTCCAAGGAGTTGGTATGCTCCTTGGTGTGCTTAATAGGTACCTCTTTGGTCTGAATTACTGCTGTAGTCTTCTAATCTTTCTCCTTTTCTGCATTCTCCTTTCTCTAGTACATGCTTTGGACTTAAGCCACAAGTGACCTTTTTCATAAAGCAAATTTGTTGATGTAGTTCACTTGTAAAAAACAAAATCTTTAATTTTTTTTTTTTGTTTTTGCAGTCAGGATAGAGTTCAAAGTCATTTTATGGTACACAAGTTCCCTCCTAAATCGGCCCCTGTCTGCAATCTCATCCCGTGCTGGGCAATTCTTTCTCTCATACGCTGTCCTCCATCCTATGGAACCACTGGCTCCTCAGAGATGCCAGGCTACTTGAGGACTGTTGCCTCTGCAACTGCTGAAATGCTTCCTGGGCTGACCATCCACCTCCTGCTTCTTTACCTGGAAAACCTAACTGCAATGTCTGTTCTTTGAGAGTGTCTGTCTCTTTCTACTCCTCCTGGTAGAGTACTGCTCTACCTCTGTTCCTGCTCTGTGCCCTGCAGCTGCCTCTCTCAGGGCCTTTGCTGCTGCTGTTTTGAAACTGTCCGACTTTGCTACAGTGTAGGGAAGCCCTTGAGGCCAGAGATGCTGTGTGGTTCAGCTTTGATTTCTCTAGAGGGTAACACAGAGCTAACCTGTAGTAAGTTCAGTAAGTGTTGAATCAATGAATGAATGGGTTCCTTGGATGAGGGAGAAAGCCCAAAGCTCAGCGTGTTGTAGTTATTTGTTACATTTATATACAAGGTTGTCCAGGATGTATAATCCAGGCTTTGTTGAGTGGATGAGGGTATCCTGACTGGGGCCTGGCAACCCCCCGACATCCACAGAGGAAAACAAGTGTTTGTGAGAGAAGTGATAGAATTTGTCAAAAGTATATGAAATTAGTTACATAAAATCTGAAACATACATTGTGGTTCTGTTTGTCCTGTGACTATGTAAAATTGCCATTGAAAAAACCCAGAAAGCCGGGTGTGGTGACTCATGCCCGTAATCCCAGCACTTTGAGAGGCTGAAGCGGGTGGATTGCTTGCGCCCAGGAGTTTGAGACCAGTCTGGGCAATATAGAGACCCTATCTCAAAAAAAAAAAAAAAAAAAAACAAAACCCAGACAGAGAATAAAAACAAGAAGGCTAGGCTGCTATGTCATGAAGAAACCTACCACCAACCGCTGAATTTCAGTGAAGATAGGACTGTATTATTTTTATTGTATCCTCTGCTCTTAGTATAACATTTGCTACATAATAAATTGTAACATATAGTGAAAATGTACATGTTATTTGAGTCAGTGTGTGTAGGTATAAATTTTTAATAGGGTATTTACACCTGAAGTCTTTACAACACCATGTGACTGCTAGACTCCGTTTAAATGCCAGAAGATACTCAGATACATCTGCTTGTCATATCCTCTGGCCACCATGTAATGGTCAGTTGTAGAAAATCTTCGGTCAGTACTGGATCTTAGGCATTTTTACTGCTTCCTGCAAGTTTGGGGTGCTTTTCCAACCTTTTAGTGATTGCATTTTGTAACAAAAATTTCCCACCACAGTTTTTTTTTTTTCCAGAATAAGAGTATCTTGAGATAGCAAGGCAAGCTGTTATCAAAAGACAGAAACAAAACTCCTACCAAATATGCAATTAGCCATTGGTGAGAAACAGCATTTTCACTCCACAGCATAACCAACACAAAATATAGAAATATATGGCATGCTGAAGAAATAGACTACAATTGTTATTTATAGCTTCCCATTCCAAATTTTTGTTTTCATTAGAATAGGCTTATTCACTAGAACATTGTGTTGGCAGTGATCTGTCACACACTTGTATGGTATGCTCTGCATATGGTGGCTGGATTTTGGGATGTCTCAGCTGGGAAGAAGGATACCCTCTTTCTCATTTGCAGTGGTGTGACATGGGCTACCAGGAACCCTCGTCATTGTTCTTACTGACTTGATACTGAGAAAATATAAATTCAGAAAGATAAAATAAGTTTAGTAGGATAAAATGCTGCTTTTATATGATGAGGGTGTATATGAGCATTTATTTGAACAACAACAACACCCTTTACTGTGAAAACCAAGGTTTGAAAACCACTGACTTAAAATGAGGCTGGAGTATTGCATGTAAATTCTGTTACAACAAGGTTTGAAGTTACTACCTAGATTTTCCTAATGAGCTGACATGCTTCTACTTTAAGTGGTGGTAGGGAAATCTTCTGGGTTGGGGGGTATGAATTGTCATGGAATTATTGCGTGTTCCAGACACGTATGCCATGCAGCACAGTTTGCACCACTGATGTAATAAAGCTCTTCATATCTGAAAAACATTTGTTTGATATCATCATTCTAAAGTACCTAGTTGAAAGGGTTAACTCCAGTTTATCTTATGAAAGAGGCCAGGATTCTAATTTTGGTTCTTTCACAACTGTATGAACTCAGGCAAAGCATTTATCTTCTTAGGGCCTCAGCTGTGAAAGGATAGTTTGATGAGGTGATTTCCAAGTTACCTTGAAATTATAGAATTCATTGTAAGTTCGAGAGTCTCTTGGGCACTCTGACTAGATGTCATTGGAACTGTCTGAAGTATTCTGTATCTGAAATGTTTTGGTTTGTGTTCAAGTAACTGAAGGTGAAGTGTATGAGATATTTACTGTTTGTGCTGGTCTCTTCTACCAGACAGTATACTATGTTTGCAGCATTATGTGTTATCTTGAAGCCCTTGGGCAATTCCCTATAGTACTTGGTTCTGTTAATTTTGGTAAGTATTTGATAAATATTGTATAAAACCACTCTACTTCCCTAAGTCTTTCTGTCCTTAACAGGGAATTGCCAGAGCTATTAAGTTATTTAAATAAATTAACTAAACCCTATATTCAATTTTTGAGTCACATGGTACCAATTCAAAGAAAACATTGGTTAAAGGGGTCATATTTGGAAATAACTTATTTTTTCTGAAAGTCTTCTTTTCTTTTTCAGTTGTGAAAAAAAGGGATGAAAATATAATATTGCACTTAGCTGTCAAATGGAAAATAATCATTTTAGATCTCATTCTACATCCAAATTATAGCACTCACTGACCATACTGTGCAAAATTGGTCAGATTCCATCGACTGGTTGCATTTACTCCACTAATTGGAAAAAATTATGACTATTAATCATTGTGACACAAGGCAGAATGTCATCATGGCATGACATTCTTATTTTCCACCTGAGAAGTGGTGGCTTCTGAGCGCAAAAGCACACTCTTCTCTCCTACTTTCGCTTGCCATTTCTTTTTTGGGTTTGGTTATAGTTCTCTGTAGTAAATCAGACAAAGACTTGTAAAAAGTGGAGCATGGAGAGGCAGAGCAAGAAAGTGTTCCTTCATTTTTATTCTCCAGAAACAGCTGTGAAAATGAAAATGGGATAGGGAGAGAAGAAAAACATCATAAGAGAAGGAAATGTGGCTGTTGCACAGACAAAGACATTTGAAATTATTCGCATGTAGACAATTGATGGAGATAATGTCTTTTTGGGCATAAGGACTTCAAAGTGACTGGACTCTGAAGTTTTATTTTTTTTCCCTCCTAGATTAACTCAGAAGAGAAATGTTTTCAGCAATTTGCCAGGATTTCCTATGAGGATAATAATTTTCTAGTTATAGAAGTAATTATGGTTGTAACACGTGAGTTATTTTGCTATTGAGTTTTGTAATTTCTTAGTGTTTTGGTATACTTAAAATTTATTTGGGCGATTGCATTTCTTGAGGATTGAAAATAAAAAGGTAACTGATAAATGCTAGTCTATCATGCTTGGCTTTTGAAAGTATTTCTGGTTTTTATTTTTCTCTCTAGGTATCAGTATTAATGGCTTAAAAAAAAAGAGAAACAAAAGTGTTTAATTAGTGGTTTATTCTTCCTCCCTGGACAATCTATTTTTAATAGCCATGGCATATTTGCTGGGTGACTTTTGTTTGTCTAATAAATAAGCAACTTCTTTTATATGTCCCTGAAATTTTGTTACCCTCCAAATAGAGTTCTTATAGTACTCTAAAGGAGAACTGACATGTTTTGTTTTAATGTTTCCCCATAGGAAAATTATGTGGCATACCTGGTGAATATTAGGTCCAAATGCAGTGGTTTCTCTGTGGGTGTCTTAGTAAGGACAATGAGAAGATTCTTTAATTTCCATTTCTGCCTCAGTACTAATGTTAATTTGATTTCAAATTGTTAATGCTACCATATTTTGTGATGATACAGACTACTATAAGCAGTACCTTGTTTTATAATAATAGTAAACCTTTACTGAACTCTTACTAGGTGTCAGGCCCTATGCCAAGGTCATACATGCATCATTTCATTCCGTGCTCATGACAACTACATGATGTGAGTACTATTCTTATCCACCTTTTTACTAGTGAGAAATTTAGGAACAGAAATGTTCTAGAACCTGTCCAGGATCACAAGGAAATTGAGTTGTGGAACTCTGATTTGGTTTCAGATTCTGAAGCCTGGTTTCTTAGTCAGTATGTTGTAGTGTCTTCCCAGTCATGTCTTCATTACTCTTTGTTTTGTTTGGGGTGGTGGTATGGGAATAAGGGGTGTCTGTTACCATAAAGCTAAGCAACTGACAAAATTCATAGTAAATATTGAAGCACAGGTTCCCTGAAACCAAGCAACCCCACTGGGATGCAGGGGTGCAAGGTGGTTGTTGGTGCAGAGCCAGGGCTAAAGTTTGGGCAGCCTGTGATCTTGAAACCTCTGCTCGGTCTGCTTCCAATGGAGATCCCCCGAGGATGTCCCAGTGAAGTTGCCCCCTGGCCTAGCCCAGCACTCTTGCAGAACTCATCAGAAGGTAGTGTCTGAGACTCAGCCAAGGATGGTGTGCTTCCAGAAGGCAGGGGCTTCAGCCGTCAGCCCTAAGTGTGCAGCTGTGGTGGTCCTTCCACCAAAGTGACTCCTACCCTCAGCTGCAGCCAGTGATGGCAGGCACCTTCCCACCTGGCAGTAGTTGCCAGCTGATCTATAAAAGACTGGATTCCGCTTAGGAAAGGCAGTTTAAGACTGTGCATTCATTGGTGTGGGAAGGAGCAGGTAGTGAGAATGGAACACGTTAAGTAGAGACCTGCCTGTCCTTTAGAGATGGATCTGTGGCAGTACAAGGGAGAGCTAATTATAACACCATTGTGTCACTCAAATGTTGTGGTCAGACTATTGAAGGTGTCTTTTATTTCAAGTGAACTTTTTCTTTTCTTTTTTTTTTTTTAACTGAGGGTGACCCATGTTCTGACTTCCTTTTGAAGTCATCAGGCCTCATAAACAGAATCAGACTTGAATGCTTAAGTCATCCCTTTCCTGTTTGTAGAATACTACCCTATTCCACTTTTTCCTGTTTGGATGCTTTCTTACTTGTCCTGTTTGATCCTTTTAACTCTTATAAGGTAGACAGAGAGAGTTGTTCCTGTATTCATGATGAGACAGTTAAGACACAGCAAATTAAGTGACCAGTGCTATTTGTTTGAAGAACTTAGTTTATTCTTCTGTGTACTTATTTTCCACATCTGCAGAACTGTGACCATCCTCCACATAATTTATAGTCCATACCAAGTAGTGGATCAAACGAGCTCCTGCCAGGCAGTCACCAGCTTCTGATGAGAACAGCAGCATGCAGCCTGCACTTCAATGCTGCACTCCCAAGACCAGCTGTGGCCCCCACACTGCCAGTGCTGTGTGTAACGGGTGCTCTGTAGTTCAGTATTATTGATTTCCTATAGATTCTTTATTTTTTAAATAGCCCATGTCAGTTTCTTTCTTTTAAGTGTGGGAAGGGTCCTAAGCTTTAGTTTCCTGTTCTGTAAAGAGGGATGATACTCTTTGCCTTGTTTATCTACCATGCAATTATTATGATCAAGTGAGATTATTTTTGTGAAGCCATGTAAACTATAAAGTGCTTTCCAAGCATGAGGAATTACTGTGGATGATCTTGAGTTTCACATGGAGGTCAGGAGCAGTTAAAATTGTTGGTTGTGATACCATCCATAATCTCTTCTCTCAACACCCTCTGCAAGCTCTAAGGGGGGGGGATTGTAGGGGTCACACAGGTGTTATTGCTAGAAAATGAAAGAGCAGAAAGGCTTCACAAGCCCACTGAGAAGGACTTAGCTCACACTTCTGGGAACCAGTGTCCAAGGCGTGTGACCATAGGAACAGAGACTCTCTGTCAGGAAGGAGTCACCAGCTGACTCCAAGGGCCGGGGTTTTTATGAGGAGAGTCAGTGCCATCCTGCTTGGAAGCAGTCAAAAGGAGGTTAGTAGCTTGTACCTTTTGCTCCAAAAGGAAAAAAAAAGAAAAATGAATGACAAGTTGCAGAATATGCACTATTAAACCTCAGAGAAGTTAGAGTTAGCCAAAGGACTAAACTGTAATGCCCCTGGGTGAGGCCGGGGTGGAGACTACAGCTCTGCACTGTGAAGAAGTTGCCCAAAGCAGCATCTGCAAGAGGTGCCTGCAGATCATACAGAGGGGTGCGTTAGGGAAAACCTGACCCTGCCCAGTTATATTAGCAAGTGGTGTTCACCTGTGTGGCTGTGTGTGTGCAGTTTTCACTGATGTATGAGTTCCTCCTTTGTGCCAGGCATTGTGGTAGGTACTAGGTCTACGTTGGAGTGTGGAAGGTTTTCAGATCTCACAAAGCTTAGAAACTCATGCATCTGTTAAATACAGGTCTGTGCATTAGGCACGTGCAGGGGCTGTGGGCACAGAGATGAAGAGTGAATTCCAAAGAACTCAAACCTGTGTGGAGAAGTCAGAGAAAGGGTCACTGATAATGGTCCTAGGAGAGGCAAGGTGGTGTGATAAAAGTCTGCACAGAGGAAGGGGCCCTCAGACCTGGGCAGGTGCGTGCATCCTGGAGAAGATGATACCTGAATTGAGTTGAGAAGGTACTGTAGGAATTAACTAGGTGAAAGAAATAGGAGAGGGTATTCCTGGATAAAGAAACAGCAAAAGCAAAGGCAAGGAAGCCTAAAGGCTTGCAGGAGTGGCTGGGAAACCGCACATGGATTACTCCCATAAATGTTACCACTATCGAAATACTGCTACCTGTTGCTGACACATCGCCTCACTCCAAGTTAAATCAGTGGTTCTCAATCTGATTGAACTACCCAACCCTCACCCCCACTCCCAGGGTTTGGAAATGTGTTGCTTTTGATAAATGAGTGATTGGACAGCCCTCCTGGCATTTGTTGGACAAGACTAGGTATGCTACATGACCATCAGAAGGAAGAACTGCCCTACCCCACATGCCCATGCCATCCTTTTTGAGAAACCCAGGTTTAAATCCTGGCAGACATAATCCCGTGAGGTGACAAGACAGTGAGTGTGTTTACTGTTTTCAGCTAAGGCATGAAAGCCAAGGTCACATAGTTTTCAGGCCATCAGTAAAGCCTGGAATGCTTTTCTCATCAATACCTTTTGTTTGAAATTTCTTTTGCCCTTTCAGTTTCCATGTTTTATTGATGTCCTGCTTTATAAAATTCTAGATAATGCCTTTTGTTGATAGTATCTTTGTTAAGAGCTCACAGTTCTCCCCCTCCTATTCCCAAATGGAGGACCTTCCATTAAGAGGTAGTTATGGCCTTTCTCTGCCCTTTCTCTCCTTCCCTTTTCTACTCAATTGGCAATTGGTTGGTAAATTTGGAAGATGAGACTGAGCTGGCCTTGCTCATTCCCTTCTTTCTATGGACATCTTCCGTCTGTAGAGAGGCTGCCTTCTGATTTGTAAGGTTAGTGGCAATGTGGGAGGCCTACATGTTTATGACCTAAACTTAGTCTAGGGGAGTGTAGCTGGGCCCTGTGTACAGTGATGCTGTTTGTGTCCTGCACGAAGGGAGCAAGTGGCAGCTGGAAGCCAGCCAGAATTCCACTGGGCCCAGCCAGCTGTGCTGGGGCCCAGGCAGTTCCTTTTGCACATTTGAACAAGTGCATTGTCCAGTCCTGTGGCCACCCTGTTGCACAGCTCCAGAGGCCACCATCGTGTTCTCATTGTATTCTGTGTCTCGTGGTTTAGGTCTTGATAGTGAGGCACATGCCTGCACACCTAGCCGTGTGCTTTCATGCAGAGTTTATTGGCCATAAAGCTGACTTCAGTTTGACCTGCTTCTTCTGTCTGTCCAGTGAGTGAAAGGGATGGTATTTATTAATTTTTCTGGACCTATAGTTTCCTTAGTGACAAGAGGCTTTGCTCCTTTGTAATCTCTTAATTGTGTTTCTCTCTCACACACACAATTAATACATGCTTGTGATTAAAAGTTCACACAGTATAGAAAAATGTAGCATATGAAACTGAGGTCTTCCTTTGCCTCCTTCTCCCACTCTTCTTCCTGAAATCGATCATTAGCCAATGCAATGCTAACACCCCTCTCAGATCCTTTCCTATTCCGTTGGTGTGTATAATTTTAAAAATGTGATCACATCATTTATGTTCTGTAGCTTGCTTTTTTAAAAAATATTACATCATGGAGAGATCATTCCATATAAGTACATTATAAATCTAGCTGTCTTTTAAAAATTAATGTATTTCAAAATTGATTTGAAAAATTGTATATGAAAACAATAATAACTATAAGACTGAAATTTGACTCCTTCTGCATGCCGGGCACTATTCTAAGTCCTTTACAGGTGTCACAACAACTCTATGGGGTAGGCAGTGTTAATAGCATTTTTCAGCTCAAGAAACTGAGGAATAAGGATCAGGTAACTTGTCTAAGTTCATCCTGGACAAGTATGTAAAACTAGTATCTGAAGGCAGGTGGTGTGACTCTAGAATGCACAGTTTTAAATGTTATACTTGACAGCATTTGCTATCAAATTCAAAAGGTAAAAAAGATTAGTGATATGGTGATTGTTGAGGTTCCTGGCCCTGTGCCCCAGTGCCTGGAGTTCTCACCCTAGAGGCAGATCCCTTTGGGTACAGGTGCCCAGGCTGTCCTGCGGATTTAATAGCATAGAATCCTCAGGAGGTTGTATATGTCCACTGAAAACGATTTTCCTTTATTCTGTGAGATGCAAGTGCACGTACCGTTCAATCCATTTCAATCCTGTGATCCTGCTTCCTGTTACTCTTTCTTGTTAAGAGTTGCATACTATTCCACAGTGGGAACGTATCATACTTTATTTAAATAGTTCCTCTTCTGGTTTTCAGTGTCAAGCTTTTTTTTTTTTTTTTTTTTGAGACAGTGTCTTACTCTGTTGCTCAGGCTGGAGTGCAGTGGCACGATTTTGGCTCACTGCAGTCTGGAACTCCTGGGCTCAAGCAGTCCTCCTGCCTCAGCCTACAGGCACAAACCACTATCCCTGGCTAATTTTTAAATTTTTTTGTAGAGATGGAGTCTCAGTATGTTTCCCAGTCTGGTCCCGAACTGTGCTGGCCTCAAGCCATCCTCCTGCCTTAGCCTCCCAAAGTGCTGGGATTATAGGTGTGAGCCTCTGGACCCAGCCCCAGTATCATGCTATTCCAAACAATGCTACCTCAAAATATTTTGCACTTATATGTAAATATATACAATCATATAATTACACGTGGGTTCATATCTCTGTAGAATATGGACTTCAGTGTGGAATTTCTGGGTCAAATGGGATGCATACTAAATATTTTTCTAGATCATAGCAAATTATCTTCTCAAAAGGCTGTATCATTTTATATTCCCACCAACATACTTGTTTACTCTTTCTTGCCAACATTGGATATTATCTCTAATATTTTACAAGTCTGTAAAGTGATGTTAGTATACCAAATGAGCAAAATTAACAACATTTGAAGTTATTTTTAGCTTATCCAATCTTGCTCATACTCACTTGCTCAAGAAGAAAAGTTATGTGCAAGCCATTCTGCAACTACTACCTCCCCTTTTAATTAAGAAATGTCTTCCAAACTTTTGCCTTAAAAATGCAACTATCATGAGCCATTTTTACCAACTTCAGGAAAATGACTGCCGTGTCACCAACATGGGGATGCTTCCTAGAGGGGCAGGCAGTTATGAATTGGGAGTCTACTTACAGCCCTTTAATACCTAAAGCAGCCTGCTTTGCCAACCCCTGCCCCTAAGGTGGTGGAGCAGTGCACAGCCACAAAGTGCTGTTGGCACTGTGGGGACCCCAGCTACTCAAAAGAAGGATGCCATCATCGGGACAGTGCCTCATTCAGACATATATATATCTACAGGCAGGGAGCTCATGCTGTCGTCATGGCACGGACACAGCTCCTTAAGTGACTCTCAGGCTGTGCTTTTATCATGGGCACCCTTCTCTGAGGTGATTTTCTAAGGAGAAGCCAGTGCCTTTGAGTCCATGCCCACAGATTCCATTTCTGAGTACTTTGGCTGCAGAGGACCAACTCACACTTACTTCCAAACTTGGGAAAGGAGAATTGCAGCCTGATCTGCCTGGCAGATGGCAGGTTGTGCTGTGTGGACCTGTCGGGGTAAAAGTTGTCTGCAGAAGTGAAGAGGTTATTTTTACATGTAAAGGAGCACTGTGCTTCTGTTTTTCTGAAGTCTTTGGTCCTCTGATGCTTGTTGGGCTCTTTGGGAGAGCAAGGTTCTCCAGAGTCGTTTTGCATCTGCCGGGGGTTTCTGGGTTGAGGGGGGCTACCTCCTTCCTTGTCTGGTTCTGCCTCTGCCCTACCATATGCTTAGTGAATGCCATTTCTCTTTTATGGTCTGTTTTCTGAATGAAGAACTATGCCTACATGGTACTGACAGCTAAACCGTAGTTGACTTTGAAGCTATTAATTTTTAGTTTTTACTTTGGAATTTTGTTTTCCATTTATGTTCTACTTTAGACTTTTGGACTTAGTATCCGGCAGAATAAGAAACTGATGCTGTGTGTGCACCCACCCCCACTCCACCCCGTTTTAAAACTAGATTGACAACTTGTCAGTTTATTAACAACATGTCAGAAGTTGGCATAATATGAAAAGTCAAAATGGAAAAGTGCTTATGCTAAAGTGATACGAGCCCCAGTTAAATATTCATCATACCTTTGAGGTGTGTGTTTCACTGTGTATTTCTGATTTTGAGGGGTTTTAAATCTATACTAATCTCCTAAATCTTGACAGCATAACTACCATTTTTATTTCCATATTTCTAATTAAGCTGGGTTTTTGTAGGGTGTGAAAGGAAGGGTTTTGAGGTGACCTTATGTGTCAGAAAAATCACATAGTGATTCTAGAAAAACTTCCTTTTGAAGCAGCTGTGTTCTCCTTGAAGGGATTCTTTGAGCGCCAGGCATGTTTAATTCACTTCTGGGTTTTTGTGTGCATGTAGCTGGGTTAAAAAAAAAAAACAAAAAAACAACACCTTTTGTGCTGGGTGCTTTGCTGAAACTCCTGTAACAAATAATGATATGTTAACATTGTATTTTTCTGTAAGGCAATGCTACTAGAGAGTTCACTTAGAAGATTTTTTCCTGTGGTCACTTTTTTTTTTTTAAGGTACAGGCCCTGTTTCCCAGGCTGGAGTGCAGTGACATGATCACCACTCACTGCAGCCTCGACATCCCAGGCACAAGTGATCCTCCCACCTCAGTTCCCAGAGTAGCTGGGATTACAGGCATATGCCACCACACCGGGAAAATTTTTATTTTTTGTAGAGACAGGGGTCTCCCTATGTTGCCCAGGCTGGTCCCGAGCTCCTGGTCTCAAGAGATCCTCCTGCCTCAGCCTTCTAAAGTGCTGAGATTATAGGTGTGAGCCAAATGCGTTCAGCCTCCATTTCTATTTCTGTGAAATAAATAAGCATCTCAAGTAACTTTTTGAGTTCATCACAACTTTTGAGGAATTGGCTAAGCTCAAACACAGTTTTTTAAAATGTTCATTCTGTGTCCCATCATAGGTTCATTTTATATCTGAAGTTGCTGTCTTTCAGGAAACCTTTGTAATAGATACTGTCCTGATTTCTCATGGCTTGGTTAGCCTATGAGGATACGTACAAAACCTTCTGATTTGGCAGCCTCCATCATGTGCACATTTATTCTGTATCTGAGCTCATCGGTAGTTCCGAATAGAGGATGAACGAGAGGAATGAAGGGAAATATGATGAATGAGGCTTAGAAAAAATATTTTTATTTTTTGGATCCCTTTTTTAAAAAGTGTGCAAAACCAGTCATTTCCATGTGACTAGCTGCTATCAGAAACCAAAAAATGTGCTTGTCGTCACAGTTGAGGCAGCTTCTCTGTCAGATTGGAACTCAGGTTATGTTGGTGTCTGACTGGTTTTGAGGAATAATGTGAGGAAACCATGTATTTTCAGTTCAGCTCTTTTCCTAGCACTGTTATTTCATGGTGGGTATTTCCTGGCTAGGTTGTAGGGATGGGAAGCCGAGACAAAGGTGTAGTCTTTGACAAAGCAAGTCTTTGGAGCAGGGGCTGTTACCGATGATTTTTTTGGTCTCTCATAGCTCCCCACCCTCTTTTAGCTCCCCACTCCTCTTTTTTTCTCCTTACCTCTCTTATGGCAAAAGTTTATTCATTTAAAGTACAAAATGACTTGAGACCATTAAAAATTGAATAAGAAGAAAGGCATACTGTAAGCCTCACTTCAGCACTTCAGAAGTACAAAATGAGTGATACAGCCAAAGTCCTTAAATCTTGAAGCAAGAACACGACAACTCTCTTAGTGCATGCACTGCTGTCACAGGACATTGCATTTCACCTGTAACTGTGATGAAGGAAAATGAGACCAGGAGCAACCTTCAGAAAGGTCTCAGGGAATGAGAGAGTGATACTGATGTTAGTAAGCATTTTGGGATTCTTCCACATCTGGATGCTGGGTACTTAATACAATTTGTTTATTGGATTGATTATGGTCCCACAGCCATGGTACTGTCATCAAGAAAGTCCCAGGGGATAGGTATAGGTGTGTAGCCTGTGCTAGGCAGATGAGAGCTCGTGGCCAGTCATGCCCATGGGATTTCCCATGGTGTCCATAGAGCATAAAGAAGAACAGCCTTTCTGCAAAGCAGGTGTCCTTTCCTTTAAGCAAACCTAATGCTGAGTTGATAAAGATACAGATTTCCTGTAAAAGGTGACTCTTTTTTTTTACCTTATAAAAGGGCTTATTTCAAATTTCTGTTAAAAAAAAATCAGTAGTCTCCTATAGCATTTGACATATCAACTATGAATTTACAGAAATTCGTAGTTGTGCAAAACCAGTCATTTCCATGTGATTAGCTATCAGAAACCAAAAAATGTGCTTATCACAGTTGAGGCAGTTTCTCTGTCGGATTGGAACTCAGGCTATGTTGGTGTGTGACTGGTTTTGAGGAATGATGTGAGGAAACCATGTATTTTCAGTTCAGCTCTTTTCCTAGCACTGTTATTTCATGGTGGGTTGCAAATTTACATTGGTTTGCAAATCCATAAAGATATTTTAACAACAGCTACCATTAAACGAACAGTTCTGTTTGCCAGGTATCAGGCTAAGTGCTTTTAAATGCATTATTAGCTTCTTCACTCATCACAAAAGCCTTGGTAAATAGGTGCTATCATTATCATCTATGTATTTCGGAAGAGCTATCTAAGATTTAGAAAGGTTACTTGCCTAAGATCACACAGGTATAGTAAGGGGTGACAGCAGACTTTGAGCCCAGGGCTGTCTGATTCCTGCAATTTAACTCTTAACAAATACCTCAGCCTAGGCTGCTGTCTGTAACAGTAGGGACAGGCACCACTCTGCGAGGATCATATAGATTTCTAATGTCTCTCCCCAACTACTTGTTCTAGCTATGATTTTGTGCTCTGGAGCTTGATTTTTGGAAGTGATGACTAGAATTAGAAGTTGGTTGGCAGGAGAATTATTTTCTTCCTTCCCTCATTCTACCTCATTATCCTTGTAACCTAGGGAACTTATGTCACTAAAGGACACCATGGCCAAGATCTTGAAAATGGTAGGTAAGGCTTCTCACATGTCGATGATCAACATCTGTGCAATGATGTCATTAAAAACAAGCACAAACAACACCACCACCAAACTTGTTTTTATATTATGTGCAATTTCAGTTTTATATTATGTGCAATTTCAACGCGGAACACAGTACTTTCAGAGCAAATGCAGTTGGTTGAAAGAAACAGGCACTCAAGAGACAGCTTACTGTAATGAGTCAGTTTCCATATTGTTACTGAGTAGGACTTGGTGTTAGAAGACTCTGGGGAGTAAAAATTAATGTAATTAAAATATAGTAATTGGCAGATTTGTGCAAACTATAGGTTTTTCTGTTTTGATCCTGAAGAAGCCAAATAAGGGCATTGTGCTTGTAGTTTTTTTCCAATACATTTTTCTGTGCCAAGAAATGGGCCACTAAAAATTTTATATTGTTATTAATAATGAGAGGTCACACAGACAACAGCTGCATTACAGTAGAGGGAAGAACAAAGCTCCCAGTTTTATGTTGTCTTTGGAATCAGAACCAAATAGAGCATTGTGAAGTCAAGTGGAGACCTGTAGACGGGTTCATGGACCCAGAGGCTTTCTAATGGGTACACATTGGGTGAGGGTGGTGATAAGAGATATGGGTGGATTTAAGGAATTCTGTTTCCCGATCTCAACTTTCATATGTTCTTTTTCTTTAGTGCCTGTACTCTCCTTTCCCAATAGATCTTCTTTCACTCAGTAAGAGAAAGGTCAGTCTTCCACACACCCCTGTTCTTAGTAGGGTGCTCTTTGGATTGTGGGGTAGAAAAACACCTGCTCTCCAAACAAAGGAATGATTGAAATAATGGTGTTGGTTGATGAAAATTAATGACTCTGATGACAGGATAACAAATACTTTTGCAATTCAGGTGGCATCCAATTCTTTATTTTCCACAAAATTGAGAAAGGACTTAATTGACTTGTCAGTTGATCATTAAAAATAATGTTGATGATAGATCACCCTGAGATTTTTTTGGCATATGTCCCAGAATGAATTCAAACTATAGAGGAAAGTTATTATAGCACACTTAAATTTCAATGTAGTTATTTGTGTGAATAAGTTTTGTTAGCTTTTAGATTAAAAAGGGGATGGGGGCAGATAGGAATAAAATTGATGCACATTTTAGCAGTATTCATCTGCAAATGCATAACTTAATTGGAAAAAGAATCTCATATGTCTCATTAAGAGATAAATTTTAAAAACATTTTTATTCTTATAATCATTTATAAAGATGTAATACTTATGTGTTTATCAATTGTATACAACAAATAACAAATATAAATCAATCCAGCTGAAAAAAAATATGAGAGTTTTATGGCCACAAAACCTTCTAAACCTTCACATTTATATACATATGTCAATTTCTAGTAAGTTAGGCTTATATATTATGTATACTTAATTTAGAGATATATGATAGGATGATTAATACAACTTTCAAACATAAAAACATTTTACCTTAAGATAAAATTTTGTGAGGATAGTGAAATGGAAATACAAAGGCAGGGCAAATAAGGGAAAAATTTCTATTACACAAGAGCTTTTTCAGGTTTTTTAAAACATGTATAATGGTAGAGAGCAAACAGCTTGGTGTTTTGATTCAGTGGATACATTTTAGAGACTCATGTTATAGTTTAATTTTCAAATGTCATTATAGGACACTTTGGAAATCCTTTTTCACTGTTTAAACTTCAGATGAAG
The DNA here is from genome assembly GCF_000001405.40 of Homo sapiens. NCBI lineage: Eukaryota > Metazoa > Chordata > Mammalia > Primates > Hominidae > Homo > Homo sapiens. The sequence continues at coordinate 112,175,203 of NC_000007.14, read as the reverse complement.
AAATGATTAAGATGTCAAGTTAAAAATGTTCCAGGGGACGGGGCTGGGCGCGGTGACTCACACCTGTAATCCCAGCACTTTGGGAGGCCGAGGCGGGCAGATCACGAGGTCAGGAGATCAAGACCATCCTGGCTAACACGGTGAAACCCTGTCTCTATTAAAAATACAAAAAATTAGCCAGGTTTCAGTGAGCCAAGATCGCGCCACTGCACTCCAGCCTGGGCAACAGAGTGAGACTCTGTCTCAAAAAAAAAAAAAAAAAAAGTTCCAGGGGAAACACAGTGGCTATAATTCTTTTAGTAAGCATGCAAAAACAAAACAAAACAAAACAAAAAAACAAACCAAAAAACCCACTTTTTAAAACATTGAGATAAAACATCATCTAGTGAAAATGAGAGACCAGTCATCTGGGAGTAGAATATGGACGTGAGACAGAGCCTTAAAATTGGATGGTATTACAGGTTTCTGGGGCCATTTGGGGTCATAATGAAGGGGAGGGTTTTGGGAAGAACATCTTGCATTATCCTAAGGTGGTGATTAGAACTTTTAATTAAAATAGTAACAATAATACTTACTGTTATTATTTAAAATCCTGCCTTTTTTCCCTGTAATCATGATTTCTTTCATATACATATATGGTGATGTGTATATGTGGAGTGTGTTTCCATGTGTGTGTTTGTGTATGTGCATGTGTAGTTACGATGTGATGATAAAGAGAAGGTTTTTGGTCCTTTTACTAGATAAAGGCAGAAAATCAGTATGCTTGTGATTTTGTGCAAGATGACTCCACATACCTTTTCGTGATAGAATGTCAGCAGCTTACCCTTGAATTAAGTGATGAGTTGGATGAGCTTCTGAATGAATTAAAGACCTTGAGAGAAAAAAGCTCAAGCTAGAAAAGGCAGAGTGTGTTTTGAGGATTGTGGCAGTTTTTTCCAGATTGTGTGTGTGAGAGAGAATGATTTCTGCTTTTGGATGATAGGAGCTACCTCAGGTTGTGTACTAACGTCTGATGGGATACCACAGACTCTCACAGCCGACCAAAGAGTTGAAGGTCCGCAGCTGGTCCAGGTGGAAGTCAGCAGATGGAATGGTTCATACCTGGAATAGGCCAGGACAGAACAGGACGCAGGTGGAGACTCAGGAGGGAATTGGTGCAGAGGTGGGGAGGTGGGGAGGTGGGGAGGTGGGGAAAGGCAATGAGGAAGGAAAACCCTGCATGGGAAGGCTGAAGTGGTCATCTCTGAGCCCTCCTTGTGGGTCACCTGCCCAGGGCTGGTCTGCTGGTCCAGGTCCTGTCAGTGCCTTGCTGTTGTCAGGCCGCACAGGTATTCTGCTTGCTCTCTTATGTATTTTGGTCACTGCATTGTTGGCCATCATGCTGCTTAGGTAGCCTTTCTTGCTGGCTATTTTCCACGTGGAATTGCCAATGAAAATGTTTGGCTGTGGGGTTTTGCTGGGCTAGCACCTGCCCTTGGGCATTTCCAAGTTTTTCCTCAGCTGGCATAGCTGTGACTACGGCCTCCTGCAGGTCTTCATGCTGTTTTCAGTGTGTGTACTCGTCTTTGGGAGCAGATGATTCCTAAATATTACCCAACTAATACCTACTTGGAAAGCCACATTAGATCCCAATGGAACCCTTTTGAACTAGCTGCTGACCGCCCATAAAAGAGCAGCACAGGCCTCAAAGCCACTTCTGTTTGGCTCTGTTATTAATCTCTTTAGGAAATGATTCCTTAGGGAACCAGGGTAAGAAGGCCTGCTGCCTGTAAAACAGCTGCCTCGCCACTAAGTCTTTAGAAAGAGACAATGGAAAATAATTTAGTACAACAAGGGCTATTGTCCGGAAGTGACATTTCCCTCCTTCCCTTGAGTTGAAACAGTTGTGTTGAAACATGGAAAAGTAATTATAAATTGGGGAGGGGTTGGGGAGTCATCCCTTTTGCTATTTCTTTCTCACACAATGCACGAGGGAAATCATGCTTTTTAGCTGTTTTGTTTTCTCCCTGGTGTTTGGATAAAATGTCTGTAAAATCTGACGCTAAAGTAATAAGGCAAATGTATAGAATGTCAGAGGGATTACACTGGATTCTGGGTATCATTGGGTGGCTTTTGAGCTGTTGACATGCCAGATGTCTTTGGTACCAGTGAAATTATAAATGTCTGTGTGAACAGACTGGTAGTCATGAAGGGCTCACACGACGTGATTAAGCTTATTTCTGGTTTGTTCAGATCTGAGACTGTATCCTGTGGGTTCTGCTCTAGTTACGGGGTCTTTCATTACATGAGGCTGTCATTTTTACCTATGCATCTATATAGCAGAAAATAAGATTTAACACTTTTTGGTTGAAAATTTGGAAATAACAAAAAGTTTAAAGAAAAAATATCAAAATGTATCTATAACTTCACTGCCAGAAATAATCTACTGTTCTTCCCGGCTTTACATTTTTTACTTATGTATTTGATATATCCTTACAGTAACAGGATTATATAATATTTACCATTTGGCATTATGGTTTTTCCATATAATGACATACTGTTCATGAATTTATTTCTATTGCAGAAGATAAATACTTGAAGATGTGAATTACTGTAATTTTGATTAATTAGTGTTGTCTGGTTCTGGAGGGAACTATTGCCCGATTTTTACCTCTGTTTTTAATACTGGCAGTGAATATCTAAAAGTCACTTGTTCTCTTGATACAAAGGAAGTGGAAATTACCTGGCCTGTATTTGACGTCAGATATTTTCTAATAGTTCACTTCCCACTAGAAGTAGAGAACAAGTCTTCTGAGAGATATGGCCCAAATTCCTTTCTCATAGGGAGGTAAAATAGGACCCTAAAAGAGAGGCTGGTGGCCACCAAGAAGAGATAAAGCTTCTGGCTTTCTTATTCAAGAAGTATTCTTATTTCTGCAGGCATTCCCTATGGCCAAATAATTGTTAGCCTTCTAGGTAGAGGATATTTCCCCAAATTGCTATTAAGAATCCCAAAATGCACAGCACAGGAAACGTACTGGAATATTTGCTTTAAATTTCATCGGGGCATTGTTATGGACTGAATTGTCTCTTCACCCCTAATTCATATAAATCCTAACCAAGCACTTCGGAATGTGACTAACAGGCCCTTTAAATAGGTGGTTAAGTTAAAATGAGGGCTTTAGGGTGGGCCCTAATCTATTCTGACTGGGTCTGTATAAGAAGAGGAAATTGGACACACAAGGAGACACCAGGGATGCGTGTGCACAGAGGGAGGACCATGTGAGGACACAGCAAGAGGACAGCCATCTGCAAGCCAAGGCAAGAAGCCTCAGAGGAAACCAGCCCTGCCAGCACCTTGATCTTGGACTTCCAGCCTCCAGAACTGTGAGAAAATAAATTTCAGTTGCATAAGCCACCCAGTCTGGTATTTTGTTATGGCAGCCCTAGCAAACTAATAAGGCAGCTAGAAGAATTGTTTGAAATATTTGGGAATATACTTTCCAACTATAATTACTGATGTGGAGAAAATGTCAATGTGGATATGAAGAAAACACCTTAGCAAACAGAGGGATGCAATCGGGGTGCAGGGTACCCAGATTTGTGCAGGTTTTTGGTAAAGCTTTAGTTCCCACATCATGTGGTTGGTTCACCATGTTCCATTACATTATTATGCTGTATAGAGTACACCTATGTAACATTATGTGATTTTTCCATGGATCAAATATTATATTAAAGATAAAGTGAACTTCAAATCCCTGACAAGTAGAAAAAAAAAGATAAAGGAAAAAAGTTAAATATAAAAAAAGAAAAAACAGTTTTTTTACATGGATTATATTTAATGAAAAAAAATATGACATGGTCAGAATTCTCATTACAATTCATATAAATATTGCTTTTCCTTTCAATAGCCAGTCTATTCTGTGAAGCAGATTGTAATTGTATTCATTAGTTATTTCTTTATGGAAAATAGGTTAATTATTTTTCCATTTAAAAGGAAAATTAATATCAGAAGTGAGCCATTCAGCCTTGGCAATGAGATATGAAAATGTGGAAGCTTAAGCTATTGAAGCGTGATGCTGAAATATTTAAGCTTTGAAGAAGGGTTGGGACTGTTTGTGAAAGTTTTTCTAACATTTAGAATTGGAAATACTTATTGTGTCCTGGAAAATAAGTTGTGGATGTTTGGTCGAAGAAGTCTGGTTCATGTTCACGTTAGTTTAGCCTTCCTTTTCTGTGTGTGTGTGTTGTGATTTGAGAGATTTTTCACATTGCTGGATTATATTTGAAATGTATGGCAATGGTTATAAGGTCTGACTGGGATCATCGCACTAAAAGTGCAATTTTTTTTATCATATATGGTACTACTTCTGAGTGTATACTATTCTCTGAGGCAATAGCTAACAATATTTCTGTGTACAGTATCTCAGTATCTTGATAATTGTTCATAGGCAGTCATTTTGGCTTTAAAATTTCTTAGATTACTTAAGTACTATGTCAAGTTTTGTGGATATGTGCAACTCTTCTTAGCATCCTAATTAAGAATATTTTTAAAGAAAATTTTTATAAAATATGTTAAATAATCCTTTCCTTCTTAGAGTATTCTGAATATAGCTTGACCATTTGTGTAACTAATGAAGGTCATCATTATGAATGTAATTCTTGTTCTGCTTGTAACGATGTCTTTGGAGCTATTGAGATAAGTATGGTCTGCTCCTATAGTAAGTTAACTCTAAATATATATGCTTTTTCTGGTTTTTTTTTAAGACGGGGTATTATTCTGTCACCCAGACTGGAGTGTAGTGGCATGATCATAGCTCACTGCAGCCTCACCCTCCTGATCTCAAGTGATCCTTCCACCTCAGCCTCCTGAGTAGCTGGGATTATAGGCATGTGCCACCATGCCTGGCTAATTTTTTTTTATTTTTAAATTTTTTGTAGAGATGAGGTCTTACCATATTGCCCAGGCTGATTTTGAACTCCTGGGCTCAAGCAATCCTTGTGTCTTAGCCTCCCAAAGCGCTGGGATTACCGGTGGTCACTGTGCCCGACCACATATGCTCTTTCAATATTTTTCTTGCCTTTTATTTTTTTCTCTCTTCTCTTTTGTCATAAGACGATCACTTATAATTTTGTTTGCTGCTTTTTGCAGCCTCTTTCCTCTTTCAAATTTTGCTTTTACTCTGCTTGTGAGAATGGAGATAACAATTGAACTTACAGGGGTTGTGTAAAAATCTGGAACCTGTGAGACCCAAGAAATTCTGTTCAGGAAAAAGTGTTGGTGGAGTTTGTAGTAACTAGTTGAAGTTGCACAACTGTTGAGATGACTATAACTTCTCTTGAGTGCCTATTGTAGGCAAGCTATACCCCAGTGGCAGCACTGCTCAGCTCCCTGAATTTGGACTGGTGAAGCACAAAGGTGATTTGTCGCCCTCCTCCCTTATCAGCCATGACATTTAGATTTTGCAGTTGAGAAAGAAAAATTTCTGCTTCTCTCAGTCTTGGTTTGTATGCTGGAATCGAGGCCAGAATTCTCACTAAAGGCTACACGAGAAAGGTGGAGTGGAACAAGAAGGCCTTGGATGGTCGACAGATGCATGATTGGGATTTATCTGCCTAATTCTGCATCCCTTAACTAGTGGCATGATGTTTCTCAGAAATTTCTTTGTGAGTCAAAGAATAATTTATAATTCCCCCACCCTCATAGAAAATGCTTCCTTTAAAATATCAAATATTTGGGTCACAAAATTCTCAATTTTATCCCTCAGATAATTAAATGAGTCTGTTCTAAGTGGCATTTTAATTTTTGTGTTTAAAGTTTCATTTTTCAAGCTGTATTGCCACCAGTTTTGCTTGGAAAGGTATAGCTTTGGAGCAATGGCATATTAGTCCATTCTTGTACTGCTGTAAAGGAATACCTGAGACTGGGTAATTTATGAAGAAAAGAGGTTTAATGGACTCACAATTCCACAGGCTGTACTAGAAGCATGGCTGGGGAGACCTCAGGAAGCTTTCAGTCACAGCAGAAGGTGAAGGGGAAGCAGACATGTCTTACGTGGCTGGAACAGGAGAGAGTGAAAGGAAGGATGGACTTGAAACAGCCAGATCTCATGAGAGCTCACTATCGTGAGAACAGCACTAAAGGGGCAAATTCACCCCCATGATCTAATCACCTCCCACTAGGGCCCTCCTCCAACATTGGGGATTACAGTTCCACATGAGATTTGGGCAGGGACATAAATCAAACCATATCAAATAGTGATAATACACATATATGTGTAGTTTTCTAAAAGGACCACCCAGGGTGCTGATACTATTTTTTAAGTTGGCCATGCTTAGAATGTAATTTTTCATGGACTTCTGATCCAAACTGGGACAACAGATGTGCCTGATTTTCCCCTTCAGTGATTGACAAATATAGCTGTAAGTAGAATTCAAAATTATTCTCTTCATCAGCCATGGTCAGCGTTCACCTGACCTAAGTCCTTATGTTACTTAACTCTATGTTTTTTGAGACAGAGTCTCACTCTGTCACTCAGGCTGGGGTACAGTGACATGATCTTGGCATCTTGACTCACTGAAGCCTTGACCTCCCAGGTTCAAGCGATCTTCTTACCTCAGGTTCCCAGGTGGCTGGGACCCCAGGCATGCGCCACCATGCCTGGCTAATTTTTTGATTTGTAGAGATGGGGGTCTCCCTATGTTGCTCAGGCTGGTCTCGAACTCCTGGCTTCAAGCAGTCCTCCCACTTTGGCATCCCAGAGTGCTGAGATTACCACTGTGCCTGGCTCGTTAACTGTGTTTTTAAAGGAACTCTTTGTATGTGTGCTGACAGGTTACCCAAAAGGAGTGACTTTGAGACTTTAATTTACATAGCTCCAAACAGCATGTCCAGGTGAAAGCACAGATATCAGAATAGGTATGATGGATCTAAGAGCCAAAGCATTTCATTCTCATTCATTGTAGTCCAAATGAAAGACATTTGAATCATGCAACATTTTGAAGAATTTTTAAAACATGCTTTTAGATTGTTTTACAACAAAATTAATGATGTAAAGGTAGTTTAAAACTTGATTAATACCTGATTTTTACTAGTTAAGTACCAGGCAGCCTTTATTTCAAACTGGGAAACTATTTTAAATACTTATGAGTACTAGTATTTTTTTTTTTTGCCAGAAATTGTGACATGTGGTAGATTCAATGATTCCAAAAAATCGATACAGTTTCAAATTTTAATTTAGATGTAATTGTGATCATCACTGTATTTATATATCCAAGTGACTACATTTTAAGTTGTAGACAATTGTTATTTAGAGGTATGAAGAAAAAGAGGGAGCTGGTGGGAAGTTTGCTAGCATAGGAGAAAGTAAAAAGAAGCTTCAATTTTATAATAATGAAATTAAAAGTCTTAAAAAGTCTTAGAGATTATTTAGTATAGTACTTTATTTTTTTCCTTAAGAAACAATCAAGGCATGTACTGATTAATTGAGTTATTTAAGCTTACTGAGGTTGGCTTGAATTAGCAATTAAGGAAATAATACAAAGCCCCAAAGCATAAACTCCAAAGGATGATAATAAGCATGAGGGATGGGCAGTTTTGATGATCAATTCTTAAAATAAGTTCCTTGAATATGTATGACAATATCCTCACCAAATGTGAGTATGTATCTTTGCCATGAGCATTTTAAAGTAATAGGCGGAATTCCTAATGTTCTTCATGGCATTCACAGATTCTTTAATCAAGTGAGTATTTTCATGGCCTTTTCCTGTCTTTCACAAACATTTTTTTTTTTGTAAAGGTGGGACTGACCACTATACAGCTGTGCATTGGGGAGTCACTGGTGACCTCAGCCAAGAATGAATTCAGGCCATCCGGCTACAGGCCAGAAGCTTTGCCAGCTTAGCTACTTGACCACCTGCTTCTGTTTTTCTGTTCCACTTGCAAATGGAGGGTGTTTGTTCTTTTCCTGGCATCAACATCAATTTAAAAAAATTCCTTGGAGGAAGTTGGAAAGGGGAGGCAAGAAGTTGATCAGTGTTATTAGTTTTGTTCCCCGAAGAATAGCATCTCTTAATTGAGATGCTGGGACATTGGTCCAGCTATAGGCCACTGGCTGAATGGAATTTTCTCCACTAATGAATTCTTTTGTAGTTGAGAACTGTTGGAGATGTGTTTGATGGCAACCTTGAAAATTACAAACCATTTATCTTACTTTTCCTTCACTATACAGCCCCAACAAATACAGTGGGTTTCATTAAAGTAATGAAAATTTAAGCTGGCACATATTCTCAGCTACTCTGAAGGCTGGGGCAGGAGGATCACTTGAACTCAGGAGTTCAAGTCCATCCTGGGCAACATGGCGAGACTCTGTCTCTTAAAAAAAAAAAGAAGAATTTAAAACAGATATAGTTATCAGAATTTATTATTCCATGCAACTATTATCACCTAAGAGAAGTGACATTAAACATTTAACAGTTTTTCAGTGATGCCACCATTATCAAGTAAAAACATGTTAGGAATTTCTTACAGCCCAACGAGGTCAGGCCCTTTTTAAAAAAATACTAATAGTTCTAGCTGGGTTGTTACATCCAATTCCCTTGAGAGAATTGAGGTTTAAATTTAAAATAAATCCTCTATGAAATGATTAGATTTCATAGATTAGATTAGATTCACTGTAGGCTCTGAAGGTACCTCCTGTGACATGATATGGGCAAAGTAAATGTGTAAGTCTTCCAAAGTGATTACTTAGAATAACGTACGCACATACACACAAAATAGTAATGAGAATAATAGTGGACAGGAGGAATCTTTTGGAGGCGGTGGATATGCTCGTGGCATAGATTGTAGTGAGGGTTTCATGTGTGTATACTTACCTCCAAACTTACCAAGTTCTATACATTAAAGATGTACAGCTTTTTTTTGTCAGTCATACCCCAAGAGCATGTTTTTTCTTTTGGTAAAAAAAGTACAAAACACTCTTGGCAGTTTTTTCTTTATTCTTTAATGGCATAGTTCTAGGTTATTTCATACTTAAAATATGCCTTTTAGTTTCCCAAGAAACCTAGTTCAGATTGTATAGTGGACATTGATGTTTAAAAGCTCCTCACTTTCTTTGCCTCTTATAGATATGGCATTAAAAAGAAGCAGCAGCAGTTAGCAGGGATTTTCCTCTAAGAAGATGAGAAAAGATGTGACAGAAATGGTTGGGGATGATGGCCTGTTCAGTTAGTTACTCCTCAGTAACAGCAGTGGTGCTTGTAGGATAGTGATAGTGCTAGAGATACAGAAAGTGGCAGTTATTTGGAGGGGGCGAGGGATGTCAAAGGGGTCTCAAGGCTTGGCATAGGATGGGAAACGTGACGAGGATGTTTAAGCAGTAGGGTTCTTTGATCAACTTTGTGTTACTGAATGATTCCTAGGTGTTCTCATTTACCTTGATCTACTCTAACAGAATTTATGTTTTATTCAGTTTCTCAGCAAAAGTTAAGTACTTCTTGATTTTTTTCCCCTTACATTACTGTAAGAAATGTACTTGATATTTAAATATCAAGATAAAAGAAGGGAGTAATAGTTATCATCTTGGAATGTGTAACCCAGGGAAATAAATATGTAAAACATGGATTGACCCTAAGTGTCCAAAGAAATGGGATACACACACACACGCACACACACACACACACACACACACACACACACACACGTATACTATTCCACCATGAACAACAATGAAATCATATCATTTGCAGTAACATGAATGGAGCTGGAGGTCATTATCTTAAGTGAAATAAGCCAGGCACAGAAAGACAGATTCCGCATGTTCTCATATGTGGGAGCTAAAAAATCTGATCACATGGACGTAGAGCATGGAAAGATAGATAGATAGGAGAGATTGGGAAAGATGAGTGGAAGGGAGAGGGGAGGATGCAGAGAAGTAGGTTAAAGGTTACAAACATGCACAAATATAGAAGAAATAAATTCAGTGTTTGATAGCAGAGTAGGGTGACTGTACTTCACAAAACTGTACTGTGCTCTGGTGACGGGCACCCTAAATACCCTGGCTTCATCACTACATGTTATATACATGTAACAAAATTTCTCATATACCCCATAAACTTGTACACATAAAAATAATTTTTAAAGAAGTTAACTTTGTACACATGTAGTGGGCAATTTTTTCCTTCTAGCCATAGATTGAAGCCCAAACTTGATATTCTACATAATATTAATATTAACTAGGCAGTTTCTGCTGATGCCAGTTCTTAGAAAGATAACAAATTTTTACTCCTTAATGGATAGTTCTATGTTTCACCAGGTTGTAATAACATGTCCATTACCAGTAAGAGACATTTTCCCAGTACTCTGTAGTGGAGCTCAAATGGAGCATATTCTGGCTTTGCCACTTACTAGGTATTTAAGCCTTAGCTTCCTCATCTGTGTGATGAAATAACAGTACCCACTTCAGGATGGTCACAAAGATTCAACAAGTAAGGCATGCAATGCATTTAGCATGATGTCTGGCATACTTAATGCCCCAGAAAGGTTTTTAAAAATAATTGTAAGTATTGAGTGTAAAACAGGCTCTCTGACTAATTCTAAGATTGGAGAGATGAGAGACTTTTCCATGTGTTGAATTTTAGATAGAACACAAAGTCGTGTGTGTGTGTATAGAGTATATAAATGAAGCAGTACATACTTAGTATAGTTCCTGGCACAGAGTAAGTAATCCAGATAGATTAGAGAATAACAGCTATGAGTATTATTATTAATTCAGTTTTCAAATGTTTATAAAATGTGTACTTTATTAATATGGTTATATGCAGACTTTAAGACAGTTATATATGTATATATTTAAAGAACACTAAGCTTGCTATATAACCAGTAAAGATGTGCAGGGTGATATTAATATGATTAGAATACAAATGCCTTCAAGACAGGGTCTTTTTTCTTTTTTTAGAGACAGGGTCTCACTCTGTCACCCAGGCTGGAGTGCAGTGGCTTGATCATAGCTCACTACACCTTCAAACTTCTGGCTCAAGCAATTCTCCCACCTCAGCCTCCTAGAGGCATGCGCCACCACACCCAGCTAATTAAAAAAATTTTTTTGGTAGTGATGGTGTTTCTCTATGTTGTCCAGGCTGGTCTTGAACTCCTGGCCTCAAGCAATTCTCCACCTTAGCCTTCCAAAGTGTTGGGGATTATACGCATGAGCCTCTGGGCCTGGCCAAGATAGGGTCTGTGTGTGTTTTGTTTACTGCTGTCTTCTCAGGGACTAAAATGTGTTTGGTACATAATAAATGCTCAAAACACTTGGATGAAAGGATGGATGAATATGTGCTAGACACATATCAATGTGTGTGCTTGCTTAGCCCCTTGCAGTTCTAACTGATCATGAATTTTTCCATGGCATAAAGGTTGAGAGTATAACTTCTGTCACCAGGCAGTTCAAGTCTACTTACTGGCTGTGGGTCTGGGGCAATTTACTTAACCTCTCTAAGCCTTAGTTTCTTCATTTGTAAAATGGGGTAATAATTATTTCATTGATTTATTATGACTATTAAATTAATCAATATTTGTAAATCGCTGAGAAGAGTATCTGCCTTGCCTATACTATGCTCTATGTAAATGTTAAATAAATAATTAAATAAATAATAAGTCAATAAATGCCACTTGTGCCAGGAATGTGCACACAACCGAAAGACAACCATTCATTGGCTGACATTGGCATGATTTTGGCTTAGGTCATAAAGAGCTAGGCCAAATTTCTCTTTTAGGACGTTATACCTGAGAAGTTGGAGATTAAGTCAGTTAGCTATGAGAAAGGAGATTTATAGCCCAGGGAAGAGGGTAGTCATTAAAGGATGCAGGCAACAAAGATGCCTTGTTGGCCAGGGCATTGATGAGAGTGGAGCATGCTGTGCACAGAGGAAGGGAGAAAATGGGGAGGGGAGGGAGGAGGGCAGGATGCTGGGGTATGGGGGTTAGGCCACGTCAGAGTGGTTCCCCCAAACCCATTCTTTTTATTTGTTTGTCTTATAACTTGAGTGAAGCTCTGTTCCTTGTGAGACAAAGGACATGATGTGATTAGTCATTCCTAATAACTAGCTTGCCGTGTCTTAATTTATTCCTTTTTGGTAAATGATTAATTGTTTAGGAAAAACCCACCTAAAAGTTGTTGTAGGATATGGCAGTAGAGGCAGTAGCAGCTACAAAGGAGGATAAGTTGACGTCTGGCTCCCCACACTCAGGCAGTGTTACGTTGCATACAGTATAATGAACAAAGAAATCTGTTACAAAGAAGTGTCTGCCTATTTACTGGAAAGTCAAGTGTCCTTGGATAATTCAATAGTGCTTGAGAACATTATATGTTAGGGTTTAAGTAAGTGACTAGATAAAAAAGATAAAATCGTGTTTACTATGGCTTCTTTTTTCAAGGTAGAGAAGCATGCTGTTCATTTTGAGGTTTCCTATAACATCAGGTAAAGTTTAGCCAGATGAACTTTGTACATTGTGTGAACCAGTATTCTTTTAGTTGAAAGTGATAAAAACCCTCCTCAAAGTAGTCCAGGGGCAGAGGTTATATGGAGTTTCTTAGGACTCCGTTGCTTTTGCTCCAAGTTTACATGGTTAGGATTTTGGATAGAAAAAGAGAGAGGGGAGTGGGGTGTGTGGGTGGCAGGGAGAGGGGGGAGAGAGAGAGAGAGAGAGAGAGAGAAAGAAAGAGACAGACAGACACTCTCTTCCTCCCAACATCTATACACAAAACTAAGTGAAAGGGCACAGGTCCTGCTTGGGTCACATTCCTACTTCTGGTTGTACCACTGTATCCAGGGGGATGATGAGAGCTTGGTCCAGTCTGAGTCATGTGTTTCCTCTGAGGCAAGGGGGCTGGGGTACCAAGAGTGACAGCCCAGCCCAGGCCCTGCAGAGTGGAGGAGGGGAGGCTCTGCAGGGGAGGAGTGCTGGCAGGCAGAGACAACACTTCCACTCCAGGCAAATGAATGGCAGAGTGTTTGTTATTCAGGAAACCACTCCTCCAGAGCTCTGCTCTCTTGATGCCAGATAAATGAGGCTTCACGCTATTTGGAATTACTTACTTTCTTTGGGAATACGCAAAATAAAAATTGTGACACATATAAAAAATTTACATTATCATTTTTTAAATCAATTGTTTGTACTTATACTGTCATACAAAGGGAAACTTTTTCACAAGCTTTTATACAAACACATTAGTAACAGTACACCCCCATTTCTATCCTCCAAATCTTAAGATCTTGGGAAGTTGAAACCAGTCTGGATGGGGAGTAGCAACTGTGAGTTCAGAATTCTCTGTAGTTAGGATGCTCAGGATGCAGGCGTTTTGTTATCCTTTACTTACAGTCACTGTGGAAAAAAATTACCTTGGCATAAAGGTTCTCCAGTTTTGTTATGCCACATTAACCAAGATGTGTAAATGTCATAAGTGAACTATTGATATTATTTAAGTGTTCCAGAGAGACTGTACCAGAGCTCAAGTCATCCCCAGGAGAGCTTAACCTACCTTCCTTCCATAAGTAAAGCATCTCTGACATCACATAAATCAGCCCAACCTCTCTAGTCAGTACAGACTGCCTTTTTTTCCTACCCTAAAAAATTTGCTGCTTGACATTGGAATGCAGAATGAATATGCTGCTTTTGTGTTTCACAGGTTGACACAATGATAAAGACAGATCCCAGGGTCAAAGCAAAATTCTCTGGTTACCCTTTCTAGTCTAATTAAAATTTATAGGAAGTGTAGCTTTCTATTAGGTTTTCCATGCCAGACATGAAAGATCTATGTATCTTTCCTTCCCATTACTATGTGTCTGGCCAGATTGTTTCATGCTGTTAGCATCCAGGTTACCTGGTACAGTGTATGAAATTTTCTTACGTGGATTTTGCAATGGGCATACATCCTATTCAGTTTTTAAAACAAGTGCAGCAAGTTTTAAAACAAGTCCACAGACTTTTTTTTTCTCAACCTTTTCTTTTATATTGGACTTATATAGGTAGTAACAAATATGTTCAGTGTTCTAGAAATATTTGTATATGGGGTCTATTTGAAGACTGACTAGCGGTCGCCAGGTAGACATCATAACAGGAAAGGAATCAGTAGGAAATTTGCCACTTACAAAAGTACATGTCTGCTTTCAAGGCTAACTTAATTATTAAAGCCTATGACTCACTTGAGTTGTTAAGTCTTTCTGTCCCCCTGCAAATATTAGTTAAATGTCTATACCAGAGAACAAGAGGTACAGGGCCACAGTGGTGATCTTGATGGGGGGCCTCGAGTCCTGCTTAATAGAGCTCAGAGTCGATGTTAGCCCGTGAAAATATTTGCTCAGCCTTCATTCTCAGGAAAAACTGATGAAATGTAAACTGATGAATGCCGCGATAGGATCTTTAATAGAGGCTATAGCCAAGTACAAGTAAGTTGTTTCGAAAGATAAGTGTATAGAAAGCTAAAGTTTGACAAATTAATTGTTGTTCCCTGCTGAAGGAACATTCTGTTTTCTTTCCTGCAGTGGCCACTGACCTCTGGCTGGGGCAGTGGGGGTGCCTGCTTAAGGAGATAACCCAGGGCTGTTCAGATTTCTGTGTAACCTCTGACTGCCATGTTCAGAGTCTTGCTGATTTACTAAATAGATTAAGATACTTTCCAGAGATTGGGCCAGCTTGATAGGTTTCCTTTGTCTTAGTTGCTCCTCCCTCAGAGCTTGCATCAAATCATTCTCTTCAGGGAAAATTTGCCCCAAGAATCCCATGGAACCTGATGTGGTTTGTACTGTCTTTGGATTCCTGTGGCATTTTAATACTGTTAAGATCTAGATATCATACTGTTCTCTGGCATTGTGTGAGTGTACATTTGCCTTCTCAATTAAATTATCCCACCAATTCAATTTGCAGAGTGTTTTCAAAAGAAACATCTTATCATCTCATTTGATATTCACAAAAGCCCTCTGAGAGAGGTAAAGCAGGAGCCTCTGTTTACAGATGAGCTGAGTCACAGAGTCGGATATACTTGGAGCCCTTGCTCTGACTGCAGTGCACTGAGATAGACAGAGGAGAATACAGGTTGAGTAGTCTTTATCTGAAATGCTTGGGACCAGAAGCGTTTCATATTTCACATTTTTGTTTTGATTTTTAAATATTTGCATTATATTTACTGGTTGAGCATCCCAAATCTATAAGCCTGAAATGCTCATTGGAGTGTCATGTTGGTACTCCAGAAATTTTGGATTTGGGAGCATTTTGGATTTTGGGTTTTGGGATTTGGGATTCGGGTATTTGGGATTATTATGTATTATATACATTATGTGTGTATATATATATGTGTATATGTATATACATTATGTATATATATTATGTATATATATACATAATATTATGTATTATTATACATAAGTATAATACAAAATGCTTGTTTTAGAAGCTTACATCCTGGCTACAGAGGGAAGGTATATGCAGTTACCCCAAATTGTGACTATTTTGTGGAAATGTGGGAAGACAGAATTGTTATTGGGATAGGGAAAGCGTCTGGGGTAGGAGGGTCATATAAGTGCTAGATCCCAACAGATGGATAAGACTTGGACGGAACGTGACACATCCTTGTCAGGGAGACAACTGTTAGAGCAAAAGAAATACGGAAGTACGAACTGTGTTTTGACAGGAGGAAGTAGGGCCGTTTGTCTGTAGTTGAGGAGTGTGTTTAGAGAAGTAGGAAAAACATAGGTTAGAAACTCAGGATGGAATCAAATAATGGAGGACTTATGCCAGACCAGGTTGGGCTATGAATGCATTTGAGAATGGGAGTGGTGGTGATAAAGGTGGTGGACACGCACCAGGGAGCGATGAGGATGAGAAGGGTTGAGGGACTGCTGCAGAGACTACGTGATAGGGGCCTGAACAGGGATGTTGAGGGCGGGAGGAAGAAGAGATGCAGATGTGAGAAAGATTGGGAAGGGAAGAAAGGCAGCGCCAGTCAAGTAATGAGATGGTGGTAGGGTTTTGTAGAGTGGTAGAGACTTGAAAAGATGCTAGAACATCATTTTATGAGACAATAACATATTTCTAGGAGGGCGTATTTGCAGTGATGTACTGGTAGGGAGGATACTGAAGGCATTTGGTTACATTCACAAGTATAAATTGTGACCAACTGTTTGGCTTCTGTTACATCCTTCATAGCAACCAACACAGAGCAGGCCACTTGGTAAATATTGCTGGCTTCAGTAATGGGATTCATTTAGTTGGCTTGTAGTAACTTAGATGAAGCTGGGCTGAACTTTACCTGCCGTGTAAACCTTAAACTGTGCTAGTAGTAAAAGAGAATGGGCAAGGAATATTTAAAATACTTATGGAAACAAATGATTTTTAAGTGCTGTCAGGAGCTTGAGAAACATCCATTTATAACCAAACAATTGAGAAGCTCATTAAAAATAGTTTTTAGCCATTTATTACAAAGCTTCTCTAACTACTTTTATTGAAATACCCTTTGAAATTTGCTAAGTATATTAAAAGTGATAGTTTCTTTGAAATTTTCAGTATTTGACACTGATAACCTTAGTAAAAGAGAGACTTCTTATATATGAATAAAGAGGATTTAGCATTTTAACAGCATTGATTGCCCAAGTATTATTTAGAAAAGTAAATGCAATACTGTAAGTATATAACTAGTATCTTGAAGATTA
The DNA here is from genome assembly GCF_000001405.40 of Homo sapiens. Lineage (NCBI taxonomy): Eukaryota > Metazoa > Chordata > Mammalia > Primates > Hominidae > Homo > Homo sapiens. The sequence continues at coordinate 112,158,520 of NC_000007.14, read as the reverse complement.
TTTTATGAACCTTATCAGTTCTTGTATTTGATCAAAATTCATTGTGTTTTGGAATTCCAAGGACTATTTTAAAAAGCACAACAAAAACCAAAGAAAGGTATAACTTTTCCACACAGATTAAGTGCTAAATTTACTGTTGTGTCTATATTCCTACTTCATTTGTTCAAAAAGTATTTATTGGAAATTCATACTATGTATAAGCAATAGGTGCTAGGGATACAGAGATAAGTAAGACCATGAGTAGTACCAAGTCCATATAGGTTTCTAGCTAGAAACTTGGGCATCACCCTAGTAAATGGTTCCTAAATGTATTATTCCCAAGACCAGAAGCATCAGCACAATCTGAGAATGTGGAGGTGCAGCTCAGCCATCTGTTCTTACAGGTTCTCCTAAGTGATTCTGATACAAGTTTAAAGGTTGAAAGCCAGAGAATTTTAACCTGGGCTTCCATGGAGATAACTGCATTTCAGTATTATTATAGTCAGTATTGTATTATATACTGCACTTCAGTGTATATTTAGTTTCTATATATTTTATGCATTTAAAAACATTTTGAGGACAATTTATAGGCCTTACTAGATTCATCCTCTCCACTATAGCCAAAGAGACCATCCTTATGTGCTAATCATTTAAATGCTTAAAATCATTGTCATTGGTCACACGGGATCAAGTCCAAATCCTTTAGGATGGCTTGCAAGGTGTTTTCATGGCCTGGCCCTTGTCTGCTTTTCCAAGAACTCCTCCTGTGCTTTTCAGCACATGCCCTGTGCTTTAGCCTTAGCGGAAGTCATGCCACACTTCCTTGATTATACCAGGACACCCAAATCTGTGCATTGACAGCTCTCTCCGTCTGAAATATCCCTCTGTTTCTGCTTTGCCTGGTAAACTTCTATTCAGGCTCATCAGCATACCAGGGCAGAGTTAGGGTGCTCTAATCCCTGAACTGTGAGAGTTTTCCTTACATTATCTCCAAATAATTATTATAAAAATTATTTGACCACAGATTTCCTATTTTAAAAATCCTTGATGCTAAATGAAGATCTTTCAAATGGATTACACAGGTATGTAGTTGCTATAGAGTGGTGCTTTCTTTTAACCCTTAAAATGTTCATACCTCTGGAGAGTAAGCCAACAGCTGGTGTAGAATCTGGCCGGCAGTGTACCATGTCCAGGGCAGGAAGGGGAAAATGACGTCTCCCATGGCCGCTACAAGGTGGGTATTGGATAAGCACTCTGTAATTACTCTCATTGCTTGGTTGCCAGGCTGTTGGAGGCCAAAACACATATGAGGTTTTGTGGTTTGAGCTGTTGTCCTCCCACAATACTGTGAGCTGCTCTCAAATGACGGGAAAGAAAGATGACTAGGGCTCAACCATAGTGAATAATTAAAAAAAAATTTGAGTCTCACCTCCCAATATAAAAGTCATACATACTCACAGAAATCTAGGAAGATAGGAAAAAGTGTGAAGGAGAAAAATTACATGTTTCCCTGTCTGCTAATGAAGATAACATTAAAAAAAACTTTTTTTCACGTATGTTAACTTTTAAAATCAAGCTATATATAATTTTACAATCTGATTTCCTTTTCATACTATAAACTTGTCTCATAAATTCTCAATACATATTTTAATAGCTACATGATATTTTATTGAATTAATTTGTCTTTACTTATATATTCTAATATGAAAGGTTAAGGTGGTTGTCCATTTTCTTTCTTTGTAAATAAAACTACCTTGAATATATAGTGAATAATTTGTGTGTGTGTGGTTTTTTAATAGTCTTTATAGCCAAGTATATAATTAAGTATGTCAGTAATTTCTTCTGAACTTCATCTATTTGACATTAATCAAATATTTATTGAGCACTAGAACAATGCTGGGTAGCGCCTCCTTACACAGGAATGTAGAGAGTCTCCAAATCTGCTATTTGTGAATACTACATCATAGAAAGTAGCATTTAAACAATTTTATGTGGGTTTGTCTCTATTATAGAATGTCATGCTTGGTAAGATAAGAGAACAGCAGACTTTAGCTTTCTGGCTCACTGATTAACCAAATATTTAAACATGAATACAATTTATAATTCTTCAATTCCATACAGTTTTTACCAAATTATAATGTAACCCCAATGTGATATTTTTCTTTTCATTACTTCTAAGAAATGCAAACATTTTTATAGATTGTTCATGAAATTATATCTCATAATTGGCCGCTAAGTTCTAAATATGTAGTTCTTTTAGACTGAGAAGGATGAAGGAGGACTGAAGAGAGAACTAATTTTTACAGTGTCTGTGTGCTGGACACAGTGTGAGGGAGGCCATCCTGAGAGTTTGGTGTTGAGATTCCCATTATAGAGATGAAGAAGCCGAGGCTCAGTAAAGTACAATTTCAAGGTTGTGTAGGTTGGGTAAGAGACTCTAGTGTGTCAGCCTCCAAAGCCCATGCTCTGTTACATCTAGGGGTCTCGAGGTCTGCGAGCCCTGTGAAAACAAACTGGGCTATGATTCCTGTGTGGAGTGAGGTCGTAATTCTAGAATTTTGCTGTCCACATATGGCTCTTTATTTTTAAATTTAAACGAATTAAATGTAAATAAAATTAAAAATTTATAGTTTCTCCATTGCACTATATACTGTTCAGTGCTCAGTTGTCACATGTAGCCAGTGGCTGTCACATAGGATCATGCAGATGTAGAGCATCTCCATTATCACAGAAAGTTCTTTTGGATGATGATAGGCTGCCTCTGGAAAAGTCCTTAAATACTACCGTCCATTACCTTCATTAGCAGAACCACTGACAAACTCAAATACTTCCCTGGGACTCTGACTCACATCTTTTGAACTCTGGGGTCCACACTGTCCACAGTCTGGGACTCCTAACTGAAGGAGGGGAAGAGGACTTGAATAACCCACTGGGTGGTGATTGCAGCAGAACCATAATACTAGTTTATATGGAATATTACCCAAAAACATTTCTTTGAATATGACAGGCCTTGAGAAAAGTAGTGATTTCTGTTTCTTTACATGATGAATGCTATGAACTATGTATTTCCAGGTGCAAGTTACTTTTTTCACATTTTCTTAATGTTTCCTCAACACCCATTCTTAATTCAGTTGGGGAAGGGTAAACCAAAATGGGGAGGAATTAGTGGGAATCAAAATTCAGGTTATACTCTGATGCATTTTGAACATATTAAATTAATCCTTAGTATTCTCCTCAGGAAACTTTAATGATACAGGGAATAGACTAAGGACTTCTTTTGGGGATACATGAAACAAATTTTTACCTACTGTGTATATATTTGGTTATGGCTTTTAAAAGTAGTTGGGGAAAACAGGTCATTTTGACGGTTAAACAGTGTCACATAAAAGAAAAAGCGCTATGCTGCTGATCTCTAAAAAGCCATTTAACCTCTCTGAGTTTTATCAATTTCCTTGTCAGTTTCTTCGTCAATAAATTGGAAAAACAACATCTTCCTTTCTTGTCAAAGTCAATAGAGACTCAATGAAATCATGAATATGGAAGTGTTTGGGAAACTGCCAGTGAGTGGTGTGCTGTGCATATGTCAATATGGTGTTGTTTCCTTGATCCTCTCTTTTCTCTACCTGTTTTAAATCTGAGGCACAGCAAGGTATTGTGTCAGGCCAGAGCTCCTGAAGAATGCTCCCCGCTATTGCATGCCCGTAGCCTGGCTGAAGTTGCAGTGCAGGATCTTGTTCTTTCTAGAGGGATAGTAGTAATGAGATTGACATGATGAAAAATACCTTGAGTAGGAGAAGTCTTGATGCCATGGGCTGCATGAAGTGTCTTCCCTTTGTCAACCCCACGCCAGTGTTCCTGGGAGATGAGAGAGTCTTTATCTCATGGAGGAAAACATATCAGTGTCTGTTTTAGTAGATCTGTAGCAGAGGACAGTTGTCTTGATATATTGTAGACTGTACCCTATGTATCAGCTGCCATCCTGATTCAACAAGGGGGAAGGAAGTTGTCTAATACTTGTTAAGCGTGGAAGGACATTTGTGACAAATGTAAAACATCACTGTAGAACTTCACATTAATCTGTATTTCAGAAAGCAAGTGCAAAGAAAAAGGAGTCAAACAATGTCTAAGTAGCATGGAGTTGTGCTCTTAGTTGTGAAAGCAGCAGTCTCTTGTTCAGTGGTTATTGTAATTCTCAGACCTATGCTTTCTTCATGTATGTTGTTTAAAGATTACTTATTCTTTTCATCTAAAAACAGTATTTTAAAAAACCAACTGGGTACAGGTGCTTATGCCTATAGTCCCAGCACTTTGGGAGGCCGAGGTGGGAGGATTGCTTGAGCCCAGGAGTTTGAGACCAGCTTGGGCAACATGGGGAGACCTTGTCTCTACAAAAAATAAAAAAATGAGCTGGACATGGTGGCAAATGCTCGTGGTCCCAGCTACTAGGGAGACTAAAGTGGGAGGATCGCTTGAGTCTGGGAGGTCAAGGTTGCAGTGAGCCCACATCAAGCCACTGTACCCCAGCCTGGGTAACAGAGTGAGACCCTGTCTAACAACAACAACAAAAATTGCTACATTATTGTTTCTACAAGAAGTTTGCCACTCTGTCACAGTTGTCCATTTTTTATTATTGCTAGCTTTTAACTTAGAGGCTGATGTTGCTGAAATATTGCTACTTTCTATCCTCCGAAGTACCTGGTATGATGCCTTGCACACATTGCTTGCTTATTCAATAACTGGGCTTGGTAGAAATTGGAGGGTGATCCTTTTGTTTTGCTGGGACAATGTGTCCTTCACACACATCCATCATTCTATATTGGAATTGGCAATTAATTTTCTAGTTGGAATAATGTTATAAATAATGGGTTGGTTCCCAGAGTGGTCCACCAAATTAACCCATAATATGGCTTAGCTCATGAAGAAATATACATGATGGAGAAACAGACAACTGACTTAGAGCTAAATTTTACACAGCTGAAAACTTAAATTGATAAGCTGGGAATTGCCTATCATTTTTAAAATATAATTTCAGATAATTATTATATTTGTCCAATTTTAAGTTATTCTTACATCTCAGAGTATGAGCCTCCTCCCTTCATAGGAACATTAACCTTAAATGTAAAGTGTAGCAGCTGGTGGACATGGAACTAAATTTAATTTTGTCTACTTATATGTCAAAGTTGTGCTGACTATTAAAAACACTGTGATTTTAGTATTTTCCTTCCACTTAAATGTAGTTTTTAAATGGCTATTTTAAAATGTTCAATGTGCATTTTAAATTACCATTTACAATGGTGTTCTTTGATTAATTTACACTGGTTTTTCTTTGTCATAAAGAGAATTACTTAAAAACTCAGCAAGTCAGTACATCATGGTAGTAACAAAGGCATAAATCTAAGAATTTATTGTGCTACATTCTGCAAAGGTAAATATAATTTATTGTAAAATAATATTGAGATATAAGACTATGATATAATATTACTCATTTGCCACTCCAAACTTTTTAGGCTTTAATTTACTTTTGAAAGTGACATTGGCATTCTGTGTGACCACTGATCCTATTTGTTACATGTGTTTGAAATGGTTAAACACAAAAATATGTTTAAATTTTTATTACATGATAGATTATACATTTACTCTTACAGGCTCTTAGTTTGAAGAAATGTTCGGTTTTTTTTCACATTTTACTACTTAAGGTACGTTTGTTGGCTTAGTGTGTGTAAATTATAAAGGTACTCTTAATAATCAAGACTTTAGGCTGGATGCAGTGGCTCAAGCCTATAATCCCAGTGCTTTGGGAGGCTGAGGCAGGAGGATTACTTGAGACCAGGAGTTGAGACCAGCCTCAGCAACATAGCAAGACCCCCGTCGCTACAAAAACAAACAAACAAGAACTATCAAGAAATCAAGACTTTAGTATGTTTTGAATGGTGGATGAGTTTGTTTTTGGGATTTAAAATCGATGGCAGGGACATTTTTACTGCATATACCCTTTTTGTTCATTTTCAGTTGAATCAAGGAAATAGAAACCTTCTCAGTGCTGCAAGCTAAGAATTGCTGTGCACATTGCCTGCCTGTTGGACTCTGTGACTTGTACCCCATCACACCACAGAGCTGTATCTTTAGGAGGCATGCTGTGTGGCATGTGGATCCAATTATCATCACCATGACTATTTCATTTGATGGAAAATCTGTAGTAAATCAAGAATATTAAGTCTGTTTGTTAATATTGAAGTCCTTAGCAGCCAGCTGTGCTGAAACTGTTTGTTGCTTATATTTATAGATGAGTTGAATGCTAATACTCTCTGTCATGGAATGGTCTTATTGTCCATTTTCTGAGCTCGTTACATAGTAAATGGAAGAATTATTTTTTCTTTAGCTTCTCTAAAATTAAAGTTGAGCATGTGCCTTTATATAAATATTCTTTTATGAATAGAGCATTTGAGAAAACAGCATTCATTATTCATTTGTATGTCTTTTAATGAATTTTTGGTTTTTTCCTCTGTCTCAAATGCAACTAAGCATCAAGTTATTGCATATTAGCTTCAATTAGCTAGAATTAGTTTTTTTTTTTTTTTTTAATAACAGTTTGGTGCTCTAGTTAAAAATACATGGTTCCACATTCTGCTTTTGTGTGGCTGCTCTTCCTTTCCCTCTTCTGAATCTAAAGCCAGGCACAGGTTTTTTGTTTTTTGTTTTTTGTTTTTTGGTCATCAGATTTCTGTAGGTGGTTGGGTCATATTAATCTTCATGTTAATGTGTACCTTTTTTTTTTTTTCCACATCTCTACTTCTTGCTGAACTTTCCTCATTATTGAAAAGAGACATTCATTTAAATAAAACAAAAACAGAGCTCTCTGAAAGAAAAGCATTCAGAGACCCACAATAGCAGAACTTCATGTTTGCCAGATTTAACCTCAGTATCAAAATGCAATGGGGGAAAGATGTGCTACTACTGTGTATGACTCAGAGATGCTTACTGGTGACGAGCTCTAGATCCAGTGGTGTCCCTCTGAATTTCCACAGTGCCTGCCTTCACAGTGAACTAAAAATTAAATGGATTTTTTCTTACCCTAGCTGTGTGACAACTGTGGTGCCGTGGGTATGCCACTGACTCACTCTCCTTTTTACTACTGCTACTATCTACCATATTTGGAGTATTTTTTTGTTAGGTGCTGTATTGAGTACCTAACATGCATGATTTTATTGGCATCCTACAGACCTATGAGGTAGATGTTGTTACTGTTGCCATTCTACACATGAGGAAACTGAAGCCACAAGAGGCTAATGTAGCTACTGAAGGTGGGCCACCAGCTCCCGTTCTGATGCCAAAGCCCCAGGCGTTAACCACTAAATTGCCCTAGCTGTAGGTACAAATCCTTCTCCTTGTAAAACTGCTTCAGAGCTGTGTATTACATCATATCTCCTAGGAACTGGCTCCAGGGTATGATAAAAGTATACAGAATTAAGTTACTCCTCCTATCATGGAAAGTCACTTATTTTATGTGTGTTGTGCTTAGTGGAGATAAGGAAACGCTGCTCACCTTCCACTTAATAACCAGAAAACTCATCCTTAAGAGATCCTTGTGGCTTAAACAAACAAACCTCTGCAAGCCTTTTAGCATCCCCAGTCTGGCTGGGGCCAAGTAGTATCTTGTAATTAAGCTATGGGGATTATGTTGCTGTTGCTGATGTTCCCAAGAATGTGGGTAGGAAATGGTGTCTGAATATATAGAAGTCCTAAGAAGGGACCATGGTCTAACATTGGGACTTTTTAAGTTTTGGGGAGGTTGAGGATGGTGTTTATTAAGTCACCTTGGTGCTTAGCTGTGAGGACTGCTGGAGTGGAGGGCTTGGAGCTTTATTCAAAACTGGAAGAAAAGGATGGCAATGGATGAGCTGAGCAGATGTTGAAGCCACCTCGGGGAAGATCTGTGAATGGTATTAGGATGCTGAACAGTCCAAACCTCAAGAGGTTTACAAAGCAGACCAGGATTGACTTGCTTTTGAATAGGTGGGCTTTGTCTCAGTGTTTGAAGGAAATAACTTGACACAGGACTACGTGTGGGGGTAAAGCAAGACAGGACGAGGTTATCTCCAAGTATGAGGGGCATAGACAGAATGAGCAGATTCAAAGAGCTTGGAGCGGCATGTTGGCAGACAAGTGCTCATTCTTGACGGATGTTTCATTGATTAACTTGAGGCTGTACCCATAAATTACCTAGTCATTGGCTAATTTGTACCTTGATATTTCTGCCAACCATGATAAGACAGTATACATTTACCAGTGCAGTTGCGTTAGACATTTTGGGGGGATTTTTGATTAGAAAGGTAGAGTTGGGGTCTTAGAAGGAGAAATTTCTCAGGCAAAAAAGCATTTCAAAGCATGAGCTTGGAGTCAGACCTAAGTTCAGATTATATCCTAGGCTCTTACTAGTCTTGTTATTTTAGGAACATTACTTCTCTAAGCCTATATTTTCTTTTCTAAAATGGTGGACAATAATAAGACTTTCCACAAAGTGCTTTTGGAAGGATTCGATAAGACAGTGTGTTGGAAGCAGCTGGTACCTTGCCTGGCCCACAGTAAATGTTCAGTAAATGTCAGCAGCTGTTGCCTTTCCCACATCCTTTCCATCCTTTAAGCATGTGGCAATTGAACCTGGCCCATAAGCCTTTTCTAGGGGCTGCCTTTGGGGCATATTTCAGAGACTGAGGGCTTCTTCAGAAGCCTGTTGATAGGACAAGCATATCAGGTGCTTTGGCCTGGAAGCTCATTGCTGCTTCCTCTGCCAATATTTTTCATCCGTTTTCCAGATGTACTGAATTCATAGAAGAGACACTAGAAATCATATCTCCTGGTGACAGATGAATTTTCTTTTATTATTCCTTTTATAGCTTATGTGAATTGCATTCTCTTGTCCATGATGGGATGGTTGATCTTCTCTTCTTTGATAGTCTTCTTTTATTTTCTGTAAAATAAGGATATGTTGTATGTTTTTTATAATGTTGTCTGCTCCTCCTTTTTTTTTTAAACCTCTTTATAAGTCATTTCTTTCTTTCCTACAGCGATTTTATGAAGACCTTGTATTCTCATACACAGAGGGGTTATCAGACCCATGTTGGCGTGGTAACAGAAAAATTATCACGTGTGCTCAGAATCTGTACTCTGAAAGGCCCAGTTGCTGAAAACATGATTGTCCTGCATTTTTTTCTTCCTTAGAGCTGGCTTATGTCAGCCTATGGGCTGTTTGCTTGAGCATAGAAATAGTGGTATATTCAAGTGGGAAGCTGAGAAACCATAATGACGAAGGGATGGCAGCGCCATCCTCTTCCAGAGCCTGGGAAGGGCCGCGCAGTTGCACCATCTTTTATGCCATAGGCATTAATGAATCATAAGTCTCTCTTGAAAAATTTCCATGGAGAGTTTCTATGATGTACCTGCCAAAAAGAGATGTGTTAACAAAGCACTTCTTAAAATGGTATTTTTTAAAAGTTCAAATAATTAGGAACAGAGCAAGATGAAGCAGTAGAGCTTGCAGGAGGGAGCAGCGTGCTCAGTGGCCAGAGACTTCACCTGAGTTCCAGAAAATCAGATTTCAGGGCTATTGGCGCATTATCGTAGCCACAAAACGTTGGGGTTCATGTTACCTCTTTTGTCCAGTGGTTTGTGTGTTCCCTTCTCACTGAATTGGATTTGACATTCAATTTGAATTGACAGTGAACTTCGGGGTAATTCCTTTCAGAAACCTGAATCATTTTAGGATCTGGGAAGCATTACTCTGTGGCAGGGGCTCTTAACCAAAAAGCCCATCGCTAGAATTCTAGGGTCTCTGAATTTGGATGGGAGGAAAAACAAAACAAAACAAAACAAAACCCTTTATTTTCACTGTGCCCTAGCTGAAATTTAGCATTTCCTTCAATTATGAATATAGACAGCAAATAATGGTTGTATTTGAAATGTGAAATTGTACTTGTGAAACATGCTACTGGCCCCTAGATTTTATGCTAGTAGTCCTATTATTCAGTGTTATTAATGGAGAAGCACAAAACGACTCTATCAGAACTTTGCTTTTTAAGGGTTAGATAATTGTATTTCACTTTAATTGTTTTTCATTGTAATTACATGATTTTTATGCCTTTAAAAACATTATTCTGACCAGGAGTCCATAAGCTTCACCAGCTTTCCAAAGGGGGTTGGTTCTATGTTAGTCCTGGCTCTAAGCCATTCTTCTGACATCTCCCCCTGTCCCTCTGCCAGCACTCTGGAGAGCTGAGATGTGGCTTTGAAAGGCCCAGCATCAATCACTGGAATCCCTATTATAATCTTGACTCCAGCAATGAAGATTCTGTGGCCATTTTTGTCAGTGCTTTATATGTCTTAAAGGAGGAGGCTTTCTTTAGCTTTTCTGTCTTTCCAGGACAATGCCGTCTACACAGACTTCCAATGGAAGATGTTGATTCAGCGACAATTTACTAGAAAGCTGGATGCTGTGAAAGCAAGACACAGAAAGCAGAGAACATCAAGCAGTGGGAGTGTGGAGGAGAGGGAGAGAGCATGTGTGCTTGAGCAGAGGGGTGATAGGAGGCCTGAGGGGAGAGCTGGTGGAGGCTGTGAAATGAGATGGGGAAGTAGGGAGTTGGGTGGAATAATGAGGAGATGGAGAAGTAATTAAATTCAAGCTTTCAAGCCTCCTCCTGGTGGTGGCTTCTCTTTATCAAAAAAAAAAAAAAAAAAAAAAAAAAAAAATCTACGTTTGCTCCTGGGAATTGTTCCTGTGTAGTTAAGGATGGATTCTTCACTCGTGTCTTCAATTACTTGAATTCAGTACGGAGGTTTTGTGACTCAGAGCTTACCTCTCAGATAACCGCCTTATTTTTGTGATGGTTGTGGCCAGGTCTTCTGATGCAGGATTTCTAGATTTTATACTGAACACAGGAAAGTGGGCAAACTTTTCAATTATAGGAAATACCTTTGAGGGTATTTTGAGGTATTGGGCAAAGGCTGAAAACAATTTCAAAATAAAATATTTTTAGGCAAAATATCTGTTAACTGTAAGAATGTTGACTCTGTTAAGCCCAAAGGGAAATGTTACAGGTCAGGTGGATCCAGGACAGAGCTAAAGGTGGTAGACATGCACTGATATAAATGTCTGTGCTTAAAATGTGGTTCTAAGAGACTAAAAAATTGTCTATTCTGGTACTAGTAGAACCTAGGTTTGGATCTCCTTGAAAACGCCCAAAACATATTTTACTTGCCATTTAGAAAAGATAGTTTTAGTGACTAATTAGACTTACGTGGGTTGTAGTCTCTAAAAACCCAATAATTTACTGTTCACCTGTGTATATTTCTAATGACAATGCTGAATTCAGATTGAAGGTAATCTAAATTAGGTACAATACAATATCTATAAACATTATTATATAAGAACTGTATTACCATCAAATAATTTTAATATCTGGATTAATATAACAAAGTGTTCCCTAGTATATATTACTAGGAGTCCTGCTTTAAAAAATAAATACATGATAGTTATATATCATTTGTAGGTAGATGTATTTATAAGGTGCTTTGGGGCTTTTAAGAAAGTGTCTTCTCTTAAATATTTAAAACATTTTTATTTGCATTACTGGTTTCCCTAGCATATCCTTTCTTTAGAGAAAATATAATCAAATTTTGGATACTGTTACACTCGTCTAAATTATTACAAATTCTTAATTTCAAACTTAATGAAGAAATTAGATGGGATGAAGAGATATCGAAGCCTCCTAGATCTCTGTAAAATGTTCTTCCTCTGCCAAAGTACTTTTTTGAGACAAGGTCTTACACTGTTGCCCAGGCAAAAGTGCAGTGGTGCCATCAGGGCTCACTGCATCCTTAACCTCCCCAGACTCAGGTGATCCTCCTGCCTCAGCCTCCTGAGTAGCTGGGACTATAGGTGCACGCCACCACACCCAGCTAATTTTTATAGTTTTTGTAGAGATGAGGTTTCGCCACATTGCCTAGGCTGGTCTCAAACTCCTGACCTCAAAGGATCTGCCTGCCTCAGCCTCCCAAAATGCTGGGATTACAGGCATGAGCCACTGCACCTGGCTTCAAAGTTCTTTCAGTTATACTGGCAACAAAGCAGCTTTTGGGGCTTTGAAATTCCTCTATTTTATTTAACACTTCTGAAATCACAGTGACCAGGAAGGAGGGGATCAAGTTTTGCCAACTTGTTAAAGAAAGCCTTGGAAAGCCTCTTCTAGGATGACCATGCTGTGGGGACTTCTGTAGCTTTTGCTTGGAGACTTTGAAACTCCTCCCATGCCAACCTTAGAAAAAGGCTGATTCGATGAAGTCTTTCTGGCAAAGCATTTAAGACCCAGCCACTTTTCAAAGGTGAGTTCCTCTGTAAAGTCACCTCAGGTTCTTGCTACAAAAACCAATCTTTGTGCTAAGTGTTTGATGAATACTGCCATGTTGTGATTTTAGATGTTGGATCCTTGGCTTCGTTATGTGGACTTCTGGCTTTGGGAGGTATTTTATCCTGTTAGAATATTATCTCTTCCAGTGTATTTCTCTCATTTTCTATATCACAAACAAACATATAAGCACATTCTAATATAGTACGCAGTTTAAGCGAAGTTAGATGATATTGAATAATAGATTGTTATAAATATATTTTTACATACTTGCTCTCACACCCTCCTTGACCCACCCAGTGCCCCATTTTTTTTTTTCTTCCAAGTAACTAAGTTCTGTGACTTGGATGCTGTGACTTGGACTTTAGAGGTGAAGTCAGATGACAAAAGATTTCCATGCAAATCATGTTTCCAGAATCATCCCTCATGTGCATGTATGTCTAGTGGAATGCAAGGCTTACTAGAGGGAGGTTGAAATTTGGTGTGCGTTAAAGGAAATATAAAAATCCTGCTTAATGATCCTGTTAGGTTTGTATACAGATTAACTGTTATTACACAAGAAATGGTATGTCCGTTTGGAATTTCTCATCCTCTGAATAGCCAGCTTTAGCACTGTAAACTGGGAAGAATTCTGTTGTATCTCTGAATATATAATATTGCATTACTGCGAGCCCCGCGGCCCTTTTCCCAAACAACATATGCCTGCATGTGCCTCAGTTTTATGTGAGCCAAACCAATCTTAGGCCTAGCATATGGGAGTTTATTAGTATGTGTATGTTCCTATGTTGTTTAAGAGAGATTTTAGGGTCTGGAGAACTGAGACGTGGCAAGTTACAACAAAGCTTTGCTTAGGGATGTGGTTCATGGATCTCAGCCTAAGTCTGAACACTTATGCCTATAAAATATCCTCATTCCAGTTCTTGAGGCAAATTGTCTTTGATTCACATTTGCTTTTTCTTTCTGTGGTGCTTGCCTGATGCTTGCTAACCTCTCTAGCACCTGCTGCCTTTATACCTCCCTAAGGTGTCCGGTCCCTGCCTTGGAACCACCTGCAACTTTCCTCCTTTTTACAACATATTAATAGATATCGTTTCATCATATAGGGAGTGCTCTTACAGAAGCACCGGAAAATTTCTGCATTTATAGCTTAAGTGTAGTACTTTAAAAAATTCTAACAAGCAAGAGTGTTTCATAACCCAGTGGAACAAAAATTCCTAATGATGAAATCCAGGCATATTCTGGGATGAGATTCCTCTTATCACACCTCTCTGCTCGCTTTGCGTCAGTAGTCCTGGTAGGACTGATGTTCCCAAGCATCCCAAGGAGAGTGTGCATACCACAGTGTGCTTTAGAGATGTGGTATTTTGGTGTGCAGAGTGTAGTTACAGGATACCTCTGATAGAAAGATGTTTGCAAAAACTACTAGGATATTTTCTCAGCTGTGCCAGAAATCTGGGTAAATGAGTGTTAGATTATTAGCTTTGGCATTGAGGTGCTGACCTGCAAAGCTCTGTTGCCACTGCCCTGGGTCCTTGATGACCTGGCATCCTGGAGATACCCTGGTCCTCCTAGATCTGACCTAGGTTGCAGCTGTGAGCTGGATGCCTAGTGCCATCTGCCTGGGCAAATGTAGGAAATGCCAAGTGGGCTGGCAATTTTTTGTGTGGCCTTTGGATCCTCACTCAGCCATATGGTGCTAAAATGTCAAACTGTTCCCGAGTATGGGCCATGATGGAGAAGGCTAGATAGAGAACACACACTTCAGATAAAGAAGCTGCTGAGTCTGTTTATTCCCCAGCCACTGGCTTATCACTTTGCTACTTTAACCAACATTTACTGAATAGTGCTTAGTTCATAGTGGACTACTTATATTGTGAGAGGTGCCAAAAAAAGAAAATAAAATACTGAGATGGTTCTTACTGGCAAGGATTATGTCTCTTGTGTCCATGTGTCTTGTATGTAATACTGTCACTAGAGGAAGGTGAAATGAAGGGATTCTTCCAGTAGAATTTAATGGGAGGAAAGTATCTTAGAAACTGAAGAATGCCAAGGAAACTGAGTCCCCCAAAAGATTGTAGCATCCCTAAATTGTGATTGCAGAGATATTACCAAGCCCCATACTCTTTCCACTTCAGCTTCTTTCTGCTATATTCTGGCAGTCACACTTGTTGATGGATTGACATAATGCCTTGAAAAGTTTACAATCCGTGTAGGAAGAGAAAATGTAACAAGAACTTACAGATGATCCGAATCAAAACATCTGCAAGTGCTGTGATTGAGACCAAAGGGAATGTGTAAGTCTAAAGGGAAAGAGGAGGAGATGAATGATGTGGTTCAGATGAGGTTAGCCCTGGCAGGCTTCCTAGAGGAGATGGCTGGGGTTGGGTTTGGCCCATGTAGCTCTTCTTAGTCCCACTCTCAGGAGACTTTATATAAACACATTTTTCTCCTGGCACAGGGCATCTGACTGGTTGGAAAGAACAGGAAGACAAAGAATAGATGCTTGAATTCCAAGAGGCCCTCCCATTCCTTATAGTTGGAGAGCCGCGAACTTTTAGATGTGCCCCCAAATGCATAGAATTAAACAAATATATCAGATACAATTTAAACCTAGGTAAAAGACAAGTCATTTCATGTATTTGATAGAGAGTTGTAGCTTGAGAGACTTTTTCACTAATGGAGCTTTGTTGCCTTTTCAATTTAAATGACGTCTGCTTGTCTTGGTTTATAAATATTCAAAGAATTGCTTTGGTTTTAGTTAATCATACTTGACCGTATATAAGCTCAGCTATTTGAGGCATTTTAAACAACCAGTTTCATATGGCAGTTTTGTGGCATTTCTGGGATGGAGGGCCCTGGAGCTAGCCTTTTCCTGTTTCCACTGCTGTGGAGGTCTCGTCTGTGTCTAGGATTCAGCCCAAGGCATTGTGATCCTATGGTGAATTGCTTGGAGTGGCCCAGAGGAGATGTTCTTTTCCTTTTTTTTTTAACCTTTTGGTTTTGAACTAATTTTAGAATTACAGAAAAGTTGCAAAAATCATAGAAAGAGTCCCTTACCTAACTCACCCACTTCCCCCAGTGTAAGCATTTTACATAATTATAATAAAATTATTTTAGTCACCCCCACTTATCCACCCTTAGAGAAAGCCTCACACTTATTCATAAAAAGACACATGTACAAAGTTCTTTGTTTCCAGGTACAACCTAATGTCTAGTAAAAACAAATAGATAAATATCCTGTGCTATGCAATAGTAAAAATAAATGTCAAATGCATTAAAGGAAACAAGCAAGTTGCAGAAGGGTATATGCCTTATGTTTCCACCTACTTCAGGTTTAAAAGCATGCAAAGCAATACTAGATACTATGTATGCATGTGAAGTAGCAGTGTAAAAACTTGCACATGTATGTGAATGATATACACAAAATTCAGGATCCTGTTTAGTTCTGTAGTGGTAAAGAATACATGTGAGCTTTCTATTGTAACATTTAATTTTAAAAAATGAGTGGTAGGCACTCTGGGGATCATTATATTATTTTCTAAACCTATTCAAGGACTAAAATGTTTAATTTAAAAAATAGTAAATAATACTAATACAAAAGCCCAGCAAGGCCATTCATTAGAAATGCATTAGTGATGAGCTTTCCTGAGACAGTGTTGTACCTGCTGAGTTGAAAGGCAAAGGAGTAAGGCTTCAGTTGAATTCTTGGCTCTTCTGCATGGGTTAGACAGTCAACATGTCTTGAGTTTCCTGGGTCACATTTTCTCTACCTGTAAAATTTCCATGACTGCCTTACAAGCCTAACATACAATAGTGAAAATTCAGAGCTAAAACTCTTCAATAATGATCCTAGAAAAGGTGTGCAATGTTGTCTGTGGCCCTATACTCTGCCAGGTTTGACATCCCACCAGCCCCACTTTCTAGCTATGTGACCTTGCCTGAGTTATTTTTTCTCTCTATGCCACAGTTTCTTCATCTGCAAAAGGGGCTTAATAATAGTACCTACCTCACAGGGACATTGTGAGGACCACATGAGTTAATGCATGTAGAACACATAGAACCTGTTTCTCCCTCTCCCATCTGGCTCCTAGACTCAGTGTATTTGCTCTTCATAGAGTTAAATTACTAGGTGCCTTAAATTTGAATTAGTTGCAAGTAGTTAAGAATTGCAATGAGTGGGGGGATGTTACATTTTAAAACTGTGGATTTCTGGCCTCTCTTGAACAAATGGAGCATTTAGTAGCACTGGCCCCAATTGCAATCTGGCAACTCTGCTGTCCCCTGTAAGTGGAAGTGTCCCCAGTTCAGTGTAGTTTCCAAAACACTCTCATGTCCTCTGGACCCTGAGGCAGGCTGTTCATTGTCATTTATTGTCCAACAGACATTTGCACCAGTGACATTACCTGCCAGGCCCCCATTAACATTTGAGTTTGCAACCCTAATTTAAAGAGGTCGTAGTGTTGCAAAGAGGGGATTGGATTATACATCAATCCATGTTCTCCAGAGAAATAGAACCTGTAGGAGATTTTATGTATGTATCTATTATATCATTTATATATAAGGAAATCCTTGGGCAGGAGTTGATGTTGGAGTCTTGAGTCAGAATCTCTTCTTCAGGGAAATCTCAGTGTTTGCTTCTAAGGCCTTTCAACTGATTGGATGAGGCCCACTCACGTTATCAAGAATAATTTTGCTTTTACTTAAAGTCAGCTGATTGTCAGTGTTAATCACATCTATAGAATACCTTCACAGCAATACCCCGATTAGTGTTTGATTGAATAATTGGGTACTGTAGTCTATCCAAGCTGACACATATAGTGAACCATCACAGATTGCAAGTTTTTGAGTGGTCTTCTGGTAACTGTGTGGCAACTGTACACTTTTCTGTCCCTTATGGTAGAGGATTGCTGTGGGATTCGGGATTGAGGATTTTTCAGAGGGGTTTAATATAAAAAGCTTGGAGAACTTCTGAGCTTTGCAATTAAAGCTGCTGTGTCTGTGCCTCTGATTAGAGAGGCAGGATGTTGGTGATTGTTGATGCAAGATGCTTCTTGGAATAGAGGGTGCCAGAGATGCTGGGTTTGGTAGTTCCGGGTGTGTCATTCAGGGTTGAGAATAGTCATGTGTAGACTCTGGGTTTTGGAGGAAGACAGGGCATTTAGAAAGAAATTTTATTTGTTTTTATTTTACCAGCTGTAGAGCCTCAAGCTAACCAGGTGTACAGGTGTGTGCTCTGCCTGCTCGAGGTCAGGTGTGAATGCAGGTTCTGAAAACATCTCCATCTTTAGCTATTAATGCAGGTTCTGAAAACATCTCTGCCATGTGGTTCTGTGTGTTGGAAGGTTGCCAACAAGGCTTAAAAGGAATTCTCCCAAAGCCTTCTTTGATTCTTCGAGATTTGTGCAGAGCTGCTATAAAGAGGCTGAAAGGCAAGGAAAAAAAATTCTTCCGTGTATGTTTTTTTTTTCTGCATTTAAAAAATGCATCAGGTAAGATTATTTTTTCTTATGTGTATTTTTTTAACTTTTTTTTTTTTTTGTCGGGGAGCAGGAGATCTGAATAAAGCCTCAAGACTTCATTTCTGTATGTATTTTGAGAATTCACTACAACTTAAAATACTGAAATGTGGTTTGTTTCCATGAAAAACAGTAGACTGGCCAGAAGATCCAAGAATATTAATCTTAAGGAATGACCCCCAAAACCCAACAGCTCAGCCTCACAGTTTTAATCTCAGAAAGCATGTTTTTGTGTGGAACATATTCAACTGCTGAAGACCGAATGTATCATCAGCTCTGGGTGTGGTCTGGACATTGCTGCACTAGAGTGAAGAACAAGGTCCTGCAGGTGGGGGTTGGGGGCTCCGACATCTCCACGTTTCAGAGTTTCCCATTCTAGGGGAGAGCATACAGCCTTGTGTTAGTTGGTTTGTTATTGTGACTAATCTTTTACTTGAGTATCCTTGGTTTTTCATGGGGTAATTCCCGCTGTGTTTTTATTCTCGGACTAGATCGCA
Organism: Homo sapiens; assembly: GCF_000001405.40. Classification (NCBI taxonomy): domain Eukaryota; kingdom Metazoa; phylum Chordata; class Mammalia; order Primates; family Hominidae; genus Homo; species Homo sapiens. The sequence goes on along the minus strand of NC_000007.14, from coordinate 112,140,127 downwards.
AACTTTTGGGAGGGAAAAGCCATGAATCTAGACCTGGGACCTGTGTTGTTCCATCTTGGTTCTGTTGGTGCCTTAGCTTTGAGGCCTTAGGGGATGTCTCTTTTTCCTCATCTTAACTGTAAGGGGATTGAGCTGTATGGTAACTAAAATGCTAGAGATAATTGTATTTTCCTTTTTAAACTGCACCTTGGCAAAAATTTTTAGCTTGGTTGGAGCTCCTCACAGTCCCTTGATTCTTCTGCTTTTTCTTCAACTAACATCCACTCTTTATTCAGTGAAGGCCTGTAGTCTGTGGCATGCTAATATCTCAATTCTCTTGCCCTCTTCAAACCTCCTATTCTGCTATTTCCCTTTTACAAAAAAGATAATGATTTTTTCTGTCTCTTTAGTACATCTTCATTGGTCCCTTTAGTTTTGTCACCTTGACTATATGTATATGTTTTAGGAAAACTCTTAATTATCACTGTCAATCTGTAAAGCACTTACTATTTTGTCACGCTTGGCTACAGAAGTATCAGGCTGCCACTGAATTTGTTAATTTGATACTTTCCCTGTTCCCTCTCATTTTAGATTAGCTAAAATGAAATCCCATCTTCACATTTGATAAGGTTATTCTTGGATATTGCCCTTTTCCTAAGCTCTTAGTCACACGTTGTCCTTTATATTTTAAAAAATAACTATTTATGAAATTGCTGCCTAATAGACCAGTGGGAGTGCCTTCTGTTGGGATTAGTGGTTACTGGATCTAGAACCCATTTTTCCTTGTATTAAATAGCAAACAGATTTGCTTTGGGAATTAATGTCTTTGTTCGAAAGACTCAGCCCTTTTTGGGGGTATTTTTTGTGATTGCTACTTGAAGTAGCTTTTTTGTTGATATAGTGGTAGCCAGCCTCCATACCATTTGCAGTTGTTTCCTAGATCTGAGAGGCCCTGGTTCTTAATGTACACAAATTGGTTACAGGAGGATTTGCAGCGACTGTTGAAGCTACCGGTTTCTTATCTCTTTCCTGACTCTTGGTACCAATTACTGCCTTAGTCTGCTCAGGCTACTGTCACAAAATGCCACAGACTTGGGGGCTTAAAAAACAGACATTTATTTCTCACAGCTCTGGAGGTTGGAATTCCAAGATCAATGTACCTGCACAGTTGATTCTTGCCTACCTGCAGAGGGGTTAGGGTTAGGGTTAGGCCAACCTGCAGAGTTGAAATTATAATGCAGGCCCACTTCCTGGCTTGTAGACAGCCACCTTCTCACTGTGGCTTTTTCTTGGTGCATGTGCATGGAGAGAGATCTTTCTCTGCCTTCCTTTTCTTATAAGAGCACTAATCTCATTAACGGGGCCCCACCCTCAGGACCTAATATAAACCTCATTACCTACCAAAGAGGCCCCATCTCCAAACTGTCACATTGGGGGTTAGGAAGTCAACATATGGATTTTTGAGAGACACGAACATTTAGCTCATAACAGGAACAGAGAATTGTGGGGGAGTTGGGTATGGGCAGGTGTGTTGTTAATAGCTCTGACTTCCTGGAATTGGGAACTGCCCTTGCCTTCTTCCTGTATGCTATTCTGTCATTTTGGTATTCATACTTCGTCTCAACATGTGCTGCCTGAATATGTAAATTGTAAAAATTTCTTCTGCAAATACTTTCTTGGCCATTCTTCTTCATCTGTATCTGAGAGACTGTAACCTAGGCTCTATAAGTAGAGAAAGCCTATCAAAAGTAAGGGCAGTAATTGTCCTCCCATACCATATGTATGCCAAACCAGTGAGAGCATATTGTGTCCATTTTCCAACAAAATACTTCAGTAGCCAGGTGTGACAAAATAGTAAGTACTTTACAGTTTAACAGTGATAATTAAGAGTTTTCCTAAAAACTATAGTCAAGGTGACACAACTAAAGGGACCAATAAGGATGTACTGAAAAGATAGTAAAATCATTGTCTTTAGAGTAAAAGGGAAATAACAGAATAGGAGGTTTGAAGGGAGCCAGGAGAACTGACAAAACATTTTTTAGGAGGGTGTTGACAAATTGGAGTGGACCCAGAAGTAGACAAAAGTTTTAGCAAGTATGTCATATGGGAGATGATTGTAGAGAAGAAATTATTTAATCTAGAGGTGGATGATGATGATGATTGATTATGATCATGGCTAACATTTACTGAATGTTGACTGTGTGCTAAGCACTATGCAAATACTTTATGTGTATTATCCAGTGTAATGCACACACAGAAAGCCTATGAAGCAAGTATTATTGTTAGCCCTGTTTTACAGATGAGAAAACTAAAATTATAAAGAGGTGTGAGTCAGGTCAAGGTCACTGAGCTAGTAAATGGAAGACTGTTGCTGGGCTGAGGAGTGTATGGCTGCAGAACCTTGGCTTGGTATCTCTACTTTTGAGGACATTTCTCAAATATGGAAAAGAGATTAGCCATTGAGGAAGGGTTAGGCCAACCTTATGTAAAATATTATCTTACTATGTTTTATTGCATCTGAGATACCACTGGCTATAAAATGAGTCATTATTTTATTTGCCTTTCAGAAAAATTGCTGCCTATTAAAGTTATAATGCAGAATTGATGGTAAGCCTCCCTCTGATTTTATAGTTGTTGAAATGGGTAAAAAGCATGTCTTAGAATAGATGGAAAAATGTTGTCCTGTGTGTGATCTCGGACCAAAGGACCAAACTACAAGGGAGATTTTAGCTCAAAGAAATGCTTTGCAACCTCTCAAGCTGTGGAGAAATGTAACCTCCTCTGACAGAGGCCTTGACGCATAGCAGGAGCTCGCTGTGAGGTTCCCTGTTGTGCAGGTGCTGAGACTGGCTGGAGGAACTCTCTGGGATGATGTAGAGGGATTTATTCAATTGAGTAGAAGGTGAAATAAATTATCTTCTAGAATCCTTCCAAAACTTTTAATGAAATATAGCATACAGGCATCACATAAGCTATGATAAAAAAATTATTTAAATGTGGTTGGCAGTTATTTGTACCAATTATCTATAGCAATATGTATGACTCAATACCTTTTCTTTCTTGCTGTCTTCTCTCTCTTTTTCTCTTTTGGCATTCTAAACGTGGTTGGTAGTTTCCCATTTTTTCCTCAGGTAAAGTTCAGATTTTTTGGCTCAGTATTGGAGGCACTCTGCCTTTTCACCCAACCCATCTTCCCCACCTTTTTGCCTCTCTCCCAAATTCCATAGCTGAATACCATTTTGCTTTCCCATTGAAAATAAATGAGATATCATAAATAAAAGCTCCTAGCACAGTGCTGGCATACATACTAGCCTTCTGGAAAATGTCAGCCCTCTCTCTCTCTCTTTTCATTTTTCAAATTATCCATCAGTCTCTGCTTTCAAAATCATATTCATCCTTCAAGACCCAATTTAAATGTGGTCTGTTTCCAAAAAGCCCTGCCTGATCACATAAACTAGAGGTAATTTCTGCCCCTTCCTGAATCCTAGTGTGTTTTGTTTATGCCAGCCTGATAGTAGTTACAACATTTGACCTTGAACTCCAGTTATTTGTATCCAGTCTTTTGTCTTCCGCCTAAGTATAAATTCTGAGGGTGGACACAATTCTGTTTGCCACATCATCCCCCAGCAAAGGGCTTGACACATAGGTGTTACGCATGTGTGAGGGAGCGAGTGAATTATGGCATTTTGTAGCAGATTTATCTTCTCGTAATTGTCTGGATTAAGGTAATAAAAATTATTTTGTGTTCCCTAAGTGCATCATACTTGTCTGTGGGAGTGGGAATTCTGGCATGATGTTAGGCTGAGTGATTTACAAGCTACTCTGGGATTGCAAATGTGAGATCAACCACAGAGAGAAAAATCTACAAGATAATGGCTTTATGTGTGTTGCTAGTCCTTCATAGTTTCTATGTTTCTTTTGATATTAAAACATATTAGCTATAAAATGAAACCGGTTTCATTCTTTTTGTTTTTATTGTCTTCAGAGCTTTGAAATTTTACAAGCTATTGATTTGGGTTATAAGCCACACTGAGGCCAAAACTTCTGAGAGGGTATTTAATTTTCACTGCATCTTTGGAAATTGGCCCAAATAATTCCCCTTTCAACCCATGGCACTGGTGTATGACACAGGAAAAATCTGATTAGCTCTTGATGGTTGCCAAATACTTGGTTTTCTCAGCTTGGCTGAAGATTTAGATTATCATTTGGGGCAGGTGGCCTGGAATTAGGAAGAATGTGGAAGGAAATCAATAAGGGTTGGTTTCTCTTATTATTTTCTGTTGGCCTTTCAGATATTCCACCAGGAAAGCAACAAAATTCAATTTTTTATCATTAAACTTCGGGGTAATTTGTACTGGTTCAATTTTTTTTTTTTGGTGAGAGGACTGATAACAATTTTATGGAACTCTTGGAAAAAAGAAATAGAAAAAGCTATTGGTTACCTTTTTTTTTTCTTCAAAGTTTCTGGTGTTTGAATTTCTATTCTAGATGGTATTTAATTCCTTGCACAGCAGTCTACAGGCAGCTTAATCAAGGCGGCAGGATAGTCAAGTGGATGTAATACTGAATGCTTGGATTGATGGCTTTCTGTTGATTAAAGGAGATAGATTATATAGCTAATAAGAATTTGCTTTAGGGAATAAAATTTAATAAATAAGTTAGACTATAATTGGGTATTGGAATAAATTTATCATGTCTTATGTAGTCTTTCCATTCAGAAAATATTTTTTTTTCTCAAGTACCTACAGTGTGTATGGTACTGCATCAGGGAAGTATAATGAGAAGAAGTAAGAATAGATAGATGCTTAGTTTTGACAAAAACATAAGACTAAAAAGGTAAAGCGTAAATATATTAATGAAAAGCTATTTATTTCCATGGTTTTAACTATTTTAAAATGACTTAAAATTCAATCTATATTTATCAATAAGCCTTAATCATATTTACTTGAAAAATATACCAACTTTCAATTTAGTAATATAAAAGAATTAAAGAGCCACAATCAGATAATTATGTCTCAGTTAAAACAAATTATGCCTTAAGGCAAAATTAAACTAAGGATTTAGAAATAGTAAATTATACAGAAAGGACTTTATTGATTAAACAAAAAATTGTGGGGTTTTTTTTGGTGTATACATATATATACACACACACACACATATATGTTTTAATGGTGAAATAAATTTTATAGCAATCATAGGTGAATACTGGTTAAGGAAATTACTGAAGTAAATGTGTTTTATTATGATGTATTATTTTTATTCTGAGAAATGGAATATGCCTCATTGAAGCATAGCGTTTTCTTATTAAATAGGATAATGCATTGTGGCACTTTGAAACCCACCTTGATATACTTATAATTTTAGAATCCACTTCCTTATTTTTCTGGTCTTAGATATTTTATTAAGTTTGTTTGTTTCTTTCTTTCTTTATTTGAGATGGAGTCTCGCTCTGTCGCCCAGGCTGGAGTGCAGTGGCGCAATCTCAGCTCACTGCAAGCTCTGCCTTCCGGGTTCACGCCATTCTCCTGCCTCAGCCTCCTGAGTAGCTGGGACTTGCCTGTCACCACACCTAGCTGATTTTTTTTGTATTTTTAGTAGAGACGGCGTTACACCATGTTAGCCCGCATGGTCTCGATCTCCTGACCTTGTGTTCCGCCCGCCTTGGCCTCCCAAAGTGCTGGGATTACAGGCGTGAGCCACCGTGCCCAGCCATTAAGTTTACACTTTTAGAGTTATTTAAAGACATAAGTAAAAACACTTTTTATACCTTCCACAGTTTATTGGGTCAACCTGCCATATTGAAATCAGATGCTTGTGGAAGAGATTGAGATGTATAGGGTTTTTGATGGTTTGGCATAGGGTGTTTACCTCTCGCAAGCTGTTGGTGTCACTGCTGGCTTTCCGAGCCTCAGGGAGGAAGAGTGTTGCTATTGTAGTGAAAGCTCCACCCTGTTTGTTAATCTGTCTTAACTCTATAAATTATGGACTCTGAGACTTAGTCTAATTACAATTGAAACGATTCTGAAGCATTGTAATGCAGTGAAGTATTCAAAGTAATATGAACATTGCATTTACATTTTTCTAAATGTCAAATTGACATCATTCTGGCCTCCTACCATGGCACAAGTTTTACCAAATAATAGCTAATCTGACAACATGTGGTACACTCCAGTATTTTGTTTTCCATTCTATTTCATTCCATCCCACTCCATTCCATTCCAGTCTGTTAAAAAAAAATTATTTCACAAACCATTTGAGGAAGCCTTAATGTGAGATAACTCACAGTTTGAGAAACACTGGTTCACTTAATAACCACCTACCTGTATACAGCACTCTTCCAAAGAAGCAGTCTTTGTCCTTTATAACCGTACATCCAAAGAGCCATTTTATTTTTTAATTTTTAAAATTTTCTATTTACGTATTTTTTTTGAGACAGGGTCTCACTTTGGCACCCAGACTAGAGTTTAGTGGTGCCATCTCGGCTCACTGTAACCTTGACCTCCCAGGTTCAAGCAATCTTCCTGCCTCAGCCCTCAAGTAGCGAGGACTACAGGTGCACGCCACCATGCCCGGCTATTTTAGGAGAGACGGGTGTCACCATGTCCCCCAGGCTAGTCTCAAACTCCTTAGTTCAAGTGATACACCCGCCTCGGCCTGCCAAAGTGCTGGGATTACAGGCATGAGCTGCCATACCTGGGCCAAGCAGCCTTTTTATAGCATACTTTTTTTCATTCAGGCAAAGAGGTGTAAAATCAAAGAGCCTAAATAAAAGATTAAGCAGGAAAGTGTGCTCATTTATATGAAAAAGCTCATAATAAGAACATTTGTGGAGTGGAACAGTAAATTCTCTCTCGATCAGCCCTGGACTCTATTTTGGTTTCTCTCTGGCTAGGAAGAACTATCCCTGCAAAATGTTTCTGCATTTGAAGGTCTCAGAAGCTCCCGCAGGCACCCACATGGCCTCCATCAGTATAGCCTGTCACCTCTCCTCAAAACACTAGAGAGATGCGGTATGACCTGTATCCCTATTCTGGGATTTGGGTTGGAATGAAGACCTAGAAGTCTCAGAAGGACTTCAATATTAGAGAAGTAGAAAATTCTTGTGGAATTTAGAGGCAGTTGGTCATCCTGGAATTTGAGATTCTAAATTTTAAGAGCCCTGAATACCAGTCTCTGGATTCATCCATTTCACTTCTGTCCATTGTCAGTTGAAATTCAGGAGTGACACTTAGAATTCCTGACAAAGAGTAAAGACTGGCCTGTAGGAGCTTCCTTGCTTAATGAATCCTGCAGCGAAAGTGGGTCTGTCAAGCTGTGGGCCAGGTGCCCAAGTAGAAGTTTAAACCAGGAGTAAATTCTGTAAGGCCAGAGAGTATTCTGCCCATCCTTTAATAACCTTTTTGCATGTGTCCCATGTTCCCTCCTACTTTCTGTATTGGATACTTTCAATATCCAATAACCAAGGATATTGAATGGAGGTGAAATAGCAAGACCAAAGGCCTTTCCCCACCTCCCCCCGCCCCTTTTTTCTATTAAAGCATTTGCTTAACTGCCTTGCTTGTGTGTATGCATGCCTGGTCTCTATATAGCTTCCTGTTTTAAGGTCCTTTCAGGGCAGGCATGCCATCAATCTTTGTGTTGTTTCTAGATATCATCTCTGTGTGAATGTTGTTGATGCTATTTTTAACATTGCATCCTTTGTGTGAGCTGCCACAAGGCTGGGATGACCAAATGTCCTGTTTTTATCCCAGATTTTTCCTGGTTAATTTCCACTCTTTTGTTTGTGATACCTAGACATCCTTTTGAGATGGCAAAAGGATTCGTTTCTGCTTCATTAACTGTGATGAACCTAAATTCAAGCAGAACTGTGCCTTTGAAACAGTGTGACTTAAACCTCTTCAGCAATCCCTGTAGTTAAGACTAAGCAACCACAGAGAAAATGTCCTCCGGCTCTAAAGTAGGGGGCCAGTTTACATGGATTTATGAGATCCTATCAAAGTGAGAAGTAACCTTTGTGGCAGTCCACTGTTTTCCTAATGGTCTAAGGGCTGCCAAACTCCCACCCCATGCTCGTTTCATCCTTGCCTTCAATGCAGATATTAATAAATCTGCCCGAAATGAGATTTTTGAAAGCCTTTCAGGCTCACAATGATGATGCTTGTATGAAGGGATCCCTTTTTTCTTCTGTCTGACTTAGTCTTCTGCCTCCAGACCCTGCATATTTTCCCTGTAGGACACTGGCGTCTTTCTAGGGATAGAATTTAAAAGCATCTCCTCCTCCCCCCATACCAATAGTTCAGTTTGAAACCATGAAGTGTGTTACAACCCCACTTTGTGCTTTTCCCTTCCTCCTTTTTTGTGTCATTAGTGTTCATGTCTGTCTCTCCTATTACATCTTTAAGGGCAGAGACTATGCCATATGATTTTTTTTTCTCTTTCTCATTAGCTGACATGATTTTTGGTTCATTATAGGCACCTGATAAATATGTTGTAACAAAAAAAGTGAATAAATAATGTATGTATCACATTTTAGCTGTTTCCTGCATTGTACAATGCATGCATACATTCACTCTATCTTTGATTCATTTAGTCAAAAAACATTTATTGAGAGGTATTGTCTTTGGGGCTGGGGATATGAGGAGAAATAAGACATGGGCACCCTTAAGGAGCCCATGGTTTATTGTATGAGAAAATAGTTGGTTTCCTCTCTCCTTGTCCTATAAAACCAAGGGCAACTAAGTTTCACATACGGGTGAAGGATCTACCCTGGAGTTTTTGTGTTGGCATCCCCGTATCCTGGCTGAATTGCTTGCCTCCTTTTGCCCTTCCCAGGTACACAGGGAATCACATGGCTGCATATACTTGACACTGTAGTCACCATGGAGTGATTTATTAGTTATGGGCCACAGCGCTTTTAAAACAATCTCAAGTGCTGAATGGAGAGCTGATCTCATCTAGTGAGCAGCATGTATCTCATGCTGTGAGTTTTAGATTATTTCAAAGAACAGAAGACCCCTCAAAAACTACAAGAAGCAGGATCACATTTGTTAGTTTTAAGACATATTTATGGCATACGGCCGGCCATTTCCTTTATGTCACGTAGGTTTTCACTATTATCAGCCTCCGTATTTCTATGCCAACTTGACCATTGTGAGAAATGACCCTATTTATTGTCTAAAATACTGGAAGTCAAATGGATTTATTTTTGGTAACTTTTACTGAGGTAATGACTTGACATAAAATAAAGACTCTGTTCCAGAGACTGTGAATTACTGCCCACGCAAATTCAACTTTGCAATGCCATTAATATTTTACTGCCACAGTGAACAAAGTTGTTAAATTTAAGTCAAGAATTATTGGTTCCTTTTGGTAGGACGCGTCTGTATTTTTACTCAGCCTCTGTACATTTTATTTTTCCCCACATTTACTAACTTAAAACATGACCTACGTTTATTTTGAGAGTGTAGACCAGCATTGAGAAGGCACATACTCAGAGCGTATTTTTTTCTGATTCAACCTGCTCTTGAGATTCCTTTATAATTTGTGTATTATTTAGAGTAGTGATTTTGATATCCATCATCACTAGCTTAATTTTACTTGCTTTACATAGAATCCCTGCTTTGCTTAGACAGAAAAAACAACTGACAAAAGCATCACATTATTATACTTATTGGGAGAACCATGACATCTTGTTTATGTTAACTAGCAAAAGACATTCATGTGAGGAAGAGAAATATAATGTAGGCATCTTAAAATATAAAGAGAAGTGTTAAGAGACTCCCTGTCATTGGTGAGCATAGTGGGTGTCTATCTTTGAGCTTTGAGAGTTACCACCTGTCAGATGGCACCAGGGACTTTTTGGACCTGGTACCCACTTCATTCCAGGCTCATATTGGCTCTCCCCAACGGGTACCTGTACTGTCACACAGCCCCCGTCCTCATCCTGTAGTGCTCCAAGACTGGGATGCTGTCCAGGCCTGCAGCTTCCTGGATTGCTCTTTCCTTCCAGGTTTGCCAGGTGACCTCTTACCCAACATTCAAACTCGGCTCAAATTTCCCTGAATGCGGGAAGCCTCCCCTGACCTTTCCAGGCAGAGTTAAAAGTGGCTCCGTGTCTAGATGTGTTCAAGGCCCTGTTCATTTGGATCAGGAATCCCAAGGACTTGTCACTGGGGGAATGGCTTTACTGAAAGCCCAAGATTATGGATATGTTAATGCATTTGCTTCTTCATTTTATCCCACTATAAAAGGTGTGACAGAGGATTGCATTTTGAGTTTGGTGGCATGAGATCTAGTCTCTGTTCTGCTGCTAGGGTGAGTAACTTGGGGGAAATGACAACCCCATAAAAGGAGGAATGTTGTCCTCCTCTGCTGTTTATAGATTTCTACATATGAATGAGCTAAAAAGCTGCTTGGGATCTTTTGTTTTTTCTTTTACTTACATTTGAAATAATTATAATTATAGACTCACAAGAGTCTACTTCCACATGAAGAAATTTTATGTACCCTTCACTCAGCTCCCTTAATGGTGACATCTTATACAGTTATATCAAAACCAATTTATTAAAATTGGTACATTGTTGTTAAGTTAGACTATATGGCTTGTTCAGTTTTAATCATTTTGTACACACACTAATGTGTGTGTGTGTGTAGTTCATTGCAATTTAGTCTCACGTATGGTATATGTAACGACCACAATAATCAGGATACAGAATTGTTCCATCAAACAAAAGATCTTCCCTTATGCTGCCCCTTTATAGGTGTACCCATCCCTCCACTGTTCCCTGGCCACTAATAAATACTTGTTTGTTCTCCATCTCTTTAATTTTGTCATTTCCAGAATGTTATATAAATGGAATTATACTATATATAACCTTTTGAGATAATGCCTTGGGATCCATTCAAGTTGTTATAAATAGTTCACTCCTTTTTATTGCTGAATAGTATCCCATAGTATGCACCAGAGCTTATTTAACCATTCACCCATTGAAGGACATTTGGGTTGTTTGCAGTTTGGGACTGTAAAAATAAAGCTGCTAAGAACATTCATGTACAGATTTTTTTGTGAGCACCTAAGTGTTTACTTCTCTGGGATAAACACCCAAGAGTGTAGCTATTAGGTTATGTAAGTGCATGTTTAGTTTTATAAGCAACACCCAACCTGCTTTCCGCAGTGACTATCTATTCTACATTTTCACCAGCAGTATATGAGAGGGATCAGTTTTTTTTAATTTTTTATTGATCATTCTTGGGTGTTTCTCGCAGAGGGGGATTTGGCAGGGTCATAGGACAATAGTGGAGGGAAGGTCAGCAGATAAACAAGTGAACAAAGGTCTCTGGTTTTCCCAGGCAGAGGACCCTGCGGCCTTCCGCAGTGTTTGTGTCCCTGGGTACTTGAGATTAGGGAGTGGTGATGACTCTTAACGAGCATGCTGCCTTCAAGCATCTGTTTAACAAAGCACATCTTGCACCGCCCTTAATCCATTTAACCCTGAGTGGACAGAGGACATGTTTCAGAGAGCACAGGGTTGGGGGTAAGGTCACAGATAACAGGATCCCAAGGCAGAAGAATTTCTCTTAGTACAGAACAAAATGAAGTCTCCCATGTCTACTTCTTTCTACACAGACACGGCAACCATCCGATTTCTCAATCTTTTCCCCACCTTTCCCCCCTTTCTATTCCACAAAGCCGCCATTGTCATCCTGGCCCGTTCTCAATGAGCTGTTGGGCACACCTCCCAGACGGGGTGGTGGCCTGGCAGAGGGGCTCCTCACTTCCCAGTAGGGGCGGCCGGGCAGAGGCGCCCCTCACCTCCCGGACGGGGCGGCTGGCCGGGCAGGGGGCTGACCCCCCCCACCTCCCTCCCGGACGGGGCGGCTGGCCGGGCAGAGGGGCTGAGAGGGATCAGTTTTTAAGGGGAGAGTAATTTAACACTGAGAAGGTCATCTGGTTACAGAACTTAGAATCTTTTAGGATTGGGGAAGGAGAGTACTGGAATCTACCCTTGCCAGAAGATATTAAGAGACTCTTTAAATTGTGTGTTTGTGGTACTGTTTGTCTAACTGAATGTTGTTTTAAGTAAATGAGGCATAAGCTTAGGCTGCCCTCCACCCTCACCCCCGACAGAGTCTCGCTCTGTTGCCCAGGCTGGAGTGCAGTGGCACAATCTTGGCTCACTGCAACCTCTGCCTCCCGGGTTCAAGCAATTCTCCTGCCTCAGCCTCTTGAGTAGCTGGAATTACAGGTGTGCACCACCATGCCCGACTAATTTTTGTATTTTTAGTAGAGATGGGGTTTTACCCTGTAGGCCAGGCTAGTCTCAAACTCTTGACCTCATGATCCACCCACCTTGGCCTCCCAAAGTGCAGGGATTACAGGTGCTAGCCGCCGCACCCAGCCAAGCTTAGGCTTTCTTTACAAAGCACACATACTCATTGGTGATGTAGTATTGGTTTACTTTGTTGTTGTTGTTTTTATTTTTATTTTTATTTTTTTGCTATAAAAATTTAACATTTTATTAAATGAATTTAATTTTTAAGCAAATTCTATGAATGTTCTTCAAAATAAAGAAGTTTTTTTTTATTATTATTATACTTTAAGTTTTAGGGTACATGTGCACAATGTGCAGGTTAGTTACATATGTATACATGTGCCATGCTGGTGTGCTGCACCCATTAACTTGTCATTTAGCATTAGGTATATCTCCTAATGCTATCCCTCCCCCCTCCCCCCACCCCACAACAGTCCCCAGAGTGTGATGTTCCCCTTCCTGTGTCCATGTGTTCTCATTGTTCAGTTCCCACCTATGAGTGAGAACATGCGGTGTTTGGTTTTTTGTCCTTGCGATAGTTTACTGAGAATGATGATTTCCAGTTTCATCCATGTCCCTACAAAGGACATGAACTCATCATTTTTTATGGCCACATAGTATTCCATGGTGTATATGTGCCACATTTTCTTAATCCAGTCTATCATTGTTGGACATTTGGGTTGGTTCCAAGTCTTTGCTATTGTGAATAATGCCGCAATAAACATACGTGTGCATGTGTCTTTATAGCAGCATGATTTATAGTCCTTTGGGTATATACCCAGTAATGGGATGGCTGGGTCAAATGGTATTTCTAGTTCTAGATCCCTGAGGAGTGGCCACACTGACTTCCACAATGGTTGAACTAGTTTACAGTCCCACCAACAGTGTAAAAGTGTTCCTATTTCTCCACATCCTCTCCAGCACCTGTTGTTTCCTGACTTTTTAATGATTGCCATTCTACCTGGTGTGAGATGGTATCTCATTGTGGTTTTGATTTGCATTTCTCTGATGGCCAGTGATGATGAGCATTTTTTTCATGTGTCTTTTGGCTGCATAAATGTCTTCCTTTGAGAAGTGTCTGTTCATATCCTTCGCCCACTTTTTGATGGGGTTGTTTGTTTTTTTCTTGTAAATTTGTTTGAGTTCATTGTAGATTCTGGATATTAGCCCTTTGTCAGATGAGTAGGTTGCAAAAATTTTCTCCCATTTTGTAGGTTGCCTGTTGACTCTGATGGTAGTTTCTTTTGCTGTGCAGAAGCTTTTTAGTTTAATTAGATCCCATTTGTCAATTTTGTCTTTTGTTGCCATTGCTTTTGGTGTTTTGTTGTTGTTGTTTTTAATGTTTTCATTAGCAGACATTCAATGTGAGACTGCTGGTACTAGACACTAAGCGGGGAGCTGATCTAATATGAGGAATTGGAAGTCAGGGAGATGGTGTTTAACTCACCACTCTTACCCATTTTAACTGTAGGTATTTTTGTGAGCTTTACCTTCATCTCTAATGTGGAGATGATAATACCCAATTCTCTGGGCTGCTGTGAGGACTAAGCATGATAAATAAATAAATAGCATGATTCTTGATTATGGTATGCACCCAGAGAGCCTCTGTCCTTGAAGATTTCAATGTTATGCCATTTTGATTAATTTTTATGTTGATTAGAAATAGCTAATATTTTCACTCGTTTTGCAGAAGAGAGAAAATTCCATTGATGATTCTTCAATAATAAGAATAGTGTAGGCCAGGCATGGTGGCTCACACCTGTAATCCCAGCATTTTGGGAGACCAAGGAGGATGGATCACTTGAGCCCAGGAGTTTGAGATCAGCCTAGGCAATATGACGAAGCCCCGTCTCTACAAAAAATTAGTCATGCATGGTGGTGCATGCCTATAGTCCCAGCCACTTGGGAGGCTGAGGTGAGATAATCTCCTGAGACAGGGAGGTCAAGGCTGCAATGAGCCATGATCACGCCACAGTATCCCAGTCTGGGTGACAAGTGAGACCCTGTCTCAAAAAAAAACAAAAAACAAAAAAATAGTGATGATGAGCCTGCCATTTATTGAGAATATATTGAGTGCAGTGCCATGCTTGTTAAGTATGAATTACCTGTCTCACTTAAGCTTTATAGCAGATCTATGACTAGATACTCTTACAATACCTGTTTTTCAGATAAGGAAAACCAAGGCTTAGAGAGTTAAATAACTTGATGAAGGTCACATATCTTGTGAAACTGAAATTGGTAACCCAGTCTGTCTGTCTCTAGTTTTAATCATGTACCTGTATCTATTCCTTAGTATTGATTGCTTCTTCAAAGGCCGTTCTCTGCATGGTATAAATTATAACTGAAGTGACTTTATACTAAGCAACACCAGATACACTGCTGCATTCATTGGGAGACAGCCTGTAAGAAGTACAATTGAGCTTTGTCTACAGGTCAATGGAAGCAACCACACAAACAAAATGACCTTGCGTTTCAGAAAGAAAGACTCTGAATAATTTTGATATTTTTTAAATAGCTGGTTTGGATTTTTGAGAGGCAAGACAATTACTCTAAATGACATGATAGAGAGGGTTTGGGATCATCCTGATGGGGCAGGGGGGGAGCATTGTCTCTGAAAACATATGATTTTCCCGACACACTGTAATTTAATTCACAAAGATATTATAGAAAATAGTGGATATTATAATTACCTGAGAGTAAACTGACTTATCCCTTTATTCATTCATATGTAATTTCAAATTTGGTGAAGCTGTGGGATTTTAGGCTTGTTGTTTTCACAGTGAGGCCTTGGTTAACTCAGTGCTTTAGGGCCATGCTTGAGACTTAGGGCCCTGAAGCATCCTTATGAAAACATCTTTTTGATACATAGTAAACCAAACTCATGTTTATATGAATATCTCATCTAAGTCTGTTATTTAGTTCTTAGCACATGAATAGATTCAAATACAGCCTATGTTTTAAAAGTTTAAGCAGGTTATTGTTAGGAAGGTGGTTAAAAAAACGAATTATATATGAAATGTATCAGTAAACATATTGCTTTAGTGAATGTGGGTTCCTTCAATGAAAAATAAGCAATTAGCTAAGTGGTTTTCTTAAAACACTATGGGCCAGGCACTGCGCTAGACAGTTGATAATACATGATTTTATTTTATCCTTAAAACGGCCTTATGAAGCAGTTAATTATGTTATTCCCATTTTATAAATGAGGAAATGATATTTCACGTCACATGGCCAGTGAGTGGGTAGGCCTCTCTTCACTTATTACACTTCTGCTTCTAAGCTGTGTTCTTTCCTGTATTACACTGGAGGAAGGAGAAAAAGAACTTGTATTTGGTCCTTGACTGGGTGGAATATCCTTTAATGTGGCTGTAAGGACATGGGTAGAATACTCTGGTCAATTCATTTCTTATTTAAATAGTGACAAAGGTATGTCCATGTTAACCATTTCTCACTTATGCTTTATACATAAGGATGGCTTATAGGGAATGTTGCTTTATTATATCACTTAAAATGTTTGGTCAGGCAATAGTGACTCATGCCTTTAATCCCAGTACTTTTGAAGGACAAGTCAGGAGGATCGCTTGAGACCAGGAACTCAGGACCAGCCTGGACGACAAAACAGGATCTCGTCTCTACAAAAAATAAAATAGTCGAGTGTGGTGATGCAGTATTGTAGTCCCAGCTATTTGGGAGGCTGAGGTGGGAGTATCGCTTGAGACCAGGAGTTCAAGGATATAGTGAATGATGATCGCTCCACTGCATTCCAGCCTGGACAACAAAGCAAAACCCTATTTCTAAAAAAAAAAAAAGTTTTTAGTTTCTTAATGATCAGCAAAACTAATACCCTATCCTCATGATACACTTCTGAACTTCTGATTAATAGCTCGTGCCAGGGCAGAGTAATGGGTGTGCCATATAACTATAGACAGTCCTTCTGTTACTTCTAGTTAGATCCCTTTTATCTGGATAGATTCTGTCTGTTAAGATTTAGGATATATTCTTTAGTTTTTAAAGCAGGTTTTTCTTCCTTATGATAGCTGATTCTGGGGATAATGGAAATTAATTTGCCTGCCTTGAGTTATAGCAGAAGAATGTGACAGAAGATAGTTCAAGGCTGTAATGGTTCTGGAATATACAAGTTGCCATGGGTATTACACGGGTTGGTAGTAGAAAATTTATTGAGCAAATAGTTGATACATTGGATAGACTCATTTAGAAAATTATTTCCTCTTTTATGCAGGGGCTAAGAGGTTTCTTGACTTGATAGCTAAAATTCCAGAATCTGTTCTTTGCTTGAATGATTGAAATGACTGGTGTAAACTGCAATCACTTAACTAGACTTTTATTTTGACTTTGAGTCAAAGATGTGTTCATGGTCCTTTTTATAAAGGCCATGAATTTTCATGTTACTTTTTTGTGATATATGTTAAATTTCTTATCCCCGTGTTGGGGTTCAGAAACCCATATCCCCAAATACGGCACTTTGACATGCTGAACTGAAGAAGCCTCAAGGTCTATGTGACCTTCCCCCTTTCTCCTCAGCCACCATCTCTCCCAAACACAGGATGAAGTTAAAGTTCTTTATCTGCCTAAAATCCAGACCCACCAAGGAGATCTTCTCCATCTTATTAGACCAAGATGTAACCACACCTGAATGGACATTTTCCCAAGATAATGTCTGAGTTAATCCCTGCTCCCTGATCCATTCATTCTCCCTCGCAATCCCTTTAACAGAATTCCTCTTCTCTCCCTGCTATTTTGCCAGGAAGGCATAGAAGCTTCTGACTCTAGTTGGGGTTTTGTGGTTCTCCCTGTGTATACATTAATAAAGTTTGTATGCCTTTGCCCTGAGTAATTTGCCTTCTGAGAATTAATTTTTCAGCAGACCTTCAGAGGGGAAGTTTCCCTTGGCGTCTACACCTCATATGAGAAAATTGGAAGTGATCTTGTTCTTGACTACATAATTAGGGAAATATGGGCTTCAGTGTATATTTGATAACTTAAAGATAGTCACTCATAAGATAAAAACAATGTTTCAACTTTCAAAATACTAAAATTAATTAAAGCAGACAAAAAAACTAGTCTTTATAACAACATAGAAGATAAAGTATATAGCACATAAGCATACAACAAAAGGATGAAATAAAAATGACAAATTCAAATATATCATCCTCTCAATAAATGCACTTGGGCTAAACACTAGAGGGTTAAAACTCAGATTGAGCTTTAAGAAATCCAACTAAATACTGTTTATAAGAGGCAGTCTTGGCTGGGCGTGGTGGCTAACGCTTGTAATCCCAGGACTTTAGGAGGCCAAGGTGTGTGGATTGCTTGAGGCCAGGAGTTCATGACCATCCTGGGCAACACAAGAAGACCCCATCTGTATTATTAAAAATAAGAAGAAGAAGAAAAAAGAGACAATCTTAAAACATAATGACCCACCTCTAAAGTAGTCAGATTCAAAGAAACAGAAAGTAGAATGGTGGTTCCTAGAGGTTGGGGGGACAGAGGAAAGAGGAGTTAATGGGTATAGAGTTTCAGTTTTGCAAGATGAAAATGTTCTGGAGATCTCTTTTACAACAATATGAATATACTTAACACTACTGAACTGTACACTTAAAAATGACTAAGATGGTAAATTTTATGTTTTGTTTTTTACCACAATTTTATAAAAATACTAACCATAATGACCCACCAAAATTAAAAATAAAAAGACAGGGTAAGATCTATTAGCAATGGCAAATGAGAATCAAGTATGACAATGTTAATATCAGACAAAGCAGAATCCAAGGGAAAACTTAAATGTGGAAAATATTATCTAATATTGTTTGCAGCATTTTTTTATAGTCAGGAGTAAATGTAAATCAAATACTTATAGAAGTGACTGGAGAAATTGATTTTAATATAGAATTCTATACTATATACTCTGTAATTCAAAAAGAAGAGAGTATCATCTGTGTTTAATAAGAGATCAGATATAATTTTGCACCAGGAAGGTCATGACTTTGATAAGAGCAGTTTCAGCGCATGAGTGGGGTCAAAACCACTGGTCTCTCAAAGAAGAATAAAAGGAAACCAGAAAGGGATTTCATAGACCCTGAATATCTGTATGTTGGTCCATGAGCCTTCCTGCCTAGAGTTATTTTCTTTGCTGTCTGCAAATGAAATCTAATTTTTAAAAGTTAAAAGCATTCAATTTGTTGCTATTCTCTCTCACATTAGAGTGGGGTGAAGATTTCCTGAACAAGGGTGATGAAATAATGTAGGTGGGAAGCCTAGAAGGGAAGGTTTCTGAAAGTTAAAGAAAATTGAACCTAATGCTAAGAGGTCAGTGACCGAGAGAACATAAAGTGGACAAAAGAGAGAAGGAACCTTGCCCCTGTGGATTTGTCTAAAGCTATGTTAAACGTTTTGTTGATGGAGATGGACCTTTGTAAGAAGCACTAGGAGCCTGTGCTCCGCAGAACACATAGGGGAATGTGGGGAATCTAATAACAGGATAGCATCCTGTTACTACTCCCTAGAAGGAAGAAGACTTCTTGGAGATCAGAGTCTTTATCCAAGGATACAGAAAATATCATATCTGGTAGAGAAATACCATGAGACGGGAAGGGGGCATGAGATTTGGAGTCAGGCTGACCAAGTTCAGATCCCAGCACTTCCACATATGAGATGATAAGAGAGTTATTTAGTTTTGCAGTTTTATCATGAGGATATAACATACAAAAATATCTAGCACTGTGTCTGGCATATAGTAGGTACTCAGAAAGTGACACCTGCTAGTTAATAAATGTCTCCTTTATGCTAAGATGACTGAGATCATGGGGTGAATTCCCTTGATGCCAGTCTCGTAGGCTGAATCCTCTGTTCTCAAAGAATGAAAAATTTAAAGGTACTTCCCAATCCCCCTACAGTCAAATGACTGCAGTGACCTAACTTTGATAATTATGTATTTCAGGCCTTGGAATGTCCAACTGTTTCTCCAAATGTTGAATTATTCTAAAATTAGCAAAGACTTGTTGAAGAAGCTCACAAGATCATGGAATCAGGCCTCTGAGGTCATTAATATTCAGTAGATATATTGCTTATGAGCCTGGAAGGAAAGATTTGCAATTTTATATAGTATAATATAGTATTTGCTCTTGGTATCAACCTAAATTCATAAACAGATGTGTATATATCTCTATTTATGTATATTGAAGTCTGTATTGTGAGGGTGAATAATTAGAAGTTGACTTTATGTCAAACCAGGTTTATAGAATTCAGATGTGTCCCCAAAATTTGTCCTCTTCTAGATATGTCCATTTACTTTTAGTATGACTAGTAGGAACATAGGGGTTTTAGTGTCTGATTTTGAGGATATAAACACAAAAAAAGTATTTTTTCTCTTTTGTCTAGATTACTAATCCAGACAATGTAAACCTCACCCAAAATTTGTGAAATTTGAGACCGGATTTCTTTTTCATGGCATTACAACATTATTTTAAAATAGCGCTACTAAACAGTTTTATCAAAAAATTCCAACAAATGACATGTGGCCCAGTGGATGAAAAAAAATTCTGCAATTATTAATAGATGTTTTTACTGTTCAGAGTTTTAGCTGTTATTTGTTTAGTAATGTTGGTGTTTGTATGTAGGCTTTGAGGCAAGGGGACTAATTAGGAATTCTCTGTAATAATTTAAGTGAAGCTTAAATTATTAAAAAGAGCAATCTTGTAATCCCAGCACTTTGGGAGGCCGAGGCGGGCGGATCACTAGGTCAGGAGATCGAGACCATCCTGGCTAACATGGTGAAACCCCGTCTTTACTAAAAATACAAAAGATTAGCCTGTTGTGGTGGTGGGCACCTGTAGTCCCAGCTACTTGGGAGGCTGAGGCAGGAGAATGGTGTGAACCTGGGAGGCGAAGGTTGCAGTGAGCCGAGATCGCGCCACTGCACTCCAGCCTGGGTGACAGAGTGAGACTCCATCTCGGAAAAAAAAAAAAAAGCCATCTACCCATTTATTGAGCACTAAATATACGCCAGGCACTGTGCTTCCTGCCTTTGTATAATCCTTACGGCAGCTGCATGAGATGGGTTCCATTATTATCCCCATTTTATAGATAAGGGAACTGAGACTCAGAAGAATCAGTGAGTTCCCCAAGGCCACAGAAGGGTGGAGCTGGGATGTGAACCCAGGTTTCTGACTTCAGAACTCAGACTTAATAACCACCCGGTTCTGTTTCCTTATGAAAGGGCTGTGTCTCCAATGTTCGTTTAGGGCACAGTTGCTTGGATTTGGCACACATGTTGCCACAGAACCTATATTTCAATCAGTGTTAGACGTTTGGGCCAATATTAATGTGTCAGAGGTGTCTGAGTGCCAACAGCACTGTAGATCTGAAGCCATCCTGAGATGGTGTTGGGCTTTTAACTTTGGCGGGCCAGAACTACTCTTTCCTCAGTGTTGTCTTGCCCTGGACATATTTGCCCTTTATTGTACCCCTTCACCTACTGCCTGGACTGGTGGGGATCTACTGCCACAGTGGGGTGGGGGCAGAGGCTAAAAGCGGCAGGGTGGGGTGGAATGGGGCGGAGGCTTCTATCTGGCAAAGCTTCTGGGATTCTCCATTTATTCAGTTCTCTGTCTTCCTCTGCTTCCCTCCCACCCTGCTGTTTTCACTTCTTGTCTTGGAGAGTGAGTCCTTCTGGATATCTCTTCTGCTGCTCTGGGTCCTTGATGGAATGACATAATGACTTGGCCATTGTCTATGGGTGTTTTTACTGCCAACAATGATTGGAAACAGCGAGCCAAAGTGACTAGCTCTGGTCCCATCCCTGCCCCATTTTTTCACATAGATACACAATTTCATTAGAAAAAGATGAAGATGCGTACGAGCTATATGTAGGCCACTGAATATTCAGACTTATAGGGAAAGGCACATCTACATTTAGGGAAAAATGAAGTTTTGAGTCTTCTGGGTGGTTATTGAAGAAACTGGGCTCTGACTCTGTATGTACAACAGATGGAGAGTTTGGGAGCATGGCAGGGGTGAGCTGGAGGGCTAACAGTTTCTCCTGCTTCCTCTCCCCTTGCCAAACAGGCTTGTTTGCCAAACTGGCTTGTTTCATTCATAGATTGAAGACAGGCTCAGGACTGGGGTTGAAGGGGTTAGAAGAGAAGATGATCTTAGCATCTTGGTCTATATTACTGAAGGGAAAAACGTAGGAAGGGGAGTTTGAAGTATGGAGAGAAGTCCCAGTGGCCACTCAACGGTGAGGTACAGAAGGAAGGCTTTTTTGGCAATGGTTTCTATATAGAGTCATTGAGTATTAGTTACTCTATATTTATACGAAATGTGAATTTTATTTTGGTGTAGTATCTTTGGGTAGATTGAGAGGCCAAAATATTTATCTTGTTTTCAAATTACTCTGAAATCTTACTTCTTTACTTTATCATCATCTTGCCTGTCTCTTTTGAATGATTTTCATTTGAAGCAGTTCAATTAAATCTTGTTAAGTATGACAATAAATTACTTAGTGATTCCTATAAATTCTCTAAAATACAAGAAGGAGAAAATTGAATATAGCCCAAGTAAGCAGCAGGGATTTTTACAGAAATGATTTCTTCAATCTTGTCTCCATGGTTCTGTTGTTATTCTTTTATAAAAGGTCTCAAGAGGAGGAGAAAAAAATATAGGAGACAAAATATATATATATATATTATAAATAAGAAGTCTGCAAGAAGATCAGAGATTTTTGTGGAAAATGGGGACGGTTCAATAAGCAAAATGAATTTCCTTACACAATAGCTCTGTATTTTGTGTAGAAAATCGTGCATGGATTTTCCTGGCTCTGGAGGAGGAGGCCATTCTTTCTTATGGTGATATGAGAAGAAAGGTTTTAAAGAGTTGAGTGGAGAGAGGCTTTTAGAAAGTGCAGTGATGTCTTTGGATGTCCAGGATTGACTCAAGGTAAAGGAAGAGGCATGTCATGAAGCTTGGTCTTAGACCTAAGCTTCTATTTGGAAATCAAAGCCATAAGTCAGTTCTGCCATAACACGAATGCTGCTCTCCTAAAAAATCACCATGCCATACAATAACACAACAAAACCACAGTACTTATGAGGCAAACAGACGCAACATCCAAAAACTTTATCAGCAATACATTTTACAAAAAGAAAAGGTGGCTGGGCACAGTGGCTCACGCCTGTAGTCCCAGCACTTTGGGAGGCCAAGGCAGGTGGATCACCTGAGGTCAGGAGTTCGAGACCAGCCTGGCCAACATGGTGAAACCCTGTCTCTACTAAAAATACAAAAATTAGCCAGGCGTGGTGGCTGGCACGTTTAATCCCAGCTACTTGGGAGGCTGAGGTAGGAGAATCGCTTGAACCCTGGAGGTGGAGGCTGCAGTGAGCTGAGACCACATCACTGCACCCCAGCCTAGGCAACAAGAGTGAGTGAAACTCCGTCTCAAAAAAGAAAAAGAAAGAAAGAAAAGGTATGAAGCTAATAAAAGTGGTAGCATGGTTGTACACATGTTCAATGGTTATGAAATACACAAATACTACGATAAATATGACATTTTGACTTTAAAAAGACCTGAAGTTTATTTGTGAATGAGGGCTTTAGAGGGCTGCAGCTTGTGAGTTACTGTGAAAAGGTGGGAGCAAAGCTATGGGACTCCCAGGAAGGCTGTTAACACCAGGTATCAATGGGTGTGGCTTACAACACAGGCAGTGAACTGAGATGGTTGCTGGATGTTTTAAAGTGTGTGCACAGGTGTGTTTTGTTTGTTGTTGCATGGCTTGGTTCACCTGGGAGTCTTCAGTTACTGTTTCTTTCAGAGGAAACACACTAAATAAACATGAAATTTGTGTTATGCTCAAATTGTTCCCTTTTAAAATCAATTGCATTAGAACAAATTTGTATTTTCAAAACAAGCATTAGAGAGAAGTGACTGTACTGGCCGGGTACAGTGGCTCATGCCTGTAATCCCAGCACTTTGGAGATGAGGTGGGAGGATCACTTGAGGCCAAGATTTCGAGAACAGCCTGGGCAACAACAGCCGACTCTACAAAAAAGAGAAAAGAAAAGAAAACTGTACAATAAATTCTTTTGACTTTGTTTATTCTCTTTGATATTTACAAAAATATAAATGCAAGTCCTTTAGTTGGTCTAAAGAACAGGCTCTTCACTCTTCATTGCCTTGGTTATGAATATGTTATAAACAGAATTGTGGCCAGAGCTCACTCTTTCTGTAGTTACAAAGTGATGTTTGCAGTCATTTGCTAATCTTAGGTTTTCTCTTCTGGTTTCCCCACTTGTGACACATGTTCTTTGTGGCGGAAAATGGGGCAGGGATGCTGGGGCTGGCAGTTGCTTTTCTTTGATGTATGATCGTAAGGTGAGCATTTTTTAGTAAAACTATGTATTCAAGTGTCCATCAAGGGATGAATGGATAAACAAAGTGTTTCTATACAATAGAATATTATTGAGCCATAAAAAGGAATGAAGTACTGATACATACTACAACTTGAATGAACGTTGAAAACATTATGCCAATTGAAATAAGCCAGACACAAAGGGTCACACATTATATGATTTCATATATATGAAATATCCAGAATAGGTAAATCTGTAGAGACAGAA
This sequence comes from Homo sapiens, assembly GCF_000001405.40. NCBI lineage: Eukaryota > Metazoa > Chordata > Mammalia > Primates > Hominidae > Homo > Homo sapiens. The sequence goes on along the minus strand of NC_000007.14, from coordinate 112,116,206 downwards.
AGCAGGTTAGTGGTTGCTGGGGGCTGGGGAGAGGAGGGTGGAGGGTATGAGGAGTGACTGCTAATGGGTATGGGGTTTCCATTTGGGGTGTTAAAAAAGTTTTAGAACTAGATGATGGGGATGGTTGCACAACCTTGTGAATGTACTTAGTGTCATGAGTTGTACACTATTTAAATGATTAAGATGGTAAATTTTCTGTGATGAGTATTTTACCACAATTAAAAAATAGGCCGAGCATGGTGGCTCATGCCTGTAATTCTAGCACTTTGGGAGGCCAAGGTGGGAAGATCAGGAAGGCCAGGAGTTTGAGACCAACCTGGACAATATAGCTAGACTCTTTCTCTACAAAAAGTAAAAAATAATCTGGGCATTTTGACTTGTACCTGTAGTCCTGCTACTCAGGAGGCTGAGGCAGGAGGATCACTTGAGCCTAGGAGTTAGAGGCTGCAGTGACCTATGATCGCACCACTGCACTCCAGCCTGGGCAAAAAAGTGAGACTCTGTTAATAGATAGATAAATAGATTACATAGATGATGGATGGATGGATGGATGGGTGGATGGATGGATGGATGAATGGGTGGATTGATAGATGGCATATGTTGGATCTCTGTCCTGGGCATGGCACCATGCTTAGCATGGCAGAGGATACAGTGAGGAGTGAGGCAAGGTGCTACCTCCAAGGAGTCTGAAGCGTAGTTGAAAGATGAGATAAACAGAACAATAGTCAGACTGCAAGACAGAAATGAAATGTGCCATGGAGGAGGTGAGAACAGTAGGCTGCAGGTGTCCAAAGCAGGAGTGCACCTGTTCTGGAAGAATCTAAATGGTGTTCTTTCAGGAAGTAGCACATCAGATGGACTCACTGCGTCTGAACTGAGTGTCACCTAGATAGCACTGAAAAATATCTATTCCTAGGCTAGGCCCTATTCAAATTAAGTAAAAGTCTCTAAAGGGAAGAGCTTTGGAATAGATTTTTTTCTGTATATATTTTTTAAAGATTGCCAGGTGATTCTTTTACGCAGCCATTGGTGCAAACCACAGGTTGAAACAACAGTCAGATATTGATAGGTGTATTCTGGGCAGAGGGAATTTTAGGGGCAAATGCCCAGCTGGGAGAGCCCAAATTCTGCTTGACTAGATATTAGGGTAAGCCAGAAATAAAAATGTCTGCAGTATAGATAGACTGGAGAGAGGCAGGCCTGTTGGGAATGGGTTTTAATGGTCTTTAGTAGGTGCTCTCAAGGTGGAGTCTAGGGGTCCCTGAGACCCTTCTGGAGAGTCTGTAAGGGCAAAATTATTTTCATGATAATTGTAAGATGTTGTCCGCCTTTTTACTTTGGATTTGATGTTTGTGTCAATGGTGCAAAAGCAATGCTGGGAAAACTTCTGGCTACTTAGTGTGAATCAAGACCCTGGCACCAAACTGTAGTGATTGTAATTTTTACCTCTTTTTGTTCTTGCAGAAAAAATAGGAGTTTCACTTAAGAATGTCCTTGATGAAGCAATAAAAATCTCAGTCCCTCGGGTTCACATCTTTTTAATATTCTGTGGGACAAGATAGGAAGCACACATAAATTACTTGTGCTGTGTACTAGAGAATGCTGGTTGTCTTGAGGAAAAACACTTCCACAAATATTAGAGTGAAAACAAGTGAACTAGACAGTTTTTTCATGGAATATCATTTTACTTGGTAGACTGACACACAATAGTTACTCAGACTTTGGTGTTTGACAGACATTTTTTTGGAAATGAATAACAAGAGCCTGTCACTTCAAGGTAAACAGTTGACAACATTTATTGCCAATGATAAAATTTGAACTTTCAAGCAAAAATGCAAATTTTGGAAAATGTGTTATTTCTGCCACTGAGAACATAACAGCATACCAACACTTTTAGACTTTTTACTTTTATATTGTATAATGAAATGCATCAACATTTGGATGATCTGTATTACAGGTGAACCAACATTTTCCAGTATTAGTGGTGGGGAATGACCGTGTCATGAAGGCTTGACCAGGATGGGGATAGCTCAAGGAGGCAGGATGGCTCATTGTTTATGTCTTCTTCAGGAACACAATGAAGTAGGTTGAGTTTCCAGGATTTGGCCCCTGCATTGGGGATGGTTGGAAGAAAAGCCAAAAACCATAGCTTCTTCAAGCCAGTGGACTTAAAAAACAGTAGTACTTTTAAAGAAACAAGGAATTCAAGGCAAGAGCTGTTTGTGGGGCTAGGGGTAAAGAAAAATGATGGCTTTGCCAAAATTTGCTAAATTTATATCAGGCTGGGTCCTGATACACATTTCTAAAAATCCAGGCGAAGCATGGTGGCTCATGCCTGTATTCCCAGTACTTTGGGAGGACAAGGCAGGAGGGTCACTAAGGCCAGAAGTTTGAGAACAGCCTAACAACACAGCAAGACTGTCTCTACAAAAAAAAAAAAAAAAAAAAAAAAAAAAAAAAAAAAAAAAAAAATCAGCCAAGTATGGTGGTGCATGCCTGAAGTCTCAGCTACTCAGGAGGGATGAGGATTGTTTGAGGCCAGGAGTTGGAGGCTGCAATGAGCTATGATTGCACCCCTGTACTCCAGCCTGGGCAATAGAGCAAGACCCTATCTCTGAAATATATACATACATATTTTTTAATTTTTAAAAAATTCTTTATTGAATTTTTGGAAAAGAAGCTAAACATATTAAAGCTTGTCTACTTGGGGGAGACTTTTATGGAGTAAGATACAGAGAAACCAATTTTCCAATGTGATTTTTTTCTCTCCTTACCTGCCTTAATAATCATAATTTCCCTTTAAAAAAAATCTTTTGTGGTACTACAATTTAGTCCTCTCTGGCCCACTGACCTTAGTGTCAGAACCCCTGATCTTGTGCAGAGTTGCCCTCTCCTCCTCATCCCAGCTGTTTTACCAGGGTCCTAGTTCTTCTGTTGTTCCTACACACTACAAATTTTCTTCCTTGGTCTTCAATACTGGCGTTTGTATTTGGGAACTCACGAACAGATCTCTTTGGCTTTTAAACTGCTAGAACTTGGCCAACACCCCACTTTGCCTCAGGAATTTCCTAATAATGGCTCCTTTCACCATAGCCTCTGACCTAATTTGTTGTTGTTCTTTATTTGCATGCTCGTTTTTATTGAATATGCAGTAGTATAATTTCTCTTTCCTATTAGTAATCCACTCCTGCCTTCTAAAAACCCTAGTCGGGAAAAAATCTGTGGTTTCCTGAGTACACAGTCAGCTGTTTCACAACAACAGCCTGTCACGTCCTTGAAGACAGTGCTGAGGTCAGGGATACAAGAATTGAGGTAGAAACTGGAATAGAATATGCAATTTTTCTGTGTGGGCAATTGGGAGAGATGAGAGGCTACTGAAAGGTACCTGAGGAGGAATCAAGAGCCAATGAGATTGAGAGGCCTCTTGTGTGAGCCACTGTTTCTTTGCTATAAAGAAATACCTGAGGCTGGGTAATTTATAAAGAAAAGAGGCTTATTGGGCTCACAGTTCTGTAGACTGTATAAGAAGCATGGTTCCAGCATCTTCTTTTGTTTTTTTTTTTGAGTTGGAGTCTCCCTCTATTGCCTAGGCTGGAGTGCAGTGGCACTATCTCAGCTCACTGCAACCTTCACCTCCTGGGTTCCAGTGATTCTCCTGCCTCAGCCTCCTGAGTAGGTAGGACTACAGGTGCCCACCACCACACCCGGCTAGTTTTTTTGTATTTTTAGTAGAGATGGGGTTTCACCATACTGGCCAGGCTGGTCTCGAACTCCTGACCTTGTGATCTGCCCGCCTCGGCCTTCCAAAGTGTTGGGATTACAGGCATGAGCCACCACACCCAGCCAGCTCCAGCGTCTTCTTCTGGTGAAGGCCTCAGGAAGCTTACAACCATGGCGGAAGGTGAAGAGGGAGCAGGCGTTTCACAGGGTGAGAGAGGGAGCAAAAGAGATGCTATGTTCCTTTGATCAACCAGTTCTCATATGAACTCATTACAACAGTGAAGGCACCAAGCCATTCATGAAGGATCTGCCGCCATGACCCAAGCCCAGCCCACTAAGCCCACCTCCAACATTGGAGGTCACATTTCAACATGAGATTTGGAGGGGACACACATCCAAATCATATCACCTCTCATGGGGAAGGCAAAGAGAGGGTAAGCTGGTGGCTAGAAACTAAAAACAAAGATTTGAGAGGAGAGAGATGCTACAGGTGTTGGTACAGTTGTGTGGGTGTGAGCATCCTGGCACTTCCACTCACTTCCCGTTTACTGTGAGCAGAATTTTCTGGATGGGTGTGGAAAAGTCTTCATCCAAGTTGGGTCTGAGCAGAATCACAGAGGCTCTTGGAAATGGCCCATGTGGATTTTATGTAGCCTACTCAACTCTTTTTTACATGAATGAAGAAGTCTGTACTTATTTAAAGTATCTGACAATTCCAGGTTAGGCCGGCAGGTCCTACTCTGCCCAGAACAGGGACCTCGCCCCTGGCCCTTATATTAGGAACTTGGTCCTGTGCAGGTCAGGACACTATCACATGAGTTCTGGAGAGCAAAAGCCAAAGATGGAACTGAAGGTTAGGGAGTGATACATTTTCTGAATTAGAGCTCATGAACATTAAGATGGTTAAATATGAAAAATAGAAATTACTGTCTAGAATTAAAATAAAAAAAATGGCAAGATAACAAAAGACTTGTGAAAATGCCTAACATAGGTGTAAGTTCAATATAGGCTAAATGATGTCAGTATAAACTGGTGGTTTTCCACCAATTTGTGAAATTAAAGTGTTTTTCTCAGCTTGATATGGATACACCTGAGACCCCCGCCTATGTCCTAAGGAGAAGAAGGCAGAAATAATGAGAACTGAGGCCTTCCCTACCCCCTCCCTCCACACACAAGGTGGGTCATACCCCTAGCATCCTCATACCTACCTCTCAGACCTCAAGGCTTCCCTGCCCCACTGGAGATGGCTTTTCTTCCCCAGAGTCCTCACAACCCCTCCTGGGTGTCATGTGATCTACTTGAATGCTGTCAGGCACTAGCTATTGAGCTTGTGCCAGGACCAGAGGCCCCAGATGTGATGAACTAAAAGACCACTCTTCCTGTACCTCAATGACATCACCTGCGGTGGGTGCTTTTCAGAAATGATCACACCCTGTTTCTGATGTAGGTCACCCGCACGCCTTATACTCCACTCAAGGGTGGACATCCAAGGGGCAATGGGGGTTTGGGGATTCGTTAGAACATGGGCAGGGATTCTTTTTGCTGAGGTACAGGTGCATTCTGAATGGGGAAGACGCTGGCAGGGAGTGAGGGTCCGCACATTTCCGTGGGGAGCGGAGTTGCCCCTGTGGGACAGCCTCCTCCTGCAGCATGTAAGCCACCCCTCCAGCTGACCACCAGTCTGACTTCCCCAAGCAGTGGATACTGTGTCTATACTGGAAGTGTCTGAAGGAGGGTCCTCAGAGCAGCCCATGATAGGGTTGAGGAATCTTTAATCTGAAAGGCTACAATCCAGAAGTCACTCCAGGCAGAGATGAGGTCTCCCCTGAAAGCAGGGCCACCACCTCTTTGGCTCAGAGATTCCTGGATGACTCCCCCATGCATGACACTTGCCAGATTTGTCCTTTACCCTGCCTCTGCCCACTGATGAATGTGACCTGAAGATCGTGTTCACCATGTGGCTCCTCCCTGGACAGGCCCAATGTCAGGGCACTGATGCAGGGGTAATAACATTTAAGTGTATTCTATCCCATTTGGTTTTTTGGCATACCTAGTCATGTCTCTGAAGACTATGGCTCTAAGATGGATGGACACGTAGTAGATCTATAAATATATCACCCTGGACTCAATCCACAGAGTGATGAATGTGAAAGGTGGTTTGCATGCCACTGCACAAACCCATATGAAATACTCATCTTGGACTTTTAATCAAAATTGAATTCTGCAAGTGTTAGCAATGTTTTTAAGAGCAGTTTTTTTAGTATTTAAATTTTTTACCTTTATTGGGAAGTTATCTGTTAGGATAATACAATTTAATGAAAGAAAACAATAGTAGGAGACTTGGAAGCTCCTATTCATATTTGGCAGCCCTTTGGCTTCTCTGAGAGGGCATCCACAAATGACTTTGCTATGGATACAATGCTGTGTTCAAAGATGATTTTACGGCCGGGCGCGGTGGCTCACGCCTGTAATCCCAGCACTTTGGGAGGCCGAGGCGGGCGGATCACGAGGTCAGGAGATCGAGACCATCCTGGCTAACACAGTGAAACCCCGTCTCCTAAAAAACACAAAAAAATTAGCCGGGCGTGATGGCGGGCGCCTGTAGTCCCAGCTACTTGGGAGGCTGAGGCAGGAGAATGGCGTGAACCCGGGAGGCGGAGCTTGCAGTGAGCCGAGATCCCGCCACTGCACTCCAGCCTGGGCGACAGAGCGAGACTCCGTCTCAAAAAAAAAAAAAAAAAAGATGATTTTACTGCAGCTTAAAAAAAAATAGTGCTATATATAGAAATGGACTCTGGCTACTCACAAATATGTAGCAGTTGTCCAATAACTACCTTCTCTTCGAACTTGTTAAAACTTGAGGACTTTCCTTTTCTGCAGGGGCACACTATCGCTGAAAATCAATACATTCTTATTTTTAGTTCAGTAGTTTTACCTTGAGAGAGCAGGTAGCCCAGGAGTTTCTATCATGAAAGCTAGTTGCATTTATGTGAGAGGTAGATTGCCTGCTTTATAGAGCATTTTCTTCAAAAGAACAGTCCTGCTTTTTCTACTTTAAGCTTCCCATACATTTTTTTTCTTCTCTGTGACTTATTGGGGGGCCTGTGGAGGAATTGAGTTGGCCAGTGCTCTATGTCCTCTGGAAACCTAACTAGAGGGAGAAGTGTAGTTAGCACTTGTCTTGGGTGGTACTTGGGAAAGGTTTTTTGTGTGTTTGTTTGTTTTGTTTTGTTTTGCGTGGGGAAATAATGGGAAGAAGGCAGTGCTGCAGTACTCATGAGCACCCAGCATGCTGCTTCTGCTGCACCAGGGAAACCCCAGCCCCTGGCCATGCCAACTGGCTTGGCACCATGTGGCTGGGGAGTTTTAGTCTTCCCCTAAGGGAAGAGAACATCTCTTATTGAGATAAATCCATCAAGAGAGGCAAAGGCACGTTCCTCTTACATCCATCTTTTGAAATGGGGTTAGGATAGGGGAAATTTTTCTCCATGGCTGCTCTCCTCCTCCCCCAGTAAAAAAAAAACTGGGCCAGATACTGGAAGAGATTTGTCACCTTTACATCCTGGTCCCTGGCAGTGCTCAGAAATAAGGGGTCTCGCCAAAATCCCCTACATTCTACTTATACCCCTAAGAAGCAGGATTACAATATTCACTTTCAGTGTCCATTTGCAAGGTTTCTTTAGCAATTGTTGGGTTTCCATTGGCACTGAAATGCAATCGTGTGGGTATTTTGACATTTGTCTTTGATAAATAGAAAGGATGTAATTAAAGGTCAGATCTTGAAATGAGTTTTTAGTTTATTTTGGTATATGTGGAAACTTGCTGTGTTTGGTCAATGTTCTTTTAATGATCTAAGTTTTAAATACCTTTTTAATTATCTAAGTTTCACTGGGTTCTGCAAATTAAAGGAGTATAAATAAATGTCTTATTGCCAGCAGGGTGACCCAACAGTATCCTCAGTGGTCTAATAAGAAGTAGTGTAATTAATGGTGTAAAATATTACACTCTCTTGTTTATTCATTGAAGTAGAAATTTTAATTCAGAGGGAGAGTGAGTGTCTCCTTGGCTTGTCCTACGAAGTTTAAAATCAGAGCAGGCTAAAATGAGGGCTTTGTTTAGATCAGTCACTTTTTATTCAGTTCCTAGAAGGATATGTATCACTCTAGTATAGTGTTTTGTTTGACACCTAACAGATTATGTAAAGAATATAAATTTAGAATTCAGGTTACTATTTTTTTTTATTAGAGAGTGGTATTTATTTTTGCAAGCTCTTTAGGGTTCAGGATAGCTTGCAGGGAAATAATGTCTTCAACATATATCTAAGCATGTAATTTCAGAAATGTTTGTATTATACTAATCTTAGGCTCTTATAATAAGTTTAAACTCAGAACTTTTGTGTGTGTTTTTCTTACAAATAGGAAAACTAAGAAACTTTAGTAGCTCTATTGCTCTCTATAAGGTACTGTCCATATTCTGAAATAGTTATTGTTGTTGCATGTGAAGTCTGGGTAGTTGATGATTTCTCTTTTATGGGCACTCCTGCCTCTGCAAAATTTAGTATAAATTCCTCAGGCTGACATTTCCAGCCCTTGGCTTGTGGCTTTACTAGGCCCTGTCTTCCTTGGTCACAGGCAATCAGCACATCACCAAAGTGAGTGACTGGCTGCTTTCCAGATGCTGTATGTACTTCTTCCTACCTGAGGATCTTGGTCATGCCTAGAGTAACTTTTTCTGTTCTTCCCTGACCTTCACTCTTCAGAATTCTACGCATCTCTAGGGCTCATCCCAGGTGCTTCATCCATGTTGTCTCTCCTATTTCCTTCAATTGAATAAAGCATCACTTTTCTCTTATAGTATGCATTATTAGTTCCTTTACAGAGTGGTTGTGTTCGTCTGCTGGAATTGCCATAACAAAATACCACAGACTGGGTGGCTTAAACAACAGACATTTATTTTCTCATAGTTCTGGAGGTTGGAAGTCCAAGATAAAGGTGTCCATAGGTTTGGTTTCTTTTGAGACCTCTCGTTTTGTCTTGCAGACAGCTGCTTTCTCTCTGTGTCCCCACATGGCCTTTGCTCTGTGTGCCTTCCTCCCTAGTGTCTTTTCCTCTTCTTAGAAGGACACCAGTCAGACTGGATTAGGGCATGCCATCCATGTGACCTCGTTTAACCTTAGTTACCCCTTTAAAGACCCTATCTCCAAATACAGTCATATTCTAAGATACCAGGAGTTAGGACTTCAATATATGAAGTTTGTGGGAACACAAGCCAGCCCATAATAGTGGTTATTTGTATACATTACATGTCTTCTCCTCTTTCCTTTCCCCCATTAGATTGTGAGGTATTTGAAGGCAGAGCCTTATACAGATGGGCTTATTAAGTCTTAATATAATGCCCATACATAATAAATAGTCTCTGAATATCTGAAGTTAATTTTGATTAAATCAACACTTCAAAAATTTAGTGTAGTTATTAGACTTTTATGGAAATGATCTATAGCCACACATACTACTTAAAAAATTACTTTATGAATTTGGCAAAATGCTGCCAAGTCATTTATAAAACAACACATGGCCAGAATACTAGGCTTCTCTGCTTTTTTTTCCCCTTCAGACTTAAGTGATACTCATTGTTCTTTTGCATACACATCTTCTCTCATTCTTATAAACTCAAGGTCGAAAAAAAGGTCAGGGTGGAACTTAACATGTCCACCTCCTAAATCCGCACAGGAATCTTCATTCTCTGCATTCAACTGGCAAATGTTAAATAAAGCTTGGATGTAACAAGCCAATTCATTCAGCTCTCTGGGGTAGTAACATCAAAGGCTACATCAGGAAGCCATGCTACTCAGAATTGGATGTTCCTTGGGAATACTTATGAAGTGAACATTGGCTAGGCGAGGAATGCAGTAACTGCCATTTTGAAAACATATGAGGCTTAAAGCATTTCTGCCATCCACCGTGGTGTAGATTCCTGGATGCTCTATCAAATACATGTCTAAATGTCAGAGCAGAGTCTTTGCTGCATGCTAAAAAGAATGCCTTGTTTAGCTACAGCCTCCTTAGCACCCCACCTCTGTGTGTATATGCATTGTTCAGAAAGGTCTGGTTAAATTCTCAGCTTTACTAACAAGGTGCTGCCCTGCCATCTGGTTGTCTGATTTTCCCTGTGTTAAGAGTTGTCCTCATCCGTGGTTTAGAATACCAGTTGTTTGAGGCAGATTGGAGTATAAGCTCAACCTGTCTGACAAATAGCTTTTATTAGAAACCTGCCTAAGAGAAAGAATTTAGTGTCTGCCTAAAGGACTTGTATTTATTCGTATCTGCAGGTACCAGGTTCTCATAAATTCCATTGTCACCTCCCCAGAACTGTAGTTAGTTGAATGTTGTGCACTCTTCTCTTGCCACAAGCCACAAAAGGAACAGCCAAACAGAATCTGTTGTGGTCCGTTGCCCCTTACATGCCTTCCCATTCCTTGATAGAAGATAAAGGCTCTGGCTGGGCGCAGTGGCTCATGCCTGTGATCCCAGCACTTTAGGAGGCTGAGGAAGGAGCATTGCTTGAGCCCAGGAGTTCAAGACCAGCCTGGGCAACATAGTGAGATCCTGTCTCTACAAAAATTTTTTCAAAATTAGCCAGACATTGTGGCTTATGCCTATAGTCCCAGCTACCTGGGAGGCTGAGGTGGGAGGATTGCTTGAGCCCAGGAGGTCAAGGCTGCAGTGAGCTGTAATTGCATCACTGCACTCCAGCCTAGGTGACAGACTGAGACGCTGCCTCGAAGAAAAAAAAAAAAAAAAAGGAAGAGGAGGAAGTGGAATGACGAGGAAGGAGGAAGAGGAAGAAGAAAGAAAAAGAAGAAAGAGGAAAAAGGAAAGAAGAAAGAAGAAACCTTTTATAAGAATTTTTTTTTTTTTAGATTTGTTGTCTTTAGTTCCTTGCTTCAAGGAAGCATAAACCACATTTGAAACGTAGTTTATCCAAGTTAACTCATATAGTTACAATGTTCACATTTTTATTTCACTCTCATGATGATGTAAAAACTTCTTATATTTTTAAAAAAGAATTAAGAAGTTGTACAAACAGCACAGAGGGGTCTCATTACCCATTATCTTGTGGTGGCTACTATTTTTTAAAAATGTACTTTTTATTTTTAAAGGATTTTGGATTTTCACATCGATTTTTAAATTTCTTTCCCTAAACATATTCCTATGTTCTTTATTGCAATTTTCCATAACTTATTAAGAGAAAGATGGAAAATAAAGGCAGATAAATAAGAGAAAATAGCTTAGGAATCTGTCCTCTATGAGTTACCCTAAACATATTTCAGATTACTTTTCAAGGTGATGGTGACTGGGAGTTTTTCCACTTGGATACAAGAGCAGAAAAATGCACTCAATATGATTTCTGACATGTTTCTGACAATGGCCAGTATCTTCCTGTTTTTTATGATCCCAGCAGCATATTAAGCTAGTAGTCTTTAGAGGATAACCTAAAATGATGCTTTAATCCCTTTCTTGAGACATAATAGTTACTCTTGAATGTATATCATCCCCCAGCATGACTGATCTCATCTTTGAGCTCATTTACTGCTTATTATTGATATATCATTTAGCATTGGGTTAATTATATACTACCTTATATTTTTCCACCTATTTTTTATTCTCCAGAGCTGTGAGATAAGTATTTGTTGTTGAAGCCATTCACTCTATAGCATTCTCCCCACCCAGATTATAAACATTTTGAAACTTCTTCCTTACGCTTTTTATATTCTTTCTATATTTCTTAGCACAAATTTAAAACACCATAGGTCATTTGGATATTTTTCTCCTAAAAAATGGTATTTTATACTTGTCCATTCAAATTATGCTCTCCAATACAGGAGATGAGGCGGGGTGGGAAGCCAGTTCCTTCTGAAAACTGATTCTCAGAACTTGGTAGCAGCCAAGGTTAATTTTGAGTTTTGGCGCTTACCTTGCAATCAGAGAGCCAAGTTTCATAAGCCATGGCCTGCAATTATGCCTAAAGAGGCTGTAAATGTTCTGAGTTGGGAGTTTTTTTTCCCGTTAGAGTAGAGGGCTGCACTCTAATGATTAGTTTGCTAATGGAGAGAGCATGGCTGGTTAATGAGGCATTCTATTGCAGTGATGTACTTAAAAGTAATTCAGTAATAATTGCTGAATGGTATGATTCATATTCCAGAACACACAGTAGCAATAACACATCTGTTGTGAAAGTACCAAAGTACCATTATAAGATTGAGAATGCATTAACCTACCTAACCCTGTTCACTAATGACCACTATGGTAAGAAAAAATTCAGAATGAATTTCTCTGCAAAAAGAGATCTTTCTGTGTGGCTGGGCAAACACTGGTCCTCAGCAGGGAGAATATAATTGAGAATGGGAGGTGGGAACTTGGTTTTACTATCCCTGTTGGAATAAAGCTCTGGCTGCTAGGTGGTCCCCCAGAAGTTAGCCCTGTATCTTGTTCCTGAAAGGATATGCAGGACCAGGTTCTAGGTCTCAGAGAAAGGGAAAAATTATTGAGGATTATTCTTATTAAAGAACACTCATTAGTTTATGGATTTTTTTTCTTCTTTTATTGAGACAGAGTTTCTCTCTGTCGCCCAGGCTGGAGTGCAATGGTATGATCTCAGCTCACTGCAACCTTCGCCTCCCAGGCTCAAGCAATTCTCGTGCCTCAGCCTCCCAAGTAGCTGCGATTACAGGCATGCGCCACCATGCCTGGCTAATTTTTGTATTTTTAGTAAAGACGGGGTTTCGCCCTGTTTGCCAGGCTGGTCTTGAACTCCTAGCCTCAAGTGATTCGTCTGCTTCGGCCTCCCAAAGTGCTGGGATTACAGGCATGAGCCACTGCGCCCAGACTGTTTATGATTTTTAAAATTCTATATAGATCATCTTTCACCAATCTATGCTTTCCCAAGACAGAACCTTTGATTTTAAGGGCCAGGATCAAATATACTGCAGCCCTAATTTGCCTAAGTAAATAAAGCTGCTTCCTGAGGCCCAGGAGATCACACTTTGTGGGTTTCCCCCTGGCTCTCAGGAACATGGGGTTGGGCCTAGAAAGGAGGAAGGAGGTGCTGTGGATTTGTGGTTAGGACTTCTCCGGGCTCCAGTTCTCATTCATTTTTCAGTACTTCCATGGCTACTGTCTTGTTAGAAAAATTATACCCTTTTCTTGCTTTGCATTTGCTCTCCAAGTTTGGGGATTTTGATCTGAGAATTGAAAAAAAAACATAAAAGTGAATTATGTGCTATTTTCCTATAACTTGATGAGAAAATGATAAACAGTGATTCATAAGTTTAAGAAATGGAACTGTTTCATGTGACTTGAGTTTATTTGTAGATATTTGAAGTGATTTCTGTAGTATCAGGTAAATTCAGACATGTCAGACATGTGGACAAGTCAATATAACCAGAGACAGAGGTCTAGGCATCTGTGGGGTTCAATAAGAAAACTCTTAAACATTTTTTAAACTTCTTATTTTACTCATAACTTTAAAAGTTTATTGGTATAAACAGAATTTTTAAAGGGCTAACCTATTGTGTAAATGGTAATTTTTGACACAAAGTGTTTAGAATACTTAAAGGCATTTAAAAAAAGTGTTTGGCATATATTAACTCAGTTATTTCTTATGACACTCAGTAAAGTAGGTACCTGCTGTAGTTCATTTGGGCTGCTATAACAAAAATATCATAGACTGGGCAGCTGAAAGAACAAATATTTTCTCACTGTTCTGGAGGCTGAGAAGTTCAAGATTAAGGCACCAGTAGATTCAGTGTCTGGTGAGGGCCTGTTCCCCAGTTCATAGATGGCACCTTCTCACTGTGTCCTCACATGTTGGAAAGGGCAAGGGAGCTCTCTGGGGTCAGTTTTATGGGGTCTGTTTTTAAAGAGCATTCATCTCATTCCTGACGACTCTACTCTTACAGCCTAATCGCCTCCCAAAGGCCCCACCTCATAATACTATCTGATTGGAGGTTAGGATTTTAACATATTAATTTTGAGGCAACATAAACATTCAGTTCATCGTGGTACCTTTCCCAAGGCCACACAACTAGAAAATGGCAGGGCTGAGATTTGAACCCTGGCATTTGGCTCCAGAGTTTTTCCTCTTAATGACTATTTTCTTGGTGTGCCTACTTTAAGCATTCACAGTGTTTCTTAGTCACTTACTCATTAATCTTTCATTTCTTGAGACCTGCTATTAATTAGATGTTGTTAACGGATATGTTTTCTGTCCTCAGAAACATCAGCCTGGAAGTGGGAGACAGATAGATCCATAAACAATCCCAGAGTGGTACAGAAGGAGCGTTATAGCAAGAACCGAGGGAGGTCGGCCGGAGAGGGGAGACATCCATTCTGCCGGGGAAAGGGGGAATGTGAATCTTAGAAAAGGTCTCAGAACCGACCATCCTTGCTAACATGGTGAAACCCCATCTCTACTAAAATTAGCTGGGCGTGGTGGCGGGTGCCTGTAGTCCCAGCTACTCCGGAGGCTGAGGCGGGAGAATGGCGTGAACCCGCGAGGCGGAGCTTGCAGTAAGCCGAGATCGCGCCACTGCACTCCAGCCTGGGCAACAGAGCAAGACTCTTGTCTCAAAAAAAAAAAAAAGAAAAAGAAAAAGAAAAGGTCTCAGAACCTTAGCATTTAAATGATGGGTGGAGGATAAGGGCCGAGCAAAAAAAGACTATAAGAAAAGTTGGTCAGCAGGTATTGAAAGCAGAAAGTTCAAGAACGAACTACAGATCTATTTAAGAGCAAAAGGAAAAATGAGTCTATGTGCCAGCTTGAGAGAGATAAAACAGTTATGGTTGGAAAGTGAGGTAATGGAGTTTAAAAATACCGAGGGGGAGGGTTCTGAGGGGCTTCACTGTGTGGAAAATCATAACAACAGTTAACATCAAATCCAGCTGAGGGAATTGCTTCAGGAAGCTGGCACTGGGTCATGACTTTTCTAGGTCTGATTGGTAGCCTTTGTAATAAGCTTTTTTATTGGTCCCATTTGTCTTTTGCCATAAAAGTACTTGATGCTAAGCAACGGTGTATACAAATCAAGCCTTTCTTCTTTATAGCATATATTTTACCCCTCCGGGGACGAGAGCTATGAAGTAGACAGGGTGACCATCGTCTAGATTCAAAAGACATTTTGAGTGATGTATTGTAGATGACTTTCTTAACTAGCATGTGAAATATATAGTAAATCAGCATGACCTTACACTGGGATAATGGAGCTGAATTTATACCAAGGATCCGTCTGCCTGTGATAAAATTGCTTGTTAATTCTGGGTAGATGACATTTTTTCTGACGGGTTGTTGACCATTATAATTCCCATCTTTAGAAGTGGTTTCCAAAGTGGAAATCTCACTCTATGTGTCCCCCCTGTACCCCTTCCTTCCATAACACACCCCCAGATTCTGTTTCTAGGAGACTCTTACAATAGATGAATGGCTATTTCCTATAAACTTCTCAGTGTTGGCTGTTCACTTGGTTATTTAAGTCTGAATTCAAAGCTCAGAGTTTGGAATATAACCCATTCTTTAAGGGTGGAGCTTATTTTAAATGCTTCCCTTATATCCCTGATATCTTTTGGGTGATGTGTGTGTGTGTGTATCTGTATCTCTATCTCTATGTAGATATATAACTTTCATTATTCATAATTTCTGACCTCATCTTTGCCTTTGGTAAATACTTGAATGTCTAGTATGTTCCAGGCCTGAGGAATATGGGAGTGAATGTGGTTTGGTTCTTGAATTCACTGAGCTCTGAGTCTAATCAGGGAGATAGAAGTGTACAGCATGTCTGAT
Source organism: Homo sapiens (assembly GCF_000001405.40). Taxonomy (NCBI): domain Eukaryota; kingdom Metazoa; phylum Chordata; class Mammalia; order Primates; family Hominidae; genus Homo; species Homo sapiens. Next base: position 112,100,651 of record NC_000007.14, on the reverse strand, counting down.
GCACTTTGATATATGCAATCTTGGATGTTGAGTGGAAGCTACTCAAAGTACGTCGCCATCTTTTGTTTTGTGGAAAGTCAGGAAAAGCTTTCTCGTAGATGTGGTGCTAAGAATGGGGCCCTTGGGCCGAATCTTAAGAAAGGAACAGGTCTCTAGCAGGCTCAGAGGGAAGGACGGGGTCTTTTCAGGCTTGGGTAAAAAACTGGAGCATCTGTGTCCACTTGCCTCTGCTGGGTAATGAATTGGCTTTCTATAGCTGTTTCATCTTCTTCCCAAAGGGAATGGTAAATTTTATTAACTCAGCATCCAAATGCGTATCTATTCCACAGTGAATCTCATGGGAGTGCCAGAGATCTCAAAACAGTAACCTCAACTAATTTATCTTTGAGGAGAATTATGCATAGTTATTTTTTAGAGTTACCTAATTTCATGAATGGCTTTACGTAGTTTCTAATAATACCTCAACTGTATCAAAATGTTACATGAAATGCTTCATGCGTAATATAATATTCCTATGCACAGTAGGAAGGAGGTATGATAGTTAGCATACGTAGGTTTGAAACACAGCTCATTTTTATTGTCAGAATTTATTTTTGTTAAAATATTTCATGGGGTCTAAAAATAAAGGTATGATTGTAAAATTATAATAACCTAGAACATTAAGAGGATAAAATACTATTTGTGAGTTCTTGTTTTGCAAATATTTATCAGTGTTTAATTTGTGTAATAAATCTACAAAAAACACAACCTGTTCATTATTTTTTATTGGCTTTTAATTTATTATAGTCTACTTACAGTTATGTCATTAGTAATGTGTTATAATGGCTTCAAATACCATCAAATATATTTATAAATATGAGGGAGGGGGTAGTTTTATCTTCTATGTCATCTGTTTAGCTAGCTATCTAATTACATCTGTTTTCTTATATGCACATATTATGAGGTTCCTGGACCAACTTCATACTTGGCTTTTCTGAATGATGTGTGTATAAGGTCAGTGAACCTATACAAAAATGTTTATTCATGAATTCAGTCAATCAACTTATCAATTTTAATGAATACTGACCATGTGCTATGATAGTTGCTGAGTTGTCAGCAGAACTGTTACCCTTCCTGACCTCATGGGACTTACAGTGAAGTACTGGGGACAGGCATTGAATGAGTAAACACAAGTAAATACATAATTATCAGCTGTGTTAGGGAATGCGGTAAACTTTTTTCTGTTAAAGAGAATAAGGAACTACTGTCAAAGAGACGCATGTGTGTGGTGGGTCGCATTATAGATATGGTTATCAGGTTTGGCCATTGCCAATACAGGGTTTCTTTGGACTACTTTTTTTTTTTTTTTTTTTTTAAATCCGAGACAGGGTCTTGCTCTATCACCCAGGCGGAAATGCAATGGCACGAACTCAGCTCACTGCCACCTCTGCCTCCTGGGCTCCAGCGATTCTCCCATCTCAGCCTCCCAAGTAGTTGGGACTACAGGCATGTGCCACCAAGCCCGGATAAATTTTTGTATTTTTTTGTAGAGACGAGGTTTCACTATGTTGCCCAGGCTGCTCTCAAACTCCTGGGCTCAAGCCATCCGCCCACCTAGGCCTCCCAAAGTGCTGAGATTACAGGGCTGACCTACCACACCTGGCCTTCTTGAACTACTATTGATTGACCTTTCTGGGCTGCAAATGGGATAATTAAGTATTCAGAATTTAAACTTCTTTTCCTTTGCTTTTTAGGTGTTGTAAAATGTTTCTTAGATTATATAAAAATCAGTATATGTTCATTTGGGTCTAGTATTTAAATTATGCTCATGAGATATAATTTAGATAAAATATATAGATATATGCTCATGAGATATAATTTAGATATAAATTATGCTCATGAGCCTGTTAAATACTAGACCCAAATTAACATATACTGAATTTTACATAATCTATATAATTATGTAAAATTACACATAATTTTACATAATCTATATAATTACATAAAATTACACATAATTTTACATAATCTATATAATTACATAAGTATTTACATGTAATATTACTTAATTACTTAATTTACATAATCTTACATAATCTATAAAATTATCTATCTATATATTATATAAAATAGTACCTATTCACTGCTAAAGGAAATTATATATATATAATTTAACTATAAGATATATAATTTATAGGCTGGACGCTGTGGCTTGCACCTGTAATCCCAATACTTTGGGAGGCTGAGGTGGGGGGCTCATGAGGTCAGGAGTTTGAGACCAGCCTGACCAACATGGTGAAACCCCATCTCTACTAAAAATACAAAAGTTACTCGGGTGTGGTGGTGCACGCCTGTAATCCCAGCTACTCAGGAGGTAGAGGCAGGAGAATTGCTTGAACTCAGGAGGCGGAGGTTGCAGTGAACCAAGATCGCACCACTGCACTCCAGCCTGGGCAACAGAGTGAGACTCTGTCTAAAAAAAAGAAGATAAATAATTTATAAAAAATTGATATAATTTCTTTAGCAGTGAATAGTTTATTTTTAGAGAATTTGAGCAGAGGTATATGGATTATCCTTGCATTTTTAGTGCATATGACTTTTCATTTCAGTGTTTACTCACATTTCTGCTGTTGCTGATAATTGTGTAGCATGGAAACATTTGAGACGTGGAGTGAGAGAGAAGGAAGGCATTTCTTGAAAGACTGTACTATTTGTATATACCACTGTAAAGCTCTGGTTATATAACAGATTGTTGATGCTGAAACACACAGTGGAATCCCTTTAATTCTACCAATGAATTTAGCTTTCTAGGAAAAAACTCTGGTGTCCTAAACTCTGTTAGGATTGGGATTTACTTTGACATTCTGGCATTCAGCATTATCTCCTGCATCTCAGGGTAGTAATAGGAAATTCATTACTGAGCTATTTTCATAGGCCCAGGAATGACCAAGTTCTGTTCATACACACACCTGTGTGGTCATTACAAACAATACTGATCAGAATAACAAAAGTATGTGTGACTAAGCACGTTACTATAAAAATATTAGTCAAACATATGTTTATTCTACAGAAGGCCAGTATCAGAGGCCCATGGAACAACCTGAGTCTTTTTTTGTTTTTGGATCAGGATCTTGCTCTGTCACTCAGGCTGGAGTACAGCCTTGACCTCTCAGGCTCAAGCGACCCTCCTGCCTCTCAGCCTCTTGAGTAGCTGGTAGCACAGGTGCACACCATCACACCCAGCTAACTTAAAAAAAAAAACGTAGAGATGAGATCTCACTACATTGCTCAGTCTGGTTTCAAACTCCTGGGCTCAAGTGGTCTTCCCACCACGGCCTCCCAAGGTGCTGGGATTACAGGCATGAGCCATGACGCCCTGCCAACAGCCTGAATCTTTTTCATCCTTCTCCTAGAAAGTTTTAAACTTTCATATGTTCAGACCTTCCCTGGGATTTGGAACCAATCCTTTTCTTAGCCAAGGAAGTTTAAAAATCCTTAATTTGGTGGCTTGAGGCTGGGTACCAGTACTCCTCTATCACTTCCTCTCTTCTGGGTGGGTATTTGGGTTCCATTAACTTAGTTTCTTCTCTTTTCCTGTGAACTGATAGTTGGCTTTTTGCGGTAACCAGGTCCTGTGTTCCATTTTCAAGCTCTGCTTTAAGGTCCTCCATCTGATACGCATTCCATTTATTCTGTATTAAGGCTCTGCTTTCTAGAGACAGAAGTTCTGCCCCTGAGCCTTGCTGCTCGGCCCCTTTTATGCAGACAGCCTACTTCTCTGCTACCTTTCTGTTCTGTGTTCCCCAGTACTGTGTCCTGTAACCCACTGTCAGAATGTCCAGTTGCCCTTCTCCATACTGGCTTGGCTTGTGACATTCCTTATCGTCTCACTGGGACCTTTACTAACCAGCTACATTTTGGTCTTTGGGTCTGGGCAGCACCAAATCTCACTCATTCTAGAATGCCTCATTTACATTTAACACTGTCCTAGCTCCTGGGTAGAATTCAAAGGCGTTAGATTCTTCTTGTCTGATGAAATATTTATTGAGTACTAGCTGTGAATAAGGCAATACTTTGTGTTGTGACAAAGAAATAAGTGAAACTTGATCGTTACTTCCAGAACCACACACTTAAAAGACCAAAATAAAATTAGTACATGTTACATAATGGGTTAAAGAATGGCCTAAAAAGGCCTGGCACAGTGGCTCATGCCTGTAATCCCAGCACTTTGGGAGGCTAAGGTGGGAGAATTGCTTGAGCCTAGGAGTTGGAGACCAGCCTGTGCAACAAAGTGAAACCCCACATCTACCAAAAAGTAAAAAATAAAAAAATAAAAAAATTAGACGAGCATGGTGGCATGTGCATGTCATTCCAGATACACAGGTGGGAGTATCGTTTGAGCCCAGGAGGTCAAGGTTACAGTGAACCATGTTCCCACCACTGCATTTCAGCCTGAAGAACAGAATAAGACTTTGTCTAAAAAAAAAGAATGCCCTAAAAATATCACACACACACACAAATTTTATATAGTTGAAGAACTTTCTTCAAAAGACCCTATTTAATTATTTATTTATTTATTACGAGACAAAGTTTCTCGCTTTTGTTGCCCAGGCTGGAGTGCAATGGTGCAATCTCAGCACACCGCAGCCTCTGCTTCCCGGGTTCAAGTGATTCTCTGCCTCAGCCTCCTGAGTAGCTGGGATTACAGGCATGTGCCACCATGCCTGGCTAATTTTTAGTAGAGGCTATTTTCAGTAGAGACAGGGTTTCTCCTTGTTGGTCAGGCTAGTCTCAAACTCTGGACCTCAGGAGATCTGCCTGCCTCAGCCTCCCAAAATGCTGGGATTGCAGGTGTGAGCCACCACACCTGGCCTAAAAGACATTATACCCATTTATTTTTTATTTTTATTTTATTACAAAGCACACTTAAATTCATGAAAATTGCTTATTCAATTTTCTTAAGGGGATTTACTGAAATGCTTTCATTTCATGGTTGTGTTTTAAAATTTCTTGCTTTTATTTTGTCCTTCTCTACATCAATGAACTTTATACAAGTATATCAAGTTAGTATGCATGGATTAGAAAAGATACCATTTTTTGATAGAGTTATCACCACAACAATTATGAGAAAGAAGACTTCTGTGAAATGTTTGCTGAATTCTCTATTCATAGGAATCATAGTCAAATAACTTTAAGAAATGTCATGGGTCACTTAGTTACATATTCTTTCTCTTAATAGATTAAAATTTTGAGGTTTGACTCCTTTTTGTGTCCTGTTCACCATTTCTCTTGATTTAAAACTAAATCTAAACTAAATATTTCTTATAGCAATTAAAATCCCTTACCCTCCCCAACTTCTTCCCTCTTAAGGCTTTTATTTTCCTTTATGTAACTTCAAGTCTTTATGTGTTCCTCAGTGATTTAACATTGCCCTCTCAACTCAATTTCATTGTCTTTCTTTGACTCCTCCTTGCTCATAATCCATATAAAATAAAGAAGCCAAATGTCAGCCCTATACCATTGAAAGACTGATCAATGGTAAGTAAAGTAGAAGGAATTTTTCAGGATTGCAAATTATCCTTTTGCTGTACAAAAGTTCACAATAAAAGTCCTGTATTAGGCTGTTCTTACATTGCTATAAAGAAATACCTGAGACTGGGTAATTTATAAAGAAAGGAGGTTTAATCAGCTCATGATTCTGCAGGCAGTACAGGAAGCATGGTGCTGGCATCTGCTTCTGGGGAGGCCTCATGGAGCTTCCAATCATGGCAAAAGACGAATGGAGGAGCAAGCACATCGCATGGTGAAAGCAGGAGCAAGGGGTCAGGGAGGTACCATACATTTTTAAACGACCATATCTATCATGAGAACAGCACCAAGCCATGAGGGATCCATCCCCATGACCCATACAACTACCACCAGGCCCCACCTCCAACACTGGGGAGTTACAATTCAACTTGAGATTTGGGCCAGGACAAATATCCCAACTCTATTAACTCCCTAGTTTGGTCATTGCAATATACTGTTAAGCTATGGTCAATTTTCAGTTTCAAAACTTTCTTTGTTGTTGGTTTTGTAATTTTCAATCACATATAATTAAATTTTCTTATCCCTGAGTATGCATCATATTTTAATAGGCAGTTGTCATTTTTGAATTTCAAGTTTGCTACAACTAAGTTGGTGTAATTTGAAAAGTATTCTTTTCCAATTTGCAGTACTGATAGCCACTAGAGATTCCCTGGATGTAAACTCAAAATTTTTGGAAGATGTTTTGACCTAAAAACTATGTCGATTTGATATAACTATCATTTGGGAAGGAATGGGCTTGCTGAAATACAGCTCTATTTCTCATAGTCCACTTTTTTCTGTGTAGCTTATCACTGTGTCACAAAAGAAAATTCACTGTTGCTCATCCCTGAGCCCTGACCTGATACCATTGTAGTTTTTTTTTTCCTTGTGATGACTGTTAATTCAACCAATGACAGACCAGTGTTATTGAAGTAAGGAGTGTTTTATTTTAGTGGGATTAAATGAATGCTAAATTTGTTTTTCAGACAAAGATAGCATGATGTGCTTTGGAAAAAAACCTATTGATATATATTTTAATATAAATATTTGCCAATCAGCTGCCATTATTTTAGTGTATTTTTATGCTTACCCTGGGTAAGTCAAATGGTCTCATAATATCTAAGCTCAATATGCTTTTCTAAGATGAAGCCTAGATTTTCTGTGTTTAAATTTCAAAAATAACCATTTGAGACAGTTTTGGTGCTTTTTCTGTTTTTTTTTTTTTTCCTTATATGTCAGAGAGCCATTAATTTTTTATAAGGGCCTAAAGTTATGGTGGATCAATTTTTTATCTCAATATTTCTATAGAATTTTTAAAAGGCAAGCTTTATAAAGCTAACTTTATATTAGATGGGTGTAAGACGTTCTCTTCCTTAAAAACTAGAATCAAAATTGCTGGATTTTTTTGCAGTAGTTTTCGAGGTGATATATCACAGTAATAAGAGTTTCTTTACAGAAAGGTCGCTTTGCTTATGCAGCATTTCTCATTTAAAAGGAACAATACTTTTGCCGACTATGAGCTTTACTTTGGGAGTGTTTTAAAACAGGGAAAGCAGCCTTGCTTCTTAGAATTGTTGGTCCACATGAAGCCACCAGTGGGGTGTTCATGACTGGACTCCAGTGTGGTGATATATTAATATAATTGTTTCCCCCCCCCTTTAAATGTATGATGACTTTAAATGTCGTCACAATATTAGGTAGTGGATTATTTTCGTGAAGAGTATATTAATGATGATTTGTAGACTAGCTTAAATAATAATTTAAAACCGTTAATTGCCCAGAAAGAATTACTTAACAGTGTTAACAGGAACAGAGATTTATGGGGAATGGGAGGTGGGAATGTGGGCATTGAGAAGGAGCACATGTGCTAAGAGCCACTTCATGTTTATTTGTGATCAGGTGATCATGAAGCAATTCTGGGGTAACATTGTGCCTACTTGTATTCTTCCAAGCAACAGCGTGACTATCTGCCTATTTAAGGATGCAGCAGCATACCTTAACAATGTTTGGAGTCCTTTCTTTTCTGCATTCTGATATAATTATCTCCACATGCCCCCAAATCTTCCATAATGATGCCCATATGAGAGAGACAAAAAGGATAAATCTATTGATAAACTGAAGTTTGATTTCCCATGACACTTTCAGTTACTAGGCAGGTAAAGATTTCAGTATTCTGTTCCCACTTCTCCCAAACGCCCACTGAGAGAACAAAACCTTTCTGACATCCTGAGGTGTGGGAGGGTGTAATTTACTGGTGCCCAGAGCCTGCTGTCTGTGCTTTTCATTTCATCTTCTTAGGGAAGAAGGACAGTGCAGTTTCAAAACTGGAATAGTGATTATGGCCTTCTGATCTATTGCTGCCTGTCGGGCATGTTAAAAAAGAAAAGGAAGAGAAGTTTAATGCAAATCACAATCTCTTTGTGGCAGGGTCATCTTTGGCTGTTTCGCACTGTAATAGCCTTTGGAGAAACTGTTTTTCACTTGAGTTCTTTTAGATGTTGCTTTGAAGAGACTTGATGCTTCAGGCCCAGAGTTCTCATGTGAGGTCAAGCAGGAACCCAGATTCTTTCCGTTCAGGTAGAGAGCCTGTCGCGCCGTTAGGTCGTTAGCAAGAGTTTTCTAATACTTGAGATCAAAAGTGTGCACACGTCAGCTCTGTAGGGAGCTGTTTTGCAGACACATAATTGAGTTCTAACATCTTCATCTATTAGGAAGTATTGGTAAAAATATTTCACAGGATTGTTGAGGGGATTAAAAAATAAAATGTGAAAACCCCTAAAATGTGCTTAATGCGTGGTAGGAACTTGATAAGTGTTTATTTATTTAGTGGCAGATGAAAGACCAGTGTGGCAAACATACTGCGTGGTGGATAAACAAGAGGGAAGATGTGAATATTAACAGTGTGATAGTCAGACAAGGAATGGTTCATGATAGTCCCTTGTATCTTCATTTGCCAAACAAAGTTATTACACAGCCAGCCTGGGTGGGGGTGTGGGATATTGAGAACAGGGCTCAATATTGAGAAAGTGGTCCTGGGTTTGTTAACGCTGACACACAAAAGCCTCTGTGGTTGCTTACGAAGTGCTCACCTGCACATGTGTGGTTATCTGGTTAGATAGTGAGAGCATCACACCTGGTACAGGGAGCAGTGCAACTGACATGGTCAAATGGGGATAAAGAGAAGGCTGATTTGGTTGGCTTCTGATACTCAGAAACAAACACCAGGCTTATGAAATAGGCTGTATGGGTTTGACACTTTTCAGTTCTTGATGCCTTCAGAAAGTGCAGGAAGGATTATGGGTGTAAGTTGTGGATTCTCGTTCATTTCAAATCTCAGGAGGACACAGTATTAACTAGGGGCATCAGTGGGTACAGCCTTCCTCTCTAGGTGAGGAAAAATCTGAGAAATACCCTTGTGAGTTGCCTCTGCTCTTTTCAGGGCTGGTATCTTGAATTCTTTTCGGATTGGGCTCTGCGTCCGTTTCTGCATCCAGGTATAGTGCTGAGTCTGTGGGAAATTATAACCATTCATCAATGTGATATGGTCTCTATTGGAAATGTCCCAGCACCAGGAGTACCTATTCTAGCAGATAGCCTTGAATATTCTAAAAGCCTGTTTTCAGTTCAAGAGTAAAGGTGTATTGTACATCTTTCTAGAATTCAGAGAGACCTTAGGTGTGCAGGTAGGGCAACGCTGGCAGTCTCCCAGAGTGAAGACGGCCTAGGAATGCCCAGACATCTCTCCTCCTCTCTGCCTGACCTACCCCCAATCCAAGCTAATCTTTGCTGGGCCTAATGTTCAAATCTCATGTATACCCTTTAATTCTCATTTTACCTCTCTTTCTTCTTAAGGGGAGAAGCTGGGATATTTGCTGATAGTTGTATCTTAATTATGTCTGCGAATTAGTTGGTAGGAACACTGGAGTCAATACTAAGTCTGTGAAGCAATGTGAGTGGGGCCCTAGTACACAATCCCTGGTGGGTCTTTCCCTTATTTTATAACAAAGATGAGAGACCTTCCTTTACCTTGGAGGGCTCTATTTGAACAGTACCTCTTCAGTCTAATGTTTGTGCCACCACTGATGATTCGTAAACAGACCTTTGTGGGTGTGCCTGAGGGTTAAGGTGTTTGGTGAATGTGAGCCCGGTAGAGTCAGGGGGTCCCTGCCTAGGAATCTGGAGACAGAAAATCTGGTGCTCCCCCTGCCACTTCTAGCTCTTTGAGCCAAATAACGTTATTACCCTGAACTGCAATTGATTTACCCATAAAATGAAGAGTTAAATTAAAAGATCTCCAGTTCTGAAATTCTGTCTCAATGGTCACAGTTTGCCCATCCATTCAGTGCATGTTTATTGTGATTCTTTGCTCCAGGCACTATGTTTATAGCTTACCCAGAATATAGTTTATAGAATCAAAATATGTTGTTTGCTTCTTTCCATGAAAAATAATCTGTCTAATCTTTCAAAAATGAGCTTGTATATTTAACCTTTTCAAAACCTAACCAATTTGCCCTTACTGCAATGTAGTTTTCAACTTTAAAAAGATCATAGAGTCTCCTGTTTTTCCAGGTTATAAAATATGGTTACTTACATATGCAGATGACTAGATTATTTCAGAAATAGATAAGAATGGTTTGTCTAAACAGATATTTTTGCAATGTTAGAGGTGAATTGACTTTTTCTGTTTAGCTTTCATATAGTTTTTACTTGTGAAAATATGTTTATATCTCAAAATTATTACAGGATCTTAATCCATAACTCTATATTGTACAGAATGTCTAAATGCATAATTTCTTCCCCCCAATCTCAAAATATAATTAGAATCAATTTAGCTGACAGAGTTCAGATTTTGATATCTTATTTTATAATTTATTTATCTTTTTAGAACCTCTAATGATACCATATAATTTTCCTTTATAGCACATATCACCCATGATAATTATGCATTTATTTGTGTGATTGATTCATGCTATCTTTACCTTGAGACTAAAAGCTAAAATAGAAGTTCCAGGGGCTTATCCTTGAAAGACTAACTTAGAATCTCCAGAAAGAGGGTCTTAAGAATATTTTGTGATTCTTCAGTTGACACCATAAACCTTGATTTGGAAATCTCAGTTAGCAAAAACTGATGCCAGCTTTCAAGATTTGGATTAGTTCAATGAATGCATTTAACACTGTATTAGTCAATTCTCACACTGCTATAAAGAAACACCTGAAACTGGGTAATTTATTTAAAAAAAGAAGTTTAATTGGCCCATGATTCTGCAGGCTGTACAGGAAGTGTGGCTGGGGAGTCCTCAGGAAACTTTCATCATGGCGGAAGGGGAAGCAGGCACGACTTACATTGCTGGAGCAGGAGGAAGAGCGAGAAGGGGGAGGTGCTACATGCCTTTAAACAACCAGATCTCATGAGAACTCACTCACTATCATCAGAACAATAAGGAGGAAATCCATCCCCATGATCCAGTCATCTCCCACTAGGAGATTACAGTTCAACATGAGATATGGGCAGGGACACAAATCCAAACCATATCAAACACCAAACCGTAATTTAGTATTTGATTCATATGTCCTTTGGAAGGACTTCTGGATATAAGTTAAAGTCATTGGTTTTAAGTTGTATATCCTTGAAAGGTCATTAAGTGAAAAACTGTAACTAAGATATTTATAAAAATTGAATAATGGATGGGTGATTTGTTGGTGATGGGTTTGATTATTTCTTCTGGTGGAGAATGGGAGGTCAGTGTCAACAGGGCAAAGTACAATAAGTGGGTAAAGTTTTTTGTATTGATTATATATAGCAAAGGTGTTCTTAAATTAAAACCTAATTTGAAGCCCTAGAAAGGAGGAAAGGTAATGGATCTCTAGTTTCAGGCATCAACCTTCTGGAGCATCCCTGGCCAATAAAAATGAAATGCAAGTCACACATATAATTTTAAATTTTATAACAGCCACAGTAAAAAGAACTTTAACAAGTAAAAAAAGGGAAAAATAGGCAAAATTAATTTTGACATTATATTTAACACAGTATATCTAAAATATTGTCATTTCATAACAATTATTAATTAGGTATTTTATATTCTTTTTTGGACCCAAGTCTTCGAAATCCAGTGTGTCTTTTACGTTGACAACATATAAAAACAAGCATTGACAACGTATTGAGCACTTACTGCCTGCCAGCTGTTACTGTAAGCTCTTTAAATGCATTACTTAATTAATCCTTTCAGTCACACTATGAGGTGGTAGATACTAGTGTTATCCCCATTTTATAGATGAGGAAACTGAGGGACAAAGGGGTTAAGGAACCTTCCTAAGGGCACAGAGCAACTAAGTGGCAGAGCTAGGATACATTCTCAGCAGTGCAACTCTAGAATGTTTGATGTTCACCATAAGGCTCTCCTGCCCCAGTTAACACAATCCTGCCCGATAGGAAACTAAATGAGTGGAAACTTGCCAAGGGGACTCAAAGCTAATAAGTGACTTAGCACATGTTTAAGCTCTGTGCTCTTTCCCATAGTACTAATAGAAAAAAAACAAGAGGTCATACTGGCTGCTTTAATCATGATTTTATCACTACTGAATATGAAGACTTGGATATGTACAGAAATTTTCACTTAGGAGTTTGGGTGTTTCTATGTGTATGTATATATGTGTGCAAATAAGTATTGTCTTACATGTTTTCCAAAAGAGGATAAGAAAATCCATTAATTATATAGGAGATACATTTTTTTATCTATAAACATCTAACCTTTCAAAGAATTAAAAGGGGATATTTCAGTTGCCAAAAGAACACATTTAAAAAGGCTTTGTAATTCTGTTTATTATCTGGTGGTTTATCTAGCCATGGACTGAGTGTTTAAACTTGAAGAAGAATGACCATGTATTAAAACTTCACTCTAAAACTGATCCTCCAGCCAACAGTGTGACCTGCCTGAAGATGTGATTTTATGCTTCTATGCTTTTGCCTGAAAACTCACCTAGTTGTGCTCCCTGTCTGCATGCGAGGTCTCATACGGGACCTTGTCCCACGATCCCACTGGTTTCCTGCTTGTCTACTGCCTTTCCAGCCTATTTATTTAAAAATCTACTCCCCTTCACCACTGTTGGGTATGTACCTCTTGCTAGGGACACCACTGTATTTTTGACTATTTCTATCATATTTTTTAACACCTTGTGTTGGAGTAGTAATTACAAATCTCCCACCTGCATGCCACTCCATGGATCTGTTAGAGATGTCTAAACAGGGCTGTATTTCATTCACGATGTGTCTCCTTTGTCCCATAATTGACAAATGGTCCCAATACAATGTTAATATGATGGTCTAGGTCTCAGGAGTTAGATACCCATTTCTGAGTGGGACTGGAGAGAAAGGCTTAGGGAAAAGTGAGACTCTATTTAGGAGATAACCCAAAATGAAGCTGTCTGACAGTTTTGTCTCAGGGTACATAGTATTTTAGATAACGATATCTTTTTTTCTTTTCTTCAAGGAAAAAATTCAAAGCTTAAATCTCTCATTTTTTTCCTAGACATTTTATTATTTGTTTTTGACACTTTATACTTTAAGGGTACATTCCAGAGCTGCAGGATATTTTGCTTTGTCATTATTGAATCTGAAGACTATCATGTTTATATAGGCGTCTTCAGTGAATTTGGGCAGTTTTATGAGGATGTCTATTTGTGTGCAAATAAGCATTTCCATACGTGTCTTTCAAAACAGAACAAATCTAAATCTAAAGATAATTTTCAAGTTTGGCCAGGGAATCCTTATGTTATATTGATTCCATAAAAACAGGGGTATGTATTACCTAGCAGCTGAAGAAGAGATGGCCTACATTAGGCACCTGAGTGTCAGAAGGGGTTGTCAAGAAAGTGTACAGTTAATACATAAGTCTGTCCTGATTGAATTAATTAATCAAGAACTACAGGTGTTGAAAAGAGAAATGGGTACCTGGAGAAGGACATCATCTATATTGGCATCTTGGAATGTTAAAAAAGGAAATAGCTCACCACAGCCCTAGCCTGGTGAGCTGCCCTGTCTGCACCACAAAATATAGAACTCTGAGACTCCTGAGGGTTATCTCAGTTTTTCTGTCTTTTCTTCCTTCTTACCCAGGGTTCAGCATGCAAGGTTATTCATTAAAATCCTGTCTTTTTCTGATTTGTTTTTTCAGGGGTGGTGGGGGTGCTGGTAGTGACAGAATTTTCCAATTCTCCTAGGTGCCTTTGCTTTTCTATCCTGGTGCTACTGACTGTGTAAACTGTGACAAAATTCCCTTCCAATCCTTGGTTACTGTTTAATTCCCCTACATGTGCTTCAGAGTCAACATTTAGTGTGCTTGGGCAGGATGGCCTTGGCTCAGCGTAAAACTCTGTCAGAATCGGTTAGATGTGACTTCAGAGTTGGGTTTTATTGACATTTTACATGCCCGAGTTGATTTTGGAAATTGCCTCTGTTACCACATCCTTACTTCTGATCCTAATGGGAAACCAACATTTGCTAGATTTTTGGCAACCACTGTTTTAACAGGAGGAACCTGTGTCTCATACACTGCTGTATTGCCACAGCTTTGAGTTTTGACAGTAAGGAGAAGGTAGGTACTTAATAAGTATTTATTGAGTTAATGAATTTTGGTGCTCTCGGTTCTGATTTTAAAACGTTTTCTGTTTCATTGACTCTCCTGTTAAGAAAACAAAACCTTTCCCAAACTTAGCTATTTAATATAGAAACTATAATTCTAAAGAATAAAGAGAAGAAAGAGAGAACAGACAGACACAGACGTTAACTGGTGCACGACTTATGGTCCCTATATTTAAATGGGCATGAACTGTGGTGAGCTAGTTTTTCTGGATTTCCCTTTCTGCCTTATTTATTGTGGAAATTTGTACACAAAGGTGTACAAAGATAACGTACTATATATTCATGTATTTTTTGAACTTCAAAAATTATCCACATTTTGCCAATCTTATCCATGTCTGATCTTTCTTTTTCCTGTAGTACATTTAAGCAAATCCTAAATATGGTGTTATATTACCTCAAAATACTCCAGTATACATTTCCGAGGATTTTTTTAACCAAATTGTCATGACATGTAACATAAGGAGTAATCATTTCAAGAATTAATATCCTATACAGCCAGCCCATATTACAATGTTTCAAGGATGTACTTGTTAGCTCCAGAGACTTGATTAGACTCTGGTCTGTTTATTTGCTTTTTTTGGCAAAAATGTCTCATAGCTGGGGCTGTGTCTTTTTTTCTGCAAGAGAGACTTGTTGTCTGCCTGTGCCTCTTCCAGGGACACTGCTGAAGATACCTAGATCAGCAAGTTCAAATGCTGTCAGCCCGATCCCATTTGAAAGTTCTCTATCAAGCTTTCCCTGATGGATTTAGCATCCATTGATGATCACTGTCAAGATCCATTATTTATCTTAGGAATTAGGAAAATCTTAGTTTTCTCATTGTGATTCTGTCATTTCTTGTACATTTATTGGGTGAATTCTTCCATAAAGAACTTCTACCCATCTGCTACTTGATTACCTTGAAATACACTTTTTACAGGAAAGGTAAGATAAATGCTTGATACTTTCTCCTTATTTATAACTTTTTGGAATCATAAATTTGTACCCTGGCAACCGGCAGTAATGAATCATTGAAATTTTCTCATTAGTATCATTATGAACTCATGAGTTTTTATATATTAGATGTCTTTCAATCTAGTGCATTTTTTTCCTCTTAAATTGCCCTATCTTAGGTCACTTTGACCTCTGTTTCTTTTTGACACAGCCAAATCAGTTTTTGATGGGCTATGGATTTAAAATCTCTAATCTTGTTTACTGGTTTATGAAAGATAATTTGAAATTGCTCTCTTGAGCATCCTGACCCTTTGATTCAAGCAAATATTGTGGGACTGAGGGGAAGCTATGAAGTTCTTTGCCAAATGTTACCATGTTAAATCTCTTCATTTTGAGGAGAAAAGATTAGAAGATGGCTTTGTGATATGATCTGTGTGGCAGTTTCTGATGTTGAAGTGAATATACTAGAACAATTTTCTCATAGAATGGGATATAGTAAGAGCACTGTTCTGAAGTCAGACAGCCCTCGCTCCAAATTCCTGCTTGACCACTTCCAAGCCATACAACTTGGCCAAGTAACTTATGTTCTGTATGTTTTAGTTTTTTCATTTTCTAAAGTACACATACATGGTAATAATACCTTCCTTTTGGAATAGTTGTGTGGTTAACTTGAAGTGATAATGGTGAAAACACCCAGCAGAAAGCCGGTCACACGGGAAGTGCCTTGTAATGGTAGCATAACAATGGTAACAAGTCATGTCACTGTGATTTGGCATTAAATCTGGATATCTGTTACTTCACTCTGTACAAACATGAAGGGAGATTTTCTAAGAAAACAAGGATTTTCTTTCGTTTTCATTATGCATGTCTTGAAATTTCCTGCATTGCTCTATTTGTGGGAACTGAAACATTTTCTCAGCCCAAGCATCATGTGACTGTTTCTTATTGCTAGTCAGCAGCATGAAACCTCAGATGAAAGTATATTAACTGAGGGTCTGGTAGAACTGTTCAGCAAAGCTAAGCAGACTTTATTTAAAGAAAATGCTCATTCCCTTTTGCTGGACACACAACTTCTAAGATCCATGTATCATGCTGCTAAGTAGTGGCTTTGGGATGCTCTCTGTATAAATGAAATTTTCTAGTCAGCTGAAATTCAAACACTAAACATTCAAATATTTTAGTAGCTGCTGATATAAATTGTACTGAAATGTAATGGTTTTAAGCGGAAGCAATTTAAACATCTTTTCACTTTTTCTTTATGATTGCATCAGTCAGCTGTTGCTCCATAAAAATCAATTCCACAACTCAGTGGCTTAAACTAATTTTCATTCATTCTCACTCTCTGTGATAGAGATTGGCTGGGCATGTTCTGGGCCAGGCCTGACGGCATGACTCTACTTCATGCTGCAGGCCTGTCTGGGTTTAGGTCCTCACTGTGGATTAAGCTTAGGTCTGTTCCAGAAATGTTTATTTTGAGGGCCCAGTCTGAAGGAAGCAAACCAGCGAAGCTATTCCTATGGTCGTGGTAGGAGTACAAGAGTGTTAGCCCAACTGTGCAAGCGCACTTCAGCTGTCAACTGGAATCACATCTGATTCCATTCCGTTGGTCAAAGTAAGTCAATCACTAAGCCTAACAGCAGAGCAGGGAAGTATACTTATTCCATGAGGTGGTTAGGGAAAAGTGATTATTTGCCAAATACCAATCTAATTTACCGTACTAAACTAAGCCTTTGGTATGATCCTCTAACAAGGTTCCATACTATATGTAGTTATTATTCATATCTTTAATATCCCTGCCATCAGTTCTGACTTTTCATCTTGTTCATTCTGTGCCACGGAAAACCATGTCTTTTAAAAATTGTGTTCAGGTAAAGATAAATTCTACATGAAGATTTTAAGGCCTTCTGGGGAGTGAAGCTTTGTTTTCATAGCTATTTTGGATGTTTGGTGGCCTTTTATTTTATTTTATTTTATTTACCTTAATCATTTTGTTCCAAAAAGAATTAGAGATGTTGCCAGAAATTTGACTTCTGGGTATGAGGGGTTAAGCTCAACATGTAAAGATAAAAACTTCTAGGAAACAGAGGTTAATTCATTATGTTATAGTAACTGGGTCATACGTTATACTATTAATTCTATATTTTATATTCTAATCTTATATCTATAACCAACTCACAGAACAACTAGGGGAAAATTACCTAATCTCTAGGTACTTTTATGTAAAACCAATGGAGATGATAGATGTGAGAGCCTGAGGCAATTGTGATGGTATTCACATATCAAATAAAATTATTTTCAACTATGTTAAGATCATATTAATAAAAAATTCTACTGATTCCTAATTCATAATTAATCTGCCTAAACTACATTGAAATTTACTTTACCTTAGTGCAATTTATGGATAAAGGGATTATTTATAAAATTTATGTTGTGAACCCTCTGAAAAGAAGTACATTATTAAAATTAGAATATTTATTTGGGGCTACAATTAATGCTAATTATAATTAGTGCTAATTTCAAGTGTGCTTAATCTATTCAAAAAGTAGACCCAGTGGACTTTAAATTGACCATCTCCATAATACATTAAAAGTAATAAAGTGGTTTTTATTTAAATACATTCTAGAATAAATGATACTTTAATTTAAAATTTATTTCTAGCTAAGTCATATGGGTAGGATTTTACCAAGTTTAAAAAATTATATATTTTTCAGATACATGAATAGCACTACCAATCTCAGTTGTTTCTGATATAAAATGTCTCAGCAAGTACTGTGGTGATTAGTATTTCTCTCTCCTTTCTCTTTTTCTATATAGTAAACTATAAGCCTTAAATCGTTAAGTGTAATGTAATCTGAGGAGAGAGAGTGAGTTGACTACTATCCATAAATACCTCTACATCTCCTTTAGTCGAGGGTTTAATATTAACAATACATTCTCTGTAGGCTTTTCCGGTTTCTTACAGGAAGAGAAAAATAATTTTGTAGCGAACAACAATTACGAAATTTATTTGATTTGCTGGGAAATCCCAGCGTGCCTATGGGTTGCCAATCCTATTATCCCCCAGTAAAGGAGTAGGGAAGGTAGATTTTGTACCACAGCAACCACCCCCGCTATTTCTAGCCATTCTTCCTTTTTTTCTCTGGCTTTCCTGTGAAATTACCAACTTCCTACCTGGCTTGCTGCTAATTGTTCAGACCCACAAATGGGGGCATGGTGATGGCTGTTGTTTCCTCTACTGACATTACAATAATGTATGAGACTCTCAGGGTTAACTGTGTATTTGAGATTTCACTAAGCATGATTGCATTAACATAGATTTCCTCTCCAGTCATGACACAAATTTTTAAAAAGTTTTTCAGGTTCAATATTTCATTACTACTGTTCCCTCTGCATCTACCCTTCCTACCATTTACTATGTGTCTATTCCATGACAGGTGCGGAGCTAAGAACTCTACATGTATAATGTCATGTAATTCCCCACGCCTCTCCAGCGTAGGTACTCTGATGACATCCATTTGTCACATGAGTATTCTGAGGCTGGGAGAACCTTCAGTGACTTGCCCAATTTGTCACAGAGCTGGTAAGAGGCAGAGCAGGGCCCCAACCCAAGTCTGTCTCTGGACTCATGAGCACTAGGAGATCTTGCGCATTACTCTGTGATCTTCCTCTTTTGGTCTTCACATTTTATACTGTGATACCTTAGATAGTTTTCCCTCTTTTTATTCTTGAGCCCCAGATCCAATTTACCATCTTTCTTTTTGACCCCTTCAAGAGAACAGCTACAAATAAATTATTTAATTTAATCAGCATTTATTAAACATCAGCTGTGTGTGGAGTATTGACGGGCACTGGAACTACCAAGATTTGTTTATTTTTCTGTCTACAAAACATTTGAGATAACTGACAAAGTACGTAAAATAAGAAAGGGATAAAAATAAGTTGCAAGACCTTTAAGACATAGTGACTTTCCTCCTGGGATCTTTCTAGAAGAATCCCACTTGAGAGTGGTTCTTCATGTTCTTGTTTTGTCTCCTTGACCTGCTCTGTGGGACATAATGAGTGTTCATCTGCACTTTTCGTGTCAGGCTTCCCTCAAGGACTCTGTCCTCACCCTGAGTCTGGGATGAAAGCCACCCTGATTTGTGACTGTAATAACCAGCTTCTCCTAAAAAGTTGGTGGTGTTAGGGATATCTTCACATGGATTGTCTTGTTTCCATGTGAAATAGTGTCTTAGAGCCCTGAGAAGTAGCTGTCATGTGGAAACGGAGTCATGCTTGCCTGCATTCTGTGTGTCTCCTCCAAACCTCACTACTTCCTTGAATTGCCCACAGGATTCGCATTCCTGTCTGACTGCGGGTTCCTTCTTCCTGTTTCGATTCTTTTTTCATGGGCTTTTTGCACCACTACCCGCCTTCCTGTCTCAGTATTTTTGTTGCTGGCTCATCCTTCTTGTCTTCTCAGATGTCAGCCTCCTATCCGTGGCCTGTGGGCTACTTGGCGGACCCTCTAGAAATGTACCTCGACAGTTGTTCATGTCTTTTAACAATTTCTTTTATATTGTTGAGCAGATGGAACAATTATTTAAGTCTATTTTCATTCCTCATACCCCACAAATCTACACAAGTGTTTAGTGACATAAGTGTAAATATTATTGAAACATCAAAATATCTTGCTGTCTGCATCCAGTTGCTAGTTCACAGCATTCAGGTGACAGTGGCTGTATTTGTAGAGCCTGAGGAAAATGACATAAGATGTTTTCTTTGACAGTGGTTGTCTTACGTATTTGGATATACCCATTGTGTAAATATGCGTTGAACGAAGGAGCTGTGTCATCCACATCTAACAGAGGTGAAAACAAAAGTCTACCATAAGGTCTGTCTGCCTTTAGCCAAATGGGAAGTGATGTTTCTGCACATTGTCACAAGTGCGTAGCCAACCATAACCTCTTCTTGAGCAACTTAAGCTGGCACAGGAAATCTGAGACATGACTAAATGACGTGTCAGGAAAGAAGAATTTCTGAAATGTTGTTTAAACAAAAACTGGCAGATATGTAACATTTCTCTATCAATGCAAGAAATCATCCTACATGAAAAAGGAAGCTCAAAATTTTGTTTATGTAAAAACTTTTTTAAATTACTTGAGTTTTGTTAACATTTATCCTTTTACATAGGGTTGCTAAAGTTAGCGAATAAATTATAGGATACCCAGTTAAAATTTAATTTCAGGTAAACAACAAATAGATTTTTAGTATAAGTAGGTCCCATGAAATGTTTATGACATATATATACTAAAAACTCATTCATTATTTAATCTAAAATTTATATTTAGCTTGGCATCCTATATTTTGTCTGGCAACCCTCCTTTTAAGAAAATCTAATAATCCATATTTACCTGATAGGTAAATTAGAATACTGATTCTTTTTTGAATGAAAATAATGTATTTTTTTAAATTTTTCTAACTTTAGTTCCTCTAATAGAAATTAATTTAGATAACTAAGGAACCATAGGAATTTAAAAGCTGACCTATCAGAAATAACTTCAGCTATATTACATTAAAAATGAAGAGATGGAATCTGAAATAGGAAAGTAAGATTTATACCCATTATTCAGCCAAAATCTGTTTTTCTTTAACTTCTACCCATTGTTCCTAAGTCTGCCCTCTGGGGGCTGTAGAAAATAATGAAGATGATGTTATTAATGATAACCAGTGCTTGCTGTAACCAGTTATGTGCATTATTTTATTGGATTTAATTTGTTTACTCTTTATAACAGCATGTGAGGGAGGTGCTTTTCTGATTTCCATTCTACAAAATAAGAAACTAAAGCACAGAGTAGTTGATTAGCTTAACCATAACCACATCTCTTTGTCAACTCTTAAAGTACCAGAGCTTTCATAGTTTTAAAGTTCCCAATTCCTTCTACCATTTCTTTTAGTACAGGGTCTCTAGACCCTTTCCTGTCCTCATTCAACTCTCAGCTTGTTGTGGCTTGTCAGTGCCCTGAAATATGTTATGGCCAAAATTTAAAAGTATACTTCATAGATCATATAATTTACAAGTAGAGTACAGCAGGATTTTTAATGGCCTTGGTACTAAAGTTATATTGCCAATAGTGACCCATGGATTAGCTGAGTTTTGTTTCGTTCTAGTTTTTGAATGGGGAATGTACTTTTACATAATACAGTTGGCTCAGGTTGACCTTTTAGTCAGGTGAAACTTCCAGGTTCTTATCTGTACTAAATGCAGGTAAGCAAAGTCTCCCTCAATTTCCACATGCACAGTTTGCTTTTTTAAACAGATGTGCAGGAATTCACTTGTATTTGTATAACTTTTAGAAATTGTCTCATTTTACCTTATTCTTCCTGCCTGCTATCATTCTTACATATTTATTTTTGTTTGTTTGTGTGAGACAGAGTCTCGCTCTGTTGCCCAGGCTGAAGTGCAGTGGCACAATCTCAGCTCACTGCAATCTTTGCCCCCTAGGTTAAAACGATTCTCTTGCCTCAGTTTCCCGAGTAGCTGGGATTACAGGCGCATGCCACCATACCCGGCTAATTTTTTGTATTTTTAGTAGAGACGGAGTTTTGCCATGTTACCCAGACTGGTCTCGAACTCCTGGCCTCATGTGATCCACCTGCCTCGACCTCCCAAATTGCTAGGATTACAGGTGTGAGCCACCGCACCCGGCCGTATTTTATATTTCTTTATAATATATCAAAAAGGCAGTACTGGTCTATGTTTGGAGCAGAGACCCAGACTCTGCAGGAGATACGTGTATAAGTGAGTGAGCTCCCTCCTGTTTCTCATCTCCAGACGTTCCTATGCCTCTGCTTTCTTCCCAGTTGGCTTGAGTAGATGTCCAAGGGATTGACATCAGCATGTCTATATTGTTTGACCATTTCAGCTTTGGGGAAGAAGGTTGGAGCTGTGTTACAACATTTCTCTCCCTTAAACTCGACAAACTCTTAAATCACCTTCCTTTGATATTCCACAGTGATCCTGCCTAGTTAAATATTTTTTTTCCTAAATCGTCTCTCTATGTGCCATGCCTGTAGCTGTAGCTTTGGTAAAGTTTGTTTCCAAAATAATAAGACTTATAATACCTTGTTCTTGGTAATCAAGAGAGTTAATAATAGGAAAAAGTATTTACCTGGGGGAATTGTAAACCATTTGTATTTCATATAAAAAATGACAGCTCTAGTTGTCTTGGACGTAGCTGGGAGCAGAATGTATTGAGAGAAATGGGGTAGAGTGTAGTGAGACAAAAGAGGCTTCTTTGTGTTTGTTTTCAAGGAAAGCTCAGATTTAGATGTAAACTAATTAAGCATCTTCTAACATTTAAAAAAACATGAGAGATAAAATCTTATTCATGCA
The DNA here is from genome assembly GCF_000001405.40 of Homo sapiens. Lineage (NCBI taxonomy): Eukaryota > Metazoa > Chordata > Mammalia > Primates > Hominidae > Homo > Homo sapiens. The sequence goes on along the minus strand of NC_000007.14, from coordinate 112,078,158 downwards.
CCTGATAGTTCTAAAATTTTATGAGAAATTTGATGAATTTATGTATATTGAATTGATTCATGTATCAGTATACCATTTAGTAGAGAACAATTTTCTGTATTTTCATCATTATCAATAATTAGTGTAATTAATATCTATGCCAATACATTTAATAAATATAATAGAATTTTACTCACTTAGGCTTGTATTTCTAATAAATACAAAACACAAAGTGATCAACACTTATTATTCTCTTTCTGGGACCGCTTTGATGTGTCTTAGCTACCTTTTATACATTAAATTTATTATATTTTTAGCAAACCTATTAACTGATAAGTTTACTGATTATAATTTTTATTAGAATGAATAACATTTTATAAAAATTTGAGAGCATTATTCAGAAAATTACAAGTGCTGTATTATCCAGTGCTTTCTAGCATCAACATTCAGCCTAGAATATTGCCATGATACTGTATTTAAATAACTGGCATGTTAAAAAACACACACACGCACATATTAATAAATCATAGGTGCTCTGTGAAGGTAATCTATTACACACTATGGTTTAAAACATGATTTTATAATGCATGATACCACAACTCACTTTGGAATGCGTATGAATGATGTATTAGTGACTTTTTCTAAATACGTATTCCATCACTCTTAAGCACACTGTAGAAATGATGCGTAATTTTGTTTTATAAATAATATATCTTTAAAAGACGTTAGTTTCTATAAATATTTAAAATATTTTTGTAGTATAAAAAGTATAAAATGAAAAATGTTCTAAATTGGGTTTCATTTTATATGATGTCTTTCCCATAGTAGTTAATGTAAATACTATTCTATTTTTGTCTTTAATGTTCAGAAGGAGCCCAGCTATGTTGTGTTTTTTGCTAGTATGATGTTGGGCTAACTTTTATAGCATTTTTCCTTTTTGGATAACTTAATTTACCACGTAATTGTCCATGCTGGGGTGGAGCAAAGATTTATCCAAAAGGTTACTTTTATTAGAAAAGTGTACTGCTTTAGGGTTTTGAATTTCTGACTACTGGCTGACAGTAACCTTATTTGCTGAGTATCAGTTGTCGTTCAGTTACTCTTTCCCTGTCTCATTGGCTTTTCTCTCCCTGTTTCCCATTTTGACTTTATACTGAATAAAATCAAACGTCTAAGTACTCTACTTACTATATACACCTTGCCATTTATATGTAACAAGTCTCTTGCAGGAAAGTGTTCAAATGATGCGATCTTTGTTTTATGCTATTGGAAAATATACTTGTCAACCTTAAGAAATAGTATATTCAGTCAACGCTTCATTAAATGTAGTATTCTTTCCTGAAAAATAAAACCCAGTGCTCTGTTTAGTTCTTACCTACATTATAGTCTGCAAATAAGACATATGACAAATTGGTTGTAAGCTGAATTTCAATTTTAAATGAAAAATGATTTCTAAAAAGAATCTCATTTTGTTTCATAAAACCCTGAACACACTTTATATGGAATTTAGGACTCATTTGTAACCATAAAGAAATGATAATCAAACTTCCCAACAAGATGAGGTTTTGGGGAAATATGAATTAAACTGGCTACCTGGAGAATGTCCAAATATTGCAAAACATATTTTGAAAATATCAAGTGGGCCTTAGGGTGGAATTCCATAAATAATCAAAAAAGCCAGATGTCTTTGATCATGAAATAATTTGTGGAAGTGTGCCAAGGTGTTCTAAGCTTTCCTCATCTGTTTTTAAAATAATCCATTTAATATGAAAATGGGTTCCAAAAAATTTAACATTTTTTGCCAAATTCAGTTTGTCTTTATTAACTGATTCCCCAGATTCTAAATTAATGAATATGATTTTAAATATTTTAAGAACCCCCCCAATTCTTTTTCTTAGTTAACTCAAACCAGCAAACATTTATTGTGTGTTTACTGTAAACACGGTGTTATACCTGTTTCAAGGGCATATAAAAGTAAAAAAACAAAACATACTGTTTACCTTCAAATTACTGCAAATGATTCCAACAAAATAGTTTCCTGTAGTATTTTATAAAGAAAGTTCTTTAAATGGCTACCTGAAAATATTTTTAGCATTAAAGTCAACAAATATTTTAGGTCTTTTTCTTCACTGTAACAAATTCTAGGAGAATATAGAAAAAGTGTCAAATGTAGCACTTCTTTTTGACAAACTAATTTTTTATAATCTAGCCTAAAAGATAAGATAAAATATCAGATAGTGTAAGGACATGAGTAAATGGTAATTGTACTACAATTTTAAGTGTTGTAAAAGCTCACAGAAAATGAAAATTAGAAGTCACTGTATTATGTCAACACTTCTTTTGGGCTGGAAGAGCTAATTCCCATAATAGTATTTATTTCTGTAAGTTTTTTTTTTTTAAATAAGGACAAAGTTTAGCCCTACTTATGTTTGCACTATCAAAAGTTTCATTGTGACTATGCATGTGAATGGCATAGTGTGTTTACATCCAGGTTGAAGTACTTTGTAATGAAAATCTTTGGTTCAGAAATTAATGTTGTCGTATCAGTTTTTGAGATATGCTCAAATTCTGTTGTTTGTTGCCAATGAGTATGGCCCAAAATTTGGGAGATAGTTGTATTTAGCTATACAGTATTCAGTGAGTTGTATCTGAATTTCCTGCTAAGTTATGTAACTTTTCAGAGGAAAGACTTTGTCATAGTGTTACGGTTTCTAACTTATTTCCAAGTCCTCCCTCTAGGTGATGATTCCTCTATGAACTGTCCTCTTCATTACCATCAGTGTGGCACCATCCAAAGCAGGGAATTGCATGTGAGGCTCCCAATAGCTCTCTGTTGCCTGCAGAAAACATTTCTTAGCACCAGCAAAAAGTCCCTCCTCCAGTCTTGCCTCTCTTTCCCTGCAAAAATTATTTTCATGAGCAGGCTCTGCATTTTATATGTTGTTGGTACTTTCTCCTGGGTGAATACCTTCTTTTAAGTGCCTGGCTCAACTATTAGGTCTTCAGTGTCTTTCCCTGACCCCACTGTTATATTTTTCCACAATCAGTGTTTCCACATTTATTATAGCATAGTACAGATAGTGTATCAGTGGAGTCCAATCAGGGACAGAAACCACAACAGTTACTTGAACAGAGATACATCAATATAAAGAATTGTTAGCTAGGTAGAAAGGTGATACTTAGGCAACTGACAAGGCAGGAAGAGGACCCTAAGGGATCAAATGTGTTTCAACTGCAGGAAAGAGATTGGGTTATTTGAACATAGAAACTTAGAGGAGGAGCCCTGTAGAGCTGAAATAGATCTCTGAGAAGAGAATACTGCTCTACTAGTGCTGCTGTAGCTGACTTCAGAAGATGATCCCTGTGGGCCTGGGATCCAGGTCTTTAAGGAGGGTTGGCCAGCCAGCTGTTGGTGAGATCTCTGGGTAGAGGCTGGGGTCAGGATGAGGCTGGTTTTGCAAGTGAGAAAATTGGCCAACTGGATTGAAATGCTGCTAGAGAGAACTGCTTCTGCCCAGATGAAGTGTTGCCTGGGTAACACAGGAACCACAGACAGACAAGAGGCAAAATGGAAACATCCATAGACAGGAAGGAGTATGTCCCTTCTTCCTTCTCAGCCTTGCAGTCCCCCACTAGTATCCCCATGGCAGATCTAGGAGCCAGCAACTGGCAAAGCAGAAATGAGGTTTGCAGAATTGTTAGCCCAGCATCACAGAGGAGGATGAATTTGTAGTTGGTAGACAAAGGTTTAATAACCGACACAGAAGAATAAATGCCTTCTTCCTGTTTGGCTATGAGCCCCTTGATATAGGAGTTGTGTGTTATTTATTTCCAGTTCCCAAATATCTAAAATCTAAATCATTTTATAACTCATTTGACAGTAAAAAATCTAACCTGTGGATGTAATATTTGCTCATGTTGCTGCAAAAATATTAATCCTGCCTGGATACTCACCCACATCTGCCTGGGAGGGTTTATAATACATGATATTTAACCCAAATTATTTTGTAAAACCTGGAGAAATTATTTTTTATTTTTAACGTGAAAGTCATTTATGTGAAAGTAACCAAAAAGGCTTATTACACAGTAGTCAAAAGGCATGCTAAAACTCATTTTAGATACAACTATTTTTTCTCTTTTATTTTTACTGGACATGTAATCATTGTACAAATTTATGGGATACAGAGTGATATTTTGATTCGTGTATAGATTCAATTCATGTATAGAGTGTATAATGATAAATCGGGGTAATTAGCATACCTCAAACATTTAAAATCTTCTAGTTTTCTGAAAATATATAATAAATTATAATTAACCACCTTCACCCTACAGTGCTACAGAATACTAGAGCTCATTTCTCCTATCTAGTTATAATTTTGTATCTGTTAACCAACTTCTCCCAGTACCCTCCTCCCCCATCTCCTCCCCAGCCTCTGATACTCACAGTCCTACTCTCTACTTCCATGTGTTCAAAATTATTTTTAGCTCCCATAGATAAGTGAGATCATGTGGTGTTTATCTTTCTGTGCTTGACATATTTTGCTTAACATAATATCTTCCAGGCTTATCCATGTTGCTGTGAATTACAGGATTTCATACTTTTTTATGGCTGAATAATATTTCCTTGTATACATACACAATGAAATATTATTCAGCCATAAAGATTGAAATCCTTTTTTACATTACATTTTATTATCTGTAATAATACATGTAATACATGTATTATTTTACATTACATTATTGTAAAGAAAATACATTTTCTTTATCCATTCATGTGTTGAGGGACATTAAGGTTTATTCTATATCATAGCTATTGTGGATAATGCGACAGTAAACATGGGGATGCAGGTATTCCTTTGATATACTGATTTCCTTTCCATTGGGTAAATACCCAGTAGTGGGATTATTACTGGCAGGGAATCTATACAGGTCTGCAGCAACCTCAATTCTTGGCTCCTCAGAAGAAAAAACTTGATAGAGGGACATAGACAAAATGAGAGACCTAGGCAGGTTTTAGGACATGAGTGGAAGTTCATTAAAAAGCTTTTGAGTAGGAATGGAAGGAAGTAAATAATTCTTGGAAGAGGGCCAAGCAGACGACCTAGAGATCAAGGGCACTGTTTGACCTTTGACCTTGGGTTTTAGATGTTCCCATGCTTCTGGGGGTGTTGTGATCCCTTCTCCCCTGATTCTTCCCTTGGGGTGGGCTGTCTGCATGCGCAGTGGCCTGCCAGCACGTGGGAGGGGCTGCATGAGCAGTGTGATTACTGGAGTTGTACTCATGCTCACTTGAGGCATTCTTCCCTTACCAGTATAAAGTTCCCAGAGGAAGGTTGTATACCAGTAAAGCTCCGCCATTTTACCTCTTAGTGTGCATTTGTGAGACCACTTGCTCAGCTTCTGAGATCTTATCAGGAAGCTGCTGATCACCAGTTTCAGGTGTTGCTATCTGTTGGGAGATGGCCACTTCCTGGTGCTGGCTGCAACAAATACTATTTTAGGGAGACAGTTTAACAACCTCCTGACCATCACCTGATGGTTGCCTGACATTCCTGGTGGCAGGGGCCAGGTGAGGGGCTCTTCTGGCCTGCTCATGTCTGCCTCACTGCCTACTGTAACAGGATTGCTGGGTCATATGATAGCTCCAGTTTTAGTTTTTTGGAGAAATCTCTGTACTGTTTTTGCTAGTGGCTGTACTACTTTACATTCCTACCAACAAAATATAAGGATTCCCTTTTGTCTGCATCCCCAAACCTGGAGAAATTCTAAATTACACAACACATCTGACCCTAGCGTTATCAGATAAGGGATTAAGGATCACAAGGTCTAACAAAATGTCTTGTGTAGTTTAGTAAAGATTCCATGAATTGATAATAGATTGTTTACTAACTTCTTGTTGTCATGTTATTTTGCAAGCTGATACTCTGGTTATAGATAGATTTTTTTTCCACATGTGAGAATTTTTAAAGAGGTAATAAATCTGTGAGCTCTTTGTAGTTACTGAGTACATGGAAATATCATGGTTTATTGGAGCTTTGGAAAAGGATATGGAAGCTCTTTTGATAGAGCCTCAGAGAAAGAAAAGAGAAGATGTTTTGAATTCCCAATAGCTATGGTGTTCAAACAGGTTATGACTCAGAAAATAATTTTCACATTGGTTTGCAGGAAGATGAGTTCAGCAAGGTGAGGGATATTCTACTTCAATCTATGATAGTCAAGAAATTTCACTAAAATTGTAAACATATAGAGGAGGAATCTGGAGTTTCATTGGTTTGATCTTTTTAACTAGAAATATGAGATAATTCTTTACCCTTCCTTTGACAAGATTTTGATGGTAACTTCCTAATAGATTTATTTCTGTCAATATTACATATTGCTGTTGGTACATTTTTCTAAAGCTACTGTACTTTTAGTTTTTCCTCTGCTAAGGCAAGGACATCCAAATAAGAAGATTTTGGCAGGTAATTGTGAATAAAAATACATTGAAAGGTTAGAAAATATTTTAAAGGATTATACTTGTATTTCTTTCAGAAGATTGAAGACTGCTCTGAATACGTAAATACTTTTACAATTTGTATGGCATTCCTATTGGAATAGAATCATTCAATTTCGAGTAATAATAGGACTTTTTAACTTTTAATTTTTTATATGTTTGCATTCTCGTGGCAGAATAACAATTTACGGTTTAAATCAGGTAGGGTCTGTTAAACTTCAGACTATTAATATTAATCTTAATGATGCTGAGGAATTCCCTTTGTTTCTCCTCGGTCAGTATTGATTGGGTCTTCCAACATGTTTAATACACTCTGCCAGGTGCTGTGGAATATACATGAGGGAAAAGTCTGAAAGATAAAAATGAAGGAGAAATGAAGTAATAATTAAGAATAGTAGAAAAAAATCTGTGTCCGAGTTTTTACATTCATTGCCAGCATCAGATATCAACAAAGGTACAAGATATCAGGAGGAGAGCTCTGTTGTGGGCTGTGGCAAAGATAAAATCATATTATAAGCAATGCTATTATTTTAAAAACAAAATGATTTTGTAGAACAAATTGGTTTTTTCCTACTATCAGGTAACCCAAAGGCACTATTGATCTGGTGGCAAGGAATTCTGGGTAGTCAACTGTCTTCTGCCAACTGCTTTACTTACAGCATTTGCCTGAAGGCTTTTTGTTTTGTTATGTTTTGTTTTTTGCTTTTTAGGTAGAAAGAGGTCGTAGCTGAATGGCTCACATCTCTTTGGTCACTGTCACTGCTTACCTCGTGCCCCTTCAACCCAGCCATGTACACGACACCAGCTGATTCTTAAACGGTCACCTGAGCAAACTCATGAAGCTCCAGGGAATAGGAGGAGGAGGAGAAAGGCAGGGCCAGTGTGCCTAAGACTTTTCCTTTTCCCTTAGATTTAGGCGATTTCTTTTTTTGTTCACTTCCTAATATGAGCTGTGTCTCATGACCTCAGTTTATTTTTATTTTTAATTTTATAGTTTTTTTTTAGTGGTTCATTTTAATAAAACTTTATCACCAAAACAACCCATGGCTTCAAATACAGTTTTCAAATCTCCGTCTCTGGGCAGGCCTTTTTCCTGGGCTTCAGGAACCTAAATATTCAACTACTCCTTAAATACTGTCAGCTTGTTATTCCACAGGTTCTAAAATTCAGCCTGAATAAAACTTAAATCCTATTTCCCTGAGAAATATTAGGTTGGTGCAGAAGTAATTGGTGCAAAAGTAAGTGTGATTTTTGGCATTTTTTTTTAATGGCAAAAACCACAGTTACTTTTGCACTAACCTAATATATCAATTCCCATAGTTACTCTCAGTGAATGGCATTATCATTCATGTGCTTGCTTAAGCCCGAAGTGCTGAAATCATAATATCCCTTCCTTCTTCCTCCCACCCCTGTATCTAAAGGGTTCCCATCTACTTCTAAGTCCACATCCTAAATAGTCTTTTAATTAGTCATCTCCTATTTAACTCTGTTGTCATTATATTCATTTGGCCTGAAGATTTCCTGCCTGCTACTATAGCTGCTTTCTACCTAGCCCTATTGTTCTTTCACCTCATCTAATCCATCTTCCACACTGCCATTAAAATGAACTTGTTGAGTTGTGATTCTCATCCTTGACTGCTCCAAATCCTTCAATGGATCACCATTGTTTTCTGGCTAAGATCGGAACTCCTGTCAAAAACTGACCAGCTTTTCTTTCCACCCTAATGTTCCACTATGACTCAGTTTGTGTACTGTGTAACTCTCTTCCCATGGCTGCACGTGCCCTTTTGTTTCCATCCTTTGCTCTTCCCTCTTCCTTGCCTGTTTGACAATTTCTAGCTTGGTACTTTCTGTTTTAGGAGGCATTTTCTATTTTCCTTTATTTTTCTTATTTCTTTTTTAATGCAGTGGATCTGTTTCAATGGAGAGACATTTTCTATTTTCTACCGCTGAGTTGGGTACTCTTGATCTTTGCTCTGATACCAGTCCATGCTCTTGTCACCGTATATCCACCACCACCACTAATTGTAACAGCAACAAGAACAAGGAAGCCAAGTTTTAAAGAGAAAGCTCTTGTGTGAGGCTCTTTGTACTGTATATGTGTTATTTCATTAAGTCCTCAGAACGACCCTGTGAGACAGGTGGGTACCATTGTCTTTGTCTTAGAGGTAAGGAAACTGAGAACGACAGTTTTAGCCAGTTTTCTCTAAGTCTTCCAATAAGAGGTAGAATTGAGATTCAAGTAAGTTATTCTTAATGTAGAGTCCTATCTAGTAACAATGACATGATGCTACTTACCTCATTAGGCTGAGAGCCCCTTAAAGGCAAGAATTATGTCTTTCATTAATAGTTGGTTGAGTGAGTGCCTGAATGAGAAGATGAGCAAAGGCATGCGTGTTATAAAAACATTTAGCCTGCAGTGCCAACAATAACTCAATCTTCTCAGGAGAAAAGTACTGAGCTGTTATCCACCCAATGACAAAAGTTTGCTCGGTGTACAAACTTGGTGTTACGTAGACGGCTTGGTGTACAAGCCATCACTGTCTGGCAGTACTAATGTCAGGCAACAGATAATCATTTGGGCACTCAGAATAGCCAGTCTGTTATTCAAGATATGCAAGAGTGCATTTTAAATGTCAAGCACATTTACTTCTTTGAGGGAGGCACATTTTATACAGGAGTGAAGAATTAGAGATAGAAGTTGGAAATTCTTCCTAATGATATCATTCATTAATATTTCTCTTTTTTGTTGTTTTTAAATGTTTCAGCTGGTTATTTTCATGTTAACTCATTAAAAAAGTTATTCTCTGGTGAGGCACTTGGGGACAATCAGAAGAGATAGAGATCCTACATCTCAGGGCTCTCTGAATCCTCAAGAAGTACCTTGGGACATTATTTCAATCAGAGTGTGAATACCCACTAACTACAGAGCCTACAAGAGGTGCTTGGGGATGCAGGATGAATGAGACACCATGTCTGTCTCTAGAAAGATGAGTCTCGCTGCAGCCGATGGGAATATCAGAGAAGATATTTTGCTCTTTAGGTTGCCTTATAGGCTTCTCATTGCCTAAGGCAGAGTCATAATTATAATAATTTATATGCATTTGCAATGTGTCAGGAACTGTGCTAAGCACTCAATGTGGGTTCTTTTGTCTAATTCTCACCATAAGTTTATGAGGTAGATATTGTTACCTCTGTCTTACAGATGAGGAAACTGAGGTTTAGAGAGGGTAAATAACTTGTCCACATTCACATACGTAGAAGGGATGGAGCTGGAATTCACACCCAAAGCCAGTGTGCTCTTAATCATAGTACTATGCTACCTCCCTATCTGACCCAAAGCAATCTGGGTAAATATAACTGTCAAGATCATTACAGGGTGCTCTAACATTGTTTTATCTTTTCAAGGAACCAACAAGGGATGCAGGTACTCTCACCACTTTACAGTTGAAGAAACTGACCCAGAAGGATTTTTCCTGGACCAAAGTCATACTGCTGTTATACTAGATTATGAGTACAATAGTGCAGTCTTCTTTGCAAACTCCCCAGTAGCAAGTAAACAAACAAGAACAGCAGATTATGTGTGAACAAAGAGATCTGGTGCTTATTATATATTTCTTCAATTCATTTTTCTTTTCCCTTGTTGTGTGAGACATGCATAATTTTCTTGGCTCTGTATATAATTACATACCTGCTTTGAGATGAACATTCTTAAGTGTAGTGATTAATGGTCTGGGATTGGACGTAGTCGCCCTGCAGTCTAAGTTATTCAATATCTTTCACCAAAAATGCTAATAATTAAACTGCCAGTGGCAACAAACAGCCAGGGTTTGTGCTGATAGATGTCTGCTGTAGTTTTCCATGGCAGTAATGTGGTAAGCATTGAAACGTTTCCTGGGGATTTCAAGTGGTAGCCTTTGAAGGTGTGTTTTGTACATCTCTCCTGCCCTGGGGAGCTTTCCTGTTCCCCACAGGTACTGACTGGAAAGAAGTCAAAGCCGTAAGTTCTAGAAGAGTTGGCAGGAAACTCATCTCTGCCCATTTTCTACAAGTAATGCTGCTTCCAAGCAGGCAGCAGCCCCAGTACTTTACTGTGACATTTACATTATCCTTTTTTTTCTTTTTTAGCCCTCCAGTTATCACCCAATGAGAATGTAAAATACTTCATCTTCTCTCTAGTATATTTTTTACTCCTTTAAAACTTAGCTGAAGTCGTACCTTCTTAGAGTTCACCACCCTGGCTGAATCATACCTATCCTCCTCTCTCTTCCCTATCTCAGATTGCTTTTAATTGCCCTGGCCAGCCATCCAGAAAGAAGCACTGTCTTAATGGCCTTTCTGACCAGGACCTCGATGTCAGGATGTTGATGGGTTGGTTTGTCTGGTATCATGGCAGTAGCCAGTTCAAATCTAGGAGTAGGAACCATCTTTTTTTTTTTTTTTTAAGTAAAGGTGTTTTTTTTTTCTGATTATAAATATAATAATGTTTATTGTGTAACTTTTTTGGGTGTTTTTTGAGACAGAGTCTTGCTCTGTCTGGAGTGCAGTGGCACGATCTTGGCTCACTGCAACCTCCACCTCCCTGGGTGAAGCAATCCTCTCACTATAGCCTTCTGAGTAGCTGAGACCACAGGTGCCTATCACTATGCCCAGTGGGTTTTGGGTTTTGTTTGGTTTGGTTTGGTTTTTTTGTGTGTGTGTGTGTGTGGAGACGGGGTTTTGCCATATTGCCCAGGCTGGTCCCAAACTCCTGGGCTCAAGCAGTCCTCCTGCTTCAGCTTCCCAAAGTGCTGGGATTACAGGCATGAGCCACTGTGCCCAGCCCATTGTATAACAGTTTTAAATGAGATAAAAAGAAGAGACATGAAGTCATCTTTGAACTCGCCACTTGCAGGTGACCAATATGTTAATTTGGGTTCTCCAGAGACACAGAGCCAATAGGAGATATATATATATATATATATATATATATATATATATATATATATATATATATGTATATGTATATATGTATATGTATATGTATAATATGTGTATATATGTATATGTGTGTATATATACACGTATATATGTATACACGTGTATATATGTATATGTGTATATATACATATACACACGTGTATATATACGTATATATGTGTGTATGTATATATATGTGTGTGTGTATATATATAGAGAGAGAGAGAGAGGGAGAGAGAGAAAGCATGCTATATGAGAGGGGATTTATTAGGGCAATTGGCTTATGCAATAATGAAGACTGAGTTGTCCCATGATAGGCCATCTGCAAGCTGGAAAACCAGGTAAGCCAGTAGAGTGGCTTAGTCCAAGTCTAAAGGCCTCAGAACCAGGAAGGCTCAGGCTGAAGGCCTGAGAACCTGGACTTATGTCCAAGGACAGTAAAAGAAGAGTGTCCCTGCTCCAAAAGAGAGAGTGAGCAAAATAGTCTTTCTTCTGCCTTTTGTTCTGTTTGGACCCTTAGCCAGTTGGATAGTGCCCACCCACAGTGGGTGAGGGTGCAGCCCACTGATTCAAATGCTGTTCTCTTCCTGAAACACCCTCACAGACATGCCCCCAAATAATGGCTTACCAGCTATCTGGGTGTCCCTTAATCCAGTCAAGTTGATACCTAAAATTAGCCATCACGACCAGAGTTAACATTTTTGGGCATTTGGGTATGAGTCAGTGTATGTTGGTTGTGTCCTTGGACAGAAGCTCCACTCTGGACACTTGATGTGATATCATGTGGTAATGCCATGGCCCTCCCTTATGTTTTTTGATCCTTGGACAGAAGCTCCATTTTGGATGTCTGGCATTACATCAAATGGTGATTGATGTCTGTAACTCCTCCTTAATAATTCCATCAACAGTGTTTGTCTTATTGCATAACTTGTAACTTGAGGAAAAGAAACTGTCATGACACAAAAGTGTCATGGAAATGAACTAGTGTTGAAGTGGAACTTGGAAGTCATCTACCCTTATGGCTCCAAATCTAGCTGTGCATGAGAATATCTGGGGGACTTGTTAAACTGCTACCATCCTAGGCCAATTGAACCAGAATCTTACGGCTGGAACCTGAGAATAATAAGTGCCCTCAGGAATTCCTGTACTCAGCTGAGCACCATCTAGTAGGCTGGAATTGGAGAGCCAGTTCACTGATTTTTAAAACGTAGACATGGTACCTTCCCTCATGCAGTTGAAGTTCTACCAGGTAAGATAATGGAATAACAAGTAAATAAAAATAATAATTAAAATTGTGGTAAGTGGTTTGAAGGCAAGGCACTGAGGGAGAATAACTTTCGCTACGGTGGTCAGGGAGAGCTTCCCAGAGAGGGAAGCAGTCTCAGGACTAGGAGGCTGAGAAAGAGCCAGTTGAAGGAAGTGTGGAAAAGAGGCTTCCAGCTGAGAAATGGCACTCCAAGCCATGCTGGTGTGAGAAAAGCTTGGCTTGTGTCAGGGATTGAGGTAGCAGTGAGTCTGGAATGTGGTTAGAGAGGGGAGAATGCACAGAGATGTTCGAAGTTGTTTTAATTAGTTACTCAACAACCCCAGCTGGTAACTGGCAGAATGCAGGCTAGAACCTGCTTCGCTGATTGCATGTCCAGTGAATGTCCTGTATGCTGCTGTATTAGTCTGCTCAGGCTACCATAACAAAATACCGAAGACTGGGAGGCTGAAACAACAGAAACTTATTTTTTACAGTTCTAGAAGCTAGAAGTCCAAGATCAAAGTGCCAGCAGGTTTGGTTTCTCCAGAGGCCTCTCTGATGCGCTTACCAATGGCTGTCTTCTCTCTGTGTCTGACATGGTTCTCCCTCTGTGTACATATGCCCCTGATGTCTGTTTGTGTGTCCAAATTTCCTCTTACAAGAACACCAGTCAGGTTGCATCATGGCCCACCTTAATGCCCTCATTTTAACTTAATCACCTGTTTAAAGGCCCCATCTCCAAATATAGTCACATTCTGAGGTATTGAGGTTAGGATTTCAACTTCTGAGTCTTGAAGGGGGGGCACAGTTCAGCCCATAATAGCTGCTGTCTTGTAGTTGGCAAAATCCCCCATTTGTCCTAGGATCTAGTCTAACAAGGCAAATCCCTGTTTCCCACTTGCTACTGAGACCAAGAGGGAAATCTGTATTACTTTCTTGGATTGAAATAACCCTAAACAAAACAGAGACTTAGTGTCCCTGCAAACTCTAATACAGATGGAGGAATTGTAAGTGATATGGAGCTGGCTTATAAATTTTTTGCTCCCCTGGCTGGGAACTTTAGCTGTTTCAGAAACTTTCCTTTCCAGAGAGTCCTGTGTCTGCCAAGGTCCTTTGATGCAGACAGTAGAACCCATCCTAGGTGGCTTAAGTGGGATTTACTATGGGATATTGGTTGGTTTATAGACTCTTTGAAAGGATGCAGAAACATGCTCTGGGCTAAATTTCCATGAACATTTCCTAGAACCACCCCCACAGGATTAGTCTGACAAGAGAGCTGCTGCTGCCGCCAACCCTAGAACCACATTGCTTCTGCTGTGATCCACAAAGCTGCTGCCATGTCTCACTCCAAAACCCCATACCTCTGCCAGCACCTGTGCCAGCTAAATGGGTGCCTTGAACCTGGCTTGGTTCCTTACATAGTTAATTTCCAAATCAAAACTCACGTCTGATGGATGGAACCTAGTCTCACCAGGCTGTACTCTAGCTGTAAGGGAGACTTGGGAAGGAAAAACACACAATATGGAGAGGTCTCAAAGATAGCCCCTTCCCTTTAAAAAAGAAATAGAAAGAAAAGGACTTGGGGTACCCAAAAATGTCATATGACAGATGTCCTCTGCAACCCACCTTTTCAAGATGTGCTCACATTTTACATGTCCCGATCCTACCCTGACAACACTGTAAAACATAAGTAGGCTCTATATTCATTGTCTTTTACATCTTTGAGGGGTACAAATAAGATACAAAGACCCTAAATTGGAAGATGAGCATGAAAAAATCTTGAGTCCCATCAGTAAATTCCTTTTTTCTTATGATTGTACAGAGTCCCGACTTAACAATTTTTCGACTTTATGATGCTACAAAAGCGAATATGCATTCAGTAGAAACTGTACTTAGATTTTGGAATTTTGATCTTTTCCTGGGTTAGTGATATGTGGTACAATACTCTTACATGACATATTCCACACTCTATTATAAAACAGGTTTTGTGGTAGATGATTTTGCCCAATTGTGGGCTTACTGTAAGTGTTCTGAGCACATTTAAGGTAGGCTAAGCTATGATGTTCAGTAGGTTAAGTGTATTAAATGCATTTGGGCTTACAGTATTTTCAGTTTACAATGGGTTTATCAGGACTGAACCCCATCATAAAATGAGGAGCATCTGTATTATATGTGGTGGAAGGATGATAGAAGGCCACGAATTACAGACTGGTGTATAGCAAGTACCGACATGGCATTTTTGATTCCCTGTGCTTCTGTCTCTTGAACAGTAGCTTTAATCTTCAGGATGGTCTTTTGCAGTTTGGTCAAAGAGAAAGCAAGATATTGGAGATGCCTTCACCTAGTGTGGTTTATTTTAAACTGGGAGATTCTGTGTGCTTTGTATCTTTCAGGAGGACTCTACCTGAATTTTCTGCTTATAACTTCTCTCTCTTTTTGGGAGGCAACTGTGTGTAGATACACAGCCACAACTGAGTATTCACATGATGTAAAAGTAATGAAAGTGACCGGGCATGGTGGCTCAGGCCTGTAATCCCAGCACTTTGGGAGGCTGAGGCAGGCGGATCACGAGGTCAGGAGATAGAGATCTTCCTGGCTAACATGGTGAAACCCCATCTCTACTAAAAATACAAAAAATTAGCCAGGCGTGGTGACACACGCCTGTAATACCAGCTACTCGAGGCTGAGGCAGGAGAATCGCTTGAACCCGGGAGGTGGAGGTTGCAGTGAGCCGAGATCGTGCCATTGCACTCCAGCCTGGGTGACAGAGCGAGACTCTGTCTAAACAACAACAAAAAAGTAATGAAAGCTATTGTACTATCTAGAAGGACACAGCAGAAATCATAGAATATGTGCTTCTATTGATGCAGACAGGATTGTTTTAAGTCGGCCCTTGGCTATCACTCATCACTGTTTTTGGTACTGGAGATACAGCAGAGATAAAGATATATTAGCACATCTTGATGGTCACTACAATATGTTCATCAAGAGATGCTATATAAGTCACTAGTTAAATATAAAAACATTGACAGCTGCCTTCACTTTGGAATATAAGATTTAAGAAATTAGCTTTATTTTTACTGGAGAATGAACCGTCCCTTAGAATTGTCTTATTAATGTTCGGAGTACTTTTTCCCACTCCATGACTTATATTCTCCTGTTTTTAAACCTACTTTGCTTTACACAAAGTGAAAATCGCTGTGCTTTTCTTGAAGCTGTTTAGGTCTAAAATTTTTAAAAATATTGAGGTTGGTGGGAGGAAAAGTGGTGGTCATAATTATCAGTATTATTATTAGGACATCCTATATCTTAGGAGTGTCCTACACATGGTAAGTATTAACTAGCTCACCAAATGAATAAATGAAGGAATGAATGAAAAAACATACTTTGGAGTCAGATCTGGATTTCCTTTTCTGCTCTGCCACTTACTAGCTGGGTTATCGTCATCTCTGTAAGCCTCAGTTTCTCATCTGTGTACCACATAATTGTACCTACTGCACAGGTCTGTTTTGAGAATTAAATAATGTTTATAAAAAAAGTGAGATAATGCTTGTCTGACTTCAGTTTAAGCAGTCAATAAAACATTTCCATTACCACTGCTATTATCACTTTATTCCCAGTGAAGATTCCTATAACAAAGACACTGGGAATTCCTCCAGCAAAGGAACCTGTTGACATTTTTAAAACCATGTACATCGTGTGTGTGTGTGTGTGTGTGTGTGTGTGTGTGTGTGTGTGTGTGACATTGTTAATATCTTCCCAGAATATTTTTCCACAAAATAGAATTTGGCAAGTGCTGCTATGAATCAGTTACGTTTATAATTCTTTTTAAAGGAAAAATTGGGTGTGTTTAAGAGTTTTTTTTTATAATGTGGCCATAGAGAGCTTATGAAGCATTTGCTGTGTGTGCCGACTCTTGTTCCATATTAAATGTAAGGATGGAGTGTTAGAAAGCGGGTGACAGAAAGACATGTGTAGCAGGCCCAAGGTCGGTGAAGGAAGGCCTGGTTTGTATCTTGCTCCTGGGCATCTGTCTTGAGCTACCTTGTGAACCAAAGCCTCACACTCTAGGACAGTCTTCTTAATGTGGCTGTCATTCTCTTGCTGGCAGTGAATGTCTGTGTGGTTTAATTCTGTGACTACCTGGTCGTGTGACCCACCTTTGCAATCCTCAAGGGTGTGGGGCAGGGCAGCCGGGACAGGATGAGGCTATTTGCAGTGGGGGGCAATAGTCACTTCTGTGTGTGGGGCTGTAACCATGAATTCATCCAATGTGGTAATTACTGGAAATGCTGATTTACACATCTGTGGTCCTCATCGCTTTATGGGAAAGATCTCCATAGATGGAGAGAAGAGGGGGAGTAGTTTTTAACACCATCATTTCCCTTTTATATTTGCAAATATTCATGTGGGAAAAAAAGGAATATAAAAGTAAAACAGTAGGACATGAGGGATTATAAGTTATCTCAAATACATCTCTTTTTCTAATTTTTTACTGTGGTAAAATACACGTAAAATTTACCATCTGAACCTCTTAAGTATACATTTCAGAGGTATTAAGTACATTCATAGTGTTGTGCAAACATCAGTCCCATTCATCTTCGTAACTCTTTTCATCATGCAAAACTGAAACTTTGTACCCATTAAAAATAACTCCCTATTCTCCCTAGCCCCAGCCCCTGGCAACCTCCATTGTATTTTCTGTGTTTTTGACTACTCTGATTACCACATGTGAGTGGAATTATACAGTATTTGTCTTTTTGTGCCTGGCTTATTTCAGTTAGCAGAATGTTCTCAAGGTTCATCCATGTTGTAGCATATGTCAGAATTTCCTTCCTTTTTAAGCCTGATTATTATTTGGTGTGTGTTATGTACCATATTTTGCTTATCCAGCCATCTGTTGATGGACACTTGGGTTGCATCTCCATTTGAGCCATTGTGAAAAATGCTGCCATGAACATGGGTGTGCCAGTATTTCTTTGAGACCCGATTTTCAATTATTGTTGGTATATACCCAGAATAGAATTGCTGGATCATATGGCAATTCCATTTTTAATTTTTTGAGGAACCATTATACTATTTTTAGAGAACTTTATACCATTTTACATTCCTACCGACAGTGCATAAGGGTTCCAATTTCTCCATATCCTCACCAACATTTGTTAGTTTCTGGGGTTTTTTTGATAGAAGCCATTCTAATGGGTATGAGGTGGAGTCTCATTGTAGTTTTGATTTGCATTTCCCTAAATTGATGAACTCAAGCTGTTCTTTTCCTGTTAGATTTTGCTTTTGACCTTTAAATGTCTTAAAAAATCAAAGATGAAAGCTTATCTATTCTTTTTCTCTTCAAGGTGCTAGAAATGAAATTAGCTGGCTCTAGGAGCTGGCAGCCCTAAGTATAAAGTGTGTCCTATGAACTTGGTGTCAAGCTCTTGGAGTTCCAAAAATGAATATCATGATCCTTCTAGCTGCCACCTTGGACATGCTTCTAATCGTTTTCCATTATACCAGTGTTTTCTAAGGTTTTTTCATATAAACTACTTTAAAATATTTTTATTGGCTCTTAAATGTATCATCTTTCTTCTTGTTCTGAGTTTGTATAGACTTTGAGAGCAGTAATTTTGAGTGATGGTATTTGTACAATTAGATATGCTATCTGAAAAGGAATGTCTCTAAGTTTTAGACAAAGCTATTGGAAAATGTCTCTATAACTGCTTATCAGTCTCCACATTCCATGACTTTTTCCCCCCTCTTTTGACATGTCCATGTTTTCCTAAAATCTTGAATCAATTATTGCATTAGTTAACTATCTCTGTTAAATTCACTGGAGAGAGTTCTTTGAGGAAACAATGTTGGATATCTAAAATTCTCTGATTTTATCATGTCATGAGTTGGTGAAATATCACTTTTACTGTTAAATGAAAATGGAGGGAAATATAGGATGAATATTATCATACCTTGATTTGACAGGTGAAAGAGTACGTTTCTAAATTCTGCCATGATGATTTTATATTCATTGCATTTAAAAAATTTGGAAACGCGGGTGGGGTGGTGGCTCGCGCCTGTAATCCCAGCACTTTGGGAGGCCGAGGAGGATGGATCACGAAGACAGGAGTTCAAGGCCAGCTTGGCCAGCATGGTGAAACTCTGTCTCTACTAAAAATACAAAAAATTGTCCAGGCATGGTGGTGTGCACCTGTAATCCCAGCTACTCGGGAAGCTGAGGCAGGAGAATTACTTGAACTTGGGAGGTGGAAGTTGTAGTGAGCTGAGATCGTGCCACTGCACTCTGGCCTGGGCGACAAGAGTGAGACTCTGTCTCAAAAAAAAAAAAAAAAAAAAAAAAAGGAAATGCTGCAGTATAATTTTATGAATGTGAAATTATTACATGTGCTTAAAAGCATTATTGTAGCTTCATTTGCCTCTGAATTTCCCGAGTGGTTGTAACAAGGTTGTCTTCCTGAATCTCTGCAAATTTAAGTCAGCTTGCACTAGGAAGCCACAGATGTCCTTAGAGTTGAGTTTAATCTTGACTCAAATCAGCTTCTCCTCCAGAGCTTTGACATATGACTTAGCAAGAGCTTTTCCTTCTTCTTTCTGCCTTCACTTCCCAGTTCCCAAAAGACCAGTTTTCAGGACAGTGTGATCCTAGAGATATGGGAAGAGAGGGAGGAAGCAGGCTTTGATCTTTGCCATTGTGTACCCATAGAACTCACTCCCAGATTCTTTTTCCTTTTTCTTTCTCTCTCCCTTTCTTCTGTCTAGCTGACTTCATTGTCTTCCTGCTCATATTCTGTCTATGACCCTTATAAGACAGCAAACAAACCCACAATCAAGGCTCTTGCTTCATTGAAGCCCTGAGAATTGGCTACATGAGGCCTTTGCTCAAGGGACTTAATATTTAATGTGTTCATGATTGGGTTAATAAAACAGGGAGCAGGTGACAAATTTAGTCTATGGAAGCCCCATTCAGAAGAGTGAGCATTTGAGAGGGCTGGAAAGACATATCAGAGATTCTCATCAAACAGCGTGGTTTAGATGAAAGGTCACAAATTAAATTTAATGTGAACTATGCTAATATAGTTCATATTAAGAATATAATTTAAGCATATTACATCATGTCATCACTTCATATTGCTTTTGGAGCCATCTTGGAGTAGAGGGGCAATGTTTGCTGTTCCTTATAACAGAGGCTTTAATGATTTATTAAAAACAAATAATTACTAGGTTATGTACATTGTAAAAGTACATTTCCCATGGTGTGGATAAAGAGAAACGAATAAAAATAGGGCAGAATAGAAAAGCCAAGATAAGGTGCTTGTCACTGCTACTAGAATTCCCTCTCTCCAAAAAATTTTCTAAATATTTTCCAAACATTTTGACTTTACACCATTCATACAGTTTCTTCTATATTAGTGAAACTCTACTAGTAAAAAAAAAAAAAAAAAAAAAAAAAATTGAACCTGTACTTCCAAAATGTGTATTTTTATTTACAATTTATATCCATGTACTATAAATTCTTATTAAGCGTAAAATAAAGCACTTACAAAAACAGACATTTTAATAGGATGAGATAAAGTTAAAAATAAACTATCATTTAATTTTTTTTAGTTTTATAAAACCTTTTAAATATGATTATGTACTTTTAGTGAGAGCAGTGTGATTAAATGTGCTTCATTATTATTATTTTTATATATTTATTTTATAAAGACAGGGTCTTGCTCTGTTGCCCAGGTTGGAGTGCAGTGATGTGATCATAGCTCACTGCAGCCTTGAACTCCTGGGTTCAAGCGATCTTCCCAACTCAGCTTCCTGAGTAACTAGGACTACAGGCACATACCACCAAGCCCAGCTAGTTTTTAAATTTTTTTTGCAAGGATAAGGTCTTGCTATATTCCAAGGCTTATTCATTTTTTTTTTTTTTATTTTTTGGGACAGGGTCTTGTTTTGTCACCCAAGCTGGAGTGCAGTGGTGCCATCATGGTCCACTACAGCCTTGAACCCTTGTGCTCAGGTGATCCTCCTACCTCAACCTCCAGAGCAGCTGGGACTACAGGCACCTGCCAAATGCCTCGCTAATTTTTTGTATTTTTGGTGGAGATGGGGTTTCGCTGTGTTGCTTAGGCTGGTCTCAAACTCCTGAGCTCAGTTGATTCACCTGCCTCAGCATCCCAAAGTCCCAAAGTGTTGGGATTCCAGACTAAGCCACTGTGCCTGGCTTTTTCTTTTTTTAAGAGATGGGGCCTTGTTCTGTTGCCCAAGCTGGTCTCGAACTCCTGGGCTCAAGTGATCCTCCTGCCTCTGCCTTCTGAGCTGCTGGGATTACAAGAGTGAGCTACCTTGCCCAGCAAATATGCTCCATTATTTTTAACCTTAGCTTAATTCTTTGTGATACAGGGATTTTAAGTTTCCAAGTAAGTTATTATCTTTTGTCTCATTGTTATAATTTATATACAATAAATTGCAACCATTTTAAAGTATACAGTTTGAAGAATTTTCACCTAAGTAGCTTATTTTGATATTTTAATAGCTGATGTCTAATATACAATATATAGTTATGTTTAATAAAATATTAAAACTATATATTAAAAAGTTTTCCTGATTATTTCAACCTTGTATATAAAATTTGTTTTTGTCAGCTCTTTTTAAGATCCGATTAGATCTTCAGTTTTTACTTATATGGCTGACTAAAGTAAAACCACAGAAGTGTCCATTTTACTAGTTTTTGTTTGCACATGCTTATATTATTAGTGCTGTTTTAATCCACGTTTTCTTTCCAGGGATCTTTTTAAGCCATTTGTCCATTTTGTAAATGAGTTCAGTTAAACCAAGATAATCTTGTTTGTAAATCCACTTAGCTGGGCCCAGGTGCACTCCAGTCTTTCACAATATGCTGAAAGTGAAGAACTGAGTGTGAACACTTCCCTTGGGAGGAATTCCCCTCTTCTTTCTGAATGCGTCATGGTTCCATTACCCTGTGATGCAGGAAAGGCAGCCATGAGAATTCATATAATAAACATTAGGAGAGCTTACACATTTTTAATATAGTTTAGTAGTTTTAACATATATATTATTATATACTTAATATCTGTTATCTATTTTGTATAGTACATTTAGCATATTTAAAAGCATACACTTATTTTTTACAGAGAAATTTTAATATGTTCTCCTGTGCCTCAGTGGCTCTTCTTGTGGACCTAACTCTATCAACCATTGTCAGTTTGTTGTTTACAATAAAGCCACATAACCCCTTTTCCAAATAACATCTTACAGAGGGGCTAATTATGTAAAAATAAGCTGAGCTGCTCTTCTTGAAAGGGGGTTGTAGAGCTGAAGTCTACCTGGTCTCATCACCTGCCGTATCCCTTTCCCACCTGCTGCTCTCCTGCCTTCCTATCAAGGCTTGCAAAGCACAGTTGGATTCAAGATAGAAGGAAAAGTTTCCTCTGATCATAGTATTAGGTATCATTGTGCTTCTCCTTTGCTAGCCCTTTGTTTTTATCTTATGGACACAGATTCTTGTCAGTGATTACATTTCTTCCCTTTCTTTAGGAAAGGTTTTTTTTTTTTTTAGACAGAATCTCCTTCTGTCACTCAGGCTGGAGACGTGCAGTGGCATAATCTTGGCTCACTGCAGCCTCTGCCTCCCAGGTTCAAGCAATTCTCCTGCCTTGGCCTTCTGAGTAGCTGGGTTTACAGGCGCCCACCACCACACCTGGCTAATTTGTGTATTTTTAGTAGAGACGGGGTTTCACCACATTGGCCAGGCTGGTTTCGAACTCCTGGTCTCAAGTGATCTGCCCACCTCAGCCTCCCAGAGTGCTGGGATTATAGGCGTGAGCTACCGCGCCCTGCCCTAGGGAAGTTTAAAGCCAATTCTATCTCGTCTTTTGCAGTACAACAGGTCCTCAAATAACGTTTCATTCATTGTTGTCTGCTTATGATGATGGGGAAGAAAAAAAAGTCGATTCTCAGCTGTGGCCACTCTTTGTGTGGAGTTTGCACATTCCCCACATCTGCATGGGTTTTCTCCAGGTATTCCCCTTTCTTTCCATATCTCAGTGATGTGCATGATAGGTTCATTGGCGTATCTACAGGGTCTCCATCTGAGTGAGTGTGGGGGTATGCGAGTGCACCCTGTGATGGGATGACTGTCCTGGCCAAGGGTTTCCCTGTGGAATAAGTGGATAAATAATGATCTTCCTTGTTTTTATTAATCTACCTTAAATGTATGTATAGCTCACATTTATTTCAGTGTTGAATATTAGAAGTATTTTAGGTCATTATTTAGAAGTTTGGTGATGTTTTTGTGACCAGAAAATATGCTGCAGGAACTTAACCTTTGTTTATGTCAATTAGTCTTTGGTAAAATTGGTTTCATTATATATTGTTTGACTGACTGAAAGTCGCAGTTTCTAAGACCTTATTGATGATGGTAAGGACTGACTGTATGTAGAAATACATGGACTGTACAAATACTGTTTGTAGAAATTGAATAAATTTAGAATACAAGGCCTACTTTTGGCTTCACCTTGCTTTCTTACCTTTATTTACTTTGCTTCCTGTTTCTTCAATTTATAGTTTCTTTTTAAATGAAACAAGTTTATTTTAACTTTCTATATTAAGTGTGTCTTAAATTACTTTAATCCTTCTTGGAATAAGTACAAAGGGCTTTGAAAATACCGCCTATTGTATTGTTGCTCATAAACGAACCTTAAGATTTTTGGAATAAAACTTCTAAATAAATGTAAAATAAGTTAATTCCAAATTAAGTGAACAACTTTCACTTAATTAAAAGGATTTGGGAGCATAGGTGAATAAATCCAACATTGCATGAAACATCTTTTTTTCTCCCTACAAGAACTGAAAAATACATTGTTGTATTTCATTATTTTGTAGTTTTGTTTTTTTTTGTCAGTAATTCCTAGTTCAGAGCTTGGTTTAGAAAAGAAGAACATTAGGGCTTTCTAAGTTGGAAGTCATTTAATATAGTCATGATTTTTGTGGTGTCTTTGGCTACAAGGTCAGTATTTTAATGCTAAGATTTCTTGGAGAGTGAAAGTTCTTTTCCCTAGAAATTGGGGTCAGTTGTGGTAAAGATACATGGAGAGTTAGAAAGGTATATAATGATAGGTCTCATCATTTTGAAATTGTAGAGCAGTATTAAATAACTTTTATCCAAGGAATATAAAGTTTTGTCATCCCAAACTCAATGCTGAGCAAGTCATTATTTTGTGACCCAGTTCTGAGGTGGAGGTACTCATTTCCTGTACCTCACAGTTCCAAATATGTTACTTTGGTTTTTATTTTATTTTTATATTTTATAGAGTTAGGGTCTCACTATGTTGCCCAGGCTGGTCTTGAACTCCTGGGTTGAAGTGATCCTCTCGCCTTGGCCTCTCAAAGTGCTGTGATTACCAGCGTGAGCCACTGCATGTAGTCCCAAATCCCATTCCTTTGTTATTTCGTCCCTGCTCTTCTCAGAGGAGTGCTTCATAAGAAATGCCCAGAGACTTTACACAGTGGGAGTTCGAGAAGCTCAGGGGAGACCTCCTGGACATTTGTTGTTTGCCTCCTCAGCAACCTGTTGCCCCCTTCCAGGAACAGCTCCTATCTTCATTTGCCACTTTGCACTCTCTACTCCTCACCTGTGTGCTTAGGTAAGGTCCCAGCGCATATGATTAGCTGACGGTGTAATTATGACAACATTGCTGATGATGCCTTCCCTTGGACATTTCTTCCACAAGTTCTGATAGACATAGCTGGTTTTGAAAGGTCTGGTAATCCATGCAGCCATTGAGTGGGAAAGCAAGCAAAATGTTAAATACACTGTAGAAATAAAGCCTCATGTTTTATAAGTTGAGTATTGTCAAGTGTTTGGAAAGAGCCCTTTTAAAACTATGACTATGCTTTGCAACACTTTGTAATTAAGCTGGATGATGCCTTGTTGGGGTTTTACAAGTTAGTGGTATTCATCTTCATGTGAATGGACAGAGTTACTTCTTGGACTTCTGAGAAGTAGGGATCAAAGTGGGGAAGAAGTGAGTGGAATAATTTTTTTCTTACAGAAAAACCCTTTTAAAGATATTTGTATGCACTGAGTCACAAAAATGAGACAGGCAAGACTGTTTTTCCTTTGCCTTGTGTTTGGTCTTGCAGCATGATCTACTCCAGTGAAGTCTGATTGTGGCACCTTGCTTGTCCTTACCTTGAACTTCAAATCCTTGAACCTGATCTGAGGAGTAGGATATAAACAGCACCCCAAGGTCTTGCATGTGGCCAAATATTGTACTATAATTAGTAAGAGTTATGGCCTGTCATTGCCTTTCCTGAATGATGGCTGGACAGTAAGAATTAGCGCTTTTTTAGCTCCAGGTTTTCAATGGTTAAGAGAACAGAATCATATTATGTGTTTGTTCTTTGAAAGAATGATTGGAATGAATAAACACTGGGTAAGGGAAAATTTAGCATTTAACTGGTTTTCCACTTGGCTTTTTTAACTCCGGGGAGTTTGGTGAATTAGAAACCAGAACTACAAACTGGAATCATATTGGTGTGTTCTGTCAATTGCTTTGAAAACAGACTGACTTTATATTTGATATATATTATTTCAACTTTCCTTGGGCCTTAGTTTGTAAAGCTGTAAAATAAGAATGTTGAGAGGAGAATTAAGAGTTTAATAATGATATTGGAGAGGAGTGTGAAATAAATGCAGAGACATATCAAAGGGGGATGGTGGGAGGGAGTGGATGTACAAGCCCAGCTGCTTTTATATGAGGAAACAGCATTATTGCGGGTGGGTGAGTGGGAGGCAGCAAATCTTTTTGTATAATAGTTCAGGGATGGGTCTGGGGCATTACAACATAATGTAAAGATACAGATGGTAAATTGGTATGTTGGAAACAAGTCTGACCCAACATGGGCCTGGGGATCCTTCACTGAAATAACATAACTTTGTAATGAATTTCAAAGAAATATAGAATAGAAATCTGTAATACATTATATGCCCGAAGTGAGGGGGGGAAGAAGGGGAAACAGGAAAGAATATTCAATGAAACTCCAAAATTCTACCAAATGCAACATTACTTATATCTATAGAGTTTTCTATAAGAAGAGTTTTGGGACTTGGAGGTTAAACGGTGGATTTAAAATATATAGGTATATGTGTGTGTGTCTAGCTACATATATATGTATATACACACACACATACAGTCAACATTCTATATCCATTGGTTCCACATTCATGGATTCAATCACAGATCAAAAATATTTTATAAAAATTGCATCAGTACTGAACATGTACAGTCTTTTTTCTTCTCATTATTCCCTAAACAATGTAGCACAATAATTATTTACATAGCGTTTACATTGTGTTAGGTATCATAAGTAATCTAGAGATGATTTAAAGTATATGGGGGGATGTTCATAGGTCATATGCAAATACTATACCATTTTATATAAGGAACTGTTTGAGCATTTGTGGATTTTGGTATCTGCAGAAGGTCCTGGAACCAATCCCCCACAGATACCGAGGGATGACTGTATATAAATATGTATAGACATAAATCTATAAATATCGATAGATATCTGTCTAGCTATTTAGCTAGACTTCTTTAAGGTTTTAATTAAAATTAAGTCTTCTGAGAAATAAATTGGAATAGTCTTTGGAAGATTTAAGAGTATCTTTTCATGCCTTTTTAAAATGCCTGAATATTTTCTACAGCAACATGAAATCATCTCATATAATAATATAATATCATTTGAGCAGCTCCAAAGGTTCTTCCCTTCATGCTTCCAAGTTTTTATTGAAAATATATTTGCAGCCAAGAGAAAATTAATTTTTTTATTATTAGAAAATGTCATTCTTTTTTCTGATCTCCTGACCTATTAATGTCTTCTCCAAAAATGATTGCAATCATTTTTAGATATCTTACTTCAGAAATCAGCATCAAAAGTTGTTGAGCCTACTAATTCTTCCCCTAACTCCATTTTTCTCCCTGGCTCTTCTTTTCGATAAAAGAAGTCATTTAAAAGTAATCTGTAATTTAGTATCATTATAATTTTCCACCTAAAAAGTATAACTAATGTATATGCAGAAATTTTAAGGCCTTTTGTAATCTGGTGCCACCAAACCTACCCTCCATCATATTAGTAAATCCTGCTGTTGAAGTGTCCTACCTCATCCTCATCCTCTGAGAGAGTTTTTAACCCTCCACCCCAGAGTCTTGATACATTTCTAATTAATGCATGAAACTTTTCTTGACAATGCCTAGCCACCAAGATTGTGCCATTCCATTTCCCTTTACGTTGTAAACTTTAAAAGTAACACAGTATTTTTTAGTGTTCCACTCATTTGTTCTAGGTGTAAGCACAGTATTGTATAGTACAGTGGTATTATATAGTATTAACATATATGTGTGCCTAATACTCTCTTCTTTGTTTATTTTTAACTGTGAGCAATGGCCATATTTTACTCTTAGAACTGTGCACCCAATGGACCATACTGCCAGGTCACAAGACATTTTTGCAATTCATGAATTTATCTGTATAATGCCATTATCAGAAATTATTAACTTTGAAATACTAAGCTAAACAAAAACAATACATAGATGTTCTAGCTTCAGAATTTGGATTTTAGTAATACTTGGCAATTTCAATTTGTCTTGACAACATGAAAACTTATGCAGACTTTCAAATCAGTAAAAAAATCGGGATTGAAATGAGCAATTCTCCTAATATAAAAGTTGATTTTGAAAGAGTTAAGTATACACTGGAAGCTGGAAGCTGGAAGCTAGAGCTTTCTCTCTTGCACGCTTGCTATCTCTCTCTCTCTCTCTGTCAGACTCTTCAATGAAATCCAACATTTGAATTTTGTCTAAAAACGTATTATTGGGGCTACTGTTATTAGTCATTTATATCAATGACTACCTTTAATCTTTCTATCTAAATGATTGTTTACCAATGTGGAAGACTAATTGAAATTCAATACCTAAAAGTATTTCTGGGCTAGTATAATGTTATGTAATCTATGTGGATTACTACAGCATACTAAAAAGGTTGTTGGGCAAGTAAATACCATGTTTAGGATTGTGCTGATTTGTGTATAGTTCATTTAAAGTCAGGGAATCAATCCAGTGACCTTAACATTGGATAGCAAAAGAGCCTCCTCCATAGTCCAGGGAAACGTTTATCTCAGTTGGAGACCTCCCTTAAAACTTAAATACAAACAAGACTGGTTCAAAGATGACCAGTATTTTAAAGTGTTTTAAGAGAGGCCTCTTTAAATTCTGGGGGAAAGTGCCAGATTTTATTTGTGCTGCTGAATGTCTCCTTTTAGAAGGAAAGCTAAAACAGACACAGTGACAAATAAAAGGAGAGGAAAATAACCAGTTTTGAGTGTCTGCTCTGTATCAGACATCATGCTAGGTGTTGAGACAGATCCTCTTAAATTCTTAAAATAGCTACCTAGTTTGAGTACACTTATCATATAGAAAAAGAAATGAAACTCCAAAGGATTATATCCATGTGCCCTGGGTCACAAAATCAGTAGTGGTGAAGCTAATATTCAGATTTAAGTCACCAAGTCTCCAAATACCAAACCTTTCCAGCACATCTGACTTGATAGAGACGTTATTAGATGTATTTTTCAGCTCTGTTTTTAGGTACATAAATATTTAGGATTGGTAGGTCCCCTTGATGATTTTATCATTGTGCAATAATCTTTGTGCTACTATCTTATGCCCTGAAATCTACTTTGTCTGATGTTAATATAACTACTCCAGCTTTCTTTTGGCTAATGTTAGCATGTTAACTTGTGCCTTTATATGTGAAGTGCTTTCCTTGTAGACAGCATATAGTTTAGTCTTGCTTTTTTAATCCAATATGACAATCTCTGCCTTTTAATTGTGGTATTTACACCGATTGGCATTTAATGTGATCATTGATGTCCTGAGATTTTAATCTGTCCTCTTGCTATATGTATTCTATTTGTCTTATTTGTTTTTTGTACCTTTTCTTCTTTTTCTGTCTTCTTTAGTACAATTTTATTTTAATGATTATAATTTATTTCCTCTCTTCGCTTATCAACTGTAAGTCTCTTTTATTTAATGATTACTTAAAGGTTTTAACATACATCTTTAACTTGTCACAGTTTACCTTCAAGTGATATTACACCATTTCACATGTAGCATAACAAGATTACAATAATATACTTCCATTTCTCTCCTTCAAGCCTTTGTGGTACTGTCGTACACTGTATTTATATAAGTTATAAGCTCCAGAATATATTATTATTTTTGTTAGAACAGTCAATTGACTTTTAAGGTGATTTAAATAATAGCAAATTCAAAAAAAAATATTTACCCATGTAATTACGACTTCTGGTGCTCTTTATTGCTTTGTGTACATCCACATTTCCATCTGCCTGAAGGGCTTCCTTCACTATGTCTTGTAATGCTGTTCTGCTGGTAGTGAATTCTTTCAGCCTTTGTATGTCTGAATAAGTTTTTATCTAACATTCGTTTCTGAAAGATATTTTGGGGGAGGTAGGGGGAGGGAGATCATCAGGATAAATAGCTAATGCGTGTGGGGCTTAATACCTAGGTGATGGGTTGATAGGTGCAGCAAACCACCATGGCACATGTTTACCTACATAACAAACCTACATGTCCTGCACGTGTATCCTGGAACTTAAAATAAAAAAAAAAGAAAGATATTTCTACTGGATGTAGAATTCTAGGTTGATGTTTTTTTTTTCTTTTTCTTCCAGTGTTTAGAGACGTTTCTCTACTTTCTTGCAGAAATTGATTCTTGATTGTATTATTTATGAGAAAAATAATGTCATTCTTACCTTTCTTCCTCTGTACTTAATGTGCATTTTTCTCTTTTTGTTTGTTTGTTTTGTTTTTTTTTGTTTTTTTGAGATGGGGTCTCACTCCGTCGCCCATGCTGGAGTGCAATGGCTTGATCTTGGCTTATTGCAACCTCTGCCTCCTGGGGTCAAGCGATTCTCCTGTCTCAGCCTCCTGAGTAGCTGGGATTACAGGAATCTACCACCACACCTGGTTAATTTTTTTTTTTTTTTTTTTTTTTTGTATTTTTAGTAGAGATGGGGTTTTACCATGTTGCCCAGGCTGGTCTCGAACTCCTGAGCTCAGGTAGTCCACCCGCCTCAGCCTCCCAAAGTGCTAGGCGTGAGCCACCACGTCCAGCCTTTCTCTTTTATATTTTTAAGAATTTTTTCCTTAGCATTGGCTCTAAGTCGTTTAATTATGATGTATAGTTTTCTTCATGTTTCTTATGCATGTGCTTCATT
The DNA here is from genome assembly GCF_000001405.40 of Homo sapiens. NCBI lineage: Eukaryota > Metazoa > Chordata > Mammalia > Primates > Hominidae > Homo > Homo sapiens. The sequence goes on along the minus strand of NC_000007.14, from coordinate 112,048,167 downwards.
AAGCTTCTTGGATCTGTAGATTTATGTTCTTATCGAATTTGGAAAAATTTTAGCCATTATTTATTCAAATGCTTTCTTTGTCCCTGCCCCTCATTTGGAGACTACAGTTACTCACATAATAGGCCACGAGACATTGTCCTCACAGATCACTGATGTTGTGTTTAAAATTTTTTTCTCGGCCAGGCATAGTAGCTCACACCTGTAATCCCAGTGCTTTGGGAGGTGAAGGTGGGAGGATCCCTTGAGGCCAGGCGTTATAGATGAGCCTCTGAAACATAGCGAGACCCCATTTCTACAAAAATAAAAACCTAGCCAGGCATGGTGGCATGCACCTGCAGTCCTAGCTACTCAGATGGCTGAGACAGGAGGATCCCTCGAGCCCAGGGGCTCCAGGCTGTGGTGAGCTATAATCATGCCATTGCCCTCCAGCCTGGGCAACTGAGCGAGCAAGACTCCATCTCCAATAAATAAATAAATAAACTAATTAATTTTCTCTGTGTTTCATTTAGGATAGTTGCTAATTTTATGTTTTCAACTTCATTAATCTTTTGTTCTTCAGTGTCTAATGTTAATCCCATTAGTAGTTTTGTTTGCTTTTTCCATATCACATGATAGTTTTTACAAAATCTCTAAAAATTTGATTTTGGTCTTTCTAATGTCTTTTAATGTCTCCATTAAATTTTTGAATATATGGAATACAGTTATAATACTATTCCAATGTCTTTGTGTGCTAATTCTAACATCTGTATTAGTTCTGAGTCATTTTAGATTGGTTGATTTTTCTTCATACAAAGGACTATATTTTCCTGCTTATTTGCACTTTTGTAGAATTTTTATTGTGTATCTGTGGATTTTACCAGTTTAGGTAGCGAATATTTTGAATATCTGTAAATACTCTTAACCTTCCTTCTGGGGTGCAGTTAAGTTAACTTGATTCTCTTGGGTCTTGCTTTTAGGTTTTGTTAGTTGGGGCAGAGTATCATTTAGTCTAGGGTTACTTTTGCCTTAAAACTGAGGCAAACTTTTCTCTCCAAAGTGTCCCACGAATTAGGAGGTTTTCTAGTCTGACTAATGGGAACAGGCCCCATGTGAATTTCAGGTACTGTTCCTTCTAATCCTTCAGAGTGGTTCTTTCCCCAGAGTCATGTCGTTTCCTCACATTTTGCACTGGTTAATGTTTTCTGGGATACTTAAAGTAGAACCTTTGCAGATTTCTGTGATTCTTTCTCTTTGTAGCTTTTTCCTCGCTGCTGCTGTAAACTCTAAGCTGCCTTGGTCCCCTCAGACTCCCAACTCTTTTTCTCTCAGCTCAGGGAGTTGGATGGGCTCTATTTTGGTTCCTCCAGTGCTCCATGGCCTGGACCCTCTATCAAGGGAGTAAGCTGGGGCAATCATAGGGCTCACATCATATGTAGCCCCTCTCTCAAGGAACATGTTCTTCAATGCCTGAAATCTGCTGTCTTGAAAAACCATTGTTTCATATATTATCCAGTTTGTTGTCATTGTTTTGAGACAGGGTCTCACTCTGTCACCCAGGCTGGAGTGCAGTAATGAGATCATGGCTCAAGTGATCCTCCCACCTCAGCCTCCCAAGTAGCTTTTTTGTTGTTTCAGGCAGTGGGTTAAATCCAGTTTCTTTTGTTCCATCTTGGTTGGAAGCAGAAGTATTAGGTAGACATGTCCATTGAAGGGTTTTCTTTTCTTCTCCAATTTGGCAGCATTTTTAGGAAAGTATTTCTTTTTATCTTGGTTTTTACTTTTTTATTACTGACCTGTATCTTTTATCATAAGAATACAGTTGTCCTAAATCTATTTTTTCAATTGTCTGAATTTTCTTAAATGATTCAAGGCAGAACAAATGAAGAATGCTTTCTTTTGAGAATTCCAAAGTTGTATAGATGGTGGGTATACTTGTATAAATTTGGTTGATTATTACCTTTTATGTTATATTGTGTAGATTATAAGGTAGAATGGGCTAGGATTGCTTTTTTTCCCTGCCAGTAAAAGTTCACAGAATCCAGTAAATGCCAAGTATATCCAATAAAGAAACAAACACAAATGATAAGGATGTTTTGAGTTGACAAGCTTTTCTGTACAGTTGTTATTTAAGGGATAGGGTATTGAACAATGATTTCTCTAAGCAGCAGTTCCATATGCCATGACTGTATAAACTTATACATTATAGCTAAAGGGAACTTGCATTCTTTCCACTCCATTAAAAATGTACTGTCATTTTCTTAACTTCACGTTATGAGGCGTGGATTTAACAAACTTTTTTGGAGGGTTTGGCAAACGGCATTTGACCTATATTCCCTCATTTTTTAAATGGTAGTATTTGCTATGGCTTTGCTTTTGATGACTGTTAGTCAACTGTTTCTCTCTTGAACAAAATGGTGTGCTCTCACCAGCCTATCACACATCAGACTTAGAGCCATGACATTTGAATTTATTCATTCCTAACTTGTTATTTTAAGAATATCCTCAGATATTATTGGGCAATTACTATCTTTCAGGCAAGTGCTAAGTTTCAAGCATGTATGGTGAAAAGACTTGATCTTTGTTCTCAGCCAAGGAGCATTTAGTGACAAATAATCATTATAACACATTGTGATAAATTATTTGCTGAGTTGTTCATGTGTTTTACAAATATTTACTGAGAATCTGCTATGTGCCAGATATTAATACAGGCTGTGGGTTTATAGCAGTGAATAATTCCCTAGTCTCATAGAGCTAACATTTTAATGAGGAGAAAAATGATGATGTGGAGGGAGTGGGAGAGTGGAGAAATGCTAGGAAGATAAATTAGAGTAAGAAAATGGAGCTTGTCAGTGGAAGGGTGTTGCCTTTTTACAGTGGTCAAACTCTTGTTGTAAGGTGACATTTGAGCCAAGACCTTAAAGAAATTGAGAGGATAAGTCACTCAAATATCTGGGGGAAAGTGTTCTAAACAGAGGCAGATATAAAAATAAGAAAGGATGAGTGTGCCTGCTGTGACTGAAGAGCCAGAAAGGGTCCAGAATAGCCAGTAGAATGAGGAAGGGGAAAATGGCAGGAGGTGAGCTCAGCAAGGCAGAGGTGAGGAGAAGCTGTAGCTGGACTGAGGAACCAGATCACCTGGGGCTTTATTAGCTGTGAAAAGGATGTGAGTTTTCATTCTGAGTGAGAATCTGAGTAGAGGAGAGACATGAAGGGTTTTGGGGTTAGGAGGATCCTTCTAGGCATTGCCCCATGAAGCAAGGGAAGAGGCTCATGGTCTGAGGGCTGGGAAGAGTTAGAAACTGTAGCAATAGACAAAATGAGAGATGGTGAGAGCTTGGGCCAGGATAATTGTAGTTGTGGTGGTGTGAGATGGTTCAACTCAGGATTTATGTTAAAGAACCTATCCAGTGAGTTTGCTCAACGATTGGATGTAAGGTATGATGAGAAAAAAAAAGGTTTGGGGCCTGAACAACTAGTGCAAGAGAGTTGTATTTCACGAGGTGAGTAAGAACGTGGTGGGATCAGGGGATTTGGGTAGGTTAATACCCAAAGGTAGGTAGAGGAAGGAAGAACTTGATTTTAGACCTGCTATGTTTGAAGGACATGTTAGACACCAATGGAGATGTCAAGTAGACACTTGGATTTATGAGTTTAGAGTAAGAGATGAATTTTGGGCTAAAGATAAAAATTTACTAAGACATAATTTAAGTAGAAAAACTTACATACCTTGATGAGTGCTAGATAAAAATATCTAAGATCATCCAATACAGATCATTTTTATGGAAATGGAGAACCTAAAGCTCAGAAAAGTAGAATGAGGTGCCCAAGGACACAGGTTTTTGGCAGAATTCGTGTCATTTGATTCCTTGTCTTCTACTATTTCCAGTCCAGCACGCAGTGTTTTATTCATGCTGATATAGTTCAGAAATGGGGGGAACCTTACTAGTACAAAAGCCAGGATAGTAAGCAATGGTATAAGGCAGGGTTTAAGAGCACAGACTCTGGAACAAACTTCCTAGGTTTATTCCTCATTCTCCCACATACCTACTGTATGACCTTGGTTAAATTATATAGCTTCTCTGTGCTTCAGTTTCCTTATCTGCAAACTGCAATTGATAATAATAGTATGTACCTCACAGAGTACTTGGGAACTTAATTGACAGGACATAAGTAAAGCATTTAAGTCACTATGTTAAGTGCTATCCAAGAGAAGCTGCAGCTATGATTTATTATTGTTATTAATAATTATTATTCTAAGTCACTCATTGGGAAATCTTCAGAAAGTCTTTTCTTTAAACTTAGTTTTCCTACCTCAGATGCAAAATAATAAAGTCTTCCAATTGCTTCCTCTTTAAGATTCTTATTTCAGAGTGGAAGCCATGAGCTTTCATTACAACTTCTTGGGACCCAGAATTAGCTTATCTAGGGGGTATTTAGATACTATGGAGAAGTCATATTGAGGTCAAATATTCTCAAATCCCCTCTATCCAGGGTTGCCTGTTCATTCCCTGACATTCGCATCTACTGGTGCTTGTAATTGGTTGGTAGCATGCTCTGCTCTATTGGAACAGTGTGTTCTTTTAATTGATTGCTTTCTGTGAGAATGGCTTATCTGCCTTTTTCATTAACATTCATGATTCTGTGACACTTCATTCTCTCCATTAATAGCTTTATGGATGTCTTTTTAATAGAGATTTAATCTTGCCTTTAACATTTTAGGCAATGTCTTGGTTATCTACACTGTAACATCTCATTGTTGTGTGTTTATGTTATTAATTCATCATTGTGTACTAATCAAAACAAGTAAGCTCCTGTTTTTAACACCCCATTCTTTGTGGATAACAGTTGATTTGTGGCAGGTTCTAGATGAATTGAATATTATAATTTATGAGTAACATTGGTTAATTTTCTAGAGAGAATAATGAGATTATTGATTAAGTTTTTTTTTTTTATAAAGGAGATTTAGTAACAGTGTCAGTGAAGAAGTGTGAAAGTCTCTCTTTATTTCACTGGTTAGTGTGTGATTATTTTCCTTTCTCTGCCTGTCTTAGTTCATTGTCTGTTGCTATAACAGAATACCTGAGACTGGATAATTTATAAAAGAAAGAAGTTTATTTAGCTTGCAATTCTGGAGGCTGGGAAGTCCAAGATGGAGTGGCCACATCAGGTGAGGGCCTCATGCTGCGTTATAACATGATGGAAAACACCACATGGTGGGAGAACTTGCGGGCGGGGCGGTGCAAAAGAAACAAGCACGAGAGGCTGAGCTTGCTTTGTAACAACCCGCTTTCATGGTAACTAACTTACTCCCATGAGATTAACACACTCTCATGAGAAAGACATAAATAACTCTTCATGATCAAATTACCCCTTGAAGGCCCCACCACCTCCCAACCGTGCCATGATGGCAATCACATTTCAACATGAGTTTCAGAGGAGACAAACCATATTCAAACCATAGCACTGCCCGACATGCTAAGTGTCAACCTTGAAGTAAATCAAGTGTGTTAACAGAAGCAAGTTATCCCAAGATGATTGGTCATGCAGATGGTAAGCAGTTGGACAGCAAAGATTTAATTTTGTATCGATTATGCATATCAACTAAATACCATTTTTTTCCCGACTTATTTGCTCTGTTTTTTTGTCATTCGTGGTGGCATTCATGGAACTTCTACTCAGCATGTGTTAGTCTTCTAGCCTCTCCTCAGACTTTTATTAACCTTTGCTGTCTTGGATGTGAATTTTGTTCAATATTGTTTGGTAGGTTCTTGATCCTTCCTCAATGTCTGCAAGACACTCAGAATATCCTCGTTCACACTTTCAAGATGATCTTCCTATCCTTAGGCAGATAAGACATGAGCTTGGAGCACAATGTCTTCGTCTCCTGGTCACTGATTCCTCTGGACTACAATGATGTCTGTTCTAGTAAGTAGAATAGGGTTCACTAAATGAGGAATAAGCATCCTCAGATATTATAACTCTGTCGCCTTGCAGATGACTATTATTTTCGTTCCATCAAAGGACTGGATAATCTTTTTTCTTTTTTTTTTATTTAAGAAATGATTTGCTGTGTTGCCCAGGCTGGAGCGCAGTGGCTGTTCACAAGAGTGGTAGTAGTACACTGTAGCCTTGAACTCCTTGCCTCCAGCAGTCCTCTTGCCTCAGCCTCCTGAGTAGCTAGGACTACACGCGTGTGCCACCTTGCTTGCCTATCAACTGGAGCATCTTCACATTGGCAGCTGTATTCCCCTATACGCCCATAGGCTGACACTCTCATTCCAGTGGGGTACAGCTTGACTGTCCAGAAGTACGCTATCTGATGCAAAAGGGGCAGGCTGGGTCCAAGCAAATATCTTCTCTTTGCCATAGAATCACAGAATTTTAGGGTTGTGGGGGGATGGGGTCATGGAAATAATGTATGTTTGGTCCTTCATTTTATTGATGAGAAAAGGAAACTCATAAGTGGGAAGTATCTTTTCCAAAATGTAAGTTAATAACAGAACAGGAACCACTTACTAAAAAGTCTTTTTCAATCCTGTGTTACCCCCATGGTGAAATGGAACAAGAAACAGATGGGTAGAGTAGAAATGGTATTGGGTTTGGAATCTGAAGATGTGGATTTTATGCCCAGGTTTATTGTTACACAGTAATTATATGATTTGGCATAATTAACTTCCAGCATTTTTGAAATTGTTTTTTATCCATGGAATGGTGAGTTTGTCAAAGACCCCACCAACCTTCATCTGAAATTTGTTGTGTATTCATATACATTGAATTACAGCATATTGTTATGCTTAAAAATCTGTTAAAGGTTGTGATTTGATTAAAACGTTGGCTAATATGGAAATATACCATGACCCCATTTTCTTCTCTCCCGTATTCCTTCAGGTCAGAGGAAATACATTTTTAACTTCATAATTGCATATTCTTATCTACTCTGACAGCTACACCTCAGGGTCTCACCTCTTCTGAAAAGAATTATAATAATTGGGCATTCTGTGACCTTCCTGTCACAATAGATGGGTATTGGAGACTCCAGAAGGATTTTTATTAGTAGTGTTCAACAGTATTTCCCTGTTAAACCCAAGAAAAATAGTTCATCAGACATCTCAACTCAGAGCTGCATCTGAGCCTGAGCTGGTATATGTTATCATTGTCTTACCAAAAAATTATATTTGATCATTTGTCAAAAACGTAAAAAAAAAATTACCTCTAAATCCGTCATCCAGAGATAACTACTTTAGACACTGCATATACTTAGACTTTTTAAAGTCTTTTCAGACATTGCATGTATTTTGACATTTTAAATGCATGTTCATAAACATATACATATGCACAAATTTAATGCACAATGTAATTACATACACTTTTTTTAATGGAGTAATACTGCATGAACTATTTTAGAATCTGCTCCTTTCATTTAATGATACTTTTTTTTTGGTTCACTCTGCCTTAGCATCTACCTATTTATTGAAATGTGTATTGGGTCACTGTGCCTAATAATGTATCTATTTATTGAAATGTATTTGTGGGTTCACTGTGCCTCGGCATCTTCTGTACTTACTGAAATGTGTGTGTTGGTTTACCGTGGCTCATCATCTACCTATTTTTTGAGCTGTGTGTGTTGGTTCACCATACCTCAGCATCTGTGTTATTTATTGAAATGTCTGTTCTGGTTCACTGTGCCTCCACAACTATCTATTGAAATGTCTATAGTGGTTCACTGTGCCTTGGCAAATGATACTTCTTGATCAGTTTTTCATGCAGTTAAATTTTCTCCTACAACATCCTTGTTAATGCTGTCTAGTATTTCTTCTGTTTGGGGCAGAATGATTTATTTAATTAAGCCATTATTATTGTACATTTTGAAACCAAAGTACAGTGTCTACATGTGGTAGAATTTCCCCTGTATCACTTAAATAAGAAGGTGTTTCTCTTTAGAATTCTGATGAGTTAGAAGCTAAGATTTCATAGTACAGAAACTAGAAATGTAATCTCTACTGCTTGAGAATCTTGTTGAAGAATTTCCATTCAATTGCTTTTTGTTGTTTAATATCAGTTTCATTAAGCTTTCTCTAAAGCATTTTGACCTCACTTAAAATTGGGTCAGTATACATATAGAGAGAGTCTATTTTCCCAGGTAGTGGGTTACATGCAAGGTAAGTTATAAGTCTGGGCCCCAAACCACTTACATTTTATTAGTAAAAATAGCAGTATGAATAAGGCAATTACAATAGAATAAATGTGTTGTATGGTAGGGTCTGAAAACTTAAATGCTAACTGAGGCCAAGCACGAGTATAGAGGTCTAGGTGAAAGTTATAGGAATAATTTGAGACTGTGTTCTCCAGGTAAAGGGATCAGGTGTTATTATTTAACTCAAACTCAGTTATTAACATGGGAAATAAAGACGTGGAGTAACTAGGTTCTCTGATTTTTTAGGAAAAGCTGAAATTAAATTTTTTTTTTGAGAAAAACTCCTAATTCTTAAATGTTGGCAGTAGTTATAATTGTTTTTAAACATAGTTCTGTCCAAACAGGAGATGTCTGCGACTCTACTCTAGCCCATATACCTAGGTAAAGCTGGCTCGGGGGGCAAGTGGTCAGCAATTTGAGAGTCAGAAAATCCTTCAGAAAGATAAGGCTTTCCTACATTCATCATTCCGAGGTTAGTTTAAGGATAAGTATAATGTATAAAAACAACAACAACAGCAACAACAAAAAAACAGAAGACTTCAAGTAGGCAATTACTTAAGGGAAAAAGTGGAAGAATGACAGTTTATAACTAGATTTCTGCATCTTTAAGCCCCCCCCCCCATATGAAATCCTCTTTAAAACCTTCAGTTTTCTACATATCACAGTAAGTGCTTGGTAATTCAATGTTATCAGCAGGAATTGTGGCAGGGTTCCTTCCACTGTAGGTAATCAGTAAACATATTTTCATTGAAATAATAATGTAAAAGTTGGAGACAATTCCGACATCACTTATACTTAAGAGTGGAATGCATCTGAAGTGTGTGTTGAAATATGGATGATGATTCTGGGGGATCTTGGAGATTCACTGAGCCGGAAACAATATAATATATCATGGTAAGAGAATGTTAACACTCTTGGCTTCTCTGTTCTGCCTCCTCCATCTAAGTCCCTTTCCTGTTATTCACTTTGTACTGTGAAAAAACTAGACTACCTCTTCAGAAGCAAAGGAGCAGCATAAAATGAACATGAACACTGCCATGGATAAATTTGCTGGTATGCACCATTTCCTAGGCCTAGAAGATAGCGACATTGGTCTAATATGTTGCCTTTTTAAAAGAGTTCCTGTCGAGTTGGAATAGCTTGTAGTCACAAAACATTACAGTTGGTGACTGAAGAACAAGGATTTAAATCAGCTCTAGCTGGCTCCAAAGGTTATGTTCTTTCCTTAGAACCAAACAGAGTTTGACTTCTTTGAGAATTATCTAGCTTCTTCTCCTAGCATTTTACTTTTTTTGTTACTTTGGTCACTTGGAGGAGAAATGTGACCCGCTGGTGTTGGTTGTCAAGACACACACTTAATGACACTGAGTGGGTAGCCTGTCCTGGGTGCAGTTGAAGCTCCACAGCCAGTGGTGGCACAAGAGTGACAGTACTGTCACCTCCAGGCTGTTCTTGACCTCACTTGGCATATTGATCTTCAGCCCTGATCCAATTATGTAGCAGGGTGACATTAGTATTTGTCACCACTCAGCTGCTTTCATTGCTCCTCCCTAAAAAGATTTTGAGGACTCAAAAGTCTCCAAAATAGAGATGACCTATTGATATGCCTGCTAATTAATTCTTCAAAAGCACTTTGACCTCAACTCCATATTTTTTCCTCTGTGCACATTTATGTGGCTTTATGGCTTCCCAGTCCCCCAAACAACAAATAATGGCTTTACATATTTTTAAAAAATGAGATGTACTCATTTTATAAAATCCAAGTAACATCGAAAAATAAAAAGAAGACAGTTACAAAGCACCTCCAAATCTTACTTGACAGATATAAAATGTTATGATCTGGGAAATATCAGCCTCTTCAAATATACGGATAGAAGGATGAATGAATGGATAGGTAGACAGGCATGAATAATTTTATAACAATGCTAACATGCTGTCCATGCTATTTTAAAGTTTAAACCTTTACATTTAATAAAATGAAACTGGATAACCTTTTGACTTCTGATTAATTTTATCATAAAAAATTAGGAGGTTGGAGCCATAATGTTATTATAACCATTAGAATGGCTGAAATTAAAACTACTAAAACTATAAGGTTTATATGAGGATATGGAGCAACTGGAACTTTCATACAGTCCTGGTGGAAATGTAAAATGATATAGACCCTATGAAAGAATATCTCCTATAAAATTAAATTTACCCCTATCTAATGATCTTGTAATTCTGCTGGTATTTATTCAAAAGAAATGAAAACCTATGTCCACAAAAAAGTGCAAGAGTGTTCAGATTTGTTCCTAATCATAAATACTTAGAAATTATATAAAGAAACTGTATAGTCATGTAATGGAATAATAAATTTTAAAAGGACTATTAATATACACAATGACATGGATATATTTCACATTATATTGAGCAAAAGAAGGCAGGCATAATAGAGTATCTCTTGTATGAGTCCGTTTATATAATGATCAAGAACAGCCAAAACTTTTCTGTGGTCATAGAAATCAGAACAGTGGTTGCCTATGAGATGAATGGGAGGAAGATTACCTGGAAAGGTGCAAAAAGGAAGTTTCTGGGATGATGGTAACATTCTATATCCTAGTTGGGGCATTGGTTAAACAGCTACAGTTTGCAGATGCTTCTCGACTGACAATGGAGTTACAGGCTGACAAACCCATCGTACAGTAAAAATATCTTAAGTTGAAAATGTATTTAATACACCTAACTTACTGAACATCTTATCTTAGCCTAGCCTGCCTTAAACGTGCTCAGAAAACTTACATTGACCTACAGCTGGACAAAATCATCTAACACAAAGCCTATTTTGTAATAAAGTGTTGAATATCTCATGTAATTTATTGAATACTGTGCTGAAAGTGAAAAACAGAATGGCTTGCCTCCACTGCCCAGCATCACAGGAGAACATTATACCATATATCACTAGCTTGGGAAAAGTTCAAAATTCAAAATTTGAAGTGTGGTTTCTACTGTCAGTGTGTATTGCTTTCACATCATGTAAAGTTAAATCCTGTCAGGCAGGGCACGGTGGCTCACGCTTGTAATCCCAGCACTATGGGAGGCAAAGGCGGGTGGATCACCTGAGGTCAGGAGTATGAGACCAGCTTGGCCAACATAGTGAAACCCCTTCTTTACTAAAAATACAAAAATTAGCTGGGTGTGGTGGTGGGCGCCTGTAATTCCAGTGACTTGGGAGGCTGAGGCAGGAGAATCGTTTGAACCCGGGTGGTGGAGGTTGCAGTGGGTAGAGATCATGCCACTGCACTCCAGCCTGGGCGATGGAGCGAGACTCCGTCTCCGGAAAAAAAAAAAAAAAAAAAGAAATCCTCTAAGACCACTGTAAGTTGGGAATTGTCTGTATATATATTTGTCAGAACCCATCACACTGTGCACCCTAAGATCCGTACCCTTTGTTATATATATCTCAACATAAAAATATAAAAGCAAATGAAATTTAGACATTTTAGTTATTACATATTGTCTCCCTGTTATGAAACCAGAGATTAACACACTTGTGCTTTCTCCCACCTCCCTTTATGTTGCTTGTGTTATTTTTTCTTTTTTTCAGGTTTCACAACATTCATTCTCTGATCTGCAATCATAATGCCCCAGTTGTTTAGTCTTAGTTCTATATTTAAATGGATTCTGTGCTCACCATTAATCCTTTCGCCACAGTTTTTCCATGTCTGATTATTTATTTTTATTCATTTCTTGTTTATCCAAATTTTCATCGTCAAGTCCTTTTTTTTTGGTTTGTTTATTCTAAGGAAAGACTCATGGATGTGCTATTTCCTGAGTTTTTACATGTTTACAGATGCCTGCCTTTTGTTTTTATGCTTGAATTGCAGATTAGCTGGATTTAATATTCTTGGGTCATACCTGTTTCCTTTTTTAAAGACATGGGTCTTCTGACACTGAATATTATTGTGAAGATATCTGTGGTCAGCCTATTTTTCTTGTCTTTCTCCCTCTAGTAGATAACTTCCTTTTTATATTTGATACTTGAAGTTTTTTTATTCTTTTAAGATCCCAGATCAAAGAACAATTTTTTCTTTCTTTTGTTCAAAAACTTATTCAAGTTATAGCTCGATTTTTTAAAAATTATGTTTAAATTTTTGCTGGTGTAGGAATGCCCTTTTGGTCTGCACATTGACTTCTTCCTTTATTCTGGAGAGCTTTTTTTAAATGAGTGTTGTAATTTTCTGTAGTGACTGGTTTTGTTTTGTTTTTTAATATGAACACTTCTGTGTGCAGAACAACAATCATCTTTATGTTTGTTTATCTGAATTCTTCATGTATTACATTCTCTCTCCTTCCTTTAATTTCTTTGTCTTTCCTGCTGCACTCAGTGTGATTCTCTCTCTACTCCATGCCATTAATTAGATTTTCACTTCCTCTGCCCCTTGCTATTTCTAATTTGTTTATTAACTGCATAATACTATTGTTCTGTTTTCCATGCATTTCCTGATTTCTACAGTCTTCCCTTTTGGTCTTTTGTTCTATCTTCTAGTCTTTGGTCCTTGTTTTATAGAATTCATAGTTTTATGAAGTTTTTATAGAATGTGACACATTCACCGAAAGTCTTCTTATGTTTCTGGGGTTATATTTCTTACAGTCTTAGTTTACATATGTCTTTGCATGCTAGATTTTTTTTCTTTTTGTAGTATATTTTTATAATTGTCCTCATTTCATCTCACTCATACATAGTGGAGGCCACTCTCCACATCATCTGTGTGCTCTGACCACGCAGAAGTGAGTTCACTTGATCTTATTTCTACTTTATCTGGGACTAATTTGTCTTCCAAATCCCCACCTACTATTTAAGGGCTGGCTGTTAGCTTCAATGCAGTGCTTTTAATCCAAGGGTGTGAGGGTAGGGAGAACTCAGCTGGAATGGAGTACAGTTAGGGGTCCTGGGTCTGGGTTGACCATCTCCGTGTGTCCAGGACTTTCCTAGATGAAGCATGCAAAGTCCCACATCATGAGAAACTTCCTCAGTTCAGAGCATAAAAAGATGGCTGGTTACCCCATCTTTCTCCTTTAAGTTGTTTTTTTTGTTTGTTTGTTTGTTTTGAGACTGAGTCATTTTTTCTGTCTCCCAGGCTGGAGTGCAATGGCAGGATCTTGGCCCACTGCAACCTCCGCCTCCCGGGTTCAAGCAGTTCTCCTGCCTCAGCCTCCTGAGTAGCCGGGATTACAGGTGCACGCCACCACACCAAACACTAATTTTTGTGTTTTTAGTAGGGATGGGGTTTCACCATGATGCCCAGGCTGGTCTCAAACTCCTGGCCTCAAGCAATCCACCCGCCTTGGCCTTCCAAAGTGTGGGATTACAGGCGTGAGCCACCGCATCTGGCCAAAATTTTTTGAATACCCTAGGCCCCTGCCCACTCCATGCAGCCATGCGTGGTTCAACTTGACTCCAACTCTGCTTAGTATCTTGGAATGTGGTCAGGGTGCCTTCGTACATACAAGAGTCTAGTCTCAAGGGTTGTTTCTTTCTTTATAACTTTCAATTCCAATTCAACTTCTCCAGTTTAGAGAATTTAAGTGAGGATGTTCAGGGTTTAGTCAGCTGATCCTTTTTCCTCATTACCATGTGTGGGGCAGAGGACACGGGCCAGATTCAGAGCCATGCTAGAGTTTTATTCCTTTCCTCCACCTGCCACTTTTCAAAAAATAGCGTATAGTGTCATTTTCTTGCTTAGTTCCTTTAAAAAGATATTTAAAAATTTTTTATTAGCCATTTGAAGAAGGAGATTCAGGAATCGTGTTTGATTCCACTATGGTTACCTGGTTCATTGTAAAACTGTGGTTATCTCAGTCAGTCAGATGATTTAGCCTTGTATATCATCTCTTTCTCCTTCCATCCTGCCCTCAAAATGCACACATGAACAGCTCTCTCTGTATTTCCCATATGAGTATGCAAGTGAAAATATTAGGTTTGAGAGAGCTGAGAGCCAAAACGCAATCAAAAGCACAATGGATTAGCCCATGAATTGAAAATGTGCTCCTTTCTTGCAGGATTTGTAAGTTTATATGCTATCATTTGAGAACTCTTATTTCTAGGTATTGCTTCAGATTGAGCACTATATTTCACACGGAAACATTAATGATGATGTGGTTTTTATGTTGAGCTTACTAGTTCTCTTAAGACTTATTTTTTCAAGAATAAAGAAGATTATGATTCTTCAACAGGAATGTAGTGGCTCAGATTTCCAAGGACTGTGTTATTTGGGGCAATGAGTGTGAATGTTGGAAAACTAGTGCTGGCTCTCTCCATCCATTTCCTTAGCGGAACTGTTTTAATAATTTTGTGACCATGAAAGCTGGTCAAGCAGTCATAACCCATGAAGTCAAGAAAGGTAAGTACAGTCCTAACTGAAAAGGTCAGGAAAACAGTGATACAGCCTAAAAGAGGGTAAGGTTTGAGTTTTGAATGAAAGTGAGAAATTATTGCAAATAAAATTCAGAAAGTAATTTAGGGTACACCTTGAAAAGTACTGCTGAATTCATTAGCAGGATGTAGCATGTGCTGTTAGAATAAAAGGCATTTACTGCTACTCTCCCTGAAGAGGGATTTTTGCTTGGTTTTATTTTGCTTTTTGTGGTGGGGTTGGGAGTATTCAAAAATCCACATAAATTTGAAGTTTTGTGCTTTTTCACCTTTCTCTTCTTTAAGCCTCAAGCAGTAGGTAATGGGCCATAAAAATGATTATTTTTGTATTTGTTTTTGTTAGCCCATTTTTTTTCTACTCTAGAACAATGAAGAAGCTTGGCCTATTTTTAGATTATGATGTATCTGTCTGCATATTGTATTTCACTTGGAATTATTTGCTTTATATTGAGCTTTTCAGAAATATGTGCAGTATAAAAATTGGAAATTTTAAAATATACTGTGTCTCTTACTAGATTGTTTGCTTACTCAGATTATTGCTAAAATAAACAGACATATTTAGTGATTGAAGTCAGAAGTTATTACAATGAGCTTTATTTTATTTACATTTGTTAGCTAAATTAATTAGCACTTTAATGCCTCTTTTCCCCTTTAGGAATGTTGTAAAAAGATACTTTTTTCTTTCCTCAGAGATTAGGATGTCTTTTTTTTTCATGGAAAGTAAAATATATTAGAGAAAATTATTCAGTGGATGCTTAAATGCTAATTCCAAGCTAGAATAAAAGGTAGTACATTTATTTTCACCTCTTTCCTATCCCTCCACCTTTTTAAGGCAAGTGTGGGGCTTTGGGGAAAATGAGCCAATAAAGATAAACAACATAAAATCACAATGATATGGCTGGAAATAAAATCTGGCCTACTTTTCAGCAATTTCTTGCTGTTCTATATGGTGTTCACATCATGCATAGGAATCTAACTGCAACACATTGTTGTGTAGGGAGGAATTCACAATAAGACAGATCCTTCATTGGTTCCTTACAACAAATACCAAAATACAAAAAGGCCCTTTTTAAAAATAAAGCAAGCAACCTCAGAAATGGAAGCCAAGGAGAGCATTTATGTGAAACATCATTATAGTGATATGTGAAAGGTTTTCCTAAAAATCTAATCCATTTATTTGTATAAATAACTTCTTAATTTGTAGTTGATAGCCATGCACTTCGGATTGCCAATTTAAAATAAGCAGCACCTTATACTTAATTAGTTATCAAACATTTTAGTTGAAGATGGCACAGAACTTTTTTAGTTTCTGTGTTTGACTAGATATTTTTGTTTATTCTCTTCCTAAATATTTCATAATGTTAACGCAGTTGAGGTTGGGTCAGAATAACAAAATACTTTTCCTCCAAGATGATGTACACATTGTCACCCATCACATTTTTTTTGCTATCAAAATTTTCTAAGCTTGCTATGACCTACTTAAGGGTCTTACAACAAGATTAAAAATTCTAGGGAATTTTGTTCCACAGACAGCAGTGGATTCAGCGCTTGTACTTGTATTTTCCAGCTTTGTTCCTATGGAGATAATGACCAGTCTTATCTTGCAAACCCACTGCCTTCTTTTTTGGTAGACATGCTTTTTGTTTTGATTTCCAGGAAGCAATACCGTTTGAATTGTTTGTTGGACTTTGTAAGGTACCGTGCATGTATCTTTCAGTATTTCATCAGGAGACACTTTTTTGACATGTTCACCTCACTGTAATTCTGGTTTGTCAGCATCTCTCTTATAAACCTGTATGTTTCAGCGGTTCATTTAATAGTTTTAAGAATGTTCTGGAGTAAAGCAAGCACTCTTCCCGTGGCAATAAGATTAATTTGAAGAGGCTTGAAGTGATGAAATACACATAGCAAATTCTCTTTCAAAAAAGCCAGTTGATGAATTGCAGCTCAGGAGAGAGAAAAGAAAGAGTGGTGGGGAGTGAGGGAAGAGGCTGGAACTTGATTAAAGGTTAGGAATCAGTGCACACAATGGAAGGTTATAAGAATTGGGCCTGGTTTTCTTTCTGAGAAGTTTGTAGGAAGATGTGATCAGTCTTTAACACTATAAAGCTTATATGAGGAAGGACAGAGAAGAGGGAGGGAGGGGAGGAAGGAAAAAAGGAAAAGAAAACTGTGAAGATAAGAAAGTGGAATTAAGGTTTCCTAAAGAAACAACAACAAAAGCCTTTGGTGTCTCACTTTCACCAGGTGAGGAGTGATGCTCAACTCCACTGAAACCCAGCAGACAAGACAGGGAGTGGAACGACTATGTGAAGGATGTCTCAGTTGGGTAGGCAATGCACTGGGCTGAAGGCCATCCTTATTTGCTAGGTGTCTGAACCAACCCCTCTTTCCACATCCTTGGATCCAGTGTCATCCTTTCTTGCTTTTTTGTGATTGCTAGTGTCTGATTCTTTGATCTAGTTGTTAATAGATAGTGGTAGTATGATGCTCCTCTATTTGTATAATCTTCCTGCTGTTTTTCCCTCTGCCCTGTTCTGGTTGGCAGTACTACATGAAGAGGACAGATAGGCATAGCTTCACTATGTTACACTGCAAATCACGAGAGAACATGGACCAGTGACTTCTGCCTTAAAAGGCATCATCCTTGTCCTACATTGCACCTCTTCCTGAGTATTTGCCATAGATTGTGGCCAGTGCTTTTACAAATGACAATCGCCCAAAATTCAAACTTGCTTTTAAAAAGTTCATGAACTGAGAAATCTGAGGAGCTGACTTAGCCTATTGCTGCAGCACCTGTTGGGTCCACGAGTTCATTGTATCATCAGAGCTCTCTCCATCCCTCTGTGAAGACTTCTTCTAGCAAGCTTTGTCCATGTGGCTCTAGGCTTTCGTCTGTCTCAGAGCTCAAAGTCCCAAAAGATGAAAGATCTTTCTCACCAACTCTGGTTAAAGTTTGAAGGAAGAGTCTGTTAAGACTTTTCTCATTGCCCAAATGAGAGGGTGTAGAATGTGTGGGGCCTGTAACCCTCAAACTACAGGAAATAAATATAATTATTAGAAAAGATGAAAGGCAAGCTGCACCAACAATGTGTGTTCACTACAGCCACCTTGCTCCTGTTTCATGATTTTTGTAGTTTCATTGTGGTTTAGAAATACTTGAAGGATGTTAATCCATTATTTAGCTGCATTAATTGAGGCGGCACTAACACAGCCAAGTGGGTTATTCATAGTTGACTTTGAGCAGGAATTTTGTTTGTACAGTTGAATGTATGTCTCAGATTTGAGCATTTGCTGTTCAAATCCAACATGAATGCTCATCCCAGCCCTTTTCTCAGTCTTGAGGTGTGTTCTCCTTAGAAAACAGATTCCTGTATGCTTGCTGTTACACTCCCAAATGCTAGTTTAGGCTTAAAAGGTCATCTTTTCTGCATTCTGCAAAATGAAGATCCTGATCCTCTATATTGTTCAGTAGGAATCTGAAGCCAGCATTTGAATTGGAGATGTGACATGCCAGTAGCAGGGTTCTTGATACCATGAAGTTTTCATGCAGATGTAATGGTTCTCCTATGGAGCTGCTTTGCTTCTATTAAGAAAGCAAATTCAAGTCATTTTGAATCAGAAAGTTACATTTGGAATGATTTAGATATTCAGATCTTTTTTGAGATATTATAGCTATTTAATTGTCATGAATATTCAGAAAAACAATGAATCATGATACTGTTTCATTTTAGCCATATTTTGCACAAATAATTTCTTTCTGTGATGCATCAGTAGTTTATACTTCTAAGAATTAAGTGGGCTTAGATTGGTTCGAATTAGTATCTCCTTCTGTGGACACATGCAAACAAACCACCCAGTGAGTGCAATTACCGTCTCCATTAACACTGCTGTCTGTTGGAACTAATGAATTTCCATGTAAGTTCAAGAGTGACTGCTGGCTGACATTTTAGATTATTCAACCAGAGTGACAAGTTCTATCCTTTAAATTAGCATGGAGGTTCAAGGGTTACTAACAGTTCTCATCCAACCTCAGTTTGACTTTGCAAAAGATGTTGCAAACACCAATTGCTGGTCTCGTACTGCAAATGAATGGTAACATTTTATGAATTATTTTTCCCCCATTTTATTTTCCTCCCTTTGAGGCTGTTTAGGATTTTCATTTTTATACAACAGTTTCATATCCAGAACCTGCCTGAAAGAAGCAATTCTATGCTGCATAATTTGAGAGGTTAAAAACATTCTTTCTTCTCTAGGGTTGCCAGGAGACTCAGATATGCTGGGGTGTGAAGAGTGGATGTGCATTCTTCACACGGAAGGTTTAATTGAGATTTTGTTTTCTGGGAGTGGCCATCCAGCCTTTCTGTACTTGCACATTCACAATGATTAACTTATCAGGATGTGTTGGATCCAGTGGACGCCAGTGATGGAGCACAGAACCAAGGAATGAGCAGGCACATTTCAGAGCTGGGTGCCACCAACTAAGTGATGGATTTTTCAGGCGCAGCTGGAAGGGGTCAGATGCTGAGAAACAGAAGAAGAAAAACTCAAAATTGTACCTTACTTGCAAAATAACATTGCAAGATAAGCACTACTGGGTATCTGATTTATATTTGAGGTAGACAATAGGAAAGTTCTAGCCACAGCATTAATTATTATGTTTAAATAATTAGCGGTCTAAAAAATAATCAGGACCATGTGAGCAGGTTTGAGCAGTAGGATGATTCGGTGTGAAATGCTTGTTGTCTAACGCTGAGAGAGAAATGGACAAAGGGAACCCAGTGAGGCAATTAGAGACTTTTTGTAGCAAGACTGAGACATCAGCAACCTGTGCTCAGTTTTCAGTGCAGCTGACTGTGTCAGAGAGCAGAGCACTGCTGTCTTGCTGTGTAGATGATGATCAGAAGTGTTCATTCATCTCTGAGTTTCCATTTTGCTTGATCCAAGTTGTTGAGAAAGCTTTCCTTTGGAGTTAAAGTTTCACCTACTTGCTAATTCTTAAAGAGACTAGAAAGATTGTTTTAAGTTATTATTCGACAATTACAATTCAGCCATTTCATTGGGCTGATAAACCTTTAGTGCTGAGATTATGCTAGTGAGATGATGTAGTTCTGTGTTTGCAATAGTGGAGTAGCTGTTTTCAAACAAGCATTGATAGGTCCTTTTGATGCAAGGTCTGATCTCCATTCTGCCAACAAAATACTTTCCCTTTAGGAATAAGAATATGTATTCTCAGAGTAATATGTAAGGAAGATATAAGAAACCATTTCTTATCTTTGCTTTTACCGATTAGATTCTCAGCCCTCAGAGGGCTTGGATTTTGAACATATTAACATATTCCTTTGTTGGAGCCTTCTTCAGGTTAATCTTTTTAAAAAGTCGATTTACCACTTCCCATTGCCTTCTCATCCCTCTGGGACCTGTACTTCATGCTCTAGTGATACTTAGCTACCAGTTGCTCCCTAGATGGCTTGCTGTTCCTTTCCTTTCTCTCTTGCTATCCTTTTCGTCATTTAAAACTCAAGTTCAGGGCTATCTTTGTCATGGAGGCTTTATTGTCTCTCTCCCAGATGTATCGGTAATCCTCTTCTATGTACTGCCCTGTACTCACCTTTAGTTCTGTCTTTCTCAAATGGAATGGTAACTCTTTGGTTTCATGGCTCTCTCCTTCACTAGACTGTGAGTTCGGAAAAAAGACTGTGATTTACTCACCTTGTCTCAGCTTCTTTTCTTGGTACTCAAATCAGTGCTTAAGAAATGATGTTGAAGGAAATTGTGTTTGGAGAAGGATGTCAAATAAACATTTGAAAAATAAACCCAGTCCCTTTCTTTTTTCTATTTTCTGAGCCTGTGCCTTGATGGCTCCATACAATCAAAGCTCTTTGATGCAGCCCAGTTTCTTAGCACGTGAGTCTTCCACTTAATTAAGTTCATTAAATCTGCTTTGACCAAAATAACAAAAGCCAAATGAGCTGATATGTATCATTTGCCTATTAGTTTGGTGCAGACGATTTTTTATTTAGTTAATTGAAATTAACTAAAAACATAAGTAAAGGACTGGGCATGGTGGTTCATGCCTGTAATCCCAGCACTTTGGGAGGCCGAGGCAGGTGGATCACCTGAGGTCAGGAGTTCAAGACCAGCCTGGCCAACATGGTGAAACCCTGTCTCTACTAAAAATACAAAAATTAACCGGGTGTGGTGGTGCACACCTGTAATCCCAGCTGCTTGGGAGGCTGAGGCGGGAGAATCTCTTGAACCCGGGAGGCGGAGGTTGCAGTGAGCCGAGATTGCACCACTGCACTCCACCCTGGGCAACAAAGCGAGACTCTCTCTCAAAAACAAACAAGGAAACAAAACAAAACAAAAAAAGGAGTAAAGAAAGGTAGCCTGTCTCTACACACAGTTCCTTTTTCTGGTCCTAGAGGCTTGGGACTTTAGAATTCTGTAAGAGTCTCAGATTTCTCCAATGTATTTGTGAGGTTGAATTATGTTATTATTTATCCTTTTTAATAGTTGTCCCAAATGATAAAGTACCATTGAGTAGCAAATGAGTTCATCCAAGCTCATTATGTCCTTACCTGGCCCAGCCGAGCAACATTTTCTGTTTACAGCTGAAGATCGACCTCCCACCTCGAGTCACTTTCAGTCATTTCCACTCTCTTTAATTTGAACTTTTGTTGCATTTCCAGTGGAAGTTCAAAGTGCCCTTGAAGTGAGATGACCGGGAGAGTAATAGGCAAGGGAATGGAAGTTGGAGAGCAGGAGTGGAAAACTCTTTCTGTAAATGGTTCGATAGTATATATCATAGGCTTTGGGGGCCATATAATCTCTGTTCCGACCACAGGACTCTGTCATTATAGTGCAAAAGCAGGCATAAACAGTAGGTCAATGCATGAATGTAGTTATCTTTCCATAAAACTTTGTGGACACTGAAATTTGAATTTTATATAATTTTTACATGTCACAAAATATTACTCTTTTAAAATTTTGTGGAAGAATTTACAAATATAAAAGCCTTTCTTGGCCCACAGGCCTTACAAAAATAGGTGGCAGACTGGATGTAGCTGGTAGGCTGTTATTTGTTGGCCCTCTTTTAGGGCAGCGGTCCCCAACATTTTTGGCACCGGGGACCAGTTCATGGAAGACAATTTTTCCACAGACAAGGGTGAGTGGGGGGGATGTTTCAGGATGAACTGTTCCACCTCAGATCATCAGCCATTAGGGCATTCAATTCTCATAAGGAGCGTGCAACCTAGATCCCTCACATGTGCAGTTCATAGTAGGGTTCACGCTCCTATGAATCCAATGCCGCTGCTAATCTGACAGGAGGCGGAGCTCAGGCAGTAATGCTGACCCGCTTGCCACTCACCTTCTGCTGTGCGGTTGGGTTCCTAACAGGCCAAGGAATGGTACTGGTCCATGGCCTGGGGGCTGGGGACCCCTGTTGTAGGGCACAGGTGTGCAAGTGGTAATGAGGCCTTTATTAAGCTCCTCCTATGTGTTTGATAATATACTAGTGTTAAGAGTTGTGGGAACTCAAAGTTTAGTGGAAGAGTCTGTTGCTTGTGCAGATAGAGAGGCAAGTGCAATGAGAGGGGCTTGCATTGGGTATCATGGGAGTTCCAAGGTGAAGCCCCAGGGTTGGGGGAGTTGGCTGTATGCTTGTGTAGGAGTAGCCAGGGAAGGCTTTATGGTGGAGGGGACACTCTCTCAGTTGAGTCTAAAATGATCAAACAGTGAATGGGGCTGTTCTCAGCAGAAGGAAACACATGAGCAACCTGGAGTTAGGAAGCAGCATTGTGAGTGATAGGAACTACAAGGATCTGGTGTTGCTGATAAAGAAAATAAAAGATAGTGAGAGAAGAGACCCCAAGTGAGGCAGGCAGTGGGCCAGGCCACAGAGGGTTAGCACTTTATTTCATTGGTCTTGAGGATCCATTGAAGGGTTTTATGTGAGAGGGATATGATTGACTTCGTTTGGATAGGTCATACCGGCACCTGAATGGAGGAGGAATCAGAGGGGCTGAGAGGCAGGAGCTATCATTAGGGTGGCTGAAAAAGGAACTTATCACACTGATAGAGTTGGCTATCCTCTCCTTGGCCAGTCAGCACTTTAAACTAAGACCAGAAGGGCAAGAAGTCTCATAGGTCTCACTGCTAAAATAGCTCAGATGCACAGTGAGTAGCTACTCCAACCCACGGTATAAATCGGAAGCTGGGTCTGTTGTATTCCTTGTCCTCATCCAGGGAATCTTGGAGCTTGTGGTGATTTCCCTTGCATAGAGCCTAATTGGAAGCTCAGTGAGAGCTTAGAGAACTCAATGAGAATGAGGTAGAAAAGGCAGCTTTTTATTATTATTATTATTCATCACTGAATCCCTAGCACCCAGCATGGTGCCGGCGTATGGTAGATGCTGAGTGAATATTGAGGATTTGGCTTATGTCAGCATTTGGAAGACATCTGTACTATCATCAATGTCACTAAATACTTTAGGTTGGTCTTCAACATTTCTGTTGATTAGTGCTTTCTCAATGACCCAGCTGTGTTATGCAAACTAACTTTCTTAACTTGGGAATTTGGTTATTTTGTGAGTGTATTTAGTAGCATGAAATAATGAGAAAGAAGTTGTCCTTTCCTGTGAAGTTCTGTAGCTTAGAATATAAAAGGTAAGACATTTAGTTCAGAAAGATTTGTATCACTTTGCTAATTATACATTATGCACAACCAAGAACAGGCCTTGGTAGCATTGTTCATTAGAGCCCCAAATTTAAAAATAACGAATGTCTGTCAGTATACAATAAAGAAAGAAATAGTGTTATTTTGAGCAGAGGTATGACTTGATCTACCTTAAGTTTTAGAAGAACCACTCTGGCTGTCAGTGGAGAATTGACTGAGGTCAAGGTTTCTGAAGCAGGAAGAGCTTTAGAAGGCTGTTAATTATCCAGGCTACCCATGATGGTAATTTGACTAGGTTGGCTTTGGTGCAAGGGGCAAGAAATAGCCAGATATATACTTTACAAGTAGAGGACAGTATTTGTTGATGGGTTGGGTAGAGGATGTAAGAGAAAGGAGGCAAGAAAGGAGGTAAAGGACTTTTGGCCTGAGCAGCCGGGAATGCATTGGCCATTTACTGGGATGGAAGGCTAACAGTAGAGCAGATTTTGGATTGTGGGTTGAGTAGGGTGGGAAAGAGAGTTCAGGAGTTCGGTTTCATAGAGGTATTAAATAAGAAGTTGAATATACTAAGTATACTAATCTGGTGTTCAAGGGAAAAGCTCCAACTAGAAATATCAATTTGGGAGTCTCAGCGTTTAGATGATATTTAAAGCCAGGAGGCTGAGACAGGCCCCGTGTGATGCTTGAATTATCCAGTATAATCATTACATTTTTAAGGCACATTGATTATTTTTATGAAGTCATTTTATGTGAAAATTGAAAGCATTGCATCCTTGTATCTCCTCAAAGATACATATATAAATAGTCTTTCTTGAAAAACAAGTCGAGATGAAAAACAGAATTCACGTATACATGATAAACATTTTCTTGCCACGGAAAGCCGTGAACAAAGCAGTTTAGGAAGGACACGCATTGAACAGCATTTATGACTGATAAGGAAAAGAGACATGTTTCTGTACTGCGTCACTTAGTCTGCTGGCTGGCAGTAATGTGAAATATCAAAGTTTTATTTTATTTTTTTAATGACATGAAAAGAGCTAGAATATAGATTAAAGAGTAAGTCTGTTTTTGAGAGTAATTTTTGTTAATTTCTTAAAGACATACAATTAATTGATAAGTTGAGGATTTTCTTTATGGATTTTCAAGTTGCAGAAATAATGCTGCACAAGGTATGCACCCCCTTTCAGGGATGGAGCACAAAATGCCTGTCTGCCTATTTCTCTTTCATTAGTATTCTAGTGGTTGGATTCCAAGGACAGAGTTTTTAAAAACAAACAAAAGCCCTTCAATATTACTGATTTAAAAAATAGTAGAAAGGCTAATAACCTAAAATCTCTGGTCTCTGATCCGGAAGGCATGATGTCATCTAATGTTGTGCTTTCTTCCTGAGCTTTTGCTCCGTGAGAAGCAAAGGATGTGTTTTTATAATGGGAAGTGTAACTGTGCTCTGTCACCCTGTCTGGCTGCCTTGGATGCTCTTTACAACTTGAATAGGAGTAAACACCAAATCTTAAGGGGGAAACAGAGGCTTTTGCCAAAGCTCTCTGCATTAACTCAGCACCAAACTCAGGTACATCTCACAGCTTCAATGCTTCTCCCTACACATGCTTCCCTCAGCTTTGTAGAGCAACTCTGGAAATCATTCATGAAGGATACGTAGAAAAGGCTTCTCAGCTGGACACGGTGCCTCACACTTGTAATCCCAGCACTTTAGGAGGCCAAGGTGGGCAAATCATGTGGGTCAGGAGTTCAAGACCAGCCTGGCCAGCATGGTGAAACGCCATTGTCTACTAAAAATACAAAAATTAGCTGGGCGTGGTGGCGGGCACCTGTAATCCCAGCTACTCGGGAGGCAAAGGCAGGAGAATCGCTGAAAAACCGCTTGAACCTTGGAGGTGGAAGTTGCAGTGAGCCGAGACCACGCCACTGCACTCCAGCATGGGCAACAGAGTGAGACTCCATCTCAAAAACAAAAAAAGAAGAAAAGGCTCCTCTTTGATTGAAGTGGTACTTGAATTCTGGGGGCAATTTACAGGCCTTTCACTTCCTTAGCAGGAAATTGCAGCCCGGGAACCAGAGTTTGGATATTAAGAAAATAAGCATTTCATCAGGGAAACATTTACTGATGCTAACTACTTGCCAGGTGATTATAGGAGTAGTCAAAGAAATGGTCAACATTGACAGCTCACATGCCTTTGCTGCCCAGGTGTGCTCATCACTGTGCTGAACACCATCCATGTTCTCCATGGGACTCATTCCATTCCCACAGAACCCTGTGAGGCAAATACTGTTATTACCCAAATTTTACAGTCTGAGGAAACTGAAGCACAGCACGGTTAATAGCTGGCTGGGCTCACGTCGTTAATAAGTAGCAGGAATGGGATTTGAACCCACCTATGCAGAAGCCTGAGCCATGCTCCTCACCGCTACTCTGTGCCTGCTTCCCTCTCAAGGAGCAGTAATTACAGCTGGGACAGCCATCAGCTGGTCAGGGGCGGAACCCTCTCCTGTACCACCACCGAGCTTTGTGACCTTTGGCAAATTGCTTCTCTTGTCTGGCCCCAGCTTTCCTCATCTATAAAATACAGATAAGAATACCTACTGCAGAGAGTTGCTGTGAGGAGTACTTGTACTATATTTGTGGATACTTCTGGCTCAGTACATAGAGTGGTATCCAGTCTGCGGTAGATGTTTAGTAAACATTGAGTGAGTGATTATACCGCGCTAAACACATACCACAGCATTTCCTAGGGGGAACTGAATAGAGACAGAGGAGATTGCATGTGAAGGGGAAAAGGTAAACCTTTCTGTTCTAGGTGTTTTTCACACTGTCATGACATAGAATATAGTACCAAGTTAATGTCCCTGCTCATGGTTAGTGGTCTTTTGCAGTTTACAATTTTGACATTAATCGGAAGCATAAATAATCATATGCATATTTTTTCAACATAGCATTTAGTATGCCCTTCACATGATACTGAGCTTTCTGGGGTTTGTACTGGGCCTACTCTGTAGTCTGTTAGTGGTGGAGATCAGCTGGCTCATGTAAACTAGGGAAGCGCAGGGCGAAGAAACTCTGGAAGAACCCGTAGACAGGGCCTTGATCCTTTTTGTGTATAGTTGTGTTTGACAGCTGTGAATGGTTTGGGAACCCTCTGAGGAAATATTAGACTAGAACTCCCCTTGCAATAAATAAATTAAAATACATAAACTTGAAGGAAGCTGTTGAAAGATGGGGAAAATTAGCTTCAGAGGAGACATGGGAGAATTCATGGAAATGATGGGATCCTTTTTGGATGAAATACTGTGCTTCGGCTGGTGGCCAGATTCATGGAGCGGACCCATCTGACTTGCCCATGGGAAGGCGTTAGACTTCCTCCTGCACTGTAAGTGGCCTCAGGAATTTTTATTCCACTTTATGTGTAGAGCTATGGATGAAATTCAAGTAGCACTTCTTTTCTGAGCTAGTCAAAGGATAAATAGGTATTGTTTTCTATTTACTTTCAGTTGTATCTACCCCTTTTCTTCACCTAGGTGTAGGCCCTTTGAGAACAGATACCTAGTCTCCTATATAGATGAAACATTTCATATCTCTGGTATTTACCTCATCTATATAAAACATAGCTAAGAACCAACAAGTAAGTTTCTGAACTACCAAAACAGATTTGCCGAAGTGTGCTAAAGCTCCTCATATTCATTGGTAGCATTTTATTGATTCTTTTTTATTCTTAAATATAAAAGGCTGATTTCTGGAGCAAAATAGTTTAGAAGAGAAAAATCATAATGGCTTTGGGCGTCAGCTTTTGTCCTCTGTGTACCCTCTAGTGTTCGTCCCCCAGCATGGCTGGACATGATAATGGGCCATCTCCCATCCTCACTTGGCCTCCACCTTCGTTCCAGCTGTTGTTGTTGACCCTTCAGAACTCTGGGGAGAAATGGGCAGGAAAACGAAGTACAAATAGTTGGATAAGTATAGAGAAAATTTAAGGAGTTATGCTGAGAAATCCCAAATGAAATTTGGATTAGATCATGTGTTAGGATTAGATCATGTTTTACCAGAGTTCTGATGGTGACATAACATGAAAGAAACATCTAAAGCCAGGCCATTGTGATTGGCAGTGACCACACCTTTTCATTATATTCTTGCTCCCTGAAAAGCCCAGCTTTAGTTCACTTATTAAATTTCCTTAATTTTTTTTTTTTTTTTTTTTTTTACTTTTAGGGTACCAGTGACTCTTTGGCATAGAAAGCCAAGTCAGTTTTGGCCTATCTTCTGTGCCACATGGTCTTACGGTGCTCTCAGGTTTGAGTTTCTGAAGGTATGATCGTTTAAGTCGGAGACTACAACACATGATTGACATTTCCCCTTTCTCCAAAACAAATGTAAATTCTAAAATATTGGTTTTTCACGAGACCAGTCGGGATAAGCTACAGACTGCATGAAGGGCATTAAGTGTTCAGACTGATACTTGTTTTGTTTAGTTTTGTTTTATGCTTTAACAAGCAAAAGGACCTGCCACAGCTGGGGAATAGTGTGAAGGTGAACTTTTTTACCTGGGGGGTTCAGGATTGATGCACAGTGAGTAGCTTTATATGAGTTACTTCTAGCAGGACCCAACTAGATTTTGGAAAACTGACAGGGTGATCTATTATTTCTACACATGTATGAGGATAAAAAAGGTTCAGTCTTGTGGCAAAGAAAGGAAAATATTAGCTCTTAACTCATCTGTTTTGAGGAGATCTTGGTTACCCTGTCCTGTTTGCTTATTGTGTCAGAACTCAGGTGGGTGCGGAGCAGGTGGTGATTGAGAAACACTCAGTACTTGTATATATCTGTCACACAGCTTCAAACACAATGTAGGAAAGTTTTTCTGTATAATGCTGGGTATTTTTAACTCTGCAGCTCCAATTGTAAATTGGGATTTTCTGCCATAGTATGACTTAGTTCTAGGCTTAACTCCTAGGTAAGCAAACAAACAAATTGACTTTCCTGGTTGCCTGTGTTTTTAGGAAGAACTCACAGCAAAATGCAGAATTTTTTTTAAAGACTTCATCCCCTAGTAGGCAAATCTGCTATTCTGGATTTATTAAAAAGTTTAAAGATTGAACAAACATTTAGTATACTAAAAAGACCTTAAAACTCAGTGATTAAAAAATTCTCAAAAAGTATCTTAATTTTTAAATTGTATTTCCTTTAGCTATAAGAGGTAAAGATAGGAAAGACAGCAGGGAAATTTATTTATTTATGTTTCCATTTTACCAGAAGCTGATAAACTCAGAATTTTTAAGCATATAACTTTGGGGTCTTGATGGCCTATGGTCAGTGTTTTGATCCATTTACTTAGATTGAGAAATAGCTGAATTATTCATTTATATAGATTGCTTTTTAACTTCCAGAATTCATTAAAACTATATTCACATTAACACGTATTATTAATAGTGAAACTATTAGTAAATTGTCAATATAGTTATAACTATTTGTTAGTAATAACAAATGACTGTTAGCAGAGGCTATAAAATAAGATAGTTTTTAATTACAGTCATTAATAAAAGGAGAAAAAGTCATATCTTATATGTACTTTCATGCAGGTACACCTTATTCTAGCCATGCTTAGTCATTTGAGCTCTTGATTCTTCTTTTTGTTAATGGGAATTATCTGTAAATTCTTGCACACCTAAGGAACAATATGTCTCATCCTCAATTTAATTTTTGAACGTTGAATATATTTTTGGAACTTTTTAAATTGTCTTCCAAAAAATGAAATACTTTGAATTGTTTAACATTTTTCTTTTGAATCTTATTATCTTTGGGCACTTGTTATTTCACTTTGCATTAGCTGGATCGCAATGTTATGGGTACCCACTTTGTATATGAGCACCAAGGGCATGCACATTGTCAGATTTAGTTCATGGACAGACCAAGTCACCTCTGTTGATGGTCAGAAAAATAAAAACAAATGCAAAATTATCATTTGAACCAAAGAACTGCAATAGATGGATTGTTCCTAATTAACCTATTGTGAAATCAGTGACTGCTTTTGGCCCTAACACCAGACCTATTGTTTGTTTTTGAAGATATTTTGGAAAATTTATCTCATTTGTTTGGCAAGTTTCATAGTAGAGGGGAAAGGAGAAATATTTCTAAAGATTTTAACCCTAGCTAAGCATAGGGATTTTGATTTCCATGAAAAAATGGGTGGGGTGGGGGAGGGGGATGTAGGGAGTATTTTTTTCAAGTTTCTTTTAAATAATGTAGCTTTTGGCAAACAAAGACAACCCAGATTTCAATTATTGTAGACAACATCTGGAATCAATAGTTTCTGAAATTTACAGTGAGAAGAAAGTTATGGAAAGCTAATTTCATTAGCTTATAAAATTGGAAGAGCAGAAGAAGAGAGGGCATGATTCCCAGGGGAACCTGGTGCCCTCTAAAAACCCTGAGGAGGAATTTAAAAGTTCATTTATAATTGATAAGTGCTGAGTTGGTAATGTTCATTTTTATCCTGATTTGGCTATTACAGTTTCATGAATTTTGCCTTAACTTGTTATTAAAATCTCTATGATAAACAAGCAGCATTTTTTTCCTTAATATCTTTTCATTTTAAAAATAGTCATTGAGAGGAAGCAGAAAGGCTTCATAGAGAATTTATACAGTGGAAATAACAGAGTTTTATTAGTTTCCTAGATAACATAAGCCACATGAATACTGGTTGCCTGTGTTTTTTTTTTTTTTTTTTTTTTTTTTTTTTTTTTTTTGAGCTGGAGTCTTGCTGTGTTGCCCAGGCTGGGTTCACACCATTCTCCTGCCTCAGCCTCCTGAGTAGCTGGGACTACAGGTGCCCGCCACCATGCCCGGCTAATTTTTTGTATTTTTTTTAGTAGAGACGGGGTTTCACCGTGTTAGCCAGGATGGTCTCGCTCTCCTGACCTCGTGATCCACCTGCCTCTTTTAGGAAGAACCATGAATGCCAGGTTTACAAGTACCATATGTAGAATGATGTGAGTGTTCCTATAAGGCCTTTCTAGTCCCAGTACTGTGCAAGTCTGAAGAATGGCTGACCTGGGCTTGACCCAGATCCCAGAAGACATGAGTCTTCATTCCCTCAACTCCCATTGGTGAGGTAGCTACTATATTTTCCACAGGGGTTGGGATAGGGTGTGGTTGAGAGATTGGTGTTCTCAGTGCAGCTATGTTCCCTTGGGGAAAAGGGAAATGATGGAAGAAAGCAAGGTGTGTTCATAATTATCCAGTCTCTCCTGAGGGCTGTGAACAGTATGGATGGATCGCCAGGTTGTGGCAAAGTTAGGGTGAGGCTTTTCAGGAATCAAGGTTTTCTAGGTCAGGTGGAGAAACACAGTACTGAGGAAGAGTCAGCTCATGTTCATTGTGTCTCCACATTTGCCAAGACCTCTCTACCTCTCCCATACTATATTGCCTCTGCTATGTATAAATCCCTCCCATCACCCAGTTTTCATTACATGTGTAATTATTATTTCAGTTGTTTAATCGATTAAGTAGGCTATTATGAGGTAGCTTCAGAATTTAGTTACTGATTCCAACTAGCCAACTTTATAACATTTCCAAAATGTAAATCCTTTGTAAGATGCTCACTGTAGTTTGAAGCCAGTGTCTTATTTTAAGTAAGATTTTAATAGTTAAAATCAGTTAAGCCATACATACAGTATGCCACAGAATTAATAACTTGTGATAGCTTCTGTGAATATCAGTAAGTCCTAAGACCTTAGTTAAAAATAAGTGTTATTATACAAAATAATTAGGAAGTCTAGATTCCTGCCAGAAAATGAAACAAATATATATAATTTTATCTAGATTCCTTTATAAGTCAGTGATAATTGCAGTGAAGCTAGAGAGTTTGATTCAAACCTGAAGATGATTACAGTTAATCGTAGGACCCATCGAATTTTCCTTGAAAATGTTGGCTGAAATCGCTCAAAAGCAATCTTTTAACCAAACACCCATATACAAATTATTTGGTTAAGGAAGTAATATCTAAAGAGATCATGCCGTGTATGAAAATTGGACAAAAACGTTAATTTGTTTCCATTTTCTGAAATAAATGAAATGTTTTTCATTTTCTGAAACACTTGAAATTTCACCTGATATACTGAGTAGTCGTTTCAAGGATGCCTATGGTAGTAGTATTAATTTTGTACTTTATGTTAAAGAAATCAAGACTAAACTAAGTATATTGTATCCACTTCAAAAAGAACCCATTACAGGTTTTGATTGCAATTGAAATAATCCAGCTGTGTCTGAATAACCCTGTGACAAACATCATGATTAGAAATGGCTAAGGTTGCAAGGCAAAAATTATCAATGGATGTTATGAGATATGATGAAAAACAGTATATTTGCATAGTCTGAAAGTATCTTCCCTTAAGATACTTGTTACTTACAAAGGCAAAAATAGTAACTGTACAGTGGAGAAACCTGGGACACTTAACCAAGTGATCAAAGTTAATATCACCAGTAATAAAACCTATCACCATCATGTACCTCCTGATGAGATACACCAAGCAGGGCACACCATCACTTCTGTGATATTCATGCCAAAAATGCATATTCTACATTTAATTGTGAGGAAACAACCCAAAATTTAGAGATACTCTGCAAAATAAATGGCCAATATCCTTAAAAGTAGCCAAAGTCATGAAAGACAAATACTGAGAAACAGTCCAATATGGGAAGAGACTAAGAAAATGTAACAACTAAATGTGCAATCCTGGACAGGACAAAGATGACATTAGTTGGACAAGTGGTGAAATTTGCATATGAACTGGAGAATAGTTAATAGTATAAGTTATGGTTTAAATGTTTTTGTCCCCTCCAAAACTTATGTTGAAATGTAATCCTTTTAAAAACTCAGGTGTTGCCAAAAAGACAGTATTAAGAGGTGGGACCTTAAGAAATGATTGGACCATGGGGACTCCTCCCTTGTTAATGGGATTAAGGCCCTATTCAAAGAGGCTTCAGGCTGTGTTTGGGTAGTTTACACTCATGTTCTTCGTCCTTCCACCATGTGAAGACAAAGCAGAAAGGCTCTTAGCACAATGCCAGTACCTTGATCTTGGACTTGCTAGCTTCCAGAACTGTGAGAATTAAATTTCTTTATAAATTACCCAGCCTGTGATATTCTGTTACAGCAGCACAAAATGGACTAAGACAGTATATTTTTTCAACATTAACTTCCTGGTTTTGGTAAATGTACTATATTTATTTAAGAGCTTCACATTTGCTGAAGCTTATTTAAGAATATATCTTTATACTATTTGTGTTACTTTCTTCTTTTCTTTCCTTCTGTTACCAGAAAGGGGTCCTGATCCAGACCCCAAGAGAGGGTTCTTGGATCTCAAGCAAGAAAGAATTCAGGGCAAGTCCACCGAGCAAAGTGAAAGCAAGTTTATTGGAGAAGTAGAGATAAAAGAATGGCTACTCCATAGACAGAGCAGCCCTGAGGGCTGCTAGCTGGCTATTTTTATGGTTATTTCTTGATTATATGCTAAACCAAGAGTGGATTATTCTTGGAGTTACCAAGGAAAGGGATGGGCAATTCCCAGAACTGAGGGTTCTTCCCCTTTAGACCATGTAGGGTAACTTCCAGATGTTGCCATAACATGTGTAAATTGTCCTGGTGCTGGTGGGAGTGTGTTTTAGCATGCTAATGCATTATAACTAGCGTATAATGAAGTGAGGACCACCAGAGGTCAGTTTCGTTGCCATCTTGGTTTTGGTGGGTTTCAGTTCTTTACCACATCTTATTTTATCAGCAATGTCCTAATGACCTGTATTTTAGCCCTGCCAACATCCTAATTCATCCTATGACTAAGAATGCCCAACCTCCTGGGAATGCCACCCAGTAGGTCTCAGTCTTATTTTTCCCAGCCTCTGTTCAATATGGAGTCACTCTGGTTTGAATACCTCTGACAATTCTTCTTTCTTCCTTTCTTTTCTTCCTTTTCTCTTTCTTCCTTTCGAGACAGGATCTCACTCTGTTTCTCAGGCCGGAGTGCAGTGGTGTGATCATAGCTCACTGCAGCCTGGAACACCTGGGCTCAAGCAATCCTTCTACCTCAACCTCTTGAATAGCCAGGACCACAGGCACACACCACCACGCCTGGCTTATTTTTGTAACTTTCTTATAAATCTGAAATTAATTCAAAATTAAAAGTTAAAAAAAGGCAGTGGGCTTAATTTTTTTCCACATAAGAATAATAGAACTAACTATAAGTGTATCTGTTTGCTGTGTACATTTAAAAATCTCTGGCAATATAAAACACAGAGGTGTAGAACTCTGTGAGGTGTAGAAGGAGAACTAGCCTGAAAGCAGACCTCAGCACATGTGAGTCATGGTTTTGAGAATGCTTTTTGGTAGGAGAGTACATCAGCACTTTAAGATGGTGTGTGTTGGGGCTGGGTCCCTATCTTCCAGTTCGCTTTTGTGGTATTTGCTGAACAATTAAGAGATCCTCATTTCTAGGTGCTCTGCTGGTTGGAATACTAGTCCCTTCCTTAAAGATGTGTTTAGTCTTATTGAGGTAACAAAATTCCTACCGATGGTAGAAATTGATAAATTTGATAAAAACTAATAAAATGGATTAAATGCGCATAAAAGAAGTGCTAATTGAATGACCAAGTGACAAAATCCAAGCACCTGAAGAGTTGTCCATCTACACATTCTGAACTGTGTTTTGTAGCAAACAGAAAACGTAGGAAACTTCTTTCTCATGACTTAATAACTCAACACCAGTGCAAAGTGTTATCTTCACCATTGTATTCCCAGTGCCTAGCACAATACTGGCACATGGAGAGTAACCATTAAATATTAATTTAATAAATAAGTCAACTGCACACCTTGGTGATTTCATCCCATTATATATTTAACTGACACTTGTTGAGTACCCACTAGGTGTCATGCATTGTGCCGGGTATTGGGAACATAAAGGAGCCGCAGAAGTAGAGGTGGTGAGTGAGTATAATCAGTGTTGGAGGGACGTAAATGGGATTGGTGTGGTGGAGTTAGGGTACAGGCTAAGCCTTCCTTGAGGATGGAGGGACTTAAAGGGGATTGGTGCAGTGGAGTTAGGGTACAGACTAAGCCTTCCTTGAGGATGTCAGGCCTCTGAGCCGAAGCTCAGCAGTTGTAACCCCTGTGACTTGCAAAAGCTTTATTGCTCATACAAAACCTGTTTGCTGGTCTCTTCACATGGACACGTGTGACCGAGGAGGATGCTTGCGTTGTTTTGAAGAAGACCTGTTAAGGGGACAGGAGTAAGAGGCCCACATGTCAAGTGGAGGGAAAAGCAATGGGAAAGGCATAGATAAGAGAGGTTCAGTGGGACTGTTGAGTGGGGAGTTGTAAAGGGTGAGATTGGAAAACTATGCAGGAGCTAGATTTTGAAAGAACTTTGGACTTTGTTCCTCTATTTCTCCGTTGAACTGTTCACTGGCTCCCCTATCTCCTTGAGAAATAGTTTTTGACTAGGTGTCAATGGCCAGAGCCGGTAAAAATTGGTATTTGTTCAAAATTGGAAATTGGCTTAGTCATCAGAGCAAAAGGGGGAGTAATTGTAAGAATTTAGACTTTGACTTCTTCTGACTGTAAGGCAATTTGTAGGTAATAATCTAGCAGACCTCTTAAGAAGTCAGCACTGGGAATGGGAGTCAAAATCCACATTGGAAAAAAGAATACCTAAGAAGAAAAAATCAGAAAAATAAATGCTTAGTTGTATGAGGAAGATGAGTGATTGGAGCTGATACAGGACCGAATATTATGCTGGAGAGAACGTTATAGAAGAGGCTGCAAAAATAAGCTGGGCATTTTAAAGTGGTGTGTGTGGAGGCTGGGTCTCTGTCTTCCAATTCACTTTTGTGATATTTGCTAACTTTTTTTCGTGACTTTCATGATACTGGGCTGGCCTGCTGAGTCCCTCCGGTTGCGAGGTGGAGGTGGCAGTGATATTTGCATGTCCCACTTCAATTCTACTGTGTTATATGTTTTGTGACTTTGAGTATTTAGTATTCAAAGAGAGAAATCAGAAAAAAAAAGGAACAGAGGGATATAACATTTCTTTTCTCTTATAAAAAAAAACTAAAAGTAACAAAAAGTCAGCAAACTTAATCCTGTATCTTAAATAATCTTAGTTCTTAATCTTAAATAATATTATTTGAATATTAACCATCTCTCATTGGAAAAAGGAGGTTTTTTTTCATTTATTTTTTCCAAATATTGGTGGTGGATTAAGTACAATTGGTTGGAAAATGATATTTTATTAAAACAGTTTTTCATTTGGATTGTGGGAAAAGCAGTTGCCTTCTGTAACTTCATTCTCCACTGGGACATGAAGACTGTATTGTAATTTTTTCCTGCCTCGTGCTGTCTATCGTCCCTTGCACAAATAATACTGTTGTGCAGAATGAATGGTAAAAGTTGCATCTGCCTCCCTTCCTAACTCTGCCTTAGCATTTTTGGAAAATCCCTCTTAACCCCGTTACTTTCCTTATCAGTCTCATTGCCAAAGATTTTTTTTTTTTTTGCTGCCTTATCAGAAAAAGCAGTATTATCAGCTTTTTTTCCTCTTGAGGTTCTTAAGCCTGCGTCTGTCTAAGTTTAACTTAATAACGATTTCCAAGAAACTGTAATAACAGAATAGAGAAAGGGTTTTTTATTTACTATTATAAATGGAAGGCTTATTTTGGCTTTTGAATCTATAGCAGATTCAGATCTAGCTTCCAAATTTCCAGTTAACAATTATGATGAAAAAATTCTATTATTTCATATTTACTTACACATCAAATTCTCATATATTTGTTTGATCCTTGTGACATCCTGTGAGGTAGGCCAGGCAGGGGGTGTCATCGTGGGCTAGCAAATGAAAGGACCAAGGACCACATGGTTCATAATTGGTGGAGCTAAATCCCAAGCCTCCATCTAATTCACATTGTTACCCTTTCCTAAGTGCTAGGAGGCTTTTGAAATAATTGGGCTTTCTCTCATCTCATCTAGGATGCTCCTTTTGACTGGCTGTTGCCAAAATCTTAACCTTTTAATCATATTACATTGTTTTTAGAAGTATGGATAGGTGGATGCAATAATCAGCTTAAACTTAAAGGTTTTTTTTTTGTTTTTTTTTTGACCTTCAGTTCTTCTTGTAGCCACTTAGGAAAGGACCTTAGCATTTGTGACATGAAATCCAAGGTGAAGAGCCTGTTTATGACCCTTTGGAGAATAAAACGGGTTCATTTATTGCCACCGTGACAATGTCTTCAAATCTGAATGTGGAAAAATTCCCTCCTGATGTTGTTAATTCTCTTCCTTGTTTGCCTCTTTTTTTTTCTGTTTCTCTATCTCTAAAATGAGTATTGAAATGTCTGTGTCATAGAAGGTTAGAACTAACACATGAAAAACTTAGCAAAATCCTTAAGATAAAATAGTAATGCAATCATGTTATTTTTTCTTCTCCCTTAGAAAGAGGACTTTAAACAAATTGGGCCAGAAGTAAATTCTGAATGGGGAGTGCTTGAAAGCTTGTAAGAGGCTGAGCCCCTCAGGAAGCAGACCCTGAGATGGAGATTGGCTTGCAGGGTATTTAGCAGGAAGTCCTCTCGGGATTCACCCCAGTGCAGTGACGAGGAAGGAAGCAGAACTTGCCAGAGGGCGAAGTTGATCTGTGATGCAGGCCTAGTGACAATCTTGGTCAGTTAAGTGGGAATGGCCCTGCAGAGTTATACCAAGTTGTAGTGCCAAGGCCCAGCCTTCACTGGATGTAAGCCACCCTGGGAAGCAGCCCCAGCCTTGAGCAAAGCAGCTCTCTTCAGCTGAAGCCATCCCAGAAGGGTGCTAGGGTTCGAGGACTATCTACCCCAGCACTCCCAGCCACAGGGAGAGTCATTGATTTCCAAAGAAGGATCTGGGAGGGGCATCACAGTACCTACCACCATGCTTTGCCTTGGCCTTGTGGTTCAAGGAGGATGACATTCTGCAATCCCTGGGAGAGCTATCCTCTTAACAGTCAAAGGCAGCAATATATTTTCAGGTGGTACCTTTTAATACGTCAGAAACAATTACGTACCTTTCATTCAATATGCTTCTGATTTTTCAAAGTCACATAGGCCAGAAGAGAGTTGCGTGACATGTCTCAAAGGCTGACCGTGATAACTGGCATAAGAATGCAGTCCTGCTTTTGAGTGTGCATATATTTGTGCCTCTTAGGTGAGCCTGCAAGGTGTGTGAGGCCTGTGGGCACAGCCTATTACCAGATGAAGGCAGATCCCAAACATGTGGCAGGTCTGAGGATCAGAAGATGGAACACAGCATTTCTCTATTCTTCCCAGTGAGTTCATTTGAACCATAGAGCAGTATCCAGGAGATACCACTTCATCTCCACGTAGTCCTACTGTGACACACATAGCCACCTGGGAGTTCCCAGCGGTAAGGAATAACCAGCTTGCTCCTAACTTCATCTTTTGGAGGGAAAAAACTGAAGGGAATAAAGAAGAAAAACAGTTCTATGCTATACTTTCAAAATGACAGTACCAAAAGAAATCTCCAAATGACTTCTGTCTTTCCTCCAGCCCTGTCCCAGACAGCTAGAAAACAGGGAAGTACCTTGAAATAGACTACTGATGTGTTTTTTTCCACCATATTTTATCTTTCCCTACAGTGGGGTTTTGTACATATGTAGAAGAGGTGACCCCTTTTCCTTTTCCATCATAGTTCTCCATTTCATGAACTAAAGTACCTGAGAAAAATTTAGTTCTCCTTGGCCAGGCATGGTGGCTCACACCTGTAATCCCAGCACTTTGGGAGGCCAAGGCCAGCAAGTTGCTTGAGCTCAGGAGTTTGAGACCAGCCTGAGCAATATGGCGAAACCCCATCTCTACAAAATATACAAACATTAGCCAGGTGTGGTGGCGAACGCTTTCAGTCCGAGCTACTGAGGAGGCTGAGGTGGGAGGATGGCTTGAGCCTGGGAAGTGGAGGTTTCAGTGAGCTGAGTTCATGCCACTGCACTCCAGCCTGGGCGACGGTGAGACGCTGTCTCAAAGAAATGAAAACAATTTTAAAAAAAAGAATTTAGTTCTCCTTAATCCCTTTCCTTTTTCTCTGTTTTTTCCAAATCTTATCGAGGTTCTTCAGAAATTCTACCCCTTTATCTCTTTTCCATTTGTGATCCCCCCAAATAATCCTCATAAATGTTGATAAACCTTAATGGATACTTCCATGACACGCCAGAGCCGAATGTGAAATGAACATGGATGTAGGAAGGAACCAGTCTGAAGACCTCAGAGGTCTAAGAATTCCTTTAGAATGTCTACAACACCGATGCCTGCTCCATCACTGCCTTCTGATGGACACTGCTATGTTTTCAGACCAGTGTTCAATATTTTACAAGCACTGATATAAAATTTTATATTTAATTCTGGTGCAGTCAGCTTATTTTTGCTGTGAAAAACAACAGTTTCCTTTTGCCATGAAATAGGATTCTGTGGGCTAGCCTCAGAACTTGAGAAGAGTAGCTTTGTGTGTTCTGTGTTGTAAGCAGTTGACTCATAAGTGACCTTTTAAACCACAACCTGTTCATGAGTTGGAGATCCTTTTAGCAGAAAGATGAAGCCAAAATCTGGCCTGAAGAGAGAAGTTTTCCTTCCTTTGTATCACAAAAGACAAAGCATTTTAATGATTTCTTTCCTGCATTATGTTCCATTCCTCTTAGATGGTCAGCCTGTAAAGGGCAAGGGCAGCATGTGCTGGGCTGGAATTGACCTGTGCCAAGTAGAATCATTTTGAATATTATTTTGACAATGATGAGGAAGAATATGTTATTGTCTGTGGCTTACAGCTATGTGATTGACTTATAATAATTCTTTGTTTGTTTGTTTGTTTTGGAGATGGAGCCTCACTCTGTTGCCCAGGCTGGAGTGCAGTGGCACGATCTCAGCTCACTGCAACCTCCGCCTCCCGGGTTCAAGCGATTCTCCTGCTCAGCCTCCCAAGTAGCTGGGATTACAGGCACCCGCCACCACGCCCAGCTACTTTTTGTATTTTTAGTAGAGACGGGGTTTCGCCATGTTAGCAAGGCTGATCTCGAACTCCTGACCTCAAGTGATCTGCCTGCCTCGGCCCCGCAAAGTGCTGGGATTACAGGCATAAGCCAGTGTGCCTGGCCAATAATTCTTAATACTTTGTTTTGATTTAAAATTTTAAAAGTCATGGACTGTTGTGATTGAGTTTCTTTGTATTCAGTTTAAAAGTTTTAAAATGTCCATTGGTTCTTGGCATGAGCAAATAGCATCATTGAAACCAAGGAATGAGTCCCCATTTCACTGCATCATTTACCTTCTTTTTATCTTCCTCATAGAAAATTAGGAGTTGTGTTTGAGACTGTTTCTCACGGCTATTTAATTCTTAATAAACTGTCAATACGTACTAAACTGATATCATTATATAAAGGAATGATACTGTTAGTAATAACAGGCAGTTGGTTAGGACATCTTTTTCAAAATGGTTATGCTATGAATTTAGTGTTTTCAGCTGACAGATATTTTTTAAGGACTTTCCTGTAAACTGGGTTTATATACATATAAACTGGGTTTATTAATCCAAGTAAATTTTTCCATAGTAGCAAATGGGCAGAGATGAACACATCACCACAGCAGTAGTTTTTATACGCAGTTTAAAATTGTGCTCTCAGGGCCCGTATGACTAAAATAATAGAACCGAATATTTATATTCCCAGCTTTACCAAAGGTTCATTTTCTGTGATTGTTTCCTGTAGCTACTAAGGATCAATTTATAAGAAACTGTTCAATTTATAAGAAAAACAAGAAAAGGAAATGGAGGGATCAAAACACTGTATAGGCATCTTTGGTAAACCGTGATATTATTTGGGGGAAAATGCCCCTGGGAAGTGTACATGAATAAACTTTTGTATAAAGAGATAGCTACTTTATAATAACTGGTGACAATGCATTTTCAATTATAGATGTATTTCATGCAGAAACACTTGGAGAAATTTAAAGGGATTTAGTTGAAAAGTTGTTTCCAAATAGAATTTGAAAATAACAGATACTTTAAGTGCATTTGACAGAATTGCATATTGAAGCTTCATTAATGCATACGTGGTGTATGGGTATCTGCTTTGCTAAACTGGTTTTCCTTAGTTTATGATACATTATATGCTACCACTGAGAAACATGAGCCAACCATATTTTCAAATTCTTCGCTCTTTACCTAGAACTGCCTTTCTCTTTCATAACCTGAAGCCTAAACATTTTTCCTGAGTATAGTATCCATCCATCTATTCATTAGTACACAGCAAGGTGGAGTTACTTGTCTAACTCAGTGATTGAGAGTGACTTGCCATTTTAGAAGATAAAGATCAAAGTCATTCCTTGAACTATAGCCTGAAAAATATTCCTCTCCAATATGATCCGCAGTTTAAAACTTATTCCTTAGATACTTTTAGTTACGAGAAGAGTCCCTGAGGTTGTCCGAATCCATTAAAACCTAGACACCATTCCTCAGTGGCTTCATTCATTCATTCATTCATTCATTCATTCCATGTATTTGTACTCCATTCTTATACTCAGATGTTCATGCTGGCTCTTGAAAGATGAATGAGAAATAGTTTCTCTTCCCAAGTAGAAAGACACAGATAGACGAAGTGCTGTAATATTATGTGATGCCTTACTATATTTGAGGTGTGGTCGGAGTGTCCTGAGAACACAGATGAGGGAGTAATTGTATTCCACATGGACCCACGGATGACAAAAAGGAAGGAGTAACATCAGGAAATCTTCTAATGTCCTAACCTTGGAGCAAAGCCTTAAATTAAAGCTGCTTTGCATTTCCCAGTGTAGGAGTGAAGAAGGCAACCCCCTAAATAGAGAATAATAGATGTAAAAGCACTGAGGTCTGCAAGAAAAAGCTTAATGAGAATTTGTGTGTGGCTGAGCATAGGGCAGTGTGTGGAGAGTTGGGTTGGGTGTGAGCCTAGAAAAGTCGGAGAGCAGTTGATAAGGGCCTCATGAGATGCTGAGAGCAGGCTGTCTCTTCTGCATTATCAGATGGCTGTTGCAGGTGGAGACAAGTGTCCACTTGATCACAGGCAGTGATTACACAGACAAGGCTGGTTTGG
Source organism: Homo sapiens (assembly GCF_000001405.40). Classification (NCBI taxonomy): domain Eukaryota; kingdom Metazoa; phylum Chordata; class Mammalia; order Primates; family Hominidae; genus Homo; species Homo sapiens. The sequence continues at coordinate 112,006,740 of NC_000007.14, read as the reverse complement.
AGGCAGAGTTCTTTGGTAAGTACTATGCCATGTCACTGCTGAGCTGAAAGTCCTCTTGCAGACTCAGAATTTGCGACTGGCAGGGGAATTTCAGTTCATTTGTCTAGCTCCTTTGTTTTATAGAGGAACCATCTGAAGGCCAATGAGATTAGGGAACTTCTTTGCTTACCTTTAATGTTTATTACATATTACGTAGCTGAATAGTCAAATCAGAATTCACCCACATAGACCGTTTGGATAAGAAATGAGATAATACATGGTTATGGCTCAGACAAGCTGTCATCCCAGTTTTAAACAACTCCTATGAAAGAATGAGTTTTCCCATGTAATGCAGTTTTTGGTTCTTAGATTTTTAAGCACACTCTTAAAATAGTATTCTCAATAATAAAAGAACCCGACTGTTGAAGACCAGAGCATTTAATGGTGATGGCCACACCCTTAAACCATACCCTCATTCACTCACCCAGTGATTATTTACACCCAGCCACACCCTTGTTCACTCACCCAGTGATGATTTACAGTGAGGATGTGGAGATTCTGAGAGGTTGATATCCTGACCGAGGTCACACAGGTAATAAGTGATGAGATTGGGGTTCAAATCCATGTGTCAAAATGCCAGGCTTGATGCTATTTTCCTACACTTGAGTGTCTGGAGAATGAAACTTGGATCACACCAACCTTTAAGAGGAGGGCTAAGAAAGAAGGTGTGGAGAAGGCTGGCGAGTGTGACAGAAGCAGTAGAAGATTCAAGAAAGGGAAGATTCCTGGAAGGCAAAATGAGTGTGGCCACATTGAGGGGACTGGAGATCTTAGTAAAGCAGTTTCAAAACACAGCAAAGGCTGGATTGCAGGGGCTGAGGAAAGTGAAGAAATGAAGTCTATTAGTAGTACTGCTGTGTTCAAGAAGGTGATGAGGAAAAAGAGAGGAGAGCCAGAAGTGCGGGAGGCAGCCCTGGGTGTACAAGGGTGTTCCTGAGTGGTAGGAGCTGTGTACAAAACTGTGTTGGGAAGTCCATGCACCAAGACTTCTAAGAGAAACATCAGTAGTGCAGAGTTTGGAAAGGCAATTCTGAGTATAAGTTTGGCTTGAAGTCTTTTAAATTGCAGTCAATCTACTGTCAGTTCAGTTGCTGATCCCTTGTAAGAAGAGGTCTCTGAAAGTTAAATGAAGTAATCTGTCAAGATATATAGACCCTTGATTGTTTTGCCAGCAAAATGCTTCTTGCACGTCATTATGAGGCTAATGGTATTCATGGTTATAGTTAGAAAATGATATCATAAATTAGTGCTTGGCTAAATGTTCTGAATTGGTTTCTATCCATATAGTTAGTTTGTTCTGTCTCATGGACTTTGGCTTGTGTTTTCTGTCCTGTGTTTTGACCTCTACTGTTAATTTTGTTTTGAGATCATAAAAGGGCATGAGACTTCTCTAAAAGCTCATTACTTATTGGCATGTTTTCATTTTTGACAGATTGGTGTGTTCCTTTAGGTTTTTAAAATATACATTCCCAACAGTAGCAATAACTTATTTTGGGGATTGGAGTTATATCTAAATCTCACTCTGAAGCAAAATTATAAGTTTCCCTCCTAAAATTTTGGCCTTTTAAGAATCATTTTCTTTTGATGTGAATTGTTAGTTGATTTCAGTGTGCATAGTATTTCATAGGAGCTGTCTTCTTTCTTTTTGTGTGTTGAAATGCATTTTCTTCATTTCTCCATATTTGCCTCCTTTCTGACTCAAGCTTTACTTACTATTCAGGGAAGAATCACTGAGCTTTATTCTCTCTATAATTCCTGGAGTTGCCAGAAAAGGACTAATCTGTGCGTACTTTCTCCGTATGGATACACCATCCTAGTCCTGTCCTGCCCTGCAAAATGTTTCAGAAACCAATTAATCTAAACCATTAATCTATAATTAATTGTGATCCCCCTCCCCATTCCAAGTGGTATTGTGCAAGTGGGAATTGTGGTGGCTGTGTGTTTAGACCTGCGGGAGGGCCCAGTCATTACTAAATAAAGTGTCTCCGTTGATTACTGCAGAAGAAGACTGCTTTTATGCACCACATACTATGCTAGGCTCTGGGCACGTAATGGTAAGCAAATGGATGCAGTCCCTTCTCTTGAGAAACTTACAGTTTATGGAAAAGAAATCTGCTCCAAACAATATAGCAGAAAGGTAAACCAAGCCTAATAACAAGCAGGAAATATATTCCTCGTTTATTATTGAACACATATTTATTAACTACTATGGGCCCGGCATTTGGATGAGGGAGTGAAGAAAGCAGTGAAACAAAAGGGTCACAGTCCTTTAAGGAGCTCTCAGGCAATACCTTTGTTTATATCTATTATTGAGTGATAGCATTGATATATTGTGTATTATTTTAATAAATTTCATATATGTGAAATGCATATTTATAATAATCTAAGAAGTTGGCAAAGTATGTGAACTTAGTGATTTTCTTAGAAAGATATAAAATTAAAATATGACAGAGGGTTCCAGCTATCAAATTATACTTCCTATTTATATTCATTTTTCCTAGTCAATAACATGTAATAATAAGCTGTAATGGACATGATTGTCTTCATATATTCTTTATCATTTTTTACAGTTATTGCCAGTTTCCGAGGAACCGTTCCATATGGCCTGTCATTGGAAATTGGAGATACAGTTCAGATCCTGGAGAAGTGTGATGGTGAGTAGCCTTATGAACAACCTCCTCAACATACGGCTGTTCATAAAGTCTACAAATTCTGTCCATACCGCTATTAATCTCTGGAACTTTTCCAGTAGTCACCACAAGTCATTTTTGACAAAATTGTTTCCTGCATTTTCAGTGTTTGGCTAATGGAAAGGCATCATTTCCTATTTTTAAGCTGATTATAATATTATTTCCTTATAATCATTAGATGCAAACAGAGAAAGCAGTTGAAGTTACCATATCTGTGGGAGTTCTTGACTCAGTGCCAAACTAGAAGGTTTTTCTCAGAATCCTCAGGATCTAGTAGATCCCACAGGACAGGAAGAAGCAGAGGCCCAGAGCAGACATGGCTTACCTGAGGTTGAGTAGCCAGATGCCTCTGGAGGGCTCCTGCCCAGGCCAACTCTGCTCCAGGCCTATAGTTTCTTCCCCTCAAACTTGGAATAAAATTATTCAATGCACTTGAATAATATTAGTAGAATATATTGTCTGACTTTGTATGATGATTATTAATTTATGTAGTAGGCAACTCATTTAAGATAGCTAATGGTTCTCAAATGTTTCCATTCCTGTTCCATGAAACATCCTTAAATGCTAGTCCTTAAAAAGATTTCTGATCAAATGACTACTTTGTTTTGTTTTTTGTTTTTCTTTGAGACAGGGTCTTCCTTTGTCACCCAGGTAGGAGTGCAGTGGCATGATCATGGCTCACTGCAGCCTCGATCTCCTGGGCTCAAGGGATCCTCCTGTCTCAGTCTCCCAAGTAGCTAGGACCACCGGGATACTTCATTATGCTTGGCTGATTTTTTTATTTTTTATTTTTTGTAGAGACAGAGTCTCACCATATTGCCCATGCTCGTCTCAAACTCTTGGCCTCAAGTGATCCTTCCACCTTGACCTTCCAGAGTGCTCAGATTACAGGCATAAGCCACTGCACCCAGCTTTCCTTTTTCTTTTTTTCTTTTTTTCTGTTTCCTTTTTTTTTTTTTTTGAGATGGAGTCTTGCTCTGTCACCCATGCTGGAGTTCAGTGGCGGGATCTTGGCTCACTGCAACCTCTGCCTCCTGGTTTCAAGTGATTCTCCTGCCTCAGCCTCCCGAATAGCTGGGATTACAGGCACATGCCACCACACTCAGCTAATTTTTTGTATTTTTAGTAGAGATGGGATTTCACCATGTTGGCCAGGCTGTCCTCGAACTCCTGACCTCAGGTGATCCACCCACCTTGGCCTCCCAAAGTGCTGCGATTAGAGGTGTGAGCCACCATGCCCGGCCACCCAGCTTTTCTTGTTAACAAAATGACTACATTTTAGAGCCCCGTTAGTATATCCGAAAATACTCATGTTTTTCCTCTTTTAAGGTTTTCCTTACTAGGAATTTATATTATGATGATATTTTTATCATATCAAGGTTTATTATAGATGAAACTGTATTCCCCCAAACAGAACTACGACATTTAGTTAGACCCTAGCATTAGATGCTGGTGATATCGGAATGTTTATTCTGTCCACTGTGATTGATACCTTAAAAAATATAATAAGATTTCCTGTGTTATTGCCAGATATATTTTGTCTGTTACTACTTTGTATACAGATAAATATAAAATTTATTGTGAATTGGTGCATGAAACTGGACTGCATATCTAATAGGAGGTGTTTTGTAATCTAAGACTTTTTCTGTATAGTATAATTGGACAGAGACCTCTCTATGACATTTTTGCAATTCTCAAGAAGTTTTGTTTTTTGTTAGAATAATTATTTACAAATGGATGTATTTCTTGGATCTGTCTTTATGGCAACTGATAAACCCTGAGATATAGAGATTCTGATTTTCAGTTCATTCTGCTCTCCTCAGACTGATTTTAAAACTGTTAGGGACGATATTTTACAATATATCCTTTTAAGAAAATGTATTATGAGGAGGAAAAATGTTTAAATACAAAGCTCAAATATTTGTTTTGTATTAAAATTTTGCCTAAAATTTAATCATTGAAAAAATTCTATTAGGCATAATATTTACTACATAGTATAATAATTTTTTTGCCAATGAGCAAAATGGTCTTTACACTTGAAAAAATACAATATATATCCTGATTTGTTTTAAACTATAAAAAGACATGTAAGGATAGTGCTGCAAAATTGATTCAGAATTGCTGGGAGCTTAAATCCAGCAGTCCTTGAGCCTGCTTATTGGCAAGGGATGCGACCTAAGACCCCCAGGATACCTGCAACCTTGGATGGTACTGAACCTTATACATCCTACATTTTTTCCTTTACATGTGATAAAGTTTAATTCATAAACTAGCCACAGTTGACAAGAACTAATGATGAAATAGAATAATTATAACAATATTCTGTTCACAGTTTCATGAATAGAAGATTCATTTTTACCTAGATTTTAGCAACCTCAGCATATGATTTTTTTTTCTTTCCTTATTAAATTCAAGAACTTTCACCTTTTCACTTAAAGCACTTTATGGCTTCTCTTTGGCACTTCCCAGTTGCCAACATCACTACTCTTGTGCCTTGGAGCCATGATTAAGTAAAATAAGGGTGACTTGAACACAAGGACTTTAAAACTGTGATCCTCAATCTGGTAACCGAGAGGGCTAGTAAATAACTAATGGGTGGGTAGCACTGACAGTGTGGATATGCTGAACAAAAGGATGATTCATGTCCTGGGTGGAACTGAGCGGGCAGGCACGGGATTTCATCATGCTACTTAGAATGGCATGCAGTTTAAACCTTATGAATTATTTCTGGAATTTTCCATGTAGTATTTTTGCACCCAGGTTGACCATGAGTAACTGAAACCGTGGAAAGTGAAACCGCAGATAAGAAGGGCCTACTATAATAGTCATTCTACAGAATAAAAATTACGCTGAGCTCTTGGTCAGCCATTGTGCTGATGAAAATGTGCCAGTTAATTCTGGCAGTGAATGATGGCTTTACTCTTTGTATGATATGAGACTGATCTTAACCCAAGACCGTAGGCTTAAGGATGTGCAATTCACGTCATGACTGTTGGCCAGGTACTATTATTTGGTGGCAGAGTCTGGCGTTTGTAGTCAGGCAAGTAGAATTTGGAAATGTATGAAATCTTGTGCAGATTCTTGACTTTCCCTGTGACATAATGTGGCCTTTCATAAAATGGGAAGAAGTGGTACTCAGAGATGTCAAGTAACCTGGCCAAGATTAAACAGACAATAAGAAGCAAAGCCAGAATTGAAGCCCAATGCTCTGATTTTAAAGCCTTTATTCACATTATGTATTTTTCTGTTGTTTATAAAAATTTTTGATACAGTTTTTTAAAAATGGTTTTATTAATAGAATTCTTATGTTTGGTCACTCGAGCTATTTTGTAGCCTAAGGCCAATACCTACCATATTTATCCATAGAATCTTTTCATGTATGGTAAAATTCCATCGGCAAAGAACAGATTGATTTGTTATTATCTTTAAAATATTACAATGGTTTATCAAAATATGACCATGATTATTTTTCCACAGGCTGGTACAGAGGATTTGCCTTAAAAAACCCAAATATCAAGGTAAAAATTGTTATTTCTAACTATAATTATGAAATTTATTAAGAAAGATAGTTATTTAAATTATTTCTTTATACAATTGAAATTACAGTTGGGACTCAGTTGAAATGCCAAATGATATTGCAAATTTTTATAATTTTGGAAATTCCTTTGAACTTGGATTATAGTTAAGATATGCTACTCAAATGATAATCCTATTTAGCTCTTGAAAATTGTACTGAGAAGACCTTAATAAGCTCATTATATATAAACAAAATCTTTTTGAAGTGGTAGTTTCTCAGAGAGCTAAATTAAAATTCAGGCAGGGGAAATACATATGCCAAAAGAAATATTAAATAGCAGTATTTAATCTTTATGTTTTCCATGGTATCATTTGTAAAATATCGGTATGGAGAAACAAGTATACTTAGCGGCATGTTAAGAGTCCCTTTGGATTTGGGGGGCTGAAGCCAGGAAAACAATATTATTAAAAAACCCATCTTTCTTACCATTTCAGGCAGAAATTAAGATTCATTATCCTTGATACATTTCTATAAATCCTCAGGAATTAGAGCAAGAAGTAATGTCATTTTTGTTTTATCTTTTATTTGTATAGTTTGCAATTTTGACAGTAATCCTTACTAATATCTGTGTTTTTCTATCTTACTCTAATCTCCTCAGTCTTCACCTGTATTTCCTACATTCTCTAATATTTTCATATATGTCATTTTTTTTTTTGGTTTAATTCTAGCTTTGGGATTGTAGATAAGAAATTTGTATTTTCATTCTCAAAATACACTTTTGCCTTTTTCCTTAAATATGCCATTTTCTGGATCATTCAACTGTGTTTAATTACTTCATGTATTTTAGGTCATCCTAAAGGGGAACGGTAAGGGACAAAAGAGTATATAAATTTAATTTTTTAAATACTTTACTCCTCATTTAACATTGTTTTTATATATCTATGAGGCACATGCAAATATAGCTTCAGTATTTAATGAATTCATTTAGACCATATTTGAGAAGGAAACTTAGTATGATTTCTCTGTTATTTCTGTCACTTCTAATAAACCTCAAGTCTGACTTTTCCTGATTAGTTAGAATTACTCTATTTGTTGATCCTACCATATTGAAGAAAACAAGTGCGTTTTAAAAATCTACATATATATATTTACTACTATTGAATGGAAAGAATTTGCCTATTAAATTTTATTTTATACTTGGATCCACAATGGTGATATATATATTCAAATGACATTTATTTTCTTAAATATTTAATTGAGTTTGTCATTTAATTATACATTAGAAATTCTTCAGAGGATAATTGCCATTTAATGAACAATCAAATTGATGCTCATTTTTTTGTTGTTGTTTCTTTCAATTTCCCATTTAGAACAAAGAAACAATTTCCTTGCCTTGTCATTTCCTACAATAAAAAGCTTCAAGCTAACATGGCTTCTTTTGTTTGATTTCTGTTCCATCAGAATGGCAGCATGGTGATTAACTGTTGCTGAGTTGTCATCAAAAATCTTCCATAACACAGAATACACATATTATCTCTAAATTTGCAGTGATATTTTTTGTATGTATATTTTCAAGAGAAATATGAATGTTTTGGGGAGAAAAAAAGGAACTACCATCAAAACGAAGAACCTTTCAAAACTATGCAATACATATTTTGTAAACTCTTATTCAGTATAACATGGTTTTTATATAGAATTCCTGAAATTTTCTTATTTTCTGTTTAATAAACATTATGTTTTCTGAGTAAGATTTAATTTTTTTGATCATATTTGTTTAGAATGTCTCTAAATTTTTAAAGTAGTTAATGGTAGAAAATGAAAGGATGGATCTTAAGCCACAGTAGATTTCATCCAAGAGAATGTGGTAGAGATGTTGCTTTTCCCTATTCCTGATGTTGTCATGGTTGTATGGCTGTGTTTTATACAAATGACTTGTGAAACCAACCCTGCCTTAACAGCCGGCATCGTAACCTTCATGTTTTCTTTTCCAGGGTATATTTCCTTCCAGCTACGTTCACTTGAAAAATGCCTGTGTAAAGAACAAAGGGTAAGAAATGAGTTTTATTAGTAGTTGGAGGATTTTCACAGAGCCTTTGCTTCTTTTGGAATTTGAAAGGCATAGTAATTGTCTTGAAAAATGAACTGTAGAAGATCATACCATTGTCTGTGTTCTTTGTTAAAGATATATTGCATTAAGACCGTTGGTGGAGAAAATTAAAGAACCCCATCTGTGTGTGCTGGACAAGAGGATCTGAGAGACTGGAGGTCTCTCAGTGTCCACAAATCAGGGAATCAGCCTATGCTTGAGCAGAAGGAGTTGGTTCTTTTTGGTTTCTTGCTACTTAGGGAAGCATGTCAGTCAGACCCATTAAATGCTGTCATATTATCTCAAACCCCAGGAATTTCCTAGGTTCACCACTGATTCTAAGATGCATAGTGTGTCTTTCTCTAAATGGGCATAATAACATATTCTTGTGTGACCACTTCACAAAGCCATTATTCTATTTTAGAGAATGTCATTTATATGATACTTTGTTTGATTGAGCTCATTGATCACCTAGTATTTCTAATACATTAAAAAAATTTCTAGTCTTATTTCCAAAAGGATTTGAAGTGGCAGTCACTTTAACATAATTCCAATAAGGTACAGCAGGATAAAACAGAAGAACTTGCCTGTGTAAATAGTTAGCATAAGCAGATCATTCATCATAAGGGGCCATGGATTTAGACACAAACATTTGGTGTCAGTGTCACAAGGACTATTCACATGATCATTGCATAATTTTCATCTTAGGACAACAGAATACAGATTCAGCCATAGAAATTATATTTTTTCTCAAATAGTGATAAATAGCAATTTATTATTTGAATTCTTAAAGCATAGTAATGGCATTTTCCAACTTGAGTCTTAAGATAAAAGTTCCAACGAGGCTATTCAAATAATTTCCTCCTCAATAAAGATATGATATTAAATTTCAGTTCAGGGAAACAGCCTATGCATGTGGCTAAGAGTCTATGGTATAAATACTTTGAGAGTTCCCTATATGGGTAAAACTTAAAGAATCTCAGAGACCATTACTCTACATGTCTTATATATGTGAGCTGCTTTAAGCATGTTAGTAGTAGCACTCAGTAATAGTAATTATTGAATAATAGATTAAAAGCATAATTCTAATTCTAATAATTACCACTACTACTACTGATCTTTTAAGAAATGTGTGTCCTTTGGAAGTGTGCAGCTATAATCCACCAGAAGCATCAAGCCAAGTTGTTGGTCCTTTTGAAACTTTCCTACCCAGCTAGATGTGATACCATTCAGCCTCCCTCCAGTAAACCAGAGGATACTTCAGAATACACTCCAGCCATATGCTTACTCTTTGTTCTGATCCTTCTGTGCTAGTGATCTGGGCTTGGCAATGTGAAAACACCATGGGCTACCCCTGTTTCTTAAAGTGTCCTTTTGAGCAAGCCTGTGCAACCAGTCCTCTTTGCTGCCTTTGTCCCAAGCCCAACCCTGACCTCCCTCAACTCTGCAGTGCAAAGGGCATCATATGCTCTGACCAAGGAAGAGAAAAGAGAGAATGCTGTGCTAGCAAAGATGATGTCAAGCATCTCTCCACTTAATCAAAGTCTATCCCTCAAAGTGAGTTGGGGTAGGATATGGTTTTTAAATAAGTACGTCCTTTTTTTAAATCCTGGTTAGTAACTGGTGTATATCTGATCCCCTTCCATGAGCCCCAGGAAGTTTAAATGTGGGTAAAGTACCTAAAAATTTGGTCATGTAAGTTTAAGACTTTCTTATGGGGTCTCCACCTGACACTAGGTATGATGGACATTGTGCAGCAGAAGAACAGAAAAGCCCAACATTAGTTTCTGTAAAAGACTTATTGGAATTGACTCAGACCCTAGGTCTAGGGCTGTTACTGGAAGAAAAACTTTGGCCTGAAAACATTTGAGAGCATGTATTGCCAGGTAATTGCTTTCCCAGAGAGGAACATCTTTGGGGTTTTGGTATTACCTGTCTTATTTTAAGTGGATTTATGGCCCACTAGGATGAAATAATGGAAAAGTCCATCCTAGAATAATTGAACAAAATATAATTTCAGAGGTAACTACTTACGACAGACTATTTGAACACTGATTTTGGGTTTGGAATAATTAATAGAAAACAGTCACCTTGCCTAAAATGGCAATTTTATGCTTAAAAATTTAAATTTTGCTTGGACAACCCCCAATCAACTTCTCACAGACTGAATTGCGTGTATGTTCTTTCTTGTGTCTTCAGATCAATGTAGGACTGTTGGAGGTCAATTAAATTATAGTTTATGGACAGGGAGGCCACTTCTGTATTGTTTAATTCCTACTGAGGTCATGTCACTTTTTAAATGTTAAGTAGTATGTCAGGTTTCCCTGGAAATTCAGTGTTTCCTCCTTGACCTTGTATAGGATCATTTTATAATCTCCATCTCCAAATATTCATCATTTAAATTGCAAACGCTGCTTCAAAAGCAAAATAAATGTACCACCATTTAAAAATGTCATATACAGACTTAATAAAAGGTTCTGTGTCTGTCACAGTTTATATATTACTGTTTACTTTTATTTCTAGTTTAAAATCCCAGTTTTACATTTTCAGCTGTGTTTAAGCTCTAGAAAGAAGGAAAATATTCATAGGGCAAGTATTTTAGCAGCACTGCGAAATGAGGAGATGAAACTCTGTTGGGAAAAAAATCAAGGCAAGATTTTAGTTTCCATATGTCTGACAAGAAGATTTTACAAAAGACAATTATATACACTTTGGACATAACATGAAAAAGGAATCACAGAACAGTTATTAGTCTCATGCTAAGAAGTAATTTCCCCTTGATCATTAGACAACATGGTTCTGTGTCTAATATGTCATTACTTTCTATGTATTAGACGTTTTCTTGAGAAAAATATACTGAAATAAAGAAAATAGTCTCAATCAATATATCAGTAGCATTCTTTGGGAAGCAGTGGTAGTAATAGCCACTAAACCACTTTCACCTGCACATACACACACACACACACACACACACACACACACACACACACACACAAAGAAAGAATTTGAAAAAAGAAACTGGAGATGAAGATTATTATATGCCAAAGGTAGGATACAGAGGACAAATTAAATCTTCTCAGCCAGGCGCGGTGGCTCACACTGGTAATCCCAGCACTTTGGGAGGCTGAGGCAGGCAGATCACAAGGTCAGGATATTGAGACCATCCTGGCTAACACGGTAAAACCCTGTCTCTACTAAAAATACAAAAAATTAGCCGGGCGTGGTTGCAGGCACCTGTAGTCCCAGCTACTCGGGAGGCCAAGGCAGGAGAATGGCATGAACCTGGGAGGTGGAGCTTGCAGTGAGCCGAGATCGCGCCACTGCACTCCAGCCTGGGCGACAGAGCAAGACTCTGTTCTCAAAAAAAAAAAACACAAAACTTCTCTTTTATTTCCCCCATCTCCTCATGCATATTCTCAACTTCAGGACCACCATACACACCCTACTAGATATTGATATAAATATTTTCCAAGGATAGTTTCTGACTTTTAGAGAAGAAATGAGAAGACTACGTTACTCTAATCAGAAAGAGGAACATTTTGGAACGAATATTCAAATATCGGTGATGTCATAAGCCATAAGTTCTATGCTGTATGATAACATTACTTAGAATACTAATCATTTCTCATGGTCCTAGTTTGCAAATAATAAAAATTAAGTGTTACCGAGATCAAGAGAGTGTTCAATTAGTATCTCAGTGTCTAGTTACTTATAACACTGAGTTAGTTTGGATGCCCACAGCCATCATGTCCTGGTGATTGAATGGTGTTCCTTTTACTCTCTTTGAGTCCTATAGTCATAGCCCTTGGAAGGCAAAAGTCACCTCAGAGTTTATGTAGCCCAGTGACCTCATGTTACAGATGAAGGCTTTTGGCCTTAGGTTAAATGAGTTGCTGCCTAGTCGTGAACTGGTACTGGAGTGCAACCCTTCTGATGCTGTTCCTTCTTCACCACGCTGCTCAAACTTGATCTGGTTGAAGTGGCTGGTTGTTCTGGTATTGTCCTACCACAACCCATGTAGCATTCCTCACATTAACTTATAACCAGATCCTGGTTACTGTCTGTAGAACGAACAATAGCTAGGCAGCTTTCTTTTCTAGTTATCTTTTAGAGTATTTAAAACAAAATTGTTGTCTATGGTATTTACATATATACTTTTTCTTTTTTAATTTCACAGACAATTTGAAATGGTTATTCCCACTGAAGACTCTGTTATCACAGAAATGACATCAACATTAAGAGACTGGGGAACCATGTGGAAACAACTCTATGTGGTTAAGTAGCTTTTTAATGACACGATTTTTCGGGTAAAGAATTGTTTTAAGAAATACATGAACATGAGTAAGCATTAACTAATATAGCACCTTCTGCAAGTCTCCAGGACTCCTTGGGGATATAGATATTAACAAGACAGTCTTGTTACAATCTCTGTGTCCACTGAGCATGGGTTTTGTAAGTTATTTTTCAATACCACAGGAATATAAAAGATTATTTTTCTGGCATCTAACCAAATAGGATGGTTTACATGGACCTATTGTTGAACCTCCTGAATATTTTTAATTTCCAGGGAAAAATAAAATTCAAGACAATTTTGGTGGCTTTGGTATTTTATCAAATTCAAATTCTGTAAGTAATTCAAGTATACTGTAAATGACAGACTTCTTAGCTAGTATCAATGAGAATATTCTAAATATACTAGAGAAAAGAATGTTTCTTGAGGGGAAAAAGGATCTGTGTTTTGCAGATACGTAGTATATATTTATTTACTTACTATAAGTAATCACATTGGGAACTTATGTGGCAAATCCCATGGTAAGTACTCTTTGATGCAGTATCTTCTTTAATCCTTATTACTACTCAAAGAAATAATAATGATGATCACATCCAGCTTACAGATGAGAAAAATAAGGCACAGAGAGTGAAGTACTCACCCCACATCAAGTAATGGGAAAATGGCTGAGCTGGGGTTCTGGTATGAATATGGTGCTGTCACTCTGAACCCCACTGTAACTGTGGAAGTCTGGGGGTGGTGAAATATTAGGGAAGACCCCATGCTATTTCTTCTTTTATTTTTAAAGAAATTTGTAGAACAGCTTAATCATTTGAAGGGATTAATTCAAAATACAAACGTGTGCTTATCCTGACAAAACGATTTAAAACAGCCTGTCGAGGAAAAAATCCAAATTAGTGAGGGACACTGGCAGAATGATAGTGTTTATTGTCTGTTACATCTGAAATGCAATAGGATATTTCACTGAGGCAAGAAAATCTGACAAAGTCACTAGTGAAAACCCTTTGATGTTGGACTTCTCTGATTAAACCCTCCTGTAGCTGGTAGCTTTAGAACTCACTATGAAAATCCACAAGAAACCTTAGGTGAATTGGCGGAGCATAGGTTTTGTAAATAACAAAGTCAAGATAACCGACCTCGAGGGCTCTGTGCTAGGGAAGTGCAAAGAAATGCAGATCTCCTTTTTAAATTTTCTTTTTTTTTTGTAAATGTTGGAAAGAATTCAAAATCCAAGTATTATTTCACTTAAAGTAACATTGGGCATGGCACTAACATGGAAAAAGAAACTATTTGAAATGCTCAAACCACTGCATTCCAAATACCCGATATAAGAGTTATAAAAATAATGACAGTGTGAGTGTTGTCCATTAGCTGAACTAGAACACAAACACTTTTCCTTTTATATAGCTACTAGTGGGGAACAAAGTTGAATTTCCTCTGGATTCTGCCTTATCTAGCTATTTTTACCTGTGTTCGAGGTTTCAAATGTCTGTTTTGGGGACAGACTTTGTTGGTTTGAAAATCTGTGTGTTGTAAACTCTATAAGTAAACTCCTTTCCTCCTAGTGTTCTGAGTAACTGGGAAAGAGAAAATTATCTAAATGTTTCCCTGGACACTGGAATGGTAGTCAGTGCCATTAGAAACAAATATTAAGTTTAACTCAGAGGTATTAGATTTTTGATACTAGGAGTGAAGCTACCTTGGCCATGTCAGACCTTTGGTTTCTCTTTTCCTAATGTAAATGTTTTGTGCCAAATGTTTTGGTTCAAGTTCCTCATGCTCAAGTGTGTTTAGGTTATTGTCCATCGTCTTTTCCAACAGTTTTAAGGCACCTAGCTTCTCTACTGGAAGATGTTTGATGGGGGCCATAATATTTTATAAATTGTTAGCAATTTATATGACAATGCTTAGCATAAAAGCACATGGTGAATGCTTGAAAAGTGCTAGTTGCTCTTTAAATAACGTTGCCAAGGACCTAAATAATGGTCTCTAAAAATACCACTTAATAATCAGTAATGTAACCACAAAAAGTTTAGGAGAAATATAGCAGCCATCTTTTACTGAGTACTTTTGTCCTGTCCCTGAGCTGGACATTTTACATCTCTTTTTCCTGGGGCTCTGCCAGGCACTTTTTTTTTTTTTTTTTTTTTTTTTTTGGAGACAGAGTCTCTCTCTGTTGCCCAGGCTGGAGTGCAGTGGCGCAATCTTGGCTCACTGCAAGCTCCGCCTTCTGGGTTCACGCCATTCTCCTGCCTCAGCCTCCCGAGTAGCTGGGACTACAGCTACCACCATCACGCCTGGCTAATTTTTTTGTATTTTTAGTAGAGACGGGGTTTCACTGTGTTAGCCAGGATGGTCTCGATCTCCTGACCTCATGATCCGCCCACTTCGGCCTCCCAAAGTGCTGGGATTACAGGCATGAGCCACCTCGCCCAGCGCCAGGCACTTTTTATTCTTGAATCTTATCAATGATAATTTACCTAGGGTCTCATGCTGAAGCCTGAATCTAAATCTAAGTCTGCTGCTGCCAAAACCTGTACTGTTTTCATTTTAAGGCAAATAAAAGCTCATCGCTTTCTAAAACACTAAAATACTCTCAATTAACTTTTGCTGTTTTTTTATGTTTCCAGAATCTCTTGATATTGTTTTATTCCAAGTGTTTAATATTGTACCCTAACTGTTTTCATTTAGCATTAAATCAAAAGCATTTTTCATATATCTGAATAGCCTTCATAACTATCCAGTGTTTAAAGAATCATGATTTTATGACCAGATGTTCAGTTTTAGAACTTTTTCTTACACTAGTAGAGTAGGTTTGCTGGCCAGGCCTGCAGTATGTCAGCATTCTTGCCACACCTGGGTTTTCTTCCCTTAATGGAGAGCTGACCAACTGATTTTCAGCTTTATAAGGGATCCTGCAACCTTTTCTTATTAGTGTTCTCTTAAACTTAAGTACTAGAGATGACATCACAGAAAATCAAGTCCATCCTACTAAACAACTACAGAACGCCTTTCCCAAGAGCAGGCAGGTGACTTTCTCCCTGTGACAATCAGTTCAAAAAGGCGCTGTGTCTCTTCTTTGCTACATGAGATTTGACTTGTTTAATAACTTGCTTATATAATTTTATTGACTTGGGTGGACTTTTCCTTCCTACACTGACTTCCTCAAGTGTTTGTATCGCCTGTACAGAATCTACCTCTTGAGATCCACAAAAATTAACATGTGTAAATCAAGCTATTCATTCATGCATTCTCCGGCTGTTAGGGATACACAGGCAGACAGCCATGTGATTGGGCACTTACAGCCACAGGGAGGACATGGACATTGAGCAGTTAATTACAAGAGTATTGTGTTACAGTGGCCTTGTAATGGCTTGTATGGGAGTGTATAACATGAGTTAAGAGTGAGAAGCAATAGAAGAATGGGCTCAATAGAGTGCCTTCGGAGTTGAGAGAGAAGCAAGATGATTTATATTGAGGAGGATCAGGGATGGCATCCTGGAGAATGCTTTTTGTTCCTCTGGCAAATTTGTCTGACCTGCACATCATGTGAAAAATTCAAGACACCAAGTACCGAAAAAGCAGATAACACGTCACTACTTTTTAAAATAAAAAATACGTGATGACAGAATGTCTTTACCCATCACCCAGAATTTGATATTTCTGGCAGCTTACAGCTGTAGAAGACTTTAGATGGATGATAACCTCAGTACTTTCATATCACTACTCATGAGGTCCACTCATAATTTTTGTAGAAAGTAAAAGCATAGCTGCTGGTTAAGAAAGACAAAGGGTAAAGACTTAGATAAGATTTACTCTATTGTCTCTGGGGTAAGGGATATATATTTTGGTTTTGGGGAAGAAACAGTATTTGTAGAGGGCTCATTCTGGACCAAGCCCAAAGCAATAACAGTACTCTAGTACTAATAACAGCTAATACTTACATATTTTTTCTGGGCCAGGCATCATTCTCAGAGTTTTAATAACTCATTAATCCTCACAACAACCCTGAGAAGTAGGTACTATAATACCCGTTTTACAGATGAAAAAAACAAGCACAAAAATGTTAATGAATTGTCAAAGCTTTTTCAGCCAGTAAATGGCAAAACTGAAATTCAGATTGAAGTTGTTTGGCTCTAAATAAGTTGGTATTCTCTGCCACTGTGCTGTAGTGCTCTCTGCACAGTTGCTACCACTAATCCATAAAACAGCCTTGCAGAAAGAATGTGCTGCCCATGTACAGATGACAAAATTGGTACTTAAAGTCTGTACCACTAGTAAGTGACAAAACCAGGATTTTAACTTGTCTTCTTTCCAGTAAACCACAGAGCTTAAATGAATTCCACAGGAGATTATCTTGAATCTCCATGATTGTTTTAAAAGTAAGGAAGAAAGCATTACCTTTTTAAAAGTCTAAATACTGGCCCGATAATAGCAGTGCATATCCATCAATGAATGAATTTTGTGCCCAACTTCTGATAGGGGATCCAATAAAGTATTGAGACCAATGTGCAAGAAATATAATTGGAAAGCAATGTCTTCCATTTCATCAGCTTTAGTTGCATGCAGCCATGGCACAGAGAAGGGAGAAAAGAATGTGAGCAAAAGTGATCAGGGAAGATTTCCTGATGGAGGTGGAAGTCAAGCCGAGTCTTCTTGGATAGTAGCATTTGAGTAGTGTTTAAAAAATAAATAAATAAAAGGAGCACGTGAGAAGTAAAGTTGCATTTCTGGACATGAGAGCAGTGTTGTGAAACTTAGATGAAGCATATAGAGAAGGCAGCGAGTGTGTTTGAGGATAGTGAGCGAACAGTTTGTCTGTTCACGGACATCTGTCCAGAGTGGCAAGCACATAGTGGGTAACCAGAATGGGCCTCTTCCCTTTCCTTTTTGGTTACCCCACAACTCAGTATAGGTACTGACTGCCAAATCTCCACATTTGTATATTTCTTAGCGTAATGAAGGCGATCTCTTCCACCGGCTGTGGCACATCATGAATGAAATCCTGGACCTGAGGCGGCAGGTGCTGGTGGGCCACCTCACCCACGACCGGATGAAGGACGTGAAGCGCCACATTACTGCCCGGCTTGACTGGGGCAATGAGTGAGTATTGAGCATCACAGGGCGGCCTCTAGTAGGTGAACACAATGGAAGTGACATAGGCCTGAGCCAGAACGTGGTAATGTCACTGGAAGCAATCCTATGGGCTTTTTCATGTTTCCTGTTTTTGGAGGCTTAGTGCGAACTGGCATTGATAGAGCCGAGAACCATTTCTTCTCAAGCTGGTGTAGGCACTGAAATGTCGTTTGTTGTCTAGTATCGTATGTGGCTTGATGGTGTGGACATGCTCATGGAAAATGAAATGTTCACAGCAATGAACTAGATGTGGCGTCTGACTAAAATGGATCTTGTTCTCAAATAGGCTTTAGGTTTGGCATGTGGATTTGCTTTTAAAATATATCTTTTCCATGTCATGGTAATAGGTCACCAGTGTAATCCGGAGGGAGACACTAATGTTAACAGCTTCTGTGAAAAGTCTTATGACAGGTGCACTGGTGGGGCCTTTTATTATTGCTGTGATTAGTCCTGTACATACACATTAGCTACTTTGAGGAGCTGCTTGAGAGAACTCAGTAAAAAGCTGTTCTTGACCGAGATTTATTTTTAAACAAAACCATAAGTGACTAATTTAAAATACCAGCCAGGTACTAAAATGGTAAATCTAATCACTGAAAGCTCTGACCGAGGCTGATATTTTACTAAACGTGAATATTAACATAGAAGTGAGAAATTAGAATAAGCCACCTTTGACTGAGACCCTAGGGTTGCGTGAGGTTTAGGTTTAAAGCAGTGACATGGTTCCTTAATAACCCACATGGCCCTATCCTCCCTTCCTTTCCTTTCTCCAAATCCCCATTTGCTATTTGGACCTTCAGAGGATCTTAGGGCAACAGAAAAAAAAGGAAAGCAGACAGAAATGAAGAAAATGACAGGAAGTGAACCATGGGTAAATTTGCCTCTTACTGAATGTGGAAAAACCAATTTGAAGCAGAATGCCACTTCCCATTACCATAGGAAATCACTTTGTCAGAAGCCAGGTTTGATTCTTCCCAAGATGTTGCACACTCTGAATGTGAATACCCAGACCTACTAACAGATTTTTAAACCTCCATCTCACTCAGAGGACTTCCGGTATTTTGTTGAATAGGATGTGCCATTCATCTTTTTACAGACAATGAATAGAAGAGCCCAATTCATTTATCTCTAGAAGATTCATTCCTGTGAGAAATAAAACAGGTACAAATGTGGAGGGGCAGCAAGAGCACAGGACTGGGAGCTCTGCTTTCTTAGGACCTGAAGCAAATTCCTTAACCCTCTTCATGTCAGTTCCTCATCTGTTGAAGGAGGAAGTTGAACTAGAAAAAGCACAAGGGCGCTTTCAGCTCCAGGATGACATTTAAAACACACAGCACCTCCTAACAGATTAGACTTGCCAGCCATTTACAGGGAACTTCCTATCCTGCCGTGGGAATGAATTTCACAGGAGATTATCTCGAATCTCCATTATTGTGGAGTGGGAGGGGTCCGTTGGAGCGAAACCTATGCTGCCTAATATTTATTTCTTTATTGTTTTGAAAAACCTTTGAGGACTCTGAATTATTTTGGGTCTTAGTCATTATGCTGGTCCTCATTTAAAGGACTAGTTTGTAAATAGGAAGAAAGTTGGAGGAAGTTAGCTTATCCAAAATAACACAGGAATGTAGATCAGGCAAGAAAATGATACTTCTTCAGTTTTATGAAAGAAAATGATGGCAGAATGAAAAGGGGAAGGAAGGAAAAACATTAATTATGACTGAATCATGACTCAGTTTTTGACTTACGTAAGTTCTGGCTTGTACTTTGGGCAGTTCTGTGGCTAATTTATGATAAGTTGGTAAAACATTGATGCATGAAAATGAGCAGTATAATTTATTTAGATCATCTTCAACTTCATGAATTTTCTGAGCTATGATTCCGTTTTCTTTGAAATTCTTTGACTGTTTATTTTAAAATAACTTACAGTACAGAGATTATGAATTTACCTTATTCCTTTAAGTATACATTTGTTTTCTTATTGAATAGTGCTCATGGAAAGCAAATTAAGATAATCTCTTGCCTATTAAACCAGATGAAATTGTCCTGCAAAATAAGCTGCCAGCACATAAATCTCTGGATGAACATAAATTAAGAATGTGTTCCATCTCACGTTGTATATCAAACTGTTGAAGAGTAGTGAAGAGAAGCCCTCTTGATGTGGGAAGCTTAGGAAGAAGAGATCATTAATCTCATTTCCTAACAGGGCCAGCAAAAGAATTGTTCTTGCCTGGGAACCTCAGACAGCACTAAAATAATGGTACATGTTTCTGTTGCCCATACAGTCCTACAACACGATGTTCTTTGACTTTTCTGCTAATACTATGTGGGAGGAGGCAATCAGTTAATCCTTTCTTCTTGGTGTCACAGAGTAGTTTAGTGACTGAGTTGATAGAAAACATGACGCTCTCCCTGTGTGATCTCCTCTCATCCTCTCTCTTCCCTACTTGCCTCATTTCTCCTTATTCTTTGTAAGGCACTTCCTTGATTCTACTCTGTGGGCTAGGAAACCTCAAACCATGGGAAGATGTACCTAGGAATTAACAAAACCAAATAGAAATAAATAAGACTCTTCACATAACCAGGACGCCAGGAAGCTAACAGAAGCTGAACAATCAAGACTATGGGAGAAAAAGGCTTGTAGATTACAGGTTTCTGAGGCTGCAGAATTTCTGCACTCATTCTGCAGCCATGTAGGTCACCTGTCTTCACGTATCTTATCTTCCTCCTGCATGTGACTGATGTCTGAATTTCCAAGTTCAGATTCTCAAGGAAGGAATCTTATTGACAGCCAATGTCTAATATTCCTGTTTGGGCTGAGCATTTTATACCAGCCTCTCATAAGCTGCTGGCCAGTCTTTGGGTTATTTGTCCTTAGGTCAGGTGCTTACCCATGGTACAATCAGGTGTGGCTCAGGAAGGGGAGATGGTCAGATGACTACCTTGTCTGCCACCACCACTCCCAGCAGAGAAAGTGGATAGAGCAGCTTCTCATAGAAGGAGCTATGAGTAAGACAAGTATCACAGTGGTTATATGCCCTCTTTCATTTGCTAAATGATCTTCATCAGCAATATTGACCCAGTGTCAGATGCTGACTTACACTGTAGTACGGTGGTTCTCTTTCAGAAGGGAATGGAGAATGGAAAACAGACCCTATCAGAATCCCTGGTGAGATGTAGCAAGGGGGAACATGGACATTTTGAAAACAAATCACAGTGTTTATTGTGAGTTAAAAATTCAACTAACATTAAATAATGGGTGTGTGAATTTTTTTCTAGGTTTCCCAAAGAGAAACATCATTTAGGAAAATTGAGAAACTGTTTTACTATCTGAAAGACAGCTCCTACTGTCAAGGAGGTGACAGCTTTCTAATCTTCTTAAGAACAAATAGCCCTCAGGGTGGCTGGGGCAGTGCCTGGCTTGAAGTAGGTGCTGAATTAATAAATTTTACTTATGAAACCTTAATGAGATTTTGGGGGAGGGCATGGAAGAATTTCAGATTTTTTTAAAATACGAAAGTAAGAAAGCTGTGGTTCTATAATTGGAAGTGTGATGCCAGAAGCCTTCTGTGTTAGAAAGAGTGGTGATGTGAAAAGGATTTAGAACAAGTGATCCTCAGAGAACTGAGCATTCGGCCTTGGATGTGGTGGTTGAGGGGGCTCTGCTAGAGAAGAGGGTATCATCTCGGCCTTGATCGATAGGGCATTACACAGGCGTTGTGTAGCCTTTGAGATGATCATGGAGGGTTAAGGAGATGAACAGAACTGTGTGGCATTGGTGTCAGCATTGTACCGTGGGTGCCCTGGAGGGGATCATGCTAGGAAGGTCGCTAGAGGGAAGCTAACCAGAATAGAGTTAGACTCGTGTTCCTCTGTTGATGGGAAGACATCACAAGTCAGTTACCATACTTGATACCTCTGAGGCTGGATATAACCTTAGAATACTTCTCAGCACAGCAAGCCACATGTCAGCCACAATGAAATCTGACATAAAGGGTTAAACTATTCTGCCAGCCCAGGCCCAAAACTCTTCCCCCATTTCCATTTCCTGCCTTTACTGAGTTTCTCCTAACGACTGACCTCAGAATTTGCTGTAAATAAGGACCATGCACAAGTTGCCAGAGATTCATATAAGAAACATGTTGACTCTGGGCACAGCTAGGTATACTGGTGCTAGGTCAAATTCTAAAGACCAAATTTCCTTCCCCTCAACTCCAATTTCTAGAACCAAATGATGTCTAGCTCTAGTTTCCATTCACTCCAGTGTGGAAGGCCTTCTCGTGATAATTTGAAGGGCGCTGAAGGCTCCACACCATGTGGTGCTAAGGCCCCCAGTGGCAGGAGCACTCCACTGAGAGTGCCAACCCATCCCTCCTGGATTTGCTTGTCTTTCTCACCTTCTATGTTTTAAGTTTTGCCCAGTGTCCAGCGGAGTTATATTGTCTACCCCAACTGTGGTAACAAGTCATACAAGGTGAGAGAAGCATGGTGGGTGATATACCTAATTTCCAAGTGATATAGTAAAAAACCAATTGTTTTTAACATATTTCATGGAGGTAACTTTTCCCCCAAACTTTTGCAATTTGTTTTCTAGACAACTGGGACTGGACCTGGTGCCTAGGAAAGAGTACGCAATGGTGGATCCGGAAGACATCAGCATTACTGAGCTCTACCGATTGGTAGGTACAGGAAATCTTGGCTTCCAGTCTTCCTGCTAATTTTCTGGTTTCCATGGCACTCCTCATACTTGCTTGATTTTGTAAGAACAGGATGTTCCAGGATTAATTTAGAGAGAGTAAAAAGACTTGAGAGCTGAGGTGACCATGCCCTCAGTACAGTACTGAGACACTACCTGTCTAAGAATAACATGATACTCTCCAGTGGGCCCTCAACGCCCAGGCACCAGGAAGTCAATACAAAGATGTTTTCAGTTCTTTTGCAAATCTTTCTACTTTTTGTCTAGTGTAGTGAAATGCTTACAAGTCACGCATACTTATCTGTTGTGTTTGAGGACCATGCTGTAACTAATGGGTGTTTCGTCTTGGCTCAGCAGCATGTTAACCCTCCTCCTGCCCCCATTAGCTCTATATACATATAGTGTGTGTGTGTGTGTGTGTGTGTGCGCGCGCGCGCGCGCGCGTGTGTGTGTACATACATAATAGCACTATATACACCAACTACTGAAACGGTCTCCTCCTTAGTCTTCAACTGCTGGACTTACACCCACCCTTCCCAGACCCCAATCCATTCCTAAGTACTGAAGCCCGTGAATCATCCTAAAATATTTGATCATATTGCCCCTCATGGTCTCACTTATGACTTGAGTTTTTTTTCTAGTTACATGGTAAGTTAAAGTCCAGTTTTTTTGCTTGGCATCCAGGTTCCCCAAGTCTGGTCCAATCTGCCTTCTGTTTAGCCTTGTATTCTTAAAATTGTATGAAATGTACCTAATATCTTGATATTAACTAAGTTCTGAAAATCCAAAATCAGAGAAGAGGGTGGTTGGGATGGGCTTTCAAAGACCATCACCCTAAGCATAATTGAACTTTGATCTCATTACTGCTGCTTCTTACCATAAAGTTCCAAGAAGGACTGCCTATTGGAAATAGTAGACTCCTTTTTGGATGATCCTGCCTCTTTTGGCATATCTTTTCAAGCTTATTTTTCTGAGAATAATGAGATATTCTTAACCTGAAGATTATCCATATCTGAAAAATGTGGAGGAAAATTTCAGTAAGTCCACTGGGGATGTATCTGATTTGAGAAGGCAGTTCTTAATATTGCTTCCAGATTTTTCCATGATCATCAAATTGATGTTCAGATTATCTACACTTCATTGTGTCAGTTGGAATCAATTCCATTTTTTAGGGGATATTCTTAATTGTATATTGAATTTCTTCAGAGTGGTGTTGTGTGCTGCTTGCCTTCATGACATCAGTACTAAACAGAGTATCTGGCATGTAGGGAGAACATAGAGGTCAGTTAGTGGGAGGCGAAGAAAGAAAAATAAGAGCATTCCAAGTTAAAGTCATCACTGCCTCTTAGCTTACATAACAAATATAATCCGTATAGTTTGTCTGTCATATCCTCTGATGTGGCATCTTTACTTTTGTTCATTTATTTAACTTATTGAACATCATATTCTTTCACTTTTAAGAACATCTCTCACTTAATTTTTAAGTTCCTTTAGGGAACACACTGTGTATACCTCTATATGTTCAAGATAGTCTTGTACAGTGCTTTTGCACTTAGTAAGCACCCAGTCAATGCTTTGGAGATCATTATGGTATCATGAAAAGACTGGATTATTGGCTCCAAACAACTACATTTATAATCTATCTCTTTCTTTTACCAGTTATTTGGGTCTTGGATTTATTATTTAATCTGTCAAAGCCTCAGTTTATTCATCTACTAAATAGGGAAATAATTATTTTCATGTTTATTATGAAGATTAGATAAGAAATATATGTAAAATGCCTTTCCTTGACAGATAATATTTGCACAACATGTAAGCATTTAGTCAGTTTTCATTCCTTTCTTATCTTTATTCATCTACGTTGGAGAGCCAACAGGGTAAAAATAATTGATGCCTCATATTAGGCTTAGATTTGGCTGTGTCATGAAATAAATAAAAAGCAGAAGATAAAACATGATAGAAATTTATTTCTTAAAGTATGCAAGTTTAGAAACAGGAATTTCTGGGTTTGGTTGTGGTTTTATGGTATGAAAAGATCCTTATCTTTCTGCTACATTGAACATGGCTTCCATCACCAAGAACACCTTTAAGTGCAGTATAGCTGCAAGAGTTCTAGCCATCATATTTGCATTCCAGGCAGTAGGAAGGAGACAGCTTTCTCTCAGTTGATTCAAATACTTTAATGAACCTTCCTGGAAGTTCCGCACAACACTTGCACTTACATCTCATTGGCAGAGCTTAGGCACACCCCTGTATTTAGTTGAGTATGTCAGGTATCAGATAAATAACTGATGTGACACAAATATATTTTATTTTCCTGAGTTTGGTTTTGTGCGTATGTAATTTTGTCTCTGTTCTTTTCATGTAACATTATATATGGGATGGCAAATTGATTTCACCTCTTTCAGCATTCCAGTTTATTGGTGGGTGGCTGCCTAGAGTTCAGTGTTGCTAAGATTCCAGGGTCTCATCTAGGGTCTCATTGATTAGCAATGTTGGCCGTTGGTGGGAAAGACAGCAGGGGATATTTTAGTATGTTACAGCTCAGATCCTAGTCCAAAGTCTTCATTTTACAGATGAAGAAAAGAAAATGTGATTTGACATGAAAACTTATTTTCTCCTCAGTGCTGGTTGCACTTGACTATTTCCAAAACAAAGACTATAGCCCAAAAACAACTCAAATAGTTATAAGCTTCAGAAGAGCATGTGCTTTTCTTTAAGGCAGTTTCTTTTTCTTTTTTACTTTGTTTTTCTCTTCAACTTCTATTTTAAGTTCCGGGGTACATGTGCAGGTTGTGCAGGTTTGTTACATAGGTAAATGTGTGCCATGGTAGTTTGCTGCACAGATCATCCCATCACCCAGGTATTAAGCCCAGCTTCCATAAGGCAGTTTCTTTTTCAAGTTTCTGTTTGTATCCTGGCCTAGCAATAATAAGATTCTCTGTAGCCCTGGTGTTTTTCTCATTCAACATGAAAGTGACTGACTGTTGATTTCACCAGGGAGAGCTGGGAGGCACCATCACCAATCCCTTGTTGTTGTTTGGCAATTTATTGTCACTTTGGGTCAAGGACCTCAGCATGGAGGTTAAATGGCCCAACACAGAGGACATTTGATTAATTGTTGCTGCTTTTCTTTTTTTACTTCTTCCTAGTCAGTGTCATGTTTGAAACACAAGTGTTTGCATCTTACTAAATTCATATTGCATCATTAGAAAAAAAGTCTCACTTTAGTTTCTTGATAGCCCTGTTAGCAGATCTTTCTCACCTAATTGTGTTCATTTAAGCAGTAAAAGTGCTAAACCGCACAGTGTTAGCATATGTCCACTTAGATATTTTGGTTTAGTGCCAAAGGCAAGATTTCAATCCTTCTATAAATAAAGGGAGCCTTATTAGCCAGCTTCTCTCCTATTTGTGCCTGCAGGTTTCTATCTTTTTAGAATTTGTAAGATCATGCATCTGCTTACTCTGCAATTCTTAGAAGGTTAGACTAGCAGATCTCAGAGGGAACACAGTGGTTCTCACATGCAATTTCAACCCAAGGGGATATTTGGCATTGTCTGGAGACATTTTTCGTTGTCACAACAGGAGATGGGAAGGAGAGGTACTATTGGCATCTGGTAGGTAGAGGCTAGGAAAAGCTGCTAGATGTCCTACAAAGCCCAGGACAGCCCCCACAACAAGGAAATATTCAGCCTAGTTGTCAATAGCATTGAGGTTGGTAAACCCTGGTGTAGACAGTTCATTCAATAATTAATGCATTATTTGAAGATTAAAAATTTGAGTCAGTTAAATAAATCTTTGGGATGAATCTCTTTCTTCTCCTAATCAAAGAGCTAGTTCAACTGTTAAGCACAGTTAGAGTAACTGATAGGTGCATTTGTAGCCACAAATTATCTCAAGCCCTTGAAGTGTGAACTTGACTTTTTAATTTGATTGTAATAATACTTTCACAGAAATTTTTTAGCAGTTTGCGGAAGTACTGAATTACCAAGAGAAAAGAAAGTAATCATAACCTACTAAGTCCAAATGGGTCCTAGACCTGAAAGAATAGTGGGGATGGGAAGAGGGGTATTTTCAGTGCCAGAGTGTGCCAGATGTGAAGGCCCATGTTAAATGTGCAAAGGGTAGAGTCAGGCAGGCTTATTACTAGCATGTATTCAAAGAACAAAAGTTCAAGCCCATAATTACTCGAAAGATGCAACAATACATTGTTTAGTTTGCTGTGATTTGCATCTGTCTGCACATGATCCTGATCAGTGATTCTCAACCCTCATTGCCCATTAGAATCACCTGGGGAGCTTTTAAAACTACCAGTCTCTGGACCCCCAGCCCCTAGAAATTCTAATTTAATTGTTCTGAGATAAGACCTGGGCATAAGTATTTTTTAAAAGCTCTCTTGGGGACTCTAAACTGCAGCCAAGGTTGAGAACCACTGATCTAGATATATTGGATTCATTGCATCGGTAAAGGAGCTAATTTTTTCTCCTCAATTCTTGTGAATGTCATGATTGGTGCAGGGAACTTTGCACTATTTGAGGTTAAGAGAGGATATCTCCTTAAGGCCTATTCTTTTCATGAGGTTTTTACATCTATTTCTGTAGCTCTGGCCTTTAGTAGTCATTCGGTTCTTCATAGTAGCTTGTGCTCTGTTACCCTTTTAAGTAAGCATATGTTTTTCTTTTAAGTAAATCAGTAAATAAGTTAGCAGTTCTGGCGGGGTGGAGGGGGGATGGTGAAGCCTTGTTAGTTAGAGGTGTATTTTTATGAACATAATGATGCCACTTTTGCCACAGTAAAAAAAAAAAAAAATTGTTAAAGCACAAAGTAGAGCAACCTTTATAGAAAACAAGGCAAAATCATTCTTTTTTCCTACAGTTAGAATATTTTTCTTCAGGAACCTGTGTTTAGTAATTATAGCCCACACATGCCTCAATGCTTAGGTCTGCTTTTAAAAACAACTTACTTACTCTCCACTTTTACGAAGAGATTCCCAGTGTACCTGTTGAGTATACAGTGATTGTAGATGAATTTAGCTAAATTTTTTCCACCCTTTGCTTCTCAAGTAGTTCGGAATAAAAGTTTTAACTTCTAAGCACGAAAAAATTCTAGTGATTCTATGTTGTGTTAACACTTGTAAATTTACATGACATTTTGGCTTCATTTGGTCATTCGGCAGTTTTTCAACTCAAAGGCGTAAAAAGATGGCTAATGTAGACGTAGGGTCATTTACCTTATCCCTCAACACAGGCTATGGCTCTGTTACAATGAAATTGAAATCCCTGAACTATTTTTTTAATTGTCAAAGTGATCCAAAAGAGGTAGTTTTGTTATTAGTCTGTGCTATGAAAGTGATAATCTTCCACATTTTTAGCACCCGTTCTATTAATACACAAGCCTAGCCATGTGTTTTTCCTGTACTCTTATCCTGAATCAGTGTTACTTGAAGTGTGGTCCAAGAAATGGCTGGACCGTGAACTGTTGGTCCAACTATACAAATGACAAGTAAATGATTAGAAACCTTTAGGGCATTTTGACATTGCCATGGCATTTTTATTGTATTTCATGAAAGAATCAGTCTGCAGGGAATTATGGGGAGAAACAACCTGGTCCCTCACTGCAAGCAGTGTGAGCCCTAACCTAGATAGGTAAGTCCTGCACCCTCCTTACCTCTCAGCTAAAGTGCCATTTTCCCAGGATGCCTGCCCAGTCTCATGTCAAATCCCCACTTTTATACTCTCATCATAATCTGGATCTTTAGGCTGGGCTCAGTAGCCCACACCTGTAATCCCAGCACTTGGGCAGACTGAGGCAGGAGGATCACTTGAGTCCAGGAGTTCAAGACCAGCCTGGGCGACATGGTGAAACCTTGTCTCTACAAAAAGTATGAAAATTAGCTGGGTGTGGTAACACGTGCCTGTAGTCCCAAGTACTCTGGAGGCCAAGGCAGGAGGATCGCTTGAGCCTGGGAGGTAGAGGCTGCAGTGAGCTGAGATCGTGCCACTGCAGTCCAGCCTAGGCAGTAGAGCAAGATACTGCCTCAAAAATAATAATAACAGTAATCTGGGTCTTTGCTTCCATTCATCACAGTTGCAGTTTTACATGTGTATGTGTGACAATTTTGTTCATGTCTGCTTCCCCTAGTAGATAGATGCTCTGTGAAGGTGTGAACTGTTTCTGATTTTACTCATCATTGTGTTCCCAGGGCTTGGTACATAGGAGATACTTGAATGTATGTTGGATGAATGATCATCCCCATGTTATCCTCCTTCCTGGACTCGTGAATGATTCTTTTTCTCCCTCAACCTGTGGGAACTCACATCTTGTCTTGTTGCCCAAGTTGAGCCTGGACTGGCTGTATTGAGGAAGGGATTGAAGGTGGACATAGATGCTATTCTTAGCTTTAGACACCTTGCTGGCTTTCCTAGGTTTCTCCCTATAGCGCCACAGCAAGTTAGAAACTATTATTTGCCACAGCCTGTCTCAGACAACTACCACAACTTTACAATTTAGTATAACCTAAAAGAACTTTTAATTATGAGTAATGAGAAGTTATAACTTAGATATAATTTAGTCTGCTTTTTAAAAAGATGACTAATAATTTGTTCTCATCTTGGGAGTTGATAAGGGAGCAAAAGAATCCTTTGAACTTCCTGCTTCCTGAATCTACTCAGTGAGTTGTTATTTTAACATTAATGATTTTAAAAATTCTTCAAGCAAGGTTCCTTGATAATCTATAAACTTCACAGTTTCTTATTTTAGAAGTTGGAAGAAAATTTGGAACTTAACATCCAAAGTTAAATTGGATATCTTCCAGACTATTTCTATGTCCACAGTCTGAAAGACATAGAATGTATATTTTGCTGTGGATTTAGATACCAAATCCACAGCAAAATAAAAAGTTATGGCGTAGGACATCACAGTCACCTCATAGCTAACTAGTTTGTTGGGTCCTGTTATTTCCTTCAGTCCATGCTGATCATGTTTTTGTTGGGGGGTGTCATTCAGATGGAACATCGACATCGGAAGAAAGACACCCCGGTGCAGGCCAGCAGTCACCACCTCTTTGTCCAGATGAAGAGCCTCATGTGTTCCAACCTGGGAGAGGAGCTGGAGGTCATCTTCTCACTCTTTGACAGTAAAGAGAACCGGCCAATCAGGTACCTGCACGTGGAGATAGGGTTTCAATGTCTTAATGTTAGAATGGTGGATATTTGTGATTGGCAAGCTGTAAGATATATATCTTGTATATTTTTTACTCCGTCAGCTTCAATTTTCTCACCAGTAGAACTCTGAGTTTCTAAGCTGCCTGTTCTTTGGATGTTTCTGTGAGGGATGATGAATGCAGCATTCTTTGAAAAATTCATAAGGGCTATAGAATCAGAATAATTGATATTAAATGGAAGTATGGCATGGATATCAAATCTGTTATTTGTTTTAATTATTTTGTATTGGTAACATAAAGAAGATACAGATTCTCTGGAGAAGTTTGCTTATCACAGTCAGCATGCTGTATCTTTCAGATTTTCAGTAAACCATTCTGTTATTCTTATCCTATCTGGATCATATGGTTTAAAGAGACAACTAAATACTTAGAAACCTTCCCATTAAAGTCTCAGAGCTTTGAGATGATAACTAATTTTCACATATTTCTTTTTCTTTCGCAGTTCTCTGAGTCTTACCTATTACAATTCTCTTTTG
The DNA here is from genome assembly GCF_000001405.40 of Homo sapiens. Classification (NCBI taxonomy): domain Eukaryota; kingdom Metazoa; phylum Chordata; class Mammalia; order Primates; family Hominidae; genus Homo; species Homo sapiens. The sequence goes on along the minus strand of NC_000007.14, from coordinate 111,976,590 downwards.
GTTCTCTTTTTCAGTATTTAGAAAAGATATATGGTGTATGTTTTGGTTTTTATTCGAAAGTCTCAACTCCTATTAAAACTTTTTTGTCTAAAATTTTTAATATTTGTTTTAAAGTTAAACACAAAACTTGCCGTCTTTCAAATTAAAAATTTCACAGATAAATTGAGAATTTGAATTGAATCACACAAATCACACACAATGACCCAACTGTACCATGCTTTAAAAAAATACTTTTCAATAAACACTAACAATTTTAGGCAATACCGAGTCTCATATATATATATATATATATATATATATATATATATATATATATATATAATAGACACACATACACATATATATACACATATATATACACACACACGCACACACACACACACATATGTGCGTGTGTGCGTGTGTGTGTGTGTATATATATATATATATTTTTTTTTTTTTTTTTTTTTTGAGATGGAGTCTTGCTCTGTCACCCAGGCTGGAGTGCAGTGGTGTGGTCTTGGCTCACTGTAACCTCCACCTCCTGGGTTCAAGTGATTCTCCTTCCTCAGCTTCCTGAGTAGCTTGCCCAGCTAATTTTTGTATTTTTAGTAGAGATGCGGTTTCACCATGTTGGCCAGGCTGGTCTCGAACTCCTGACCTCAGATGATCCGCCTGCCTTGGCCTCCCAAAATGCTGGGATTACAGGCGTGAGTCACTGCGCCTGGCCTATTATTTTATAAACAGAAAATAATCTTGGAGTAATTCTTTTCTGGTAAAATAGTTTTCTTTTTCTAGGGAATATGTGTGAAGTTTATTTTTAATGCAGTTACAGGCATAAAATCTTTGTTGAATTAACTTATATCTTAGTCGTTATCTACTAGTAAGTGTACTTTTTATTTCTTGACAGTGGACTATGTCCATAGAATTTAGAAGGTGGTGTTTTTGTGCACCAGGGACAAAATTTATGAGGTGTGGAAATAACAGTGGTAATACAGTTTTAGAATCTACTTTCTACACTGTTAGAGGAATTGAATCAGTGTGTTAAAAGAACTTTGCCTCTTTACAAATCAGCACTACTAAAAAGGGAAGTAAAAGGCGTGAAAAACTGATCCAAGTTAGACTTTAGAAATGTGAAAGATTATTTAGAGATAATATTTGTTTATATGTCGGAGTGTGTCTGGTTTACGGGTAGTTTAGATTACAAAATCTTTATAACATTGTCTGTATAATATGTGATCTCTTTAATATGCTTTATAAACTATATGGAATGTAAAAGGAAGAACTGAAGTTATTCTTTTGCTCATTTCTGTTAAACTAAAGTTTTTTTTGTTCGTTTTTGTTTGAGACAGAGTCTTGCTCTGTCACCCAGGCTGGAACTCAGTGGCACATTCTCGGCCCACTGCAACCTCCACCTTCTGGGTTCAAGTGATTCTTGTGCCTCAGCCTCCCAATTAGCTGGGATTACAGACACCCGCCACCACGCCCAGCTAATTTTTGTATTTTTAGTAGAGACGGGGTTTCGCCATGTTGGCCGGGCTGGTCTTGAACTCCTGGCCTCAAGTGATCCCCCCGCCTTGGCCTCCCAAAGTGCTGGGGATTATAGGCATGAGCCACTGTGCCTGGTCGCCTGTTAAGCTAAAGTTTTTGTGGAATACAAACTCCCCTTTGCCACTTCGCATTATCATAGGATTGTACTAATTTGGGATTAATATTAGGTTGTCTCTAAATATCATCTCATTATAAACATTTTCAAATTTTCTCAAACATTCTAAATAGGTATTGATCTTCAGAGTGCTCCTTATTTTATTCCTATATCCTTAGCAAAAGTAAGATAATAACCCGGGTACAGGGTCTGCCAAAATGTTGTGTTTGTGTTCCCCAAGTTCAAGCCAGGAGCTGTGTAGTTTTCCTGGTCTGTAATGTGGCTGGGCTGCCATGCCTGCCTACTTCCCCCTGGTCTCTCCCTCCACTTTTCCCTCTCACTTCTGCCTTCACCCTCCCCTTTTGTCACCCTCCTCCCCATCCCTTTTCCTTCCTCCTCCTCTCTCTGCAACCCCCATCATACACACACACACACACACACACACACACACACACACACACACACACACACACATCCCTCTTCAATATGCCACCTGATCTGTAATGATCCTCGGAGAAATCAAGTCAGTCCCTTCCCACTGCTTCTCCTCAATGCATTTGGTTATCTGTGGCTCTCACCTCTCAAACTCACAATCACCATAAAGGTGATTGGCAAAAAAATGAATAAGTATCACAATATATGCTTACTAGATGTTTGGAACAGCCTCAGATTTATCTTCTTGGTGTTTCTGAGGCCTTAGGCCACACAGTGATTGTTTTCTTTTAGGAAGTGTTCAAAACCTTGTAATGAGTCAGTTTGGTTCAAACTGCCGGGAACACAGGGCAGTTCACCGTCCCTGCATGAAGAGGCCTTAGGATGCACAGATCTGAAGACTGGGCTTGGCTCTTGTCTCTGCAGTTGATGGTGACTCTGCAGCCCTGACCCCTTTACTTCCTTCTATTTTTTTCTTTCATCTTGGAACTCCTAACAGTTCTTGCTGCCTTCATCCCACCTGGTGTAGGTAATGAGTATCAAATGTCCGCATCTTCTCAGAAAAAAGTACTGTGAATGTGAGGTGTGATTTTAAGGCATTGTTATATTTCTTCTTATTTGTGAGTGTTTTAAAATTTTGTATTTCTTTTAAACTTTTTATTTTAGAAAAATTTCCAACATATATAGAAGTAGACTATTGTAAGGAACCCTTATGTACCCTCCACCAGCTTCAACAACTATCAACAAAAGTTTGATCTTGTTTTAACCACATTCCTTTCCAATTTTTGTGTTTACCCCCAGATTATTTTGAAGCAAATTCCTGACCTCATAACATTTTCAAATGTAAAAAAAAAAAAAGGAACTCTAAAGGAATTATCATCTAAAAAATTAATATTCCTTTAACATCATCAAATATTCATTTGCCATTGGATTCAGATTCCCCCATTGACTCATAAACATTGTTTTACAAATTGTTCAAATTGAGATCCAAATAAAGTCCATATGTTGCAGATAAGTCTTATAAGTAAATTTCAGCTCTAGCTTCCCTCTTCCTCTTAAATTCCTGCAACTTATGTGTCATTTGGTTTATTTCTTCTTGAGAGTTCAAAGTCTAATTGCAAACGTTTAAAATCAGTGGACAAAAGATGGTATAGTTAAGTGAATGCTTGTGTTATTAAATAGGAGGGTTAGTGCTATAATTTACAAAAAGTAAAATGCCAGAGGAAAAGAAGTCAGTATACGAAAAAGATACTTGCACACTCATGTTTTTAACAGCACAATTTGCAATTGCAATAATATGGATCCAGCCCAAATGCCCATCAATCAATGAGTGGATAAAGAAAATATTATATATATATATATATATATATATATATATGCCATGGAATACTAGTCAGCCATATAAAGGAATGAAATAATGGCTTTTGCAGCAACCTGGATGAAATTAGAGACCATTATTCTAAGTGAAGAAACTCAGGAATGGAAAACCAAACATTGTATGTTCTCACTCATAAGTTGGAGCTAAGCTATAAGGATGTAAAGGCATAGGAATGATACGATAGACTTTATGAACTCCAGGGAAAGGGTGGGAGGGTGATTAGAGATAAAAGACTACACATTGGGTACAGTGTACACTGCTCAGGTGATGGGTGCACCAAAATCTCAGAAATCACTACTAAAGAACTTCTTCATGTAAAAAATTAAAAAAAAAATTAAAGATAGAAGGACAGAGAACTAGAGATGTGATAAAACATATGATAAGTGTTAATGATAGAATCTAGGTAGTATGTATATATATGTTCACTGGAAATTTTGTTTATATTTAAAAACTTCCATAATAAATGCTAAAAAACGTAAAAAAGGGTAGAATGTAGTCTACATAATCTTTATGGCTTCAGTCTGGCCATTGATCACAGAACGTTACCTTGTCCAGGTACAGGTGGAGGGACCAACATGTGCAAAACCTGTAGAGGACGGATTAGGAAACAGGGTGTTTATTCCTCACATAAGACAGATAAGTGGTTAGTACTTTAAAAAAAAAATTCCTCCTTTAAGAAGCAAACAGCCAGTATTTATTGAGCACTAACCATCTGCCATACTCTGTTCTAAGTGCTTTAAATATATTATTAGCACCAATTTTACAGATGAGGAAGCCAAGACACCGAGAGGCTAGAGAAGGTGACCAAGCTTCTCTAAGTGGCAAAAGGCAGAGTAGAGCTGCAGACCCCGTGCTCTGGCCCAAGGCCTGCCCTCTGAACCACACCACCAGCAGTCGCATCAGAATCACTGCCTAAGCACTTCAGTATTTGTCTGAAAGTTTCCATAGTTAAACAGGATTTTATTGGCCAGAATTGGAGCTTTAGAGACTGAAAGTCTTAATAATAAATTGTTATGAATTCTTGATAATGGTAATACTGAAACTGATATAGGGCCTCAGAAATTGTCTATGCTATAGAAGTTGGGTTTTAAATTGAGTCCTTCTCAAAATACTTCAAGAATAGCAAAGTGGCTCCTCCAGCTACCCGTGAAATGGAAAGGAAAGAAGGCCAAGAGGAAGAAGGTGGCCCTCACCCCTGCTGTCTTGAAAAAGCAGGAGGCCAAGAAAGTGATAAATCCCGTTTGAGAAAAGGCCTAAGAATGTTGGCATTAGACAGTACATCCAGCCCAAAAGGGACCTCCCTGGCTTTGTGAAATGGCCCCGCTATATCAGGTTGCTGTGGCAAAGAGCCATCCCCCGTAAGTGGCTGAAAGTGCCTCCTGCGATTGACCCGTTCATTCAGGCCTTGGACCACCAAACAGCTACTCAGCTGCATAAGCTGGCCCACAAGTACAGACCAGAGACAAAGCAAGAGAAGAGGCTGTTGGCCCAGGCTGAGAAGAAAGCTGTGGCAAAGGGGATGTGTCCACTAAGAGACTACCTGTTCTTTGAGCAGGATTAACACTATCACCACCTTGGTGGAGAATAAGAAGGCTCAACTGATGGTAACTGCACATGACATGGATCCCATTGAACTAATCGTCTTCCTGCCTGCCCTGCGTCATAAAATGAGGATCCCTCACTGCATTATCAAGGGGAAGGCAAGACTAGAATGTCTAGTCCACAGGAAGACCTGCACCACTGTCGCTTTCACACAGGTTAGCTTGGAAGACAAAAGAGCTTTGGTTAAGCCAGTGGAAGCTATCAGGACCAATTACAACAATAGATACGATGACATCTAACATCACTGAGGAGGCAATTTCCTGAGTCTAAAATCTTTGGCTCACATTCCCAAGCTGGAAAAGGCAAAGGCTAAAGAACCCACCACTAGACTGGGTTAAATGTGCCCTGTTAGTTTTTTTGTACATAAAAATAATCTCCTCAAAAAACAAAATAGCAAAGTGGCATCAATTCTTACTTTATGCTAGTGATCAAAATCTTAGATTAAGTACTTAGATGTGTCCAATACAGAAGGAGCCAGCATGTAAAAGTACTCCCTTTCTCGTTCACTCAGTAGAATTATGAAGCATGTAGTATCTCCTTAGTACCAGGAAGAGTACATTTCCTGATAAGAACTTGTCATTGAAGCTGGACCATATTTAGAAAGCCCATTACTTTTGTTTCTAAACAATTACTGAATATCCCTGAAGGTGGCCCAGTATGTTAAGCCTGCAAAGTGTGTTTTGGGCACCTCTCACAGTGACTAAAGATTGAGGCCCATTCCCACGGCATCCTGCTTAAACACACCTACTCCAGGCCTCTTTTCCAGTTTACCTTCCTCACTTGTTTATGTCACATCACCAGCCCAGCGTCTCCTGAAGGCACAGCCACATTGGAGAGGCAAAAATCACATACTTTTATTTGAGGTGTATACAGTCTTGACACAATTTCTCTCTATAAAAGATAATTATTAGTTTTATAAAACGAGTTTTCCAGGTTTTTACATGAGCCAATTGTTCTTAGAGCATATTTATCTGGTTGAAAGTTTATGGCTTCTCCAGCCCTCAAGGGTATTACTGGGAAAGGGAGGGAATCATTTCTCTGCAAATCATCTGTAATTTTATTACATTCATTTAACACTTATGTAATGCTTATTATATTCCAGGCACCATTCTAAGCTCTTTAAGAAATATTAATTTAATCAGCCCTTGTAACACTCTATACAGTGGATACTACTAATATCCACATTTTTATAGATGGGGAAACTGAGGCACGGAGAGTTTTTTTTTCTTTTTTTTTAATAACTTGCCCAAGGTCATACAGCTCACATGTGGTGGAGCTGGTATTCTAACATGGCAGTTTATGTAGGAATCTGTATTCTAAATCACTGCTCTACACTCATACTCATCATGTACAGTATCTATAAGATTCTATATTCTTCATCAACCTATTTTTACTCACCAGTGTGTCATAAGGGGTCTGTCGAGGGTTTGTAGTTTTAGGAAACTAGAGTGGGAGGGACTTGACCTCCTTAAGAATTGACAGGAAAGATCCAGTAATGAGGGAGAGGGGAAATCACTGATCGTCCAAGGTCCCTTAGGAGGCATCAGGAAACAGATTTGAGTTTGCTGGTGAGGAGATTAGCCATGGGCCAGAGAAAGGAAGAGACAGAAGAATGTGGACATGCATAAACTGAGGTGTAGGATTGGGCATATGAGTTTTTGTTACATACAAGCAAACTACTTAGCATTATTTGCTACTGTGTCTCCTTTAGCTTGCATTTAAAATTGGCTTCTGTACTACATGGTGATAGAGTCATGGTATTTGTTTATGCTTTCCATAGGTTGTGCAGCTACGGATGTGTATATTAATTCTTACCTCTCCTGTTTTGGCATATGTCAATTAATCTACAATAGACAGTAAATTTTTTTTTTTTTTTCTGGTTCAACTAATGGTTTTTATTTCACATTTGGCATCTTTTTCTTCTACAAACTAATAGACTCTCCAGAACCTATTCACCTGAGATTTCTTTTTCTACCATGCCTGTCCTTTGCAGGATTGTTTGAATTTTCAAGAGAATTTGAAACACTTAGTCTCTAGACAGTTTCTTTCAATGTAGCCCTTTGCTCTTCAGACATATGTGACAGGAGTCAAATCACTGTTTTTTTGTTTTTTTGTTTTTTTAATAGAAAAAATGAGTTTATTTTTTAGTAAATTTTGTAGATGCAAAGGAGATATCTGGTGGCAACTGGAATCACAGAATGAGCATTCAGAAGCCACAACAGAAAATGTAGATTTAGAAATCTTTCATACAGAATTGGAAGCTGGAGCCATAAGAATAGAAAACATTCTTTTTTTTTTTCAGTCATTATTTGTTTGTACAGCTGTGTGAATTTTTTTTTTTTTTATTATACTCTAAGTTTTAGGGTACATGTGCACATTGTGCAGGTTAGTTACATATGTATACATGTGCCATGCTGGTGCGCTGCACCCACTAATGTGTCATCTAGCATTAGGTATATCTCCCAATGCTATCCCTCCCCCCTCCCCCGACCCCACCACAGTCCCCAGAGTGTGATATTCCCCTTCCTGTGTCCATGTGATCTCATTGTTCAATTCCCACCTATGAGTGAGAATATGCGGTGTTTGGTTTTTTGTTCTTGCGATAGTTTACTGAGAATGATGGTTTCCAATTTCATCCATGTCCCTACAAAGGATATGAACTCATCATTTTTTATGGCTGCATAGTATTCCATGGTGTATATGTGCCACATTTTCTTAATCCAGTCTATCATTGTTGGACATTTGGGTTGGTTCCAAGTCTTTGCTATTGTGAATAGTGCCGCAATAAACATACGTGTGCATGTGTCTTTATAGCAGCATGATTTATAGTCCTTTGGGTATATACCCAGTAATGCGATGGCTGGGTCAAATGGCATTTCTAGTTCTAGATCCCTGAGGAATCGCCACACTGACTTCCACAATGGTTGAACTAGTTTACAGTCCCACCAACAGTGTAAAAGTGTTCCTATTTCTCCACATCCTCTCCAGCACCTGTTGTTTCCTGACTTTTTAATGATTGCCTTTCTAACTGGTGTGAGATGATATCTCATAGTGGTTTTGATTTGCATTTCTCTGATGGCCAGTGATGATGAGCATTTCTTCATGTGTTTTTTGGCTGCATAAATGTCTTCTTTTGAGAAGTGTCTGTTCATGTCCTTCGCCCACTTTTTGATGGGGTTGTTTGTTTTTTTGTTGTAAATTTGTTTGAGTTCATTGTAGATTCTGGATATTAGCCCTTTGTCAGATGAGTAGGTTACGAAAATTTTCTCCCATGTTGTAGGTTGCCTGTTCACTCTGATGGTAGTTTCTTTTGCTGTGCAGAAGCTCTTTAGTTTAATTAGATCCCATTTGTCAATTTTGGCTTTTGTTGCCATTGCTTTTGGTGTTTTGGACATGAAGTCCTTGCCCACGCCTATGTCCTGAATGGTAATGCCTAGGTTTTCTTCTAGGGTTTTTATGGTTTTAGGTCTAACGTTTAAATCTTTAATCCATCTTGAATTGATTTTTGTATAAGGTGTAAGGAAGGGATCCAGTTTCAGCTTTCTACATATGGCTAGCCAGTTTTCCCAGCACCATTTATTAAATAGGGAATCCTTTCCCCATTGCTTGTTTTTCTCAGGTTTGTCAAAGATCAGATAGTTGTAGATATGCGGCATTATTTCTGAGGGCTCTGTTCTGTTCCATTGATCTATATCTCTGTTTTGGTACCAGTACCATGCTGTTTTGGTTACTGTAGCCTTGTAGTATAGTTTGAAGTCAGGTAGTGTGATGCCTCCAGCTTTGTTCTTTTGGCTTAGGATTGACTTGGCAATGCGGGCTCTTTTTTGGTTCCATATGAACTTTAAAGTAGTTTTTTCCAATTCTGTGAAGAAAGTCATTGGTAGCTTGATGGGGATGGCATTGAATCTGTAAATTACCTTGGGCAGTATGGCCATTTTCACGATATTGATTCTTCCTACCCATGAGCATGGAATGTTCTTCCATTTGTTTGTGTCCTCTTTTATTTCCTTGAGCAGTGGTTTGTAGTTCTCCTTGAAGAGGTCCTTCACATCCCTTGTAAGTTGGATTCCTAGGTATTTTATTCTCTTTGAAGCAATTGTGAATGGGAGTTCACCCATGATTTGGCTCTCTGTTTGTCTGTTGTTGGTGTATAAGAATGCTTGTGATTTTTGTACATTGATTTTGTATCCTGAGACTTTGCTGAAGTTGCTTATCAGTTTAAGGAGATTTTGGGCTGAGACGATGGGGTTTTCTAGATAAACAATCATGTCGTCTGCAAACAGGGACAATTTGACTTCCTCTTTTCCTAATTGAATACCCTTTATTTCCTTCTCCTGCCTGATTGCCCTGGCCAGAACTTCCAACACTATGTTGAATAGGAGTGGTGAGAGAGGGCATCCCTGTCTTGTGCCAGTTTTCAAAGGGAATGCTTCCAGTTTTTGCCCATTCAGTATGATATTGGCTGTGGGTTTGTCATAGATAGCTCTTATTATTTTGAAATACGTCCCATCAATACCTAATTTATTGAGAGTTTTTAGCATGAAGGGTTGTTGAAATTTGTCAAAGGTTTTTTCTGCATCTATTGAGATAATCATGTGGTTTTTGTCTTTGGCTCTGTTTATATGCTGGATTACATTTATTGATTTGCGTATATTGAACCAGCCTTGCATCCCAGGGATGAAGCCCACTTGATCATGGTGGATAAGCTTTTTGATGTGCTGCTGGATTCGGTTTGCCAGTATTTTATTGAGGATTTTTGCATCAATGTTCATCAAGGATATTGGTCTAAAATTCTCTTTTTTGGTTGTGTCTCTGCCCGGCTTTGGTATCAGAATGATGCTGGCCTCATAAAATGAGTTAGGGAGGATTCCCTCTTTTTCTATTGATTGGAATAGTTTCAGAAGGAATGGTACCAGTTCCTCCTTGTACCTCTGGTAGAATTCGGCTGTGAATCCATCTGGTCCTGGACTCTTTTTGGTTGGTAAACTATTGATTATTGCCACAATTTCAGAGCCTGTTATTGGTCTATTCAGAGATTCAACTTCTTCCTGGTTTAGTCTTGGGAGAGTGTATGTGTCGAGGAATGTATCCATTTCTTCTAGATTTTCTAGTTTATTTGCGTAGAGGTGTTTGTAGTATTCTCTGATGGTAGTTTGTATTTCTGTGGGATCGGTGGTGATATCCCCTTTATCATTTTTTATTGTGTCTATTTGATTCTTCTCTCTTTTTTTCTTTATTAGTCTTGCTAGCGGTCTATCAATTTTGTTGATCCTTTCAAAAAACCAGCTCCTGGATTCATTGATTTTTTGAAGGGTTTTTTGTGTCTCTATTTCCTTGAGTTCTGCTCTGATTTTAGTTATTTCTTGCCTTCTGCTAGCTTTTGAATGTGTTTGCTCTTGCTTTTCTAGTTCTTTTAATTGTGATGTTAGGGTGTCAATTTTGGATCTTTCCTGCTTTCTCTTGTGGTCATTTAGTGCTATAAATTTCCCTCTACACACTGCTTTGAATGCGTCCCAGAGATTCTGGTATGTGGTGTCTTTGTTCTCGTTGGTTTCAAAGAACATCTTTATTTCTGCCTTCATTTCGTTATGTACCCAGTAGTCATTCAGGAGCAGGTTGTTCAGTTTCCATGTAGTTGAGCGGCTTTGAGTGAGATTCTTAATCCTGAGTTCTAGTTTGATTGCACTGTGGTCTGAGAGATAGTTTGTTATAATTTCTGTTCTTTTACATTTGCTGAGGAGAGCTTTACTTCCAACTATGTGGTCAATTTTGGAATAGGTGTGGTGTGGTGCTGAAAAAAATGTATATTCTGTTGATTTGGGGTGGAGAGTTCTGTAGATGTCTATTAGGTCTGCTTGGTGCAGAGCTGAGTTCAATTCCTGGGTATCCTTGTTGACTTTCTGTCTTGTTGATCTGTCTAATGTTGACAGTGGGGTGTTAAAGTCTCCCATTATTAATGTGTGGGAGTCTAAGTCTCTTTGTAGGTCACTGAAGACTTGCTTTATGAATCTGGGTGCTCCTGTATTGGGTGCATAAATATTTAGGATAGTTAGCTCCTCTTGTTGAATTGATCCCTTTACCATTATGTAATGGCCTTCTTTGTCTCTTTTGATCTTTGTTGGTTTAAAGTCTGTTTTATCCGAGACTAGGATTGCAACCCCTGCCTTTTTTTGTTTTCCATTGGCTTGGTAGATCTTCCTCCATCCTTTTATTTTGAGCCTATGTGTGTCTCTGCACGTGAGATGGGTTTCCTGAATACAGCACACTGATGGGTCTTGACTCTTTATCCAACTTGCCAGTCTGTGTCTTTTAATTGCAGAATTTAGTCCATTTATATTTAAAGTTAATATTGTTATGTGTGAATTTGATCCTGTCATTATGATGTTAGCTGGTGATTTTGCTCATTAGTTGATGCAGTTTCTTCCTAGTCTTGATGGTCTTTACAGTTTGGCATGATTTTGCAGCGGCTGGTACCGGTTGTTCCTTTCCATGTTTAGCGCTTCCTTCAGGAGCTCTTTTAGGGCAGGCCTGGTGGTGACAAAATCTCTCAGCATTTGCTTGTCTATAAAGTATTTTATTTCTCCTTCACTTATGAAGCTTAGTTTGGCTGGATATGAAATTCTGGGTTGAAAATTCTTTTCTTTAAGAACGTTGAATATTGGCCCCCACTCTCTTCTGGCTTGTAGGGTTTCTGCCGAGAGATCCGCTGTTAGTCTGATGGGCTTTCCTTTGAGGGTAACCCGACCTTTCTCTCTGGCTGCCCTTAACATTTTTTCCTTCATTTCAACTTTGGTGAATCTGACAATTATGTGTCTTGGAGTTGCTCTTCTCGAGGAGTATCTTTGTGGCGTTCTCTGTATTTCCTGAATCTGAACGTTGGCCTGCCTTGCTAGATTGGGGAAGTTCTCCTTGATAATATCCTGCAGAGTGTTTTCCAACTTGGTTCCATTCTCCCCATCACTTTCAGGTACACCAATCAGATGTAGATTTGGTCTTTTCACATAGTCCCATATTTCTTGGAGGCTTTGCTCATTTCTTTTTATTCTTTTTTCTCTAAACTTCCCTTCTCACTTCATTTCATTCATTTCATCTTCCATTGCTGATACCCTTTCTTCCAGTTGATCGCATCGGCTCCTGAGGCTTCTGCATTCTTCACGTAGTTCTCGAGCCTTGGTTTTCAGCTCCATCAGCTCCTTTAAGCACTTCTCTGTATTGGTTATTCTAGTTATACATTCTTCTAAATTTTTTTCAAAGTTTTCAACTTCTTTGCCTTTGGTTTGAATGTCCTCCCGTAGCTCAGAGTAATTTGATCGTCTGAAGCCTTCTCTCAGCTCGTCAAAATCATTCTCCATCCAGCTTTGTTCTGTTGCTGGTGAGGAACTGCTTTCCTTTGGAGGAGGAGAGGCGCTCTGCGTTTTAGAGTTTCCAGTTTTTCTGTTCTGTTTTTTTCCCCATCTTTGTGGTTTTATCTACTTTTGGTCTTTGATGATGGTGATGTACAGATGGGTTTTCGGTGTAGATGTCCTTTCTGGTTGTTAGTTTTCCTTCTAACAGACAGGACCCTCAGCTGCAGGTCTGTTGGAATACCCTGCCGTGTGAGGTGTCAGTGTGCCCCTGCTGGGGGGTGCCTCCCAGTTAGGCTGCTCGGGGGTCAGGGGTCAGGGACCCACTTGAGGAGGCAGTCTGCCGGTTCTCAGATCTCCAGCTGCGTGCTGGGAGAACCACTGCTCTCTTCAAAGCTGTCAGACAGGGACACTTAAGTCTGCAGAGGTTACTGCTGTCTTTTTGTTTGTCTGTGCCCTGCCCCCAGAGGTGGAGCCTACAGAGGCAGGCAGGCCTCCTTGAGCTGTGGTGGGCTCCACCCAGTTCGAGCTTCCCGGCTGCTTTGTTTACCTAAGCAAGCCTGGGCAATGGCGGGTGCCCCTCCCCCAGCCTCGTTGCCGCCTTGCAGTTTGATCTCAGACTGCTGTGCTAGCAATCAGCGAGATTCCGTGGGCGTAGGACCCTCTGAGCCAGGTGTGGGATATAGTCTCGTGGTGCGCCGTTTCTTAAGCCGGTCTGAAAAGCGCAATATTCGGGTGGGAGTGACCCGATTTTCCAGGTGCGTCAGTCACCCCTTTCTTTGACTCAGAAAGGGAACTCCCTGACCCCTTGCGCTTCCCAGGTGAGGCAATGCCTCGCCCTGCTTAGGCTCGCGCACGGTGCGCACACACACTGGCCTGCGCCCACTGTCTGGCACTCCCTAGTGAGATGAACCCGGTACCTCAGATGGAAATGCAGAAATCACCTGTCTTCTGCGTCGCTCACGCTGGGAGCTGTAGTCCGGAGCTGTTCCTATTCGGCCATCTTGGCTCCTCCTCCTAGACAGTAAATTTTTATGGACCAGTGAAAACAAAGCTGTTTACTGGTTGACTACCTCCCTTATAACTTTTCATTACTTTGTTTACTGATGTACTCTAGGGCTTCATCGGTTAAAGTTGTAAATTTGTCTTGGGACTAATCTATTAACGTATTGCATTCTCATCAGAGAATATATTTCATATGACCTGAGTACCACCAGTTGGTACTCAGCTGGCATAGGGCTGCTCATGCATGTGAGCTGCTGGCGTGGGCCTTTATTTGAGAAAATAGCACCAGGGTAGTACTTCTGGAAAAAGTGTTATCCCGATGATTAAATACAAAAAGTCTTAATTAAGTACAGATGAGGTTTCCTGTCTGCTTGTAACTTATTCACATACTTTTCTAGGTATTTTTCCTAACATCACTTCATTAAACTCCATTTTTCTTGAAATACTTCATTTCCATATAAATTTTGTATTGCCTACAATTACCTTCTATTTGATATATCATTCCATTCTATCATTTAAGAAAAAGAAAGTAATGAATGCAATTGGTGAGGTAAAGATTTTTTTAAATATGGAAATATGGATTCATACTGAATTCCGAAATACATCTGGATATCTCTTCACCCCCAAGACACATACCTTTGTGTGTCTTGTGTACCGCACGGTAATCGAAGTGGCCAGATTCTGGAGTCAGCTGGCAAGAGTTCAAGTCCTGGCTTTGTCATTTAGTAGCTACATCAGTTTTGGGAAGTTAATTCATGTCTCTCAAGGCTGTTAACTTGTCTGATAAGTAGAGATAATAATAGTACTTTCCCCATGGGGTTATTGGAGGATTAAATTTAGTGTAATACTTTCTACCTGATAATTGGTCAGTAAATCTTAGTTATTAGAATGATTATTTTTAAAAACCAGTACAGGAAATACACCTAACCTAACCAGAAATAATATGTGTTGATTGCTCTTGAAGCCTTAAAGAAATATGTTCCAAGCAACTGTTTATTTTTTTAGGTATATGGTATTATAGTTATGTAATATTTAGAGAGACCTACTAGTAAAAGGTAAAATGGAATCAGAGGTGTGATTTGCTTTAAAATACTTCCGCAATGGAAGAACAAAGAGAAAGAAAAAGCAAAAAGGAGAAAATATGACAAAATATGTGAAGAAAATATGACAAAATTTCTTGGTTATGAATTCCCTGTGATAGGTATATGAGCTCTTGGTTGAACTTCTAGCATATAGTATATATAGTTAATGAATTACCTGCTTAAAATTTATTAATGTTTTCATACTGTATGTAGGCCATAAAGCAATGAGAAAAGACATTTTTTTCCAATGTCTTTAAAGAACATTGGATTGGTTTAGTCACTAGCCCCATAGATGATGGTCTGAATTCCATTCTGCCTAGAATAAAAATACTCGTTACATGAACTGACAGTTACGTTTTTCATAATGTACTTGACAAAACTTAAGAGGAATGTTTTCTTAATGGTCTAGGACATTGAGTGTTATATCACACATACGTTATAATAATATTCCCCTTGAAGCACGAGCCTTGATTCAGACTTAAAATAGGCAGCTTTTAGAAGATTAATAAAGATTCTGTGAGAGAAAATACCTTGTATGCTTAAATCCTTAAAGGATTTTTGCCTTACAGGCAAAATCAGTGCCACCTTCCTGGAAATTCTAAATAAGTATAGGTTTATCCTCCCAAAGGTGAGGGAATTCCAGTTGTAAGAATGCACATCACCTCTACCCATTCACTAGTTCATTCACTCACTATGAAAGCATGGTAAGAGTAAGTGAAGTGTTGTGTGCCAGCTGTCCGAGACCCTTTGAGTGTTTGTAGAGGTTTAAAGTTGAATCCTGAAGCAACGGCAGAAGGGATCCAGACACAAGTGAAGGAATCTACTTTGAAAAAGAGGAAGGACACTTCTTTTATTAATGCGGAAGATGAAGGAAGTGAAATGGGTGTAAAATGCTGAGATGGAATCAAGAGACTTTGGGTTTGTGGCCTTGATCTTTTTTAAGTAAAGGGGGAAACAAGATCAGCTGCCATTGGAGAGCAAAAGAGAGGACAGAGGGAGCTGAGGACTGAAAGTGAGTTGTAGGAGGAAGGCAAGCAGACGTGGAGCAAACGTGTGATAGGGATCCAGCAATCCAACCCCCGTGCATGCATCTAAAGAAATGAAACCAGTGTGTGCAAGAGATATCTGCACTTCCATGTTGACTGCAGCACTATTGACAATAGCTAAGATATGGAGTCAACATAAGTGTCCATCAACAGATGAATGGATAAAGAAAATGTGGTATATATACACTTTGGAATACTATTCAGCCTTAAAAAGAAGGAAACTCTGTCATTTTGGACAACATGGATGTACCTGGAGGACATTATGTTAAGTGAAATAAGCCAGGCACAGAGAGACAAAGAGTGCATGATCTCACTGCATGTGGAGTGTAAAAAAGTTGAACTCATAGTGGAGAGAAGAAGGGGGATTACTAGGGATTAGGGGAGGGAATTTTGGAAAAGAAGGATACAAAATTTCAGTTAGGAGGAATAAGTCCAAGACAGCTATTGTACAACATGGTGGTTATGGTTAATAGCAATGTATTATATACTTGCACATTGCTAAGAGAGTAGATTTTAAGTGTTTTCATCACCAAAAAAAAAAAAAAAAAAAAAAAAGCACATGAGGTAAAGCACGTGTTTTACCTCATGGTAGGTTAGCTTGATTTATCCATTCCACAATGTATACGTATTTCAAAACAACATGTTTTATTTAGAATTGATAAATATATACAATTTTTATTTATAAATTCTTTTTTCTTTTCTTTTTTTTTTTTTTAAGACAGAGCCTCGCTCTGTTGCCCAGGCTGGAGTGCAGTGGCGCGATCTCGGCTCACTGCAACCTCTGCCTCCCGGGTTCAAGCGATTCTCCTGCCTCAGCCTCCAAGTAGCTGGGACTACCGGCATATGCCACCACGCCCTGCTAATTTTTTGTATTTTTAGTAGAGACGGGGTTTCACTGTGTTAGCCAGGATTGTCTCCATCTCCTGACCTCGTGATCCTCCCACCTCAGCCTCCGAAAGTGCTAGGATAACAGGCGTGAGCCACTGCACCCAGGCCATTTATTTATCAATTCTAAATAAATAAATAAGTAAAATGTTAAAAATATATAAATAATTAAGTGTAAAAAAGAAAAGTGTAATAGGGAGTGAGTGAGGGCTCATAGAATTGCTGAGTGCAGTGATGGCCGCACCAATGGGAGACGTCTGAAATTGCTAGTGCATCCAGACTCCCAGGTTAGCTTTTGCTGGATGTGCTTAGCAAATAGGGATCAGAAGCAGGTGGTAAGTTTGGAGACTGAAACATCATAGGTGGAAAAGAATGAGAAAATTGAGAATTCTGTGTCACAAGGAAAATCTAAGAAGTTACCATCATAGCTTCCAATGGGTGAGGCTGATACAATCTAATAGCCTTTTCAATTTTAAAAGGAAATGAAAGAATTATGCTTCTTTTGAAAAGACTGAGTTGTTAGGAAAATTTTTCAAGAGCTTACAGAAAGAACTGTTAGGGAGAATTGTTATTTGGCCCAGACTAGTAAAAAATGCTAATATTTTTGTGTATGTATGCTAGTGCATAACATAGTTAAGAGAGCAGATATGGCTTTTTCACTCCCTGCACTGTGCTAGTATTTCTCGTCTCATACATCATTTAAAATGTATAGCATGATCGCAGAAGTTCAGCATCTATATTGTTATATAAATTAGGAGCATATATTGTTTTGAACATCAATCATGGGCATAGATCCCTTTTTGTAGCTTCATGTTATAAAATCAGCTCAAAAATGTGACGTCTCCAAAGCAGAGCAGTAATGTAGGGAAAATGTCTGACCGGCCAGACGTGCAGGGAGTACAACTTTGTTTGAGAACAAAAATAGATGGAGACGGCATTCAGACACCCTCCTTGGATTGTGGCAATATCATCTATTCCATATGGCCCAGAGCATTTCCTGCCATGTCTAGACATGCTGGCACAGATTTCTCTGTGGGTGTCTGCCTGCCTGTCAGTGACCCACAGCGACCTTCCCTCGGGCCTCCTGTTGAAAGGCACTCCTGCTTTCTGCCCTCCCTCTTCTCCATCATTTGATTGTTCCAGCAGGTGCATGAAATGTGGGAGTGTTGTCACTTCAGAGTTAATCAGATTTGCGGTTTACTCCCCCTTTGGTCACAATTCTGTGTCACATAAAAAAGAAAATCACAAATAATTGCTTTAGAGATGTTGTTATGTCAATAATGGGAGAGTTTTAAATATGAAATGAGCAAGGAGGAGGATCTAAATTAATACACAACAAGCAAAGAAATGCTTTATTCATACTGAGAGCACCCAGGGTAGAACTGATTCACTTTTTTCTCTGTAGCTTTTTAAGAGCCATACAATTCTAGTTGTTTTCGAAGTTGTAAATTACTGCATCATTATAATGTGTTATTATAATAATAGGTGGCCCGAAATTCCAAGTTGCAGAAAACCAAAAACTCATAGAGTCAGTGTGAACTCAGAACTGACTTTCTCTTTCCCTTTCACTCTAAGCTGTGATTATTCAAGCTACTTGTCTCTTTTTACTTAAATAGTGCAGGATTTTAGAAAGTGACCAGAAGGTCCTCTTACACCTATGCCTGTGTTTTAAAAGATAACCAGATTGATGTTCTTTTCACTAGGATTCGGGTCATCTCTGTCTTTTTTCCTTTGCCCTATGTCTGCTACCCATAAGGTATTCAGAATTATTTAGTTTTCCTAAGTTCCCTACAGGATAAGCTATGGTCACACTTAGCAACCCACCTCACAAGGACTTCTTTGGTATTCAACGCCATTTGTGTTGTAAGATGGTTCAACATTAACAAAGGAATTGTTAATGATGAGTTCTTCTTAGTTCCTTTTCCAAAGATAAGACTTTGCCCACTCATCATCTAGATGTTTTCAGCACCTTGTAGTGCGCCTGACACAGGGTTGGGATTGATGCAGTTAGAGGAAGCTTACAAGTCTTAGATTGTTGTTGAGGCAAAGCATTAAGAGATCATGCTATTATTATCTTAATTTTTGCTATCATCTTTCCACTGCAGTGGGGATGTGCTTATTAAGAAGAGAGAGTACTCAAAGTGTTGAGTGCATCAAAAATGTTTATAGAGTTGTTTCATGTTACACTGTGCTAATAAGAACTGTGCTCTCAGCCCTGTCTCTGGGGAAACATCATTTGCAAACACTGTCATGCTAAAAAAAGTACATAAAAATTGTCAGATAAATGTGTAGCATCTTTCCCTAAGTATTTCCATGTAGAGATTTTTGGACTACAAATTAAATAGAGACTGCATCTTCTTTTTATTTCAGTTGAGCTTTATGAAGTTCACACTGTTCTTGTGGAATTGCTGATGTTCATTCGTTCATTCATTTATTTATTCAGCAAACAATTCTTACTGTCCTTCTCAGGGCCATACACTCATTTGGACACTGGGAACACATCATTGAATAAAACAGGAACAAAAAATTCCTGCCTTCATGCCATTTATTAATATGTTGTAAGACGATTCGAGATTAACAAAGCAATTATCATTGATGCAGTCCTTGTTAGTTCCTTTTCCAAAGATAAAACTTTGCTAGTAGACACAGCTTGTAGTCTACTGATGTTCAAAATACTCAAGCAAGTATTTTTTCCAGGTTGTTTAGTTATATAGTATACCTCTAAGGATTTTACTTGAAATGAACTTTGGGATTTCTAAAGTCTTCTGAACTTGGAGTCATGGCTATCTTTCTTAAATCAACAGTCAGTCAGAATCATTTCCTTAATTCACCAGTTTCTTTATCATCCTTTTGTATGGTGCCCAATATGCAATTTTTATTTTACAAAAGTATTTCACATTTCTTAACAATAAATCAAAATCATTTCCTTATTTCACCAGTTTCTGTATCAGCCCTTTGTATGGTATCCAATATGCGATTTTTATTTCACATGTCTAAAGCAATGGTTCCTAACTTTTTCAGTACCAAAGATTTCTTTTTAGAAGTATATAAACTATAGACTTCAACAGAAAATAATATACCTGTTCTCATAAGCATTAACATTTTCCTATCAGTTAAGCTTTGTAGCTCCCAGGTTAAAAAAGCACCTGATCTTCAAAAAATACAGTTGAATGAGTCATCTAATTAATAAATAGTATTTAATGATGCTTTAGATCATTTTCATTTTTAAAAGTTATAATGAATATAAAGAATCTATCAGTAAGATGTTGTGTCCATCAGTAAAAGCTATTGGAATGGAAATTTGATTTTGGCTTGTAAAGCAAAATGTATCTGAAACAGATCTCAGTCAATTTAGTTTATTTTGCCAAGGTTAAGGGCATGCACCTAGGAGACAGGTCTGTGCCTTTCTCTGAAGATGAGAATATTGAGACTTCATATTTAAAGGGAAAAGGCAGGCTGGAGGGGAAAGAAGAAGGTGGTCACATTACTGAATCCACATGTTGCAAGAGAAAAGAAATAGATAGGGGAATAGTCAATTATGTATTCATCTCACGCTCAGTAAATGAACACTTTACAGACAATAAGGTGAACATAGAGTAACTACCTGTGGAGATATTTAACCTCTTATCTGTAGCTCTCTGCTTAGGAGCAAAAGGAAAGGCAGCTTCTTGCGTGACTCAGCTTTCAGCTTAATCTTCTTCCCTTTGGCAGAGTGAATTGGGGGTCCCAAGTTTTTATTTTCCTTTCACAGACATAATTTCATGAAAAAAAGAAAATCTCTCTAAGATAGTAAATGCATGAACGATTTATTATACTTACTGTTTTTGCAGGGCTTGAATGACATGGATTTTTATACTTATTCTGTGTTTATTTATGGCTTTTCTGCCTTTTTAAGAAACTGCATGCTTCAACTCAGAGTACTTATAAAGAGCTCAGGTTTACTTTACTTTAACTTTCCTTATTATAGACATTCCTAATGAAAAGATGTTAGAAAGGTCAGAATAATTTCTGAATATAGATCAGAGTGATTCTTTTCTCACGAAATGTCAAAGATACAGTGTTTACAATGATCAAATGATATAAATTCCCAGAATGATAAGCAGAACGCATTCTGCCTACATAGAGGCTTTCTCATTTCATGGTCCCTGTTTGTGTTGACCAGATCCTCTCTGTGCCTACTTTTGGTTACTTCTCTAAGGAACTCATTTTTTAGTGAAATTCTTAATGAGTTCTCCAGAGAGAGACTCAAGCAAGTATTTTTCTCAGTTTAGTTATACAGCAGGCCTTTTTCTAAGGATTTTACTTGAAACGAACTTCAAGATTTCTAAGGTCTCAAGTCTTCTGAACTTAAAGTCACAGCTGTTTTTCTTAAATCAACAGTCAGTCAAAATCATTTCTTTAATTCACCAATTGCTTAATCTGGTAACAGCACAGAAGATGTGAAACAGCAGCTGATCTGAACATTATTTATAATTTTAAAGAGTATTATATTCCTTTTTTATTGAATTTTACCTTCCTAAAAACTCTTTCCTAAAATTTTACCTTTCCTAAAAACAGAGATATTTGTTTCAGATATCTTTATTTTTCTGCAAAGACAAATAGCGTGACGGAGAATATTGTACACAATAATCATCCTGACTAGTAAGAAAGAATTGGCTTGTTATTCAAAATTGGCAATGGAATTGGCTATAGTTTAAAAATATGTCTCCTGTTGTGTCATTCAACTAAACCCAAATTCTTTATGTGCCAACAAAGCCATCACATCATTTGGCTGCATAGTCCTCAACACTCAATTATTTGTAAGGTGAATATGGGCTTGAGCATTAATATTTTTAAAAGAAAACATCATCTATCTCCTCTTTAAGTAAACTCTGGAAACAGTTGTATCAGAGATCTTCCTCTTTCCATTTCCCTTTAATCAGAAGAGCTCATGACTCTAACTTTGCTTTAGTTTTAAAATTAGAAAGCACATTAATAATCTTATCTAGGAAGACTTGCTTGAGAAGTTGCTTTCATTTATTGCCAAGGAAAAACTCTGTCATTTGTGTTCTCATGTGGTTGGGAGGAAGAGGGGAAAAGTCTTCGACCCTAAGATACCAGGCGTACATTGCCTGTTTTCTGGTATACATGACTATCATAAAACAGTCAGCAATTCTGATTAATTAAGACTAGGGCTTTTGGGTAAAAACAGTGGTCCTTTAACATGGCTGGGCTTTAAACAAACAGGAAGCTTTTAGGTCCATCCTGACCCAGTCAATCAGGATCTCCAGGGTGGGGCCTGGGCTTTATACAGCTCACCAGGAGAATATTGTACACAATCAGGTTGGTGCGAGGCTCTTTGTATCGGTTCGAACCCTGAGAGCACGCCAACAAACAACACAAGGCAGTGTGGAGCAGTACCCTGTTTTAATGAGCGCCTGGGTGCAGACAGGCCGAGGCCTAAAATGGCATCAGCCCCATGTGAGGACGGGGCAGGGGTTTTATAGCCCTCTGTAAACAGGAAGTGTCCCAGTCTGACATGACAGCTACGTAGTACCCGGACAGTCTCCCTCTCCATCTTCAGGGGGTATGTGTCTTCCGGCCACCTCTCTTCCTGCTTCTGCTATCTTGCTGACGCACGCTGCTGGGTCTTGCGCCTTGGGACTGGGCCTGAGGAGGGAGGAGTTATTCATTCCCTTAAGCTTTCAGGCCCTGGGGAGAATCTTTCAGTTGGGAACCACTGAATTAGAAGGCCCTTGGGTCTCTTCTGTTTACCACTGATCATTCCCTGTACATAGGGCATCTATTCGAATGTCCTTCATCTCTGCCATCATAAGCACCAAAGCCCCGTAGTCCAGCGGCCACTGCAGAACTGCCAGCACACCTTCCAGCTGCTTCCCAAAGTATCTTGCCTGGACAGAGGTAGCACTGGTTTCTTGGGGGCATAAATAGAGCAATTTATAGTGCGGCCTGAGCTTTTCTGAATTGTCCTTTGTTATTCTAGGCGAGACCACAGTAACAGCTCTCTTCACAGTTTTGGGAAGGAAAATAATTTTTTCTTTAACACTCATACATTCTTAGTTGGAATGGTCCTCTTTATCAAAAGACAAATTAAAAAGAGAAAAACAGAAGTTTACTAACATGTATATTTCATACATAAATGAGATATATTAATACATAGGGAATGAGAAATTCTCAAAGAGGTGGCTTTGAATTCCAGCTTATATAGTGTCTTCAAGAAAGAACAGTACATTTTGGAGAAATGACAAGACCAAACAGGACTTGAAGTCTCTAGGGAGGCAACTTCTAGGAAGGCAAATAACTGGCAGACAAAGGCTAGTTGATAAAGAGTGTTGGTAGGGATACCTCTGGTGCCATCTCCAGGCCTGTAACGTTTAAAATTGTCATCTGTGGTTAACCTTTGTTCTCCCTGGTAGAAGAAGGGGCAGGCCCATGACCATGCCACCCTGAATGTGCCTGATCTTGTTTGATCTCAGAAACTAAGCAAGGCCAGGCCTGTTAGTACTTACATGGTCTAAGAGAGGCAAGATTCTTTTTGTTTTTGTAAATCTATGCATTGCCTTTAGGCAATTAGAGGGAAGGCAGAGAGCTTTACAGCACCTACTTCTTAATTGCCTTTAGCTCAACAATTCTTATGCCAAAGAAGTATATTTTGGGGTGCCGTATTCTGGTCTCCCACAGCAGATTATTGGACATATCTTACACTGTTAGGCAATCAGAAAACATTTGACAGAATGCAGGAGAAGCAGTGAAATAGAAACAATTCAGATCACCTTACGTTTGTATTCTATTGCCTTTTAGGGAGAGGCTCTAGGGTCAGCACTGCACCCTGGAACCATCCTCTTAGCTCTTCTCATTATTCCTTCGTCCATCTTACCACCCCTTAGCTTCTGGTGTGTCTCCCTTCACACCTACTCAGTGTAGAATGGGTATTAATTGTTATCCTCACACTCTTCAAACAGCGTAGTTAATTTTTTTTTTTTTTAAGACAAGGTCTCATTCTGTTATCCCAGATATCAGCTCATTGCAACCTCTGCCTCCTGGGCTCAAGTGATCCTCCCACCTGTGTCTCCTGAGTACTTGGGATCACAGGCATGCACCACCCCACCGGGCTAATTTTTTAAATTTTTTGTAGAGACAAGGTTTCACCCTGTTGCCCAGGCTGATCTTGAACTCCGAGGCTCAAGTGATCTGCCTGTTTCTGCCTCCCAAAGTGCTGGGATTTCAGGCGTGAGTCACTGTGCCCAGATTAGCATAGTTCAATTTAAGACAAATGACTGCTTTTTCAGATATGCTACATGGGATTTTTGTTTTTGTTTTTGTTTTTGTAAAATTGGTTTGAGTATAAAAAAAATGACAGTTGTTTTTCCAATTAGTTTAATAGAACATGACCGTCTAAATGTGTTCTCTGTTGTTATTGTTCTTCTTGGAGACCATAAATCTATTTCAATGATATTTAACTGTTGAAAATTATTTTACAAGCGTTCTTTGTAATTTTTTGTGGATTGATTAGCTTGCTAATCTTTCTCACAACATGTTTCAACCGAAGATATTACCCAGTCATATATTTTTGGATAAAAGTACATGTTGTGTAACTTTCATGCTCATTGAATCACTAGACAGTTTTACTTCTTATGTGAGGTGAACTATAAAAGTGATAAATATAAATCCATGCAGAAAGATAGAACAATTTTTATGTGAAATATAAAAATATATTTCATGTAAAATGTCAAAATTTTTGATATTGGCCTTCCCAACTGAAGGGTTACTTCTACTGAGTGGTTTACAAGGAGGCACAGAGGACAGAAGCATCCTACTGAGAAACAGAAGAGAAGCCATCAGGACCTTCAGATCCCTACTGTGCCTCCTATATTATTTGCATGACCAGGAAGAACATTTCTACCACACTATGCTGTGAAACACACTTGTCATCATTAGAGGTCTTTTTGAGTACATCAGAATATCAGTAGTTCAACTGAGCAGTTGGTCACAGGTGTAATTTCCATAAACACAGATATGTTGTGGCTTTTTGTTTTTTTCATTTGGCTTCATGCAGTTTTGTTTGTTTATTCATTTATTTGGTTGATTTTTTTTTTTTTTCGCAGACAGGGACTTTGCTATCTTGCCCAGACTGAACTTGACCTCTAGGCTCAAGTAATCCTCCTGCCTCAACCTCCTGAGTAGCTGGGACAACAGGAGTGTGACACTGTGCTTGGCCATTTGTAATTATTATGTTTTAATTTTATTAAGAATATTCACACAAAAACTCTTGGTTTGTGTGACATAGTTAGTTTTGCTCTTCTTTGTCCATTTCTTTCTTTTTTTTGAGACAAGGTCTTACCCCTGGAGTACACCCCACTGGAGTACAGTGGTGCGATCATGGCTCACTGCAGCCTTGACCTCCCAGGCTCAAGCAGTCTTCCCACCTCAGCCTTCTGTGTAGCTGGGACTACTCAGCTACTGAGTGCCTGGGATTATAGGAATGTGCCACCATGCTTGGCTAATTTTTTTCTTTCTTTCTTTCTTCTTCTTTTTTTTTTTTTTTTGGTAGCGATGGGGTTTCCAATATGTTGACCCAAGTTGGTTTTGAACTCTTGGGCTCAAGTGATCCTCCCACTTCAGCCTCCCAAAGTGCTGAGATTACCAGTAGTGAGCTACCATACCATGCCTTCTTTGGTGCTCTGAGGTGCCCTGTTCTTTCAAAGAGAGGGTTGCATTTTGGTTAAAAGGTGAGACTCTCAAATCAGACTCTGGAATTTAATATCCTGGCCCCATCCTTGACTGACCACACAACTTTGGCCAACTTATCTAATATCTCCTAGCTTCTGCTTTCTCACTGGGATGACAAATGGGCACAACAGTGGTTTCCACCTCCTACTGTGGTGAGGAGAATTAAATGAGAAGAGCTATGTAAGGCATAAGTCATAGGGTCTGGCACAGGGTACACATTTGCCTTTATGATTTTTTCCAGGAATGCTTATTTATGTTCTTATTTCATTATCCTGATTTCATCAAATCATTGTTGGAAGAAGAAAGGTTATAAATAATAAATAATTGTGGTTTGTTTTTCTTTATTTCCAAAGAAATAGTCATTTTTGATTTATAGTATCATGATTTATAATGACTCATACATGGAATTCAGGTGGACACTAAATTTCTCCTGCGGAGAGATTGCCTCTGGAAGAACATGGCAGTATATGGGGAAGTCAAATAATGAGTTTTCTCTGCTGTTAATAATACCAACTCTCATTTCTCAGTGTTTCTAGAAATGTTCTATTTGCTTATTCATTCTGTAAGAAGAGGAAGACAGTATTCTCATTTGAAAACATATCAGTATAGTTTTTTATTACTGTATGTTGAATATAATAAAGATATAAAATGTTCATGAGGACAGCATTAAATGGAATAATCTGGAATCTGGGGTGCCACGAAGTTAATATGAGAATCTCGAGTCAGGTCGTGAGGCATCATGGATTGAAATATCTTTTTGCAGAGTTTCATACATTTCCCTACCATAAAGTAAAGGACATAATGGGAAAGTTTGGAGAGAATTAAAACTTTCCAGTTATTTGAGTGTTATTCTATTTTGTCCTAAAAGATTGTATTTGGTTAGTCTTATCAAACATCTAAGAATACCAAATCATTCACTAGGAGTTGAAGATACAAAAAGGTTAATACTCATGGGCCTGTATTCTAGTTGCTCACCATGTAATAGGAAAGAAACATATAAACTTCTCTTCCACTTAGGAAAAAAGTCTAAATGATGTATGTAATGGAGGTATGCATATCTTGGAAGGACATTTTTTAAGTTTACAAAAACTAATTTTGTCATCTGATCATACTTACCACAGAGTTGCGATAGAACAGACTTAGAATAGACTGTCAAAAACATATTTCTGTGTGGCCACAAAAGTTTGCACAAAATATTTGGAGAATTTCAGAAGATGTGCCAGAATGCAATATTATTGGCCAGGCACGGTGGCTTATGCCTGTAATCCCAGCATTTTGGGAGGGTGAGGC
Organism: Homo sapiens; assembly: GCF_000001405.40. NCBI lineage: Eukaryota > Metazoa > Chordata > Mammalia > Primates > Hominidae > Homo > Homo sapiens. The sequence goes on along the minus strand of NC_000007.14, from coordinate 111,950,173 downwards.
AGGCAGATCACCTGAGGTCAGGAGTTGGAGACCAGCCTGGCCAACATGGTGAAACCCTGTCACTACAAAAAATCTAAAAATTAGCTGAGTGGGGTGGCATGCGTCTGTAGTCCCAGCTACTCTGGAGGCTGAGGCAGGAGAATCACTTGAACCTGGGAGGCGGAGGTTGCAGTGAGCTGAGATCGCGCTGCTGTACTCCAGCCTGGGTGATAGAACGAGACTCCGTCTCAAAAGAAAGAAAGGAAAAAAAAGAATGCAGTATTATTGACTTGTTCAGTTTTTTTCTGGGCGTTGAAGGCATACCTTCTGATATTCTCCAAACATTTCAGTGTGGGTGAGTAATAATAATCCAAAGATTCCAAAATACGTTAATATAGGTCTTTTTTTGTCCAAAACCATTTGCTGAGTGATTAGTGGCTGTATCACTAAAGCAGAAGATAAATTGATTTGAGTTGGCATAACAATAGCATGTCATCAAATGAATAAAAAGAATTTTTTTTATTGGCCATAGATGTTTTCCTTTTTTTTTTCTTTTTTCTTTTAAAAGAAGTCTGGCTTTTAAAAGAACTGTACATGACTTATTTCTCCATAGTACCCATTTTCAGTCTGTTTGTATCTTCCCCTTAAGGCATGCTTAAGCTAAGGTATATGTCATTGGCTTAGGACATATTGATATTCTTTCTGAAACAGGATATGATATAGTATAATACTTGCATAATCAGGATTCTGTGTAAACTAGTGAAATTAAAATAGTGACAGAGCAAAAAGGATCTGTTTCTGCAATAGAATACTTTAGGAAACATTGTTTTCCAGAATTTTGATGAAATGTACAGATATGGAATTGGATTTTATGTCAGTGTTAAAGTTAAGGTTTTAATATTGAAAATGCCCTATTGACTTCTGTATTTTAATCTTATTGGTGTCCATCTTTTTAGACTGACCAAGATAATGTGAAATTTGCTTTGAATGTTTCTGTAGAGGTAATGAGGAGCTTCAAACCTCATTACATCTCAAAAAATATAAAGTAGAACATGCTGTCCATGATATAGGAGAAGGGAAAATGCTCACATTGCTTATGTTTTGTGCTAAAATGTAATCAATAAATACATTAGTAGGTAACTGATTACTAAGAAACAGACTAAATATCATCCTTAAACCTTAGCAGTTTCGACTAAGTAAAGCTGAGTTCTTAAATCTTTTTGGAGTTTTGTGTTTTGTGTTTGTTTAATAAAATAATTTGTTTCTCAAGTCTTTTTTTTTTTTTCTAAGCATGTTTCGTTAAAGAAAACTACTGGCTGGGCGCAGTGGCTCACACTTGTAATCCCAGCACTTTGGGAGGCCACCTGAGGTCAGGAGTTCGAGACCAGCCTGACTAACATGGTGAAACCCTGTCTCTACTAAAAATGCAAAAATTAGCCAGGCGTGGTGGTGCACACCTGTAATCCCAGCTACTCAGGAAGCTGAGGCAGGAGAATCGCCTGAATCCGGGAGGTAGAGGTTGCAATGAGCCGAGATCGCGCCATTGCACTCTACCCTGGGCAACAAGAGTGAAACTCCGTCTCGGGAAAAAAAAAAAGAAGAAGAAAAGAAAACTACCAAAGAACAATTTCAAACCAAAGACCTCTTTGAAACCTGCTAAATCAGGATTCTCACCTCTTTCATTCCTCTTAACCCAGGAAGGGTATGGAGAAAGTTACCTTGAACTCTTGGGATCAGGCTTGACTGCTGAGTGGGTCAGGCAAATGATGGCTTTTCCTTTATCTCAGTATTCTGGAAATATTTACTCGATATTTCTATAGAGAAGAAGAGAAAGTTACCTTATAGCATTCTAATGGAGTGCTAGGGTTTTGAATTAATACATGGAATAGAATCCTTGCTCAGCCACACATCATCTCTGTGACCTTGAGTAAAACTATTTACTATTTCGCAGTTTTCCCATATGTAAAATGGTCATTATAATAGTACCTATTTCCTAAAGGCATAGTGAGGATAAAATGAGATAATTTATGTAAAGTCCTTGGCAGAGTACCTGTCAAATGGTAAATTCCCAAAAATGTATTACCTAATAATATGGTTAAAGTATAATTCCTTTGTCCCAAGATGAATTCTTGCACATTTCCTTTTCATTGTTTTTAAATTTGAAATAGTCCAGGCCTGGTAGCCCACGCCTGTAATCCCAGCACTTTGGGAGGCCAAGACGGGAGAATCACCTGAGGTCAGGAGTTTGAAACCAGCCTGGCCAACATAGTGAAACCCCATCTCTACTAAAAAAAATTACAAAAATTAGCCGAGTGTGGTGGCACACAGCTGTAGTCCCAGCTACTCTGGAAGCTGAGGCAGGAGAATCGCTTGAACCCGGGAGGCAGAGGTTGCAGTGAGCCGAGATTGTGCCACTGTACTCTAGCCTGGGTGAAAGAGTGAGACCTCCCCCCGACCCAAAAAAAATTAAAATGATAAATTTGAAATAATAATGAATTTTATTTTCTTTTACTGTGAAGAGAGCTTATAGTCATTTTCCTTGAATTATAGTAAATGACAATTGGATAACATTAATTTATCTCTGCACCCTCAGTATAGGTGTCATTCCCAGCCTCCAGTTTGGAATAATATCACATGTGAACTTTAGCTTCAATTGAGGATACTTACAGCAATTTTTATTCTCTTCATGCATGCCTTATTGGCCATCTGTTTTCTGGGAAAAAATATAGGTAATAAGAGTGAAAATGACCCCATAGAAATATGTATTGGCTGCCCTTTCTCATATGAGAAGTCAGCAATAGACATAAGTAAAAGATGAGATAAGCCAGGTAGTTGATTCTGTTAAACGTATCTATCTAGACTTAGATCACCAAAGAGAATAAGTGTTCCAAAACAGCCATAAATTCAAATTCATGTGCTTCCTTAGAGATCTGTTTATGGTTCTCATATCTCCTCTTATATGTATTTGAATGACAGAACCATTATTTAAGGCAAGGATCGGGTGATAACATAGAGGCTTCCTTGGTTCTAAGCCTTTTATTAATGTCCTGCTCTCCATTTCCCTGCTTGTTCCCTAGACTGAAGCTACACTGACCAAAGCTACAGCATTTTACATTCTGTAGATGTTGGTTGTGTGCTCATTGCCTGAGACAGCCAACTATTTAATTCTGTCATTGATACCAGGATATTGAAATTCAGTTAAAATTTGAAGCTCACAGTAGCTGGTAGATTAATTTTTTGTGGGTTTATATTTGTTTTATTTTGCTGAACATAAATAGTGTCACACATTACCTTGGATCTAAATGGCATCCATGGCTTGGTGCAATGACTCATGCCTGTAATCCCAGCATATCGGGAGGCCGAAGCAGGCAGATCACTTGAGGCCAGGAGTTCGAGACCAGCCTGGCCAACATGGTGAAATGCTGTCTCTACTTAAAGTGCAGAAATTAGCCAGGCGTGGTGGTGTGCACCTGTAATCCCAGCTACTGAGGAGACTGAGGTATGAGAATCTCTTGAATCCAGGAGGCAGAAATTGCAGTGAGCTGAGATCATACCACTGTACTCCAGCCTGGGTGATAGAGCAAGACTCTGTCTCAAAATAATAATAATAAATAAATAAATGGCATGCATAAGTATTTATTGCTATGAATTAGTGGCTGATCAACAGCATTATTTGTGTTTTCATTAAATCTAGGTGGCACTGTATTTTCTTTTTGGTTATATAGGTGAGAGGTTTCTATGTTGCCCAGGCTGGCCTCAAACGCCTAGCCTCGCCTCCTTATGTGCAAGGACAACAGTTCTGAGCCACCGCAGCTCCCGGTGGCACTGTATTTTCAAATGCAAGTTTAGTGGGGGTAGTTTGAGATCTTCTGTTCGTTTGTTGACCAAAGAAAATTTAAGTTTCATTTTTGAAATCTCTACTTGTGTTACAGATTGGAGACTTATAAGACCATAAAATATGAAGCCTTCTAATAGATAGTTAGCACTCAAAATATCTTTAATGTTAATTAAGTAATGTGACATAAAACATGAAAAAGAAATCTTAGTTACAGACACATGAAACATGTTATGTCATATTTTTCTCTTTTAGTGCATTTATTTCTACCTCTTGGAATAATGATATTACTGATATAAAATTGTATTCAAGTCTTTCAAAAGTTAATGTCTGTTTGTATATAGGTGCTTTCTGCTTTTGTAGTTGCTGCTTTGCCAGTTTTAACAGAAGTGAAGCAAATATTTGTTGTCTTCGGAGCTCTCCTAATTTATATAAGCAATGTTGATGTTAAATGAACAACCTAATATTTAGCTTACCTGTTGTGATGAAGAGTAGTTACAGAGGGATAAATCTTTAACTATTAAATAATTTTCAAATTGTTAAACATTTTTTCTCTTGTAGTGAGAGATTTTTCTTGAGGCTGAATAGAAACGGGCTTCCCAAAGCCCCTGATAAACCGGAACGACATTGCTCCCTCTTTGTGGTGAGTGGATCTTGTTTCATTCATAAGGCAGATTCATCCAGTTATGATTCATACTATTTAGGAGAAATAAATTACTGTGAGAGAACATAGTGAATTTGCTTTTAAACTTTATGTAAATAACACACAAATTACATTAGTGCCCAGAATTCTGAATATCACCTCCCAGGATTACTTTCATTCCTTTAGTGTATTACTGCTTCTGTTATACTATTACCAAAGTATAACAGTGATTGCGGGGCACGGTGGCTCATGCCTATAATCCCAGTACTTTGGGAGGCCGAGGCGGGTGGATCACCTGAGGTCAGGAATTCAAGACCAGCCTGGCCAACATGGTGAAACCCCGTCTCTACTAAAAATACAAAAATTAGCCAGGCGTGGTGGCAGGCACCTATAATCCCAGTTACTCGGGAGGCTGAGGCAGGAGAATTGCTTGAACCTGGGAGGCAGAGGTTGCAGTGAGCTGAGATCGCACCACTGCACTCCTGCCTGGGCAACAAGAGCGAAACTCCATCTCCAAAAACAAAAAACAAAAAACAAAACCAGTGATTGCACTCAGCAAGACACCTGGTATTTAGTATGTGCTTAATAAATGTTTAAAGAATGAATGAGTGAGAGATTGAATCAACAGTGCTCTCTTCTTTAAAGTATTACTTGGTATCAATTGACCTAAGGTTGATTGTAATGATATTTTTAGAACAGGATTTAAATCATGTACTTCTGCTACAAACATTCCATTAAGAATGTCTGTGTCCATCTCTTTCTTCTTTTATTTGTGAAAATAAAGTGCTATGCCCTTTAAGTGCCGCTCATGTCTTCCAAAATAACCAAACTTTCTTTGTTTGTAGGATTTGGGCAGCAGTGAGCTAAGAAAGGACATTTATATCACCGTGCACATTATCCGAATCGGTAGGTATAACACTTGTCAGTGCAGTAGGGGCAAGGAACAGAGAGGAGAAATGCCAAGAGGTTTCTATGTTGTTGTGATTTATTGCTGTCTGAATCAGAAAGATATCAAAGCCAGATTTGAATCCAAGAATCACAGAAGTTGTGAATTGTCCCCAGACCTTCCCAACCCCACATATGACCTCCTCACCTACCATAAACAGATTCTGGTCTCTTTTAATATAAGTAATTAAGAAGTTTGTTGTGTTTCATTTTGTTCTGCTAGCCTTCCTAAACATATTTGATTCAAAAATTCTGTGTTTGTCTCTTAAAATTCTAATTTCTGTTAGCATAAATGAATTTTTCAGAGCTGAGTTTCCTATAAGTTAATGAAGGCTCTGTATAAATTGGCATTTTCCAAAGTGCAGAATGCTTCAGAGCGTTATTCCAGAAGGTGCTACAAAAAAAAAGCCTGTGAAATACTGAATACTGAATTTTTTTAACTTATATAATGTCATCAGCTTATTAAAGGGTCTGAGAAGTCCTAAAGGGAAAAATAAATATGCCTGTCTAACTTTGTTGACCCTAGTTTTCCTCAAATTTGATCTGACTATGAAAACACTTATATAATGTAGCACTTATTAACATCTTGCAGAACCCACTTTAATGTTCTGTGATGAACTTGCTCAGTGAAGCCAGAATGTGTTCCCTCATTTTTACACATAAAATGCCTCTAAAAACAGGCATTTTATGGCAGAGGAATTAGGTGAAATGAGGACTGGTGTAACCTACACAGTTTTTCCGTTAAGTCTAATCAGTCATTATTGGGAATTCATTCCCACTTCTTCACTAACTGTACTCCATTACTTGCCTAGGAATACTTCTGTGAGATAGTAATATCTTGCCATGTAGTCCTGCAAGGTGATTTATTTTTATAGGCTTTGGTTTTATGTACACGATAACTGCATTGTGCATTGAGTGAGACTATAAAAAACATACTTTTATTCCCGCATAGATTTTCTGTATGTTTTTTCTCATAAAAATCTATTCTGAAAACCTGTTTTCATTTTATGCTATTTTTGTATTTGAAGGACAGTAGAAATAAAAAATAGACAGTTTTTGGTTTTGTTTTCATTTTTCTTTTTATAAATGAGTCTATGAAAAAAATTGGAAAGAATCTTTGAAAAGGTTGGAATAGTTAGAACCCATGCTGCTGTTTTCTTATGAGATAAAGCCTGTCTGTTCTCAGGATGGCAGAGGTAGTTTGTCATTTAGTCTGTGTTTCTTTAAATTCAAATGTAATACCAATGGTTAAAGTAAAATGTGGTTTTATATATCTTCATGTAAACATTGCTAAAATTTTAATATAATCTCTGACAGCAGTAAGAGAAAAAGTAAACCACTTTTGCTTTCAGAACTTTCTCCAAGATATCTATGGATTTGGGGTGGTAAAAAAACATGCAGCAAAGTGAGTATGTGCCTTCTGGCCCATGGACTTCACTCACAGTGTTATTGCCAAGGAAGCCGCCTCAGTAGTACTGCCCATCACAGGGCAGCCTTTCAAATGCTTGGTGTTTGATTTGTAATTGCACTTTTTATTAACATTGTTATGGTCATTAAGTCATTAAAATGAATGTTGAGTCAGAAATTACCTCCCTATCTTTGTCTTCAGTTTTGGGCAAATGAATACTTCTCTAGGATTATTGCAAAAAACATTTACCAGTTCAACATTTTGAGACCGAAGGAGAAGTGAGATTAAGGTAAAATACACTAAGATAGGTTAAGATTTAGTCTGCCAGCTCCCTTGATGGAGTGAAATTGGTGGCAGATCATTGTCTTTCAGGGTGTTAGAAATGCAAAATGCTTGTTCCTCAGTGCCACAAAGAAATAGCACTCAAACATTAATTTTCTCAGCAAGGCAATTTTTACCTTCTGCAGAAAGGGTGCCTCTCACAGGTGGAACAATGGTAAGAGCACACCTGGACAGGGGAGGGGAAGGAGTTCTTATTCCTGACGCAGGTAGCCCCTACTGCTCTGTTGTTCCCCTATTTGCTAGGGTTGGACGCACAGTCTAAGCTAATTCTGATTGACTATGTTGAAAAGAGCAGGAGTATAAGCCAGAGTGGCGGGGTGAGTAGTTTGGCAGGAAGGATGGTTAGAAACAGGTAACTAAAGGTAACTTAGGTCAGAGCAGGTGACCAGGGTGACTCAGGTCAAAGCAGGTGACCGGGATGAGTCAGGACAGAGCAGGTGACCAGGGGAACAGATGTAAACTACTGATCAGAACTGGCAGGAAAGTTTTTTATTGAAACTAGAGGCAAGGCGGTGAAGAGAACCAGGAAGTTAAACTTTAAAATGGAGAATCAAAGAATAAGAGAGCTGAACATGCTGACATACTGATTATTTGAAGAGAAACTTGGCGTTCACTATATTTAACAAGGGACACATACTTCTTACAGAATGTCTCTTGTACCTATTTAGTAGGAAAAGGGCATGTTGGCCATCACTGGCTGCAGAAAGCAGGAGCAACAGTACCTCACTTCTGGGAATTTAAGTCCAGCTCTTTAGAAAGATGGAGAGGAAAAAAAAAGAGAAATTAATAGTTTTATATCTTCCTGCTCATGCCAGGAAGTTTCTTCAACCTCTATGCCTCCCTTTTGACTTTTGGTTGATTGCTCAGTACTTTTCCCTTCCCCCACTCCCACTACCTTCCTTCCTACTTAGAGAATGTGCTAGAAATCTGATCGGGTTTCCCAAAGCCCAGTCAGAACTGTGAATTCTTATTAACTCTAGGGTTGGTGCCACTGATCTGGCACCAAAACATCTTTCCAGTATAGTAATTAGAATGGTGTCTAAAGCCGTGGCTTAACGTTAAACTTGCATGTTTGAAGACATGAGTCAGGTGGAGGTTTGGGAGATAAGCTTCCCAGGGGTCACAAGTGACAAAATCCTTGTTGGAGAGTGTTAAGTGGTTGTGAGAGCTACACTTCTCCCATCAACCTTATTCCCTTATTTTGCCATTCCTTCTGTCCCCTACAGTTTTTTTTCTTTAGTGCAGCTTTAGATGAAGGGGTTGTTTAAAAACAAACAAACAAAAAAGGATTGAAATGTGTGCATGCCCTTGTGTAAACTGTAGGAGCTAGCAGAGTCATTAGGAATAATCTTGTTTGCAGTTTCTAGTTTTTTTTTTTAATAAGGAGCTTCTTTCTGATGTTAAATAACTTTGAAGTGCTCCACTCAGAAATCTTATCCTTTTGTCATCTTGTATTTGCAAGGAAATGATTAAGAAAAAAGCATGTTTTAAACCACGATATTGATAAAGACTGCCATACATATTAATATTTCATCCTAATACATTCTGTAATATTATTCAAAATAGACATAAATTGAGACCTTTTTTTTCATTTAAAAAAGTGACCAAAGTTTTAAATTTGTTTAAATCAGTTGTGTAAGTAAAAGTAGGATTGGTTGATAATTAAATTCAAGTATGACATAAAGTGTTCGGTTTTCAGACAGAATTTATATTAAAATTATGTAGAGTGAAATTTGGCCATACATATGGCATCAGGTCATGACAACCTGATATTTTAAATTCTTACATTTTGCACATCTGAAAAGCAGCTGGCTTATTTGGGCCATTTTTTAGTTTGATTCTAACTGATAAAATAAGAGGTTTTCGGGCTGTGTTTCCCTGAAAGTGACATCTTGCAGAGGTAGTTTTCCTTTACTACTGATGAATGAAAGCCAAATTGGATATTGTCATCCCATTTTTTCCTGCTTAACATTGGATTTTGGAATTGCTGGAGATATCTTGATGTGCTATAGGAGAATTTTGCTCAGATAGAAACAATTTATGGTTGTGTTGAAAAGCACCTAGAGACAAATTTGCAGATTTTTAAAATCATTTTTTCCCACATTAACTTGTTATATTTCAACTTCAGTGTACTTTTTGCTTTTTGTCTTCAAAATAATCCACTGATAATTAAATACCAACAATACATTAAAACAATGTATTAATAACATATTTTTAAACATGTAACAATTTAAACAAGTTAAAACTTTACAACAGTTAAAACCATTTTGGTGACAACTGAGTTCTGAACAGCCTGAGAGCTGAGGCAGGAGCATGCACATTTGATCACCTGTGCTTACTTGCTGTACTTCAGACAACCTCAAACTACTCTAGTCACAGGTGAAATTTTTGAAATAGTTTTTTTGAATATGGAATTTGTTTAAAAATAGAAAATGGAAGAGTCACCATTACTGCCTTTAGTGACGTGAACTTCCTGGGATGCCTTCATGAATCTCAGGGGCCAGGGGATGGTTCCCAAACATGGGATCTGTTCCAGTCTTTGTATTTTACAGATGGCAACTGACGCCCAGAATTTAAGCTGCTTACCCAAGGTCACACAGCTAGGTGACTGGAGAGGAGAATCCAGAACTGAAGCAATATCTTCTGTTACGCCCAACCTGGGTGCTCTTTATTGCCCAATTACATTTCAATGGCCTATCTTATAGCTGTATGTTTCGCTACCTAAGATGCATCTAATCAAATGGCTCCATGGGTTAATGATTGCTCTTTAATTGAACAGGTCGAATGGGAGCAGGAGAAAAAAAGAATGCCTGTAGTGTCCAGTACCGACGACCCTTTGGCTGTGCAGTTCTTAGCATCGCTGACCTGCTAACAGGAGAGACAAAGGATGACCTCATTCTGAAAGTATACATGTAAGAAACATGCACGTGGTGATGGCTGGGGTAGGCACAGGGGTACATGTGGGTCCTACTTGGGCGAATGCTACTTTAGGTGGGTAGAGAAGAACAATGGGTGGTTTATGAGCCATTCCTCAAAAACCCAGTAATCTGTAGACTTGTTGCAAGTGAGCCTACAAGCCACAATTTGCCAGTCAGAGGAATTACTGAATTAAGAACCAATGAGTACAGACAGTTTACCAGTTAGGTAGACCGTCTACTATGTGGGATACCACCTTTGAATTTATAAACCTAGCACGTCTTTACCTTCAGACAGTCAATGTGTTCTTGGAAAGTGAAAGTACTTTTTGAAGTAAATTTATTAGAATTGGGGAAGGGAAGCCCAGATGACTTCCATCCTACTCTAGGTGTTAGTTTGCTGGGCCTGCCCTAACCAAGTACCACAAACTGCATGGCTTAACCCATTTATGCCTGAGGTTGCAATTTTTTGAAATTTTTGCAATCCTATCTCGGCGATGACCTTGAGCAGTAGGATATAAATAACTCCACATGCTTAGCATTCCAATAATGGAACACTAGGCATAAGTAAATTTTTTTTTTTTTTTTTTTTGAGAAGGAGTCTCGCTCTGTTGCCCAGGCTGGAGTGCAGTGGTGTGATCTCAGCTCACTGCAAGCTCCGCCTCCCGGGTTCACGCCATTCTCCTGCCCCAGCCTCCTGAGTAGCTGGGACTACAGGCGCCCGCCACCACACCCAGCTAATTTTTTGTATTTTTAGTAGAGACGGGGTTTCACCGTGTTAGCCAGGCTGGTCTCAATCTCCTGACCTTGTGATCCACCTGCCTCAGCCTCCCAAAGTGCTGGGATTACAGGCGTGAGCCACCACCCCCAGCCCATAAATAGATTTTAAACAATAGAAATGTGTTGTCTCACATTTCCCAGATGAAGATATTAGTATAGTTGGCTCCTTCTGAGGGCTGTGAGGGCAATCTGCTCCGTGCCTCTCTCCTGGCCTCCGGTGCTTTGCTGGCAGTCACTGGGGGATCCATGGCTTGTAGACGCGTCACTCTGATCTCTGCCTTCATCTTCACATGGTGTTCATGGCTTTCTCTGGGTCCAATCCCCCACCCCCCCAACTTTTTTTTTTTTTTTTTGAGACAGAGTCTCGCTCTGTCACCCAGGCTGGAGTGTAGTGGAGCAATCTCGGCTCACTGCAACCTCCGCCTCCCAGGTTCAAGAGATTTTCTGCCTCAGCCTCCTGAGTAGCTGGGATTACAGGCGCATGCCACCATGCCTGGCTACAAATTTCTCCTTTTTATAAAGATACAGTCATATTAGAGTGTGGTTCACCCTAATAACCTTCTTATATGATTATCTCTGTAAAGACGCTCTTTCAAATAAGGTCTTATTCTGAGGTACTGGGGGTTAGGACTTCAACGTTACCTTTGTTGGGGGATACAGTTTAACCCATGGTTCTCTACTAAGACAGTTACTTGATATATTCCAAATCCTAAGTTAAATGATTTTTTTAAATGCACATGGGTTTGGCCCACACCACCGTGCCACCTCCCCACAGGCTTGGACGTTGAGGCCTAATATACAGCAACATCTTCAGAGCAGACTTATTAGGGTTTCCACACTCCTGGTTTGAGGACCACACCATTGGCTACCTCCATGAGTGAACTGGCTTTCGTATTCCATTCTGGAGGTTGTGTTAATATACCTAATATGTGCCAGTAGATTTTTCATAGGTGATGGTAACACAAGTGGCCCACTGCCTATGGGACATATACTTAAAATTGCCTTTTTGACCTCTGCTGCAGGGTTTCATGGATTTTTCTACTCTCCATCCAATGGGACCTATGTAACACATTCAATAATTCATTGACAAAGATTTATCTATAGTCTGTGGTTTAGGACCGGTAACTCTCTTCATCCCTCTTAAAAAGGAAAACACCTGTGATGTTGATGTTAAACTTGAAAACTTTTGGTGAAATTAGTGGGTGGTAAAAGTTGCTACTCTTTTTATCACATAGCAACCCTCAATTTCAGTGGTTAAGCTTAAATCCATGATACCCTTCTTTCCATACTTAACTGGTGGTCATAAAACGTAGTTTATTTGAAATGCTAATGACTGATAATAACCACCCTTTACTGTGTGCTTACTATGTGTGAGGAACTGTGTTAAGCACTTTGCATGTGTCGTATCCTTTTGTCCTCACAACAAACCCATGAAGCAGACAGACGCTCCTACTCAGTTTTACTCATAGGGGAACGAGAGTTAAATAACTTGCCCCATGTTGCCTAGCTAATAAGAAAAGGAAGCAGATTTGAGGTCAGGACTGTCTTGCTCCAGCATCTGAGCTCTCCAGTTAATAATTTGTATTTTTCCAGGTGTTATTTCACACCATAGTCTAGTAAGGTGATGATGCTGCTGTTATGTGGCTTTTTAAGCAAACTGAAATTCCTCACAAACACACTCTCATCATTTCTTAAAGTAGTCTTTCCAGGTGTGAGTAGCAAGTATTGTATTTATCCTGTCAGTGGGAAAACAGAGGGACAGACAGTCCCATCATCACCCTTTATGAGGCAGCCAGCGGAATAAGACCTATGCATTCCAGCCCTGCCAATGGGAGACAGTCACACTCATGAAGACAAATTGTTCTGCTCTTTGTGTTTTTTTTTATTGTCTGCTTTTCCATAAGCATCAAATAAGGTTTTGGGTAATTCTTAATAGAAGATAAATTCCTGAAAAATGCCCATTCAGCAAATAGTGATGCTGTTTCAAGAGTAATACTAACCAGTCAAAACAGTCACTGTAGATTAGGAAGGAACTGTGAATTTAGTCAAACATGGGAAAGTGCCTGTTAGAAAAAATTGGGGAGAAATTTCTATTTGATAAGGTGACTGAACCCCCAGCCCTTCTGGGACTCAAAGAACAGTAGCAAATGCCTGCCTGAGCCTGGAAGATACTTTAGTCACATACTTTAGGAGCTTTTGTTTGTTTGTTTGTTTGTTTTGAGTTTTGAGTTTTGTAGGTTAAAAGCATGAATTCTGGAATCACTTAACTATCTAATAGGAAGCAAGCCATCTTTCTTTCTTCCCCACTGGGCTGAAATAAGAAAACTGGAGGCAGAATGTGCTAAATGGCAGTTTGGTGTCTTACAACTAGACAGGTGGGATGGTTTCATTCCATCTTAATTTTCCAGCCCTCTTAAGATTCGGCGCTCATTTAGATATCCCACTGTTAATTGGCTCAAAAATCACCTCCATCATGTTCATCCTGCAAAATCCTGTGGCAATAAAATAAATAAAAATGTGAGCAAACAATTATGAATTATCTGCCTCAGACTTGATCACTAGGAAACAGAACCTGCGCTGTGGGAGATTTTGATTGATAGTGTACAGAATCTTGATGTTCAGGCCTCTTGGGAGGATGCATTCATGGCTAATAAAGTAGTGAATTTACACATATGTTCAGATGAAGGAACTTTTCCCCAGCCAATCTGGGAGAGTAGTGGCAGTAAGGATGGATAACAGAACCACATGCTTACAAATCATTATGAGTTACCAGGCAGAGGGACATCCATCCATCCGTCCATCCATCCATCCATCCATCCATCCATCCATCCATCCATCCATTCATACCACTGACAGTTTTTAAGCATCCACAGCATTCAAAGTACTAAAGGAAACTCAAATATCAGCCAGTCCTAGATCCAGTCCTCAAGAACCTTAACAGTCTCCCAGGTGAACTACACCACGTAAACAAAGATAACATGACCTAATGAGTGATAAAAGCTAAGAGAAAGAGGTACAGATTGCTGTGAAAAGACGGAGAGATGCCCCATGTGGAAGATCTGAAAGAGTAATTTTATTATTCTTTGGTAAATCCTGCCAGTCTTTTGCCAGTACAAGCTGTGTTAATGTCAATTTCATTTTGCTTAATTTGCTGCATTTTGATTCTGGACAAACCTGGTCATGTTACAGTAGGCAGAGACTTGCTAATGAGAACTAATTTACTGAGCATTTATTATATGCCAGGAATTACCCTAAGCCCATGTTAGTTTAAAGTTCTAGTATATTATCTGTGTTTCATAGGTGGGGAAATTAAGACAAGAGTAAATAAACTCACCTAAAGAACATAGCTTGGTTAATAGTGAGAATTTGAATCTGGGGAGTTGAACTCAGTTGGGGCTGCCTTCCCCTGTATACATTGTTCTCTGAGATTTCTGTCTGTTTTGGGGCCACTTGTAATCTGCGAAGTGTTATCCCAGCTGCTTCTGTCATGAGGTAGGTGGTCAGGCATTACCAGATACGGACATTCTTGCTCATCCTGGGACAACCATGCTAAAACTGACAGTCAGTTGCAGCAGGTTGATGGGGACCTCAAGGAGGTACATTATAGTGGTTATAACGAAAAGGGCAGATGTACTATGAGGATCACTGCTTGACTGCATGCATCATTAAAGCTTAACAGAGTGTTAATGTTTTCATAGGTGTAACACAGAGAGTGAGTGGTACCAAATCCATGAGAACATCATCAAAAAGCTGAATGCACGTTATAACTTGACTGGCTCCAATGCAGGTGAGTGTATGGGCTGGCTGACTTTCCCTACACTTTTCGTTCCAAGCCCTTTTTTTTGTTTGTCTGTTTGGGAAGGAAATTATCAGCCCTTTGTTTTTCTGTCTATTCACTCCCTAACTTTAAAAATGCTCAATGAACATTCTGGTATGTCTTCCTATGCTATGATAGGGTTGTACTTATAACTCCCTATAAAAAATGTATTCTATTCTTGTTGAAACGAAAAAGATAATCTGAATTTGTTCTTTGGTACCAAGTCTTCATACTCCTAAGTTGTTATTGAAAACTAAAAATCAGCCAGGCACGGTGGCTCACGCCTGTAATCCCAGCACTTTGGGAGGCCGAGATTAGTGGATCACCTGAAGTCAGGAGTTCGAGACCAACCTGGCCAACACAGTGAAACCCCGTCTCTACTAAAAATACAAAATATTAGCTGGGCATGGTGGCAGGTGCCTGTAATCCCAGCTACTCGGGAGGTTGAGAAAGGAGAATTGCTTGAACCTGGGAGGCGGATGTTGCAGTGAGCTGAGATTGTGCCATTGCACTCCAGCCTGCGTGACACAGTAAGACTCTGTCTCAAAGAAAAAAAAAAAAGCAAGCTAAAAATCACATGACAAATATGATGCTTGGATTTGTGACTGTTCTGTGGAAATAAGTTTGATAAATAGCAATTTTTAGTGAGGTCCAATAAAAACATGCTTCGCGGCCGGGCGCAGTGGCTCACGCCTGTAATCCCAGCACTTTGGGAGGCCGAGGCGGGCGGATCACGAGGTCAGGAGATCGAGACCATCCTGGCTAACACGGTGAAACCTCATCTCTACTAAAAAAAAAAAAAAAATACAAAAATTAGCCGGGCATGGTGGCAGGCACCTGTAGTCCCAGCTACTCCGGAGGCTGAGGCAGGAGAATGGCGTGAACCTGGAAGGCGGAGCTTGCAATGAGCCAAGGTCGCGCCACTGCACTGCAGCCCGGGTGACAGAGCAAGACACTGTCTAAAAAAAAAAAAAAAAAAAAAAAAACAAAAACAAAACAAAACATGCTTCGCTGCCTATGGCTGGCTTTGAGCAGCAACATTATTGACAAACATACAGGTTCACACATTGAAGTTGGCTAAAAAAGAAAGTGATGCTGATTGCAGTGGCATGTGAAGAAAAATGTGTGTGTGCTTGTTCAGAGAGGAACTGAAATATATACCACTATAAGTCGTATGAGGTACATAGTATTGTACTAGTAACATATAGTATATACTACATTATATAGCATATATAGATTGCATAGCATAAATAATGACATCTTTAGGTTTGGTCAGTAGACAAAAACTTGGTGAATATTGTTTGTTCTTATCCACCATTCAGACCCACATTGAAGCAAAACAAAGTATGCAGTCATGTGCTTTAATCGATATAAAGAAACTTCAAATAAAGTAAGCTGTTTCTTGAACTGAATGTGTTGTTTTTTAAGACTGATTTTTAAAAACACCTTGAATATAGATATTTTTGTTGCAGTCCAGATCACCTGGCAATTAGGAGAACCAGAATTTAAATTCAAACCGCCTTTCTTTTTTCAGAGCCTTGCACATCTTGCTAGACCAAACTGACCGCAAAGAGAAAACCACTGTAGACAGAGCTTTGTCATTCAGTTCAGTGAGAGCCATAAGTACCTCCAACTCACACATGTGGCAACGCTTCAGACTATAATGAGTGGTGAGGTCAGTTTCCTCCTCCCTCTCCTTAGAGTTGGAGAGATAACTTGGGTTTTATTTGATGCAGATGGCCCTTTGCTTTGGACAAAGTCCTGCATCTACCACTAAACAAACAAGACACTTGGAGCACTTACTATTGAGGGCAGAATCTCTAAAAGACTCACACGAGACAGGAGAAATGAAATACAACATGGAACTACTATGTATGCTTGTCTTCTCTTTTCCCACAAAACAATTACAATTCTCGGCTGGGTGCGGTGGCTCACGTCTGTAATCACAGCACTTTGGGAGGCCAAGGCGGGTGGATCACAAGGTCAGGAGATTGAGACCATCCTGGCAAACATGGTGAAACACCCGTCTCTACTAAAAATACAAAAAATTAGCTGGGCCTGGTGGCGCGTGCCTGTAATCCCAGCTACTCCGGAGTCTGAGGCAGGAGAATCGCTTAAACCAGGGAGTCGGAGGTTGCAGTGAGCCAAGATCGCACCACTGCACTCCAGCCTGGCGACAGAGAGAGACTCCATCTCAAAAAAAAAAAAAAATATATATATATATATATATGTATATATGTATATATATATAAGTATATATGTATATATACGTATATATGTGTATATACGTATATATGTGTATATACGTATATATGTGTATATACGTATATATGTGTATATACGTATATATGTGTATATACGTATATATATGTGTATATACGTATATATATGTGTATATACGTATATATATGTGTATATACGTATATATATGTGTATATATATGTATATATATACACACTTCTCCTGATTGTCCATGGATAAAATGGTTTAATTTCAATACCCCCTCAGTAAGATAGTAGAGCTGCTATTTGTTAGAGAACACATCTTGTGGAATTCATTGGTAGACTTCCAGCCAAATCCAGTTCTACTCTAAACCTTTCGGTGTTTCTTGATACCAGTGACCATCATTTTGTCATTAAATTTACCCTAGACCTGTGCTGTCCAATTCAGGAGGCAGCAGCCATATGTTGCTGTTGACAATTAGACATGAACCTAGTATACCACTAGAATTGAGATGTGCTGTAATTGTAAAGAACATACCGTATTTTGAAGACTTGGCCCAATAAGAAGAATGTAAAATACCCATCAATAATTTTCATATTGATTACATGTTGAAATGATAACATTTTGGATATATTGGGATAAATAATGTATGCTATTAAATTTTTTTTTTTACTTTTTTGACATGGTTACTAGGGAAATTTAAATTTCATTCATGATTCACATTATACTTCTGAGTCAGTGCTACTCCAGGCTCTGTTTAAAGGCTAGCATTTTTTTAAGTTCTTATGGATCACAAACAAATCCATTATGCCCTGCTCCTTTCTTTCTGCCTATTAACTGTGAATAGAAGAGTTGGTAACCATGGTGTATCTTGTTCTTTCTCCCTATGCGTCCTGTTACCTTAATTTGCTTGCATTTGCCCTCAGTATGGATAAACAAATACCAAACTAATCCTGACCTTCTGACTTTTCACATGTAGTCCCTGACCTTCCTACCATCATAGATGTGGTCTTGACTCACCATGATATGCTGAACTGTTGGCTACATGTCTTTCCCAACTCCTTTTCATCTCCCAGTCCTTTCCCACTTCAAATATGCCTCATGCAGGACAACATTCATCTGTTATTAGGTTGTTTGAATATATAATTGTCCAAACTCTGAGGTCATACCCAATTGCCTCTGGAATGTTGGTGAAGTTCTCAATGGTAGGCTTTGATTTATATCTCTAGATAGACTCTAACATAAGTGATCCTGTATCCTTAAGGCCTGCGTTAAAGGTCAGGATTCCAGTTAAACCAAACCACACATTTCCCTCTGCTTACAGACAGGAGTCATCTCTTAGAGAGTATAGTGTAGTATTTAAGAGCTTTTTCTCTGCAAGCAGGATGTCCTAGGTTTGAATCCTCTAAGGGATATTGGGAAGATTAAAAGAAAAAATGTATGCAAAGCACTTACCACAGGACATCATACATGGTGTGTGTTTAATGTTAGCTATTATTATTGTTTACCCACTTTAAAGCCACTAGCTGAAATATTCTATCCTTACCTCTTAAGTTGTCTGTTTTCATTGTCTCGAAATGGATCCTGATTTAATCTCCTTAATGAAGACTTTTAGAATAACACAATTGGATTATTGATATGTTGGATCATTGAACCGACCCCTTCTATACTTTGTTTCCTTCATCTCCTCTCCATTGATTTGATTGCTAATATCTCTTCCTGGTTTCTTTTAACTTAATTGTTGGCCTTCTGATTAACTTCAGGAAGGAAGGGAAGCACATTCTGTTTCCTTGGGCAGTTCCTCCCATGTTTAGATGTGTCCACATGTTCCATGTGCTTTGTCAATTTTACTAGCTCCTTATTCTTACTGGAATCCTGAGTGAAACCCTACCAGATAGTGAGATCCAAACCACCCTTTTCCATGAGTCATACCTTTTCTGTTTACAGCCTTTGTACTGAAATGAAAAGCTACGTGTTGTAGCCTTTGCAAAGAATGAAAGAAACCATTGTACCATAAAGCCTTGTAAAAAGGTTTCCCCTTCCTCTGGCAGGATCCATTCCCATTTTGCAGCCTGCTGTGATGCTCAGATTCCTAGGCAACCAAATGTATGCACTTTATACCTGGCTTCTGCTACAAAGCCCTGTCTGCTCCGCTGTCCTTGTGACCTCAGCCCTTCTCTACCCTTCTCTCTTAACCCTGAGGCCCAGCCAGGCCCACGCAGCCTGCATCTATCTGCCTTCTGTTTCTCTGGTCTCTCTCTCTGATCCTTTCTAGCCTCTCTCAAGCTGAGGCAAACCCAGCCCTAAGCCTCTTCACTCTAATATTCTGCTCTAGAGAGTGGAAGCTCAGGAAGAAGCCTAAAAACTAATTTAAAGAAAAGCAAAACTTATACTCTTCCCACCAAAGCTTCCACCCTTCAGTCTACGTAGATCATTGTTCTGTATCCCCTTGATCTATATCCTTGGTTGAGGAATGGAAGTTCTGTGGCCAGCAGATAGGGATTCCAGAGCTGTTCAGCTTCATTATTGAAAGGGAGGCACATTCATGGCTTACCTCAAGATAGTGGGGGAAGCAAGAGCACAAGAAATTGAAGAGGGAAATTAGGGTGCCTAATGTTTAAACTGTCACAACAGTTAGATAATGTTGACTTCCGCTGTTTTCTCTCTGGACCACAGAATTGTTTGTTAAATGGAAGCAGTGCAGTCAAACGTTTTCAAAAGAATTGAGTTCACTCTAAAAAGTACTGTTTTTCCCCACTTTCTCCTGCTATTCCTCAGTCACTGGCACTAAAAAAAGAGAAAAAAACGCAACTTTGAAATTGGTTTCGGAAACAAATTCTACCAGCTAATTTCCAGGCCCTTTATGCTTCATTGATGTCCTCCTAGCTATTGGAGTTGTAATCTTGTCTGGTTAATAGATAAAGGGATTCACCAATTAACTGGGCTTTTTTCCCCTCTAACCTAAGACTTATGTTGCAAAGGTACATTAACCACTATCTTAGTTGAGTTTAGAAACTGGGAGAAAATTGCAAGCAATCCATTTAACTTTTTAAGATGTTTTAAAAATTGAATTACTATATCTTCACAGTTAGATATAGTTAGGTTGAGTAGTTTGAAATCTCCAAAGTTGTGCTGTTTTATGAATTTTAAATCCAAAGGCAATGTTGTGAGAATTTGAAATTCTAAAAGTATTCATTAATGTGAGCCTGGTTTAGGTTTGTTGAGCAAATGGTTATTATAAATTTCACCTCTGATAGACAGCAGTTGAATTATAGGAATGTGACATTAGACTGAGCCAATATGATTTACTGAGGCAAATTAAGTTCTACGTCTTGAAACGGTGTGTAAAAATCATTGGCTATGGTTCAGTATGTCCCAAGAGAAACTTCAAAGTCTTTTCATATTATCTGTGTATTTATGAAATATTTTCTATGGTTTGCACATGTAGCTTACACCTAGAAGAAATCATATTTGCTATTCAGGTAAGTTTCTAGAGTCTTTGTTGTATCTTAGATGAGTGTACATGGTTGTATTCCTGCCAGCTATACTTTTTAACTCCATAAGGAGACCACAATATATAGCGAGAGCAGTTTAACTCTATTCAGGAAATATATGGTGTTTTTTATTTGGCTGAGGTGAAAGGAGGCTTTTTGAGAGTGTTAGGTTGCATTTTTGGGTCCACACATACCAATGTAGTCATTTTATTCAGTGTTACCAAGTTGGTATAATTCATAAGAATTTGATCAGTGCACCTGATTTTTGAACATTGTATTTGCTTTCTAGTATCATTGAAATAAAAGTAGTACTTATTGGCACCACCTATTGGTTAGACATTTAATATGTGACCTTTTTGCTGACTTTTGGAGTTTCCTAAATATTTTACCATGATCTCTCTTTAAAGTTTTTTTTTCAACTAATTTGTAGAAAACAGTACAAAGAATTTGTAATTTCCCAAAGGTTAACATTATACTACATTTCATTTGCATAATCTCCCTCCATTTATATATGTATGTGTGTGCATATAGTCATATAACGCAACATTAATGAATTTGATATGATCCTTAAGGATTATATCAGAGCCTTGATTGTATATGTTTGTGTGTGTATATATGTACATATACACTTATATATGCATGTATACACACATATGTACATATATACACATATACACATCTATACACATCATACATATATACATTTCTTTTCCTGAGCTGCCTGAGAACAAATTGCAGACATGATCCCTCTCTACCCCTGCTTACTTCAGAACATAGCAACAGAACCACAGTACAGTTATCTAAATCAGAATGTTAACATTGATATAATACTGTTATCTAATCTGCAAACCTTGTTCAGATTTTGACAATTTTCTCTACGTCTTTTATAACAAAAGAAAATCCTAGCCAGGTTTGGTGGCTCCCACCTGTAATCCCAGTACTTTGGGAGGCCGAGGTCCGTGGATCACTTGAGGTCAGGAGTTCGAGACCAGCCTGACCAACGTGGTGAAAACCCATCTCTACTAAAAATACAAAAATTAGCTGGGTGTGGTGGCACGTGCCTGTTAATTCCAGCTACTCAGGAGGCTGAGGCAGGAGAATCAATTGAATCTGGGAAGCAGAGGTTACAGTGAGCCAAGATTGTGCCACTGTACTCCAGCCTAGGTGACAGAGCGAGACTCCATCTTAAAAAAAAAAAAAAAAAAAGAAAAAGAAAATCCAGGCTATTTTGCATGCAGTTGTCATATCTCTTGTTTCCTTCGATCTAAATCATGCTAATGACAGCAAAGAAAAAATATAGTTCAAAATATGTTACTACATTACACCGTAAGATATTTTTTAAAGTTCATGCAGTATTTAAAAAAAATAAAACTAAATCCAAATGATGTGAATGGAAGTAGTGATTAGAGCTTGATTTCATTTTCTAAATGAGCTATGTATGGCTAATTTAGATATAATCACTAGCAATACTGTTTGCAAGATTTGCTGCATAGGAAAAATATGGAAGTATTTCAGTAAATTAAAATAATCAGATATTAAACTACAATCATAGATACTATTGTAGAGGAGGAAAAATATTTCCTCATGTATCCTAGGTTCATGGATTAAGCCCCAACAACAAAAGACAGAGTAACAAAAGAAAAGTATACAAACAAACATATTTAAGTTCTTTGTGACATGAGAGCCTTCATTAGGAAATGAACACCTGAAGAAACAGTTTAATCTTAGTTTTTTTATAGTAGGTCTGATGAAGAACAGGGAGTTGTAGAGAAATACTAGGGGGTGAAAAAGGTATCGTCTAATGGCAATAAACTGGGAGAAACTTAGGAAGGCCTGTTTATTCAGGTTCTTCTCTGCAACACTTTGTTTTCAGAGATAAGGATGTACTTTTCATCCAATATACGGAGGGCACTTCTTATGACCTGCTCAGGGGAGAATGGCAGGGAAGGTCCGAGAGACCTTCCTGCACATGGTGTCTCTCCAAATAGTCAGTATGCCAAGGAACCATGTTTTAGGGTAATGTGTCCTGAACCCCATCACTATGCTCTATACACATTTTTTAAATGGTTTGCAGCCCATGGATTCCTTTGTATTGGTATTGTGGAAATAAAATACAAATAGGTAATAATAGTTACAGTAAAAACAAACAAAGCCTGTTTAAAAAACCTAGACATAGTCCTCAGTATATGCTATTGAAATGTTGATACACTAAATCAGAATAAGAATGGAAACTTTAAAGTGAAAAATTCCCCTTAGTTAAAAAGGAAATGTTGAAATCCCTTCGAATGCTCTCATCACTCCTACCAAATGTGGAGAAGCCCCTCTCCAGCTTTCATTGCTGGTCAGCAGATTTCTTTTGTAGTTAAGACTCAATGAAAGTAAATAATTTCACATGTCTTTAATGCCTTTTCATTTGACATTCTGTGACATTATGTATTGCTTCAATCTTATGTTCTTTATAACTCTTAGCCATGAGCTAACCACTTCTCTAGAGAAAACATAAAAGCCTTTCCCAAAGCTTTGAAATTTAGAACTAGCAGATCTGCAAACCAGCAGTTATAATCACAAGATTATTTGTTCACGCTTATCATACCTTTTGCATATTAGAAGGTAGTCATCCCAATGGACAGAGTTACCCACTTCGAAGATCTCAGGAAGATGATCTTCAGACAGTGAGCCTATGGTCAGACCCTTTGGGTTATCCTCAGTGATGTCAAAATTATATTCTTTAAGACTTAACTTAGTTTAAAGAAGCAATCAGCAATAAGCATATTCACAAATTGAACAATACTGGCTAAAACTCAGAAACCAAGGTATGACTATTAAGAAATAAAAGTGTTTTCTTTCTTCCTGTCTTCCTTCCTCCGTTCTTTTTCTTTTTTTCTTTCTTCCTTCTTTCCTTCCTTCCTTCCTTCCTTCCTTTCTCTCTCTCTCTCTTTTTCTCTTTCTCTTTCTTTCTTTTTTCTTTGCCTCACGCTGTCGCCAGGCTGGAGTGCAGTGGCATGATCTCGGCTCACTGCAACCTCTGCCTCCCGGGTTCAAGTGATTCCCCTGCCTCAGCCTCCTGAATAGCTGGAACTACAGGTGGCACACCACCACGCTTGGCTTATTTATTTATTTATTTATTGTATTTTAGTAGAGATGTGTTTTTACCATGTTGGCCAGGATAGTCTCGATCTCCTGACCTCGTGATCTGCCCACCTTGCCCGCCTTGCCCGCCCGCCCTGCTTCCTTCCTTCCTTTCTTTCTCTTTCTCTTTCTCTTTTTCTTTCTTTTTTTCTTCCTTCTTTTTTTCTTTGTTTCTTTCTTTTTCTTTCTTTCTTTCTTTTTCTCTTTCTCTCTCTCTCTCTCTCTGTCTTTCTTTTTTCTTTGTCTCGCTGTGTCGCCAGGCTGGAGTGCAGTGGCGTGATCTCGGCTCACTGCAACCTCCGCCTCCCGGGTTCAAGTGATTTCCCTGCCTCAGCCTCCTGAATAGCTGGAACTACAGGCGGCGCGCCACCATGCTCGGCTTATTTATTTATTTATTCATTGTATTTTAGTAGAGATGGGGTTTTACCATGTTGGCCAGGATAGTCTCGATCTCCTGACCTCGTGATCTGCCCACCTTGCCCGCCTTCCTTCCTTCTTTTTCTTTCTTTTTCTCTTTTTCTTTCTTTCTTTCTTTCTTTCTTTTTCTCTTTCTCTCTCTCTCTCTTTCTTTTTTCTTTGTCTCGCTCTGTCGCCAGGCTGGAGTGCAGTGGCACGATCTCGGCTCACTACAACCTCCGCCTCCCGGGTTCAAGTGATTCCCCTGCCTCAGCCTCCTGAATAGCTGGAACTACAGGCGACACGCCACCATGCAAGGCTTATTTATTTATTTATTGTATTTTAGTAGAGATGGGGTTTTACCATGTTGGCCAGGATAGTCTCGATCTCCTGACCTCGTGATCTGCCCACCTTGCCCTCCCAAAGTCCTGGGATTACAGGCATGAGCCACTGTGCCCGGCCCTCTTTTTTCTTTCTTTTCATTTTAAATTGGTTTTGAAAGTATATCTAAAAGAGGAGATACATCCCAAATTTAAGCAGTGGCAACATTAATAGCGTAAGTATCTAGCTCTGCAAGATGACAATGTTAAAGGACAGCTGTAATTTGGGTACTTTGGTCCTACTGGGTAGAGGCTTTGAGTAACTAGGCTCCTTTCATCATGTAATTAACACATTGTTAAGCAGGCCTCTGGTAATGTTCACAGCTCCCATTTTCCCATCTGCATCTTGATTTCTCCATCTAACCTGGCTCATTTGTACACACCAGTCTCTTCCTAATATTCTGGCTTTTGCTCCATTGACTCATTTTCCGATAGTATTGTCTCACTTAATACCTCACACTTTCTAGAAATTTGACTTTCTTTCTTTCCTCTGCTTCAGAGACTTTCAGAGCCTGTCTCTGACCTCCCAGTGTAAATACCTCATTTTAATCAGCCAGGATTTTACTGCTTGGTGTAGCTAGGATGTGCCTCTGGAAAAGTTTTCACTGGCTTTGAGTTGAACTCCAGATAGGATATATAGCTTCTAATGTATTTACTGTGAAATTCAATTATCTTTTCTTATAGATATAACACATAACATTCTAATGCACAAAGCAAAGCTTAGATGATTAATTTTGTAAATCAAGCACATAGGAAGGAATAGATGTAAAATTTGTGCTCTGATAAGATTGAGGCCCTACGTATTTCAGAAATGAACAGGTTTTACTGAAGGTGATTTTTGAAAAAATCTACTAATATCATCTATAGGAAGTTTTGCTAATACCTCATAATGTTAGTAATTTTTTGTAGTACAAGTTTAGAAATTCCACCAATTGTGTTTTACTCTCAGCCCCCACCTCCCAAACATACAAAGTATGCAAGTACTGTCAAGAAATAGTGTTTTGAGAGTTTACTACAGAATGGCAGTGTGAAGAGCTGCACCATCCTCCTCCAATGGAACAACCATTATTGATGAAAATCGTATTTTCTTTTAGATTTTAAATTAAATTATTTTTCATATTTATTTATTTTTAAAAATGAAATGGGGACTCACTACATTGGCCAGGTTGGTCTTGAACTGGCCTTAAGCAATCCTCCCACCTTTGCCTCCCAAAGGATTATAGGTGTGAGCCACTGTGCCTGGTCACAAATTGTATTTTAAAACAGGACTAATGTCTAGAAATCTTCCTAAGTGTAGACAGCAAATAAAGAGTAACTGCCAACTCCTGGTAAGAATCAAGAGAGTTGGTGAAACTTATATCACATCTCATTTTCTCCTTCCTGCCTGCACCAGCTCAGCGTGATGAAAATTCCACTACATATACATGTAGCCAAGAAGATGGGGTTCCCTCTCCCATCAGCTTCCAGTCAAGGTATATGGTATCTCACCAGGAGAGGGTAGGCTACTAGCATATCACATTTCCCCTGGTCCCAGTTGTATAGCCTAAAAAAAGTAAATGTGTAACCCACTCCATATCGTCGCTTCCACACCTATGATGCATGGGATCCCTGTGAAAAAAACAACACCCACTAAAGATGAATTGTGATAAAATGATAACAATTAGCAATCAATGAGGCAGAGTAAGCAAATGCAACAAATGAGAATCATGATCTTTTGGAATTTTAGGTAATAAACTATCAGGAAAAGAGGTAGCAAAAGAGATTTCTAATGAAAAAGAAAACATCATAAAAAAATGGAACGAGATTTTTAAACCCATACATCAAAAGAATATTGAGTATATATATTTCAGCGTTACTCAAGGCACTGGTATACAGTTTTTGACAATGAAAAATCTTTGTTTTCTTTGTGTATAAATTCTAGTGGTTAAAGAGAAGTAAATAGAACTTCTAAAATTCTTTTAAAAAATGTTATTAAAATAAGAAATCAGTGGACTACTTAAATAGCAAACGAGCATAGTTGGAAAACGAATTAGTAAAATAACTTAAAATATTAGCCAGAATGCTACCCAAGGGGTAAATGCAATGGAATAACCTGAATAAACATTTAAGAGCAGTGAAGGATTGAATGAAAAGACCAGCATACATCTAGTAGGAATTCCAGAAGGAACAAATAAAGTACATGGGTAAGCTGCAATATTTGAAAAGGTTGAGAATTTGTAGAGCTTTTGCAGAGGATAAAATGTGCAGATAAAAGAAGAAAATGTTATTAAGTAGGATAAAGTTATATCTGGATAAATTAAATAACTTTTGCAGAGGATAAAATGCCCAGATAAAAGAAGTGAAAGTTATAAGCAGGATAAATAAAAGTCATATCTAGATAAATTATGGTGAAACTGCAGAACACCAAAGACAAAACCAGAAACCAGAGAGAAAATACTGATTACCTAAAAAGAAATAATAGTCTTAGCAGCAGTTACAGAGGTCAGAATATTATGGAATAATAAATATCTTAAAACTGCTGGGAGCAAATGGCCAACTTTGAATTCTTTACTTGCCAAACTGTTACAGTCATTGCTTGGTATCCGTGGGAAACTGGTTCCAGGACCTCTCAGGACACCAAAATTTGCAAATGCTGAAGTCCCTTACATAAAATAGCATATACTATTTACATATAACCTATGCACATCCCCTCATATACTTTAAATTATTTCTAGCTTATGTATAATACCTAATACAATGTAAATGGTATCTAAATGATTGTTATTACTGTATTGTTTTTTGTGGTTACTGTTGTTGTGTTGTTATTTTTTATGGATTTTATTTTTCCAAATATTTTTGACACCCAGCTGGTTGAATCCACAGATGCAGAGCCCCACAGAACAAAGGGCCTGCCATATTTAAAAGGGGGAATAAAATAAAATTTCAGATGAAGACTTGGAGATTTTACATTCACATTCACTGAAACAACTAGTCAGAGTTCATCATCAGGAGTAAAGAACTGAACCCAGGCTGGGTGTGGTGGCTCACACCTATAATCCCAGCAATATGGGAGGCTGAGGCGGGTGGATACCGAGGTCAGGAGATCGAGACCATACTGGCTAACACGGTGAAACCCCGTCTCTACTAAAAGTATAAAAAATTAGCTGGGTGTGGTGGCGCACGCCTGTAGTCCCAACTGCTAAGGAGGCTGAAGCAGGAGAATCACTTGAACCTGGGAGGTGGAGGTTGCAGTGAGCCAAGATCGCACCACTGCACTCCAGCCTGGGCGACAGAGTAAGACTCCATCTGAAAAAAAAGAACTGAACCCAGAAGGAAAGAAATGTAAGAAGCAAGTGTGTACGAAGAGAATAGTAAATGTCAGGGTAAATCTATTTAAGCACTGACTGCAAACAGCAACAATTTAAAAATATATCATCATCAGAGTTTAAAAGATCCAAGTTCCCAGAATTGTTCCAGAAGAGAATAGAGCTATTGATTAAATTTAGTATTTAAGTCAATTACTTATGTTACACATTTAAAGAATAGAAATAGTATGTATAATTTCCAGAACTATAGAGAGATAAATAAGCAAATAAGAAAACTTAATCCATTTAGAGGGTAGAAATGAAAAAGAAGGGGAAAAAAGAGAAGCAAACAAAAATCATGATATTTGAAAAACAAAATAAGATAGCAATATAACCTCTCCTCCTGACTAAATTACATGCTAAGTGTCTTCTAAAGGATATTTCAGAATTTGTCACTTGTTCAGAGCGTTGACTTACTAGTATCTGAGGACAGCACTGTAATCTCCATGTCATTAGGAATTTCACCGCCTTCGCATATGTCTAATTGTACTTATCGTCTATTTGTATTTCTCAGTTATGTCTTTGTCAAGTCTCCTATGTTAGAGGATTGTTCTCAATATACAGACATATTTGCCTTTGAAACCTTTATAGAACCTAATCACAATATTTGGATTTATCTGGTGGTAAGTGGGCACAACTATTAAAAGAAATATTTTATTTCTATATGACACTAAGGAGACTTTGGCCATTTTTTGATGGAAGCTAATTTGTTGATACTCATGGTAGGGAGGAATGAGAACAGAAACAATGATAGATATAATGATAGTAGTGGCAGTGGCAATTGTAGGAGTAGCAGCTGACACTTCCTTTGAGCTAAGCATTACCTAAAGTATTTTATGGAATTGGTGCCTTTATCTTTATTTTACAGATGTGGAAACCAAAGCACAGAGAGGTTAACATTGAGGCAGTCACTTGCAACCATATGATATGATTCTTAAACTGCACACTTAGTAACAACATGTATTTATCCAATATATTTATCACAGTTTTCCATTTTTGCATCGCTGTGCATTCGTAGCTACATGTTATGTGGTTTATTAGTGGCAAAATGGCTGATGTATTCTAAAATTTCAGCTGCTACTTATAAATCATGCTATGCTTTCCATTTTTAATGTAAAATTGCAGAATTTCATGAATTTAAAAGGAGCCAACTTATAGAATAAATGAGCTTCAATTCTCATGAAATTAGAACTTCCAAGTAATCAGCCACATTTGGCTTAAAAGATACCAAGCCTTTCTTTCGTGTACTACCACTCCGTAAGCTGAACTTAATCATGAATCATATGTTGTTTTATGGCAGACTCCAGATTAATGACTATGCCTTTTGTTTAAAATTAAATGTTAAGTATTTATCATTGGGCTTGAACATCTAGGCTGATGTGAAAGTTCACTTTAATGATTACGTTTCTTCCAAGAAAGGGAACATTTCTCCCACAGCAATTTCATTTTGGGCACTTATATTAAGGTCTAAGAAAAGTGACTTAAAATATTATTTACATAAACAAAATTAGGTTAAATTTTATGAAATTAAAATTTTATGAAATTAAATTGTAAATTAAATTTTATGAAATTTTAATTTTATGAAATTTTAATTTTATGAAATTCAGATTTAATCTAATTTTACAGGTTGTCATAAATTCCAATAAAAAATTTCCTAAGCTTTCCAATTCTTTCCGTGGTAATTTTTTCTTATTTTAATATTCCTATCATACCTATAATCCATTCTGTTTTATATTCTCTCTCTTTCTGTCTCTCTCTGTATAAGTTTCTTATTTTAATTGTTAGATTATCAGTTTCTTGGGTGTAGGAAAACTGTAATATACATCCTTAAATCCCACTTTCCACCCTCCTCTCAAGCCATAAGTTACTGCTGCTCAGAGTGTGCATTTTGAACTGTGGCAGGAATAAGGTAAAATGTACAGATAAAATTTAAGAAGTTGCCCCAACCCCAGAGATAGCAGGTGAGGCCAGGAAAGTGAAGTAGGATGATAAGAAAGAAAACGGAAAGAAAAATACCATTCTCCAAACATGCCCTGTGTCATAACCCTGAAAAGACAGGGCTAATCTCAGGTAATTGGAATGTGTAAATATTTGTCTTTTTTGCCCCAGCTTTAATAAGGTATAATTGACAATTAAAAATTGTACATATTTATGGCATACAATGTGATGTTTTGATATATGCATACACTGCTAAATGATTAAATCAAGCTAATTAGCATATGACCCTCATATTTTATAGCAGTGAGAACATTTTAAAATCCACTCTCTTAGCGATTTTTAAGTATGCAGTATATTATTATTAACCACCTCACTATGCTATACAATAGCTCTCTAGAACGTCTTCATCTTGTCCAACTGAAACTTCGTCTCCTGTGACCAAAATCTCCCGGTTTACTCTCCCTAACCCCCATATCCCCCACCCTCTCCAATCCCTGGTAACCATCATTCCACTCTCTGCTTCTATGAGTTCAACGTTTTTAGAAGGAATGTGTAAATATTTGCTACGTCTTTCCTTTATAGTGATGAGTAGTTTCTTAGTCTTCATTATGTTGTTTCTTACTGTTCTGGTGGCTCGTTTATCCAGCCTCTTGGTTGTGGTCATGACAATTAAGGACCACTGTAAAAATAGGATCTGGAGTTTCTTTGATTGGAAAATAAATGGAATTGCAATGGCTCTTTGTGGTCTGGTCCCTGTGGACTCACTCTCAGAATCATGTTTTTTCTTTGTGCACCCACTCTTTGATGTTTCTTAGTCATATGTTGTGGTTTCTTTGTGGAAAGATTTGATGATTTGGGCAAAGCCAGATACACTGTGGTCAAACACTGTGTCCTGTTAACCTTTGTCATTCTTGATGTCTGTGAATTCTTCATTCTGGAGAAATTAGGGAACCTCCAAATGGCAGTAACTGCCCTCCCCCTCAACCCCCATTATCATCACTTGGCTAGTCAAATGACATAATTACACTGAGGGCTTTAATCTATATTGCTCTAAACCTTCAGGTTGAAAACTACTGTATCTATCAAACTTTTAGTATGCATCCAACTCTGAAATGCCAGCTTTTCCTTTTCCCCACACTATTTTGTCTATTTGTCCTGTCATTTTCCCATTCCCTTCCCTTCTCCACTGACCGACTCCTCTCTGTCGACTGTCTCCTAAATGGGTCCTCTCTGTCCTTTTGCACTCTCTCCCCTCTGTGGCCCTTGCTCTCTAGAGAACACTGATGTATTTCTGTTTATTATTACTCCCCCTCCATCTGTCTTTTTCTAAAGCATTTTTTCTCCTTTTCCTATCTTCTTTAATTTTCTTCAGGATTCACCTCTCTGACCCAATGGTTTTCTTTTATCCTTGTCTTATCCTCTGTAAAGTACAGTATTCAGCTTATGTTTTTTTGTTTGTTTGCTTTTGTTTTTGTTTTTTGTTTTGTTTTTGTTTTTTTTAAAGTCGCTGCTGGTTAAATGAATGCTGGCTCCTATAGGGCAAAACAAGAATCTTGATCAGTTTTTCTCTCTCCAACTTCTATTGTGAATAGCATGATCTCTTTGTTTTTTCATTACTCTTGAGTCCTTTTCTCTTCTTCCTTTATGTATACCACATGATGTTGCTAGTGTCTCTGATCAGATCATTCATTGAGAAGCCCCAGTAAAATGATCTTCACTTGCAAAAATTACAGGATCTTAAGAATTTTGTTAAATTCGTCTTATTCTGTACTGGAAAGCATTGCTCATATAGTACGTCAGGATTTGAACAGTGTTTTCCCCAGCAGGAAGAACTGTTATCATGTACTAGATCTGGCAAACACTAGTATTCCACAAATACCAGATCCTGGTGATGCTAATGATGATGGTAATGATGTGGGTGAGTATTTTGAAGGCAAAAGGACAGAAGTGGGAGGAGAACAGAGACACCCATGATTAGGTGGGGGTAGAGAGTGTGAGTTAGGGAGAAATAGCTGCTGGGACAGATGGATCATAACACATGTTCGCTTGTCTTCATTCTTCCGCCTCCAGGTTTTAAAAGGTTCTACTAGTATCACATAAAGTGTCCAAAAGCTTCACTGATGATAGTTGTCTCCATCAAATCATCCAGATGGCTTATTCCCCCCTTCTTCATTTCCCGTGACCATGGAAAGACAGACACTCTCCATTTTATTGTCATCGGTCACCTAACTCAGAGTGAATGGGGTGGGGCTGGAGAGGGAGATAAGGGGTAGTTAGGTTAAACTAGGACGCAGATTTGAAGTTC
Source organism: Homo sapiens (assembly GCF_000001405.40). Classification (NCBI taxonomy): domain Eukaryota; kingdom Metazoa; phylum Chordata; class Mammalia; order Primates; family Hominidae; genus Homo; species Homo sapiens. Next base: position 111,918,300 of record NC_000007.14, on the reverse strand, counting down.
TGAGGATGTGCCAGACTTAATGTAATTCTCGCGACAGCTCTTGGAGACATTCTGTTGGTACACAAACCGGAAAGTGTGAGGACACGATCATGTCGTCATGTCCCTGTCCTCCTTTTCTTTGTTTATTGCCCCTCATCTAGCTCCGATTTGGACCTCAGGAGAGGCTCCAGTTTCTCTCTGAGCCTAAAGCCTTTTCTTTTTTCTTTCCTTCTATTTTATTTTGGTTTACAAATTTTCCTGATATTTTAACCACTCTATTGAAAAACAAGCAAACCAACCAAAAAACGCTACTTTCATTGTTATTGTTTGTTTGCTCTATTATTGAAAGAGAGTAAAAGGGAAGACCTTCCTCTACACATGTGACAAATAAACTTTGCATTTTTTTCATCACAGCATGATGTCATTCTCACACCTTTGTTCTTATACAGCATTATCATACTGTAAGTCATTTTTGGGAGTTATGACTTGCACATGATCTGTGCATTATTGAGAGAAATGTGATAAGTAATAATGTAGATAGAGGTTCTAAATCTGACGATGTAGATTTATCATCTTCTTGACTGTACTAAGCAAATTCATCTTTTTTTTTTTTTTTATTATGGGGTCTCGCTCTGTCACCCAGGCTGCAGTGCAGCTGTGCGATCTCGGCTCACTGCAAGCTCCACCTCCCGGGCCCACGCCATTCTCCTACCTCAGCCTCCAGAGTAGCTGGGACTACAGGCACCTGCCACCACGCTGGGCTAATTTTTTTGGTAGAGGTGGGGTTTCACCTTGTTAGCCAGGATGGTCTTGATCTCCTGACCTCATGATCCGCCTGCCTCGACCTCCCAAAGTGCTGATATTACAAGTGTGAGCCACCGCACCCGGCCAGCAAATTCATCTTTAAATTGACTTCAGGTTAATGATGACTGAATGTTTTTAAAAATAAGTCACCTTTGACTGGTTTCATTTTCTATCACTAATATAGTAAATATAGATGGGAGATATTTTTGTCCTTCTTATTTTAAAGCATAGAGGCCAGGCGCGGTGGCTCACACCTATAATCCCAGCAGTTTGGGAGGCCGAGGAGGGCAGATCACAAGGTCAAGAGCTCGAGACCATCCTGGCCAACTTGGTGAAACCCCATCTCTACGAAAAACACAAAAATTAGCTGGGTGTGATGGCGGACGCCTGTAGTCCCAGCTACTCAGGAGGCTGAGGCAGGAGAATTGCTTGAACCCGGGAGGCGGAGGTTGCAGTGAGCCAAGATCGCGCCACTGTACTCCAGCCTGGGAACAGAGCGTGACTCCGTCTCAAAAAAAAAAAAAAAAAAAAAAAAAACATGGGGGAAAGGGTGGGAGGTGGGTGAGGGATAAAAGACTACAAATTGGGTTCAGGGTTTACTACTCAGGTGATGGGTGCACCAAAATCTCACAAATCACCACTAGAGAACTTACTCATGTAACCAAATACCACCTATTCCACAATAACCCATGGAAATAAAAAAATTAAAAATATAATAATTTGGCTATCTTAAAAATTAAAACATAAGAAGATAAACAAAGAAGGAATGAAAAAGCTGAAAGAGAAGTGCTATCTTTGGAGTATGCATACAGACATATTCACAATGATATGACATTAAAGTTTTCTGTACTTCTTGCCTGGAAATTGAGAAAATAATATATGATAAAAAGTGTTTTGCATCTTCTGTATATCCAGCTAAGGTAATGTCCTTATAATTGGGGTAAAAATAATAATTTTTCCTACTTTACTGACTAAATTCTCTTTTCTTTGTCAAGGTGTCCTGTATTCTGCTAAATTCTCCTCACTAGAAAATCATGTCATCATGAGTTTCTACTGTATATATTATTAATATAATCCTGGTTTCATTATAATCGGCTTTGTTACTTATGTTTCAAGAAAATCTCTATCAATATCCTTTAAATCCTTAAATTAATATGTCTTCAGATTTGTGTTCATGCTTTTGATATTTGATAAGCAACTATTCATAGGCCTTTTGTTTTGTTTTGTTTTGTTTTAAACCTCCCATTTTGATGTCAGTATTTTTTAGGGCAAGGTGACCTTCATCTACTTCTGGAATAAGTGTTGGCGCAGGAACGTGCTCCACCAGACTAGGGTTGGAGGAGAGATTTGGGGGTTGGAAGCCAGGCTGCCTCTTAGAGTTCTGCTCATTTTCTCCACTTGCTATGAACCTCCTTATGAATGGGAAACTCAGATGTTGAAGTTGGAAAAGTGTTATTCAGATATGATTCATATAGATTCTGTCGATTTCGTCGGAATATTAACCCTTAGTTTAAAACCATGATATTCTAAATTTGGGCTTGTTGCAACACATCAGTTTCTCTTTATTCTATTTCTATTCTGTTTTTAACTCGGGTATCTCTCATCTGTTTTAGGTTTAGCAGTTTCCTTACAGCTATTGCACGGAGACATTGAACAAATCAGAAGGGAATATTCATCAGTATTTTCTCATGGAGTATCCATAACAAGGAAGCTGGGATTTTCAAATATTATTATGCCTGGTAGGTGACTTGGGACGTACCGATATGATGAAATATGGGTATACTATCTGTTTTTGATGTTTGAGAAATTTTTCAAATTGCCAGCTTTGAAGCATTCACATGGGCCATGCTGAAGAATGAAATGAGGTATGTGACTGTAAGTAAGCACATTTTTTTCTAAAATATCCTTTTCAGTTTAATTTTAAAATATTTCCTTTTGTATAAACTTTCTTGTCAGTGATTTGAAGCTCAAAAATGTCTTTACATTCTGATTATTCTAAAGTTGTTAACTTGTGGGGGCCATGGCTACATTTCATTATGACCAGGAGAAGGAGGAAAACTGAGTTACTGTCCAGAAAATATTGTACTCCTTGATGGAAAATGTTGGTGAAGATGCTTAGAGGATATCCTAAGTTTTGATAAAAACGTACTGAACACTAGTTAGCCATATGTAAATAAGCAGCCATATGCAAATATTATATGTACTTCTATACCTTTTCTAGATCTATTTGTGTGTATGATTTAGATCTATATTAGTGCCCCCAAAATTCCCCAAAAGTAGAAAAGATGTGGGTTAAGCAGTTTTACAGTGTGACATGAATGCCAGATTCATTGAAGCTGATGCATTTGGGAGTGGGTCAGTCGTAATCTCTCCACGAAAATAAATGTTTAAAAGCACACCCCTTTATGTGCTTATGGAAATTTAGGGTTTTCTGAGTGTGTTCATCTACAACTTATGAATTGGATAAGAATAGTACGTTTGCTGATGAGGAAGGATGTGTGTTTAGCAAAAATTGATTTAGTCAGTCAGCAGGCATTGATTGAGCATCAATCAAAACTTTGTGCCAGGAGCCAAAAGTTAAAAAGATGAGTTCATTCATTCTACAAATAAATATTTAGCACTTTCTATGTACAAAGGCATTCTTCCAAATACTGGGGCTATAAAACTGAACACAACAGAAGAAACCCATAGGACTTACTTTGTAATAAGGAAAATTATAATAAATATGTAAGTAAAACATGTATGTTCAAAGATGATGAATGCTCAGGTGAAAACCAGTGTAGGTAAAGGGCTAGGGAATGTCTTAGAGGGTAGTGGGTGGAGAGATGGAGATTTGTGGTAGGTAAGAAATTTAGGTGAGAAGGCAGTAGAGTAGAGACCTAAAAGACATGAGGAAGCCGTGCAGATAAGAGGATTCCAGGCATAGCAACAATAAGGGCAGTGGTCCTGCAGCCATAGAATCGTGGCTTGTTTGAGGAACTGCAAGAAGGCTAACTTGGTCAAAATACAGTACTGGGGATGGGAATGGAGATTCGAAGAGGGAAGTCATGTGGACCTTGTAGGTCACACTCAGCACTTTGGGTCTTATTCAGAATGAGAAAGGAAACAGCTAGAGGGTTTGGAACAGAGGTGTGACACTGCTTTACATTGCCACAGGATCACTGTGGTTGCTGTATAGAGATTATACCTGGAGGGAATATGGGAGGGCAGCAGAGAAACAGGGAGACCGGTTTGGAGGCTGTTTGAACTAATCCAGGTAAGTGGTGATCATGGTGTTGAGCAAGGTGTTAGCAGTGGAGATGGCGAGAGTAAGACCTGTTTATACTTTGAGGGGGATTACAGTCCACAGGCAGAGACACGCTGTAACCCGAAAGGAGTTGGAGAATGCAGCATGGAGAGCACAGAGGAGTTGTAGAATCTTATTGAAGGAGTCTCGTTAAAATTTCCTGAGGAGGTAACACCTGAGCAGGGTCTTCAATGCTAATGATTCTAGGCCCACATCCCCCGAGTCTTTGTTCTCCACTGCACTAATAGCAAGTACCTGCTTTAATAGTGAAAGACTGTGTAGTCATAGCCAACATGGCTGTACCTCTGATGTTTCTTTTGTTTCTTTGTTTGTTTGTGTTTTCTTTTTTAGAGATGGGGTCTCACTCTGTTGTCCAGGTTGGTGTGCAGTGGCACAGTCATTGCTCACTGCAGTCTCAAACTCCTGGGCTCAAGTGATCCTCCCACCTCAGCCTCCTGAGTAGCTAGGACTACAAGCATATACCACCACACCTGGCTAATTAAAAAAAAAAAAAAAAAATTGTGGCCGGGCGCGGTGGCTCATGCCTGTAATCCCAGCACTTTGGGAGGCCGAGGTGGGCGGATCACGAGGTCAGAAGATCGAGACCATCCTGGCTAACATGGTGAAACCCCATCTCTACTAAAAATACAAAAAATTAGCCGGGCGTGGTGGCGGGCGCCTGTAGTCCCAGCTACTCGGGAGGCTGAGGCAGGAGAATGGCGTGAACCCGGGAGGTGGAGCTTGCAGTGAGCGGAGATCGCGCCACTGCACTCCAGCCTGGGCGACAGAGCGAGACTCTGTCTCAAAAAAAAAAAAAAAAAAATTGTAAAGATGGGATCTCCCTATGTTGCCCAGGCTGGTCTCTAATCCCTGGGCTCAAGTTATCCTTCTGCTTTGGCCTCCCAAAATGCTTGGATGATAGGCTTGAGCCACAGTGCCTGGCCCACCTCCAATGTTAAAAGGAGATTTCTGGCCTGACGCAGTGGCTCATGCCTGTAATCCCAGCACTGAGGCTGAGGCGGGTAGATCACCTGAGGTCAGGAGTTCAAGACCAGCCTGGACAACATGGTGAAACCCCGTCTCTACTAAAAATACAAAAAATTAGCCGGGCATGGTGGCATGTGACTGTAATTCCAGCTACTTAGGAGGCTGAGGCAAGAGAATCGCTTGAACCCGGGAGGCGGAGGTTGCAGTGAGCCAAGATCCTGTCACTACACTCCAGCCTGGGCAACAAGAACGAAACTCCATCTAAAAAAAAAAAAAAGGAAATTTCTATGCTCTAAAAAATTTTAATTTCTAAAATTCTGTGAAAGTCATAATTTTGTGAGAGAATAGCCTTTTAAAAACTTTTGAAGTTTAAAAGCAAAAAAAAAAGAAAAAGTCTAATTGTTATTTAGTAATGAACCACTAGAGTTCTAGAAATTTCACACTGTCCCTAGGAACACAGGGCTATGACCAGCTGGGGTTATCTTCAACAAGCCTTGGTTCTGTCTATACCTATCTATTTCTTTGTGTGTGTCTGGACCTCTTATTTTCTTTCTCTTTTCCTTTCTGTCTTGATCTTAATCTTTCTTTTTCTTCTTATCTTTCCTCCCTCCTCCATCTTCTTTCCTTCTCCTCCTCCTCTTCCTCCCCCTCTTCTGCTTCCTCCCTCCTCAGAATAGGACTAAGCTACACAGGTTATTGTGGCTTACATTTAAAATTTTTTTGACATATCCTCTTGTTTTTACAAATCAAGAAATGAGTTTTTTTAAGTCATGAATTTTATTATAAAAGGACCTCACTTGTGTTTGATCTTCCATAGAAACAAAGAGCTTCTGCCCTTTTGTCTACAGATAGAAGATGACGAATAGCATACTAAGTAGTAGTATTTCTGGGTGCTCCATACCCCACCCTCCACAACCAAGAAAAGGGAAAAACAATAGACCAAATAAAATACTCTTAAATTGTTGACAGTATTTGTTTTAAATGAGGTCTTCTAAACCACTGTTTAAATCCCATGTGTAAGTGCAAGCAAAGGAAGTTGTATCTGACAAGGCACCTGGCATAGCTATGAGACCCAATAATGAGATTGCTATGAATAAAGACCTAAAATGACCAGTATCGCCCATTGCACCATTTTGTAATTGCCCGACTGAAATTCCTTCATGCAAGGAAGGCTGAGAGAACATCCTGTAAGTTTTCCTCAGATGACCTGACCTAGCTTAGGGACCCAGTCAGCCTGAGCATCTCATGGTACTGTTGTCGAAAATGACTGTTTATAGAACTGTTTACTTGGTGGCATGCTATTCTGTGGCCCTTGCAACTGTCCATTATTTCCTTCAGTTGCTATAAATAACTGGTATTTCCTCTTCAACAACAAAAAAAATTCATCCCACTGGGAAGCAAATTGATGGGCAAATCTAATATATTAAAAAAAAAAACATTTTAGAGCAGAATGCAGCCAGCTGCTGGAAGAATTCCTCAGCTTGGTCTCTGGGCAGTATCATGGAGAAATTGAAAAATATAAAGCAAGATGACACTTCACTGGCTGATTAATTGTCTGGGATCTGCTGTGCTCACGCAGCTTTTGTGTGGCTTTAATGATGGGCATGAACTTCTGTGGAATAAGGCTCGTTTCTGTCCCTTTCCGGTACCACCTTGTAATGCGAAGTCTACACTGTCCAGGAAAATTGTTCTTTCAGACATGTGTCTGTAGTTCAGGGGAGTACAAAAGAGGTTTTTTTAAAAGCACTTCCTTCTCTTTTTTTTTTCCCTTTCTTCCTCTGGCTTTTTAATCTTCCATAATAGAAAAGGGAGAGATGTGTGTATTTCCTTAAACAACTGAAAGCAACTTTAAAACTCAGTGGAATTTTTTACACTAGGAAACATGCAATCATTGTTTTGTTTTCCTTTGTTACTTTCAGACTTGTCAATTCATTCTCACCAGTGGCTCTAATGAAAACTTGAGCTGAATTCTTCCATGAGAAAGTGTGTGTGAACAATATTTCTGATCCCAATGTTACACTGACCGTCTGCAAGCATAATTTTTTTTTCATTGTCTAGATGTGTCCTTCAGAGTTAATTTGCATCTTTAGCATTCTGATAGGGTCAAAACAGGTGAGGCACATGATTATACCAACAGGACCCAGTTTATGCACACAGTCACCGCCTCTCTGCAGAATGAATTATCTGTGATCCTGACAAGGACAAGAACATACACAAAACTCTTTTCGATCACAGAATGTAATCAATGCCAGACTCTTTTTGAAATGGGAAAAACGTAGGCGCAGAAATTCTCCACTTGTCTCACTATTGTACAGACAGGTCTCCTGGTGTGAGGAGGTACCTGTCCATATGCTTCTGAGTCATCATGAAGTCCTCTGGACTCTTCCTTGGTTAAGGGTCTGTCACACAGCACTTTATTTCTTAGAGTGTCAGACTTCCAACTGAGAAAAAACATTTTCTGTGAAGCTCTGTCACTGCCACCTCCAAGCCAAATAACTGATTGAAGGCGTTCCACGGTCTGGGCTATGAGAGGGAGGGAGAGCAGCAAATTATTTTAATCAGTGCTTTCCAGTAGGAACATCATTTGAGCGACAAAGCTAATTTTAAATGTTTTGGTAGCCACTTTAAAAAAGTGAGAATAAAAGAGATGAAATTAGTTTTAACCATATATGTTACTTAACTTAAAACATCCAAAATATTAGCGTTTTAATAGGAGATCCATATGAAAAACTACTGATGAGTTATTTTACACTCTGTTTTCAACCTCAGTCTTTGAAAGCTGGCAAGTATCGTACATGTACAGCATGTCTCTTTTCAGCGAGTCACATTTTAAGGGCTCCATTGCCACATGTGGCAGTGGTCACCCTGTTGGACAGCCCAACTCTAAACATCTTAACAGACCCTAGGCAAAGCAGGCCTGGCCTATTGCTAAGCATCAGGGAGATCCAAGTTTCCATCCATCAGACATTCTGGAGCAAAGCTGGCTGATGTATCAGGAATGGCATGGAAGATCTGACTGTCTTCCCTGCTCCCCAAATGTCCATTTTTTACTCTGTGATTCTTTCCAGGCAAAATTTTCTTTGCCTCCATCATGATTTCACTATTTAAGCTTTCATGCCTGTACCCTATTTCTTTAGAGACTTGTTCCCACATATCCATTGGTTAAACTGTCATTCTTTGTTAGGGAACCCATCATTTATACATTTCAGTGCATTCACTTTTAGTAGGTCTTTGAAGCTCTTAGCCCTAAAACGTTTTTTTTTTTTTCTTTTTTCTTTTTTTTTAAACAGGGTCTCCATCTGTTACTCAGGCTGGAGTGTAGTAGTACAATCATGGCTCACTACAGTCTCAGCCTTCTGGGCTCAAGTGATTCTCCTGCCTTAGCCTCTTGAATAACTGGGACCACAGCAGGTGTGTCACCACACCCAGCTAATTTTTTATTATTTGGAGAAATCAGATCTCCCTATGTTGCCCAGGCTGGTCTTGAACACTCCTGGGCTCAAGTGATTCTCCTGCCTCAGCTTCCCAAAGTGCTGCAATTACAGGCATGGGCCACCATGCCCATCCCCTAAAAAGATTTAAGTGAAAACACTGGAGTGATAGGGTTGAGATTTGGGGACCAGTTTTAATAGTAATCTGAGGATTTATTTGTTTATTTTATAAGTATTATTCAAATCAATCCTCCTTTTTCTTTATCCAGTCTATCATTCATGGGCATTTGGATTGATTCCAAGTCTTTGCTATTATAAATAGTGCTGCAATAAACAAATGTGTGCATGTGTCTTTATAGTTCAAATAAGTCAAATTTCTATTTGGTCAAAGTTGACTAAATAATGATTTACAGACTGGAGTTAGAAGAATGTTATAGAGATGTTTGTCTTATGTTTAAGAAAGTAAGCAATTTCGAAGGATATGAACAGACACTTCTCAAAAGAAGACAGTTATGCGGCCAAGAAACATAGTAAAAAAGTTCATTGTCACTGGTCATTAGAGAAATGCAAATCAAAACCACAATGAGATATATCTCACACCAGTTAGAATGGGCGATTATTAGTAAGTCAGGAAACAACAGATGCTGGTGAGGGTGTGGAGAAATAGGAACACTTTTACACTGTTGGTGGGAGTGTAAATAGTTCAACCATTGTGGAAGTCAGTGTGGCGATTCTTCAAGGATCTAGAACCAGAAATACCAGTTGACCCAGCAATCTTATTAATGGGTATATACCCAAGGGATTATAAATATATGCACACATTTGTTTATTGCGGCACTATTTATAACAGCAAAGACTAGGAACCAACCCAAATGCCCATCAATGATAGATTGCATAAAGAAAATGTGGCACATATACACCATGGAATACTATGCAGCCCTAAAGAAGAATGAGTTCATGTCCTTTGCAGGGACATGGATGAAGCTAGAAGCCATCATTCCCAACAAACTAACACAGGAACTAACTCTCACTCCTAAGTGGGAGTTGAACAATGAGAACACATGGACACCGGGAGGGGAACATCACACACCAGGGCCTGGGGGCGGTGGGGGGCAAGGGGAGGGAGAGCATTAGGACAAATACGTAATGCATGCGGGGCTTAAAACCTAGATGACGGGTTGATAGGCATAGCAAACCACCATGGCACATGTATACCTATGTATCAAACCTGCATGTTCTGTACATGCATCCCAGAACTTAAAGCAAAATACAAACAAAAATATAAAAAATAAATAAAAGTCACTTTGACAAAAAGAGAAGTAAGCAATTTCATTATTATTATTATTATTATTTTATTTATTTTTTTGAGACGGAGTCTCACTCTGTTGCCCAGGCTGGAGTGCAGTGGCACGATCTCGGCTCACTGCAAGCTCTGCCTTCCATGTTCATGCCATCCTCCTGCCTCAGCTTCCCGAGTAGCTGGGACTACAGGCGCCCGCCACCATGCCCAGCTAATTTTTTGTATTTTTAGTAGAGATGGGGTTTCACCGTGTTAGCCAAGATAGTCTCGATCTCCTGACCTTGTGATCTGCCTGCCTCAGCCTCCCAAAGTGCTGGGATTACAGGTGTGAGCCACCACACCCGGCCAATATAAATATTCCTTACTATGTACTGATAGAGAAATACACATCAACAGATGGAATTGAAACAGCAGTAAGCCTTCTTTTGGAGAAAGTAGATGTGCACTAGTAAGATTTGATTTTCCTTAAAAATATATCCTAAATCTAGTTGGGCATGATGGCACACACCTGTAATCCCAGCACTTTGGGAGACCAAGGATGGTGGATTGCTTGACCTCAGTTGTTCAAGACCAGCCTGGACAAATGGCAAAACCCTGTCTTTACAAAAAATACAAAAATTAGCCAGGCATGGTGGCGTGCGCCTGCAGTCCCAGCTACTCAGGAGGCTGAGGTAGTAGAATTGCTTGAGCCCAGCAGGTTGAGGCTGCAGTGAGTGGAGATCATGCCATTACACTCCAGCCTAGGAGACAGTAAGACTCTGTATCAAAATATACATTGATATATATAATGTATCTATATATATCCTAAACCTAACCAAAGCTTACCACCCTCCAGCTCTAGTCACTGGACCCCCACACCGCTTAGCTTAGACCTGAACCCTGATGTGCGAGGAGATGGTGGTCTTTAACCAATGAATGCCACAGTGACTGAAGAGAGAGTGAAGCCGAGATTCTAATGTGTCACCCTGAAGTTTTATCCCAGACCTAGATCAGACAGAGGGAGGGACTGGTACCTCTCAAATTATGAAGCTTACGGTCCCCACTGCCCCAAGAGTATAGGAGTTCCCCCAACGGGCTGCCAGATCTCCATGCATTGTCTCAGAGTGGGATGGCAACAGGGAACCACAGTTTATCCATGCTCTTGCCTCTGAGCAAAACTGTCTGGAGAGCCCATTGTGGGTGTTGCATCATGTGCCCTTGCTTGCTTAATTGTCATAAGCAAAACATAAAAAGCTACCTCCCAAAAGAGTTCAGTATCTCATAGTACTCTTTTAAAAACAAAGCAAAACAAAAATGAGAATGATAGATAGAAAATAGAGAAAACCTGATGGGTTTTACTCAAGTGTATCTTGTGTGAGAATTGGAGATATAATATTAGTTAACTTTTCAGCCTATCCGTACATTTGCCCTGTCTGTGCTCTGTTTCAGTCTCCAGTTACCTGTGAGTCCTGCTCCCATTCCTTCCTCCTCCTTGAAGGTCTCATGAAGTGACAGAAGCTTGGATATGGAAGTCACATTGTATTAGTTTCCTATAGGTGCTATAACAAGGTGGCTTCAAACAACATACATTTACCGTGTTACAGTTCTGGAGGTCAGAGGATGAGCTAGTCTCACTGAACTAAAATCAAGGTGTGATCAGGGCTGCATTTCTTCTGATGCTTCCAGGGGAGAATATACTTCCTTGCCTTTTCCAGCTTGTGGAAGCTGCCTGCACTCCTTGGCTCATGACCCAAGTCATTCCGGCCTCTGTGTTCCTCATCATATCCCCTTCTCTAATTCTGACCCTTCCCCCTCCCTTTTTCAAGGACCCTGTGATTATATTGGACCCACCCTGATAATCCAAGAAAATCTCCCTATCTCAAGATCATTAATTTAATCACATCTGCAAGGTAACATACTCATAGGTTCCAGGGATTGGAACCTAGGCATCTTTGGGGAGGGGATCTTAATCTGCCTTTCACACACATGAGGGGCCACCCAGCCCACCCATGTGTCTAGTGCATGCATTCCTCTTCATGGTTCCTAGTGGTGGTTTTCTGGCTCATACTTGAATATTTGTATTGACCAAGAACACATCATCACATTTTCTCTCAAAATGACTTATGTTGGACCAATTTCCCTTTCTGCTTGGAACTTCAACATTTTAAAATTCAGTTAATTCTATTGTCTACCTCTTCCTTCTTGTGATGGGTTCTGAGTCCTTTCTTCATATTGTTTATGGTCTGGATGACACCATTTGTGTCTGTCTCTGTGTTGTAAAGATAGTCCCTAGAACTGTAATCAGTATTTCAAAACTGGTCTGAGAAATGCAAAGCAACACAGGACTACTACCTTCCTTGCTCAAGTCACTTCTCCTGACAAAGGCTGAATTGCAGTAGCTTATTTGATGGCCATTCTTACTGCATGGAATTACAGGTTTTCATAGGTAATGTGGGGTCACTGATAATACCTAGGGCACTATTCTTAATCCCTACACTTTAATTTCCTCATCTGCAAAATGGAAATGATAGTGCCTTTTTTATAAAGTTGATATGATAATTTAATGAGATGTTCTACTTCTAGCATTTTGCAAAGTACCCAGCACATAGTAGGTACTCAATAAAGTGTACTGCTGCTGCTGTTGCTACTAGGACTGTTACTACTGCCATCATCATTAACAACATCATCAACAGTAATCTAAGTTCACCTAAGTCATTTACACATTTTCTTTTTTAAAAAAACTAAAGGACAGGAAATTTTATTTGGTTCCATAACTCTTAACAAATATCCAGCTTGTGTGTGTGTGTATACGCAATACACGTGCACACACACACACACACACACACACACATACATGCATATATATAAAAAATAGATAAAGCCGCTGGGACAGTGTACAGTGGTTTACATGCTATGGTGATCATGCGCTGTATCCTTTATCCAAGACATTCATAAGACAGAAACAAGGATTACAGTTTTCAACTACTGACGGAAACTCTTACCCATCTAGGTCAAGCTGTTAATGGATCCATTTGACTGCAGTCACTGAACTCTTGAGTTTGTTCCCAATTTTGTGACCTTATCTTTATCTTGTCTACAGTAGTATTTTGAAAGGCCTTCATATGTGTAAAGGCTCCCTAGCCAGCAGGCCTGCTAAAGAGGAAGAAAGTGTGGTGCACATCAAATTTTTAGAGTAATAAACTTGAGAGGTATGAGGTGTTAATAAACATTGTCAGGGAAATAGCTTTTCACACGGGTGCTATGACTCCATTTCATACTGACTTGATGGTTTCTCTCTTAATTACCCAAGATGCTTTCTGAACACCATTTGGACTCATGAGTTTTCTCCAGAGTCAACCTCAAGTGTATTGATTTAATTAGCACTTGTTTCAACTTGATCCTTCTGCATATTTTGGCAAAACTTGGCACCTTGCAAAATTGGAACATAAGCAAGCTGTAAAATTCCTGGGGAGAGGCACATGGAGAATGTCGTCCAGGAGAAGTGTTCTTCTTGTCATGTATTCTCTTTTCAAAGAAATCTGGTTTTAGTCTAAAAGATTTGCAAAAGATAATGGGGTTACAGGGATAGTGACAGTTAAAGAATGGAAAATTAAAGCATACGTATGAGGGGTTTGATTTTGTGAACGTGTTAATTTCCGGAGGTTCTTTTGTAAGGCATAGAAACAGCATAATATAACAAAGTAGTGTTGTCTCTCCTACCACCTCTCATTTACCCACCTTTACCCTATTCTCATGTTAATAACAAAAACCTGAGACCCAGAGGTTTCTAATACCCTGTATAGACTGATGTCACACACCATAGCAGTAGCACAGACTAGAACCTGTATCTCCTTATTCTGATTGTCCTGTGAACCTAATGCCTTTAGTGTATTTGAATTCAGAATCTCTTTTGTAAAGAAGAGATAGGAGAATTCAGCTGTGTTATGAGCTAAACAGGCCTTGGGGACTGGCCTGAGAAGCTAATGCCCTTTGGAACCTTACTCCTTTGTCGAACACTGTAGCCTACTCAGGGTGCTCATCTTCTCATGAGGCCTTCTCTTATTACCCTGTTGAAAATTTTAACTCTCCCTCCATCCCCATTCAATACTCTGTATCCTCCTTCTCACTTTTATCCACAGTGCCTATTATCGCTCAGCATACTATATATTTTACTTATTTATGTATTTATTAAGGACTTACACCTGCTAGAATCAAGACTCTGGGGAAAGAATTTTTGCTGTATTCACTACTGAATCTTCCTGGCTTGGAATAATAGTATCTAGCATACAGGAGATGCTCAAGAAACATTCGTTGAATAAATACAGGTACATAGAAAAAGAATTTTGTGATGCTGGCAGTACATCCCTCATTTTCCCTCCTTTGGGCCTAGCCTACGGACAGAGGGAAACAGGTTACCTTGCAAACCTCCCTTATCACCTCTTGCCTTTGCTGGAGTCTGAGAGGCCACGTCCTTCCAGCAGATAACAGTGGAAAGCACCTTCCCAAGAAACACTTAGTCTTTATTTTGCAGGACAGTTAATCCCTGTGTGGTTTGGACAAGCTAATTACTCATTATAAGAAATTCCTAAGGTAACAACCCCTGTAGCTATACTTCCCATTAGTCAGTGTAGGTTTTATAGGCTATTTGTAGCAGAGCTACTTATTATGTGTCACTTACTCCAAGAAGCAAAAGAATTCTGCTGTTTTTAGCCAATATATTTTGCTCTAAAGTATCTTGATTTGAGTGTTGTTTTTTTTACCTGCCACATCTGTTCGTGGAAACATTATTGTCAAGAATTTCCTCCCAAACCTCTTGTTAAACTAGCATGTGCAGACCATTGTGTGTACCAGACCTATTTTTTGTTTGTTGAAGTCAGTTGATTTGCTGTTGATTCTATAATGGAATTGTTAAATAAATAACATCAAATGTGGGAGTAAAAAATATATGTAGTAATCAAGTGAAATAGAAAGTCTAATAAACATAAAATGTACTGGGCCATTCTCTAAAAATTAGTAATGGAAATAGTTAAAACAGAAAACTTTCAAAGCACACAAATATAATTTTTAAAGTGTTGAAATATGTTGCTTTTCTCCTGGACTTTAAGTTCATTGCCTTCCCAAGTTGGTTTGTATGAGCTGTATAAGAGTACTAGAAATTCATAAGCCAGAGACCTCTGTATTGTTTCCACTAATGTATGTTTTATAGACTCTTTGTAAAGGGTGACTAAGATGTAATTCTTTTTAGAACTTACCCAGTTTTTCTGTTTTATGGCCCACCTGTATCCTTGTCAGCCTAGGTCATTTGTAAATGATGCCATCATAAAAAGTTGGTCTTTATGGAGGAAGATGATCTGGCACACTGATATTCTCCCATGGTCCATGGTATTGAGGAACTAGGATACTTCCTTGTGCACACTTTGACGAAGAAGTTTTATAAAACTCCCAATTGTAGACATAGTTATATGGTTATTTTTCTTTCTAGTGATTTTCTTTCTTATGGGGAAATTTTTTATTAGAAAACAGAGTATTCAAGGTCAGGAGATCGAGACCACCCTGGCTAACAGGGTGAAACCCCATCTCTGCTAAAAATACAAAAGATTAGCCAGGCGTGGTGGCACGCACCTGTAGTCCCAGCTACTCGGGAGGCTGAGGCAGGAGAATGGTGGGAACCTGGGAGGCGGAGCTTGCAGTGAGCCAAGATCCCACCTCTGCACTCCAGCCTGGGCGACAGAGCGAGACCTCCCTTTTTTTTCTCAAAAAAAAAAGAAAAGAAAAAAGAAAACAGTATTACTTTTGATTTTTTCAAGTGTTTGAAATATGTGTTAAGTAAAAATAAATTCGACCTTGCCATCTCACCATTTACCTTTAAAAACTTTCTAGTTGTGCTTTGTTGACTTATTTCTCACTTCTCTATGCATTTATTATTTCCCGCTAGTTTAATTTTTATAAAAGAAGTAAAAGCATGCTGTTAGCACATTTGCCTAAGTTTGCTAGTTGGCATCAAATTTATCTTTTTTTATCTTGCAATAATAAGAAAGGGTTGAGATTTTTAAAAACTCAAGTTTTATAAATCACCAGTAGAGAAAAAATCGACAGTATATATGTACATAGAATGTGTCTATTTGAATATAGGGCCTTTCTCAATTGTTTTATAGCTTGATGATATGAAATATTAAGCCGAGTTTGTCTGTATGACGGAATTATTCTACATCTGTGTTCATAAAATGCTAATCTGGATTCTTCCAGCAGTGAGATCATTTTGTCCATGAATTTTGGAAAAGATTTAAGTTGTAATTGTACCCTTTACAGTCCTATTATTTTACTACATTTAGGTATTTCTCCTACCCTAAATTGCTATGACTATAAAGTAATAAGACTGGTTTCTCTGAGCCACCCCTGCTAGGCTGTCATTTTATAATCACACCTCATAAATAAAATGAGGGAAATATTGAAAAATGGTGAGACTTGACAATACCTTCCTACTTGGTCCCAGTATTCACCTCCTAGATGTAGAATTACAGTGTTTCTAATTCAGACTAGCAGAGGCTGGCTGTTATTCTTCTCAGATGTTGGCAGTAAGGGTGAGGACACTTTTATAAAAATGCAAATATATTTGTACTTTTATATGTATGTATAGCAGTATATTGTATAAACTAAAGTTTTTCTTGATAGAGCACTTTATTACATTTCCTCATATATATATAACATGGTTTTAATTTTCCTTTCCTTATAGGTGAAATGAGGAATGATTTATATATCACTATTGAAAGGGGAGAATTTGAGAAAGGAGGGAAGAGCGTGGCCAGAAATGTGGAAGTTACGATGTTCATTGTAGACAGTAGTGGCCAAACCCTGAAGGTATGTTAATACTTGATATTTCCAGGTCAAACAAGTCTGTATAATTGCTTTCACTTAATCTTTAATGTGATCAGTTATTTTCTGATTTACGATCAGTTAATTTCTGATTTGCGTTATTTTCTATCTTATTTTTCTCCTTCACCCCTGTGTAGTTTTCTTTCTTTTGTTTTTTAATTCACTAAAATTCCTTTCAGAAAAGAGAGCAGAAAAACGCAGTCTTCATGCTGAAGACAAGCCAGGAAAAAAAAACAACAACTTTTACAGTTTGCTTAATTCATTGTGTCAATAATTTTCTTACAGCAGCTATTACTTAAAAGCAGCTTTTTTTTTTTTTTTTTTTTTTTGAGACAGAATCTTATTCTGTCACCAGACTGGAGTGCAGTAGTATGATCTCCACTCATTGCAACCTCCCTCTTCCAGGTTCAAGCAATTCTCGTACCCCAGCCCTTCAAGTAACTGGGATTACAGGCGTGCGTAACCATGCCCAGCTAATTTTTGTATTTTTAGTAGAGACAGGGTTTCACCGTGTTGGCCAGGCTGGTCTCGAACTCCTGGCCTCAAGTGATCCTCCTGCCTTGGCTTCCCAAAGTGCTGAGATAAATGCAGCATATTTTTAAAGCCATTTCATTATTTAATTCTATATATTTTCTTTCTGACCAAAATAGGCATGAAGACTAGGGTACTACTTACTAATTGGGGTGAGAATAGCAGGTGTTTTTATGGAAGAAGTATTTTTCATGAGCCCCTTCTTCATAGAGACATACAGTTGCCCATTTAAATAAGAAGGTTGGCCCTGGGGCGTAGTGAGTCACCTACTGAGGCACAAAACAGGCTTTTGACTATGGCAGGTTGGGAACTTTACCATGTAGTTGAACTCCAAGTGGGCCATGCAATCGTCCATCTCCCACGTGTCACCCGGGTCTACCCTTGGCACAGTAAATCCTTGGAGACCAGCATCAGAATTAAATAGATACACCCCGCTAAGCAGCAGCAAGTACAGAAACACACGGCAAAGGCCCAGCGAGGTAATTTCATAGTGCTATTTGAGAGGCAGGCAGATAGAGCAAAGTGATTGCTCTGCCTTTTCAAAAGATCTTTAGATGAAGCTCTCTTTAACCTGTGTGTTCTTCCCTTTGTTAGGATTTTATCTCCTTCGGCTCTGGGGAGCCACCAGCCAGTGAGTACCACTCCTTTGTGCTTTACCATAACAACAGTCCCAGGTGGTCTGAACTGCTGAAACTTCCCATTCCTGTGGATAAATTCCGGGGTGCACACATCCGCTTCGAGTTTCGGCATTGTTCCAGTAAGTGTTTGGTGGCATTGGCTACCTGTGTCTATTGTGCTGGAGTATCCTGCTTACTGAGCTGTCATGAAGATGTGGGTTGATCTTAAGTTGATTACTTTTGTAAAAATCAGTTTGTTCCATTCTAGAAAGATTAGCCAGAAAGGGGAGGCACAGTGTTAAAAGCTAAACTGTTTCTGGTGGTCTTAGGCAACCCTAACCATTCTGGTATCTCCAGGAGCTGATCCAGCTCTCACACAGATTGGGGAAACCCACTAGGACTTTTCATGGCATGTGAAGCCACTGGGAAAGCCTTTGGCCAGTTCAGATGCATATCTGATTTGTGTGTATCTGCATCACTGTACTCTCTCAGACAGTATTCAGATGAGAATCAAATAATGTCAGCTGGAAAAAGACTTAGAAGTAACATGAAGTAATTGCCTCATTTTACAGATTTTTTTGTTTTGTTTCGAAGCAAAGCCTCACTCTGTTGCCCAGGCTGGAGTGCAGTGGCGCAATCTCAGCTCTCTGCAACTTCCGCCTCCCAGGCTCAAGCAATTCTCCTGTCTCAGCCTCCTGAGTAGCTGGGACTACAGGCGCCCGGCCACCACGCCTGGCTAATTTTTGTATTTTTATTACAGGCGGGGTTTCACCATATTGGTCAGGCTGGTCTTGAACTCCTGACCTCAGGTGATCCACCCGCCTCGGCCTCCCAAAGTGCTGGGATTATAGGCGTGAGCCACCACACCCGGCCTCATTTTACAGATCTCAACAACCCAAGACATAGAACTGTTACAGGGTTTGTCCACATGGGCATTGCTATCCATAAAGTTATCCCTTCTCAGTATTTCTATTTCCATTTTTTTGCATTCATTACCACCCTCTCAAGCCCCATCTCTCTCCCCCAACTACCCCCAGTCCAGGAATCTTCTGATATTCCTTGTGTCCCTGAGTATATCTTAGCACTGCCAGTGTACATTGTGACCAGAGAAAGTTTTGGTGAATCTAGCTTTGGGAGCAGTACAACAAACGAGAGATACAGGAGAATCACATTTTTGAAGAAGCAGCAGGCTCTCTTCCAGTCTGGAAGGAATAGGGGCTTTGCCAAAAGATTTGTGGTGAATTTACCACAGTGATGTTGTATTTTACCCAAGGTTCAGGCAGAGAAGGAGGACTTTATCTTTTGCTGGAACTATGGCATATTTCAGAATTGACTCAAGAGCTTCATACATTATGCTTGTGTGGATGTATCTGAATGCAGGAAGAGAGCTAGCAGGGTCTTAAAATTCTTCCAAATTCCCAGAAGAGTTTCATGTAAAGGACTTGAAGTAGGAAAACATAAAGGACTTAGAATGGTGCCATACTATTTCTTCCATCAATCTTTGTTATGAATTCTCACTGGGGTCTAATATGAGGTCTGAGCTTTAAGGTAAGAAAAAGAGAAAATAAAGGTGAAATAGTGGGGAAAGAGAGAAAGAGCATTTGGAGGTAATTATTCGAATTCAGAACTTGGAAAGTAAAATAAAGGCTATTTTCAGTAAAATCTATTGGATCTCTACCTTCTTGTCCCTGTACTGCAAAAATTCCTCATAGGTTTTTTCTTTTAATCTTCATAATTAAAAGTCAGAAGAAACAGCAAAATGTAAAGAAGAAGGAAAAAATCTTGATAATACCACAAACTATGAATAACCAATGCAATCATTTTATAAAGTGGGCTTCCAAATATTTATCTGTGTGTTCATATATTTATTCAAAAACATCAGTTATTCATGAAACAAATATTTGTTGAACACCCACTATATGCCAAGCATTTTACTGGGTACTGGAGACACATCAGTGAGCACAAGAAAATAGCCCCGCTCACAGAGCTTTCATTCCAGAGAGGAAAGACAGATAATAGCTGAGAAACTAAGTACATAGTACATCAGATAGCAAGTGATGAAGTGCAGTGAAGACTTAAATTGCAGCTAGGGAGTAGAAAGTGATGGTACTGTGTTGCTATTTTACACAGGGCAGTCAGGAAAGACTTCGCTTATAAGGACATGTGTTGGCAACAAACTAAAAGAAGTGAAGGCCTGAGCCATTGAGACTATTCTGTCTGGGGAAAGAAGATTCCAGGCAGAGAGGACAGTACAAAAGGCTTGAGGTTGAAATATGCTTGGCCTTTTCAAGGAATAGCAAGGAGACCAGGAAGGTAGCAGAGGTGCCAGATCTTGTATAGTCTTTTATTTCATGATGAGGACTGTGCATTTTATTTGAATTGAGAAGAACCACGAGAGGATTTGGAGTGAAGATACGTCTGGCTACTGTATGGGATAATAGATTATAGGTAATATGGTTGGGAACAGAAAGACCATTTGGGAAGCTTTTTTTAGTCTTCCAAGTAAGAGATTTAAAGTGTTCTGCATTACGATGGTAATGGTTCAGTTCTTTTTTACAGAATATTAACAGATTGGATCTGAAAGAAGGAGAAAAGTCCAGGGTAACCCAAAGATGTCGGCCTGAGAATGAAGTGATCATTTAATTAAGTGGGGAAGACAACAGGGAGAATCTGTTTGGGGAACAAAAATCGAACATTGCATTTTAGACATGTTAAATCAGAGATATCTGTTAGACACTCAAGATGTCAAGTGGGCAGTTGAGTAACGTCCAGTTTGGAAACTTGGGAATGAGAACATACAGTTCAGTGGTTGGTCTACTGAGCCAGCACTGGGGGGTGGGGAGGATCCCTGAACTGTAGCATTTGCTGATTTCCATGGTGTAGATACTCCCACTATGTCCAATTTCAAGCTTCCAACATGACATCACTGAGTGTAGAACTGGGGAGAGATGTGCACTCTCAGCTCTTACGGGCCAGTATGATCCAGCTCCAGCACATCACTAATTTTGATGATTTCTAAAGTCTGAGACTGATTGGAGTTCCTAGGTAGTAAGTTTAGATAGCAAAGGGGAGTCGAAGGATGGGTCTCTGGGGTACTTGCCATATTTAGAGCTGGGAGGATGAGAAGGAGGCATTAAATGACATTAAGAAAGACTATCTAGTAGGTTGAAGGCCAATGCAGGAAGAAGAGAACCCAGGAGCTAAATGAAGGCAGTTTTTTAAGAGAGGATTGATCACATGTGTCAGGTGCCAGTGGTAGTTCAAATAAGATGAGGACGAATAATTTGATTTGGCATCATGGAACTCATTGAACCTGACAAGTGGTTTTAGTGAATCTGTGGTAGTAAATGTGAGTTAAAGAATGAGATGGAGGGGGAAAAGGGGGAGTAATGGGTATAGACAAATCTTTTGAGAAGTTTTGCTATAAAGGATACAAGAGCTATGGTCATGCGTAGGAAGACTCAATGTCGTCAAGATGTCAGTTGTTCTTAAATGAACCTGTAGATTCAAGTTCCTGTATTATCATTGATGTGGAAATCTCTTCCCAGAGATCTTTGGTGTGATTTTTGCTTGACTTTTTAAAAAACATGAATTATTTTTCCAGTTTCTCTATGGGGTTGAAATTAATGATTTTAAAAGAAAGTCCTTTGCTATAATTACATTTTCAGGGATGTCCTCATATTAGGGACCAGCACCAGCCAGACAAAATTACCGTTTTCTGCATGAGGCTCCACTTCCCTGTGCTTAAATGCCTGGAGCAATTAAATGCTGTGTTGCTAACCTTCTTGTCCAGTCTTCAGGATCACCATACCTAACTCCTCCAGCTCAGATCTTACTGCATCCCAAAGTTGAACTTGTCTGTTCAAGTATAATGCTCCACTTGTGAAAGAGTAACCATCCAGCCCTTAACAGGCTGCTGGCTCTGGAGAACTCTGCCCATCTAAGTACAAGGGGAGAGTCAAGTTAACCAAAGAAGGTTCTGTTAATGCTTTCTCCATTTTTGGAGGAAAAAAAAAAAAAAAAAAACCTTGGTGGAAAGAACTGGAATGGTACTTAAGAGATCTACAACAAGTTACCTAACATCTATGACCTCAATTTCCCTATCTATAAATAATTACTAATGATCCTTGGCATTTCTAGCTATTGTAATTCTTAATTAGGCATCTGAAAACCTCATCGCCTCATTTCCGGCTTCCAGAGTAGTGAGCTCTTGTTAAACTATAGGTTTAATATTCATATTGTCTTTCAACGTGCCTAACTTATTCCAAGGAGGTAACTGCAACAGGACTTACTTTCCTTACGTGTGTGGATATAGGGAAAGAAGTTCTGTCATGGACCAGGGTAGAGCTTAGAGATTCCCTTTTGATGGGTAGTAATCAAAACAAACCATTTCACTTTCATTCATTCACTTGTTCATTCATTTATCATATATTTATTAAGCACCTACTATGTTCCTAGCACTCTTTGAAACAATAAACAGATAAGACCCCTGCCCTCAATGGGACTTTGGGGTAAAAAGAAGAAACAGGCAATCCACAAATTTTTTAAAAAGCAATTTCAGATAGTGATTCCCATAAAGAAAATTAGGCAAGAAATGTAAGTTGCAGATAAGGGGGCAGGAAGAGGGGATTAGAGGGTGGCTGCTCTATATAGATGGCCTATCAGAAAAGCTGTGCTGCATTGTGTAGTGGGAACTGTTGTGTATGAGTTATATTTCTCGATGATTATGCTTCTTGACAAACTATGTACCTGAACATAGATACACTTAAATAAGCAAGTAATTTGTTTTTTACAGCAAAGGAGAAAGGAGAGAAGAAGTTGTTTGGGTTTTCTTTTGTCCCTCTGATGCAAGAAGATGGTAGGACTCTTCCAGATGGCACTCATGAGCTCATCGTGCATAAGGTAACATCAGTCAGATGGTGGCGATGGGCAGTAAAAAACAGTGCTGAAATAACACCTCACTATCTTATCATTTTGAAAAGAGAAAAAAATGACTGAAATGAATATTCTTGTAAGATTGCTGTCAGGGAGAATGTCTTTTTCAAAGTATTGTTTCTATATTGGGTTATATTTTAGAACATATTTTAGAGATGATTTATGTTTTCATCCTAATTTAGGGGTGGATGTTTGGGTAAACCTGTGTATTGTTCTTAAAGTTCTTTCCATTGCTGTGATAGGGTTAAGTAAACCTTACAAATAACTTTTTAAATACTACATTACGCGCTTTCTTATCTAGGTCTGTGTATCCCCAGAAGTAAATTTAGCAAGGTCAGCATTGCTTTTTTTTGTCTGCTATTGTTACTAAGCAGGCAGAGAAGTGGCTGTATTTCATCATGACAACTTTAGCAGTTCTTATAAATCAAGAATTGTCATAAAAAACATTTGGAACAAAGTGTATTGTAGTAGGCAACAAAAGAAAGCTTGCAAAGGAGAACCCCTTGTAATTATCTGAGAATACTAGTAATAATGAACTATAGGGTAAAAAATGTATTTTTAAGTGCACAGGCAATTTTCTCCAAAATATTCCTCCTTTGCATTTCTCCATTTCTATAACTGTGTAATAGTGAGGCCCTTATCAACTCTCACCTATGATAACTGGTCCTGCTGACCTGGGTCTTGTCTCCCTCTAGCCCAGACATTAGGGTCACTCATCTAAGGAGCAGATCCAGCCATGTCACTTCCCAGCTTAAGACCCATTCAAAAGCTTCTTGCTGAGAGAATAAATCCCAGGCATCTCAGGGCATGCCAGCCTTCTACCTCCCTACTGCCTCACTCCTCACCACTTCCGGCCTCTTGATGCTACAACCACATCCAGCACATTCTGGTTCTTCACCCTCTGCTGCTGGCTCTTTCTGCTCTTCCCTTGCCTTGTGGCTCCTGGAGTCAGCCTTCCCCTGCCTCTCCCTCTGAGTGTCTTCTGCTCATCCCTGGAGGCTCACCTGGGCCATAACCTCCCTCAGAAACTGTCCCCTGCTTCCTGGCCCAATTCATATTCTCAGCTGGCCAGTTGCCCTTCCCTGAGCTCCCTGGTATCTGCACACATCTCTTACCATTGTTCTCATCACACTGTCCCAGAACTATCTGTTGATCCCTCAGCTTGCCCCATTAGATTTATGAGCCCCTCGAGAACAACAGCTATGTAAAGGGATTCTGGCCTGTGATAGATGTTCAGTGAAGATTATTGAATGAATAAGAGATTACAAGCAAAAACTTTCTTTGGATTGCTAGTTAAATGAGAGGCAACATATAACACACCTGGTATTTTCTTTTTTTCTTTTTTCTTTTTTTTTTTGAGATGGAGTCTTGCTCTGTCGCCCAGGCTGGAGTGCAGCGGCACAATCTTGACTCACTGCAAGCTCTGCCTCCCGGGTTCACACCATTCTCCTGCCTCAGCCTCCTGACTAGCTGGGACACCAGGCACCCGCCACCATGCCCGGCTAATTTTTGTATTTTTAGTAGAGACGGGGTTTCACCGTGTCAGCCAGGATGGTCTCTATCTCCTGACCTCGTGATCCGCCCACCTCAGCCTCCCAAAGTGCTGGGATTACAGGCGTGGGCCACTGCGCCCAGCCCACACCTGGTATTTTCTATTTTTATAGAATGTATATTTCATTGTCTATTTCTTTAATCATTCATTTTCTCATTATTTGTTCAACATGTTTATTGACCACAGACTACAGCCAGGTACTGTTCTAGGTGCTGGGAAAATAGTGGCAAACAAAACAGCCAAATCCTTCTGTTTCTGGCCTTTACGTTCTCTCTTCATAAAGTAATCTAAAAGAGCTAACAAAGCTAAAGGTGTTAAAATAGAAAGAAACAAAAATATTTTAAAGCATAGTAACCAGAAAAGCAAACAGAGGAACTACATATACTAGACTGCGGGGATGATCTATTTATCTCAGCTTTAGGTCTGAGGCTGCCCGATAAGATATATAATATAACAGGCAATGTCTTGAGCTTCAATTTTCGAAAACATAAATGGTACTTCATATAAATGTCTTTGTAACATTAAATCTTAGCTCAGAAAAGATAAGGCTGAGATAACTAAGACTGGGCTCCCCGTTTCCTCATGATATGTAAAAGAATGAATCACTTCTACATAGTATATCCCATCTGGACCCTGTCACCTATGGGTCTGAGGGTGTGTCTTTGGCAGTGCTAGCTTTCCAGTCAAGTCCTGGTTGACTTCTCTTCGTGAGCGTGAACCATACCAAGATTCTCAGTTGCTGATTAGAAACATGCATATGCTTAAAATGCCAGAGGACAGGTAGCAGAGCTCGCTTCTCCATGTGAACATTTAGGAGTCAAACAGGTATTAATTCCTAGACAGAGTCCTGTCCAGGTGCCTGTCGTCAGGGCCAAAACTTTTCTCAAAAATAGGACTTTGACTCAGTTGTAGCTCTTCCACAAAGATTGACTTAGTACTAAGAATCCTAATCCATAAAGGGAAATTTATTTGAGCATGAAAATTGTGACCTCAACCACAAGAGAAACTCAGTATGGTATGTGTAGGCTGTCTAATTTGGGGCAGACCTACATTGTATAGCTCCATCAGGAAGCATTTGCTCCACAGAAAAAACCCCAAGTAGCTGAGTTTTCTTATGAATAGGGTTATTTAGTATTTCTTATTTACAGAGTTGTGAAATACTTGCCAAGTATAACAACTTTTATTTTTATTTCTCATACTACTGAGCCAACAAATTCAGTTTCAGCTTATGGCCACTTGTAGTTTATGATTATGAAACCATATTACCAGCATAATACATAATCCTTCTTCTGCCACGACAGGAAAGCACACAGCCTGCTGATCATTGTGCGGCCTTGAATTCAGTATTTAAAAAGAAACGTGGAGAGAGAAGTGTATTTCAAATTATGAGCTAAAAGTATAGCCCATTTAATAAGTGGTGTTGAGATAAATAAAATGGGTATTAGGGGAAGTGGGGAAGAGCTGGATTCCTACCTTCCTCTTATTGCGAAAACACATTCCAGATTGAATGTAAGAAATAAAACTGGGCCTGGCACAGTGGCTCATGCCTGTAATCCCAGCACTTTGGGAGGCCAAGGCTGGTGGATCACCTGAAGTTAGGAATTCAAGACCAGCCTGGCCAACATGGTGAAACCCTGTCTCTACTAAAAATCAAAAAAGTTAGTCCAGCGTGGTCATGGGTGCCTGTAATCCCAGCTACTTGGGAGGCTGAGGCAGGAGGATTGCTTGAACCCAGGAGGCGGAGGTTACAGTGAGCCGAGATCATGCCATTGCACTCCATCCTGGGCAACAGGAGTAAAACTCAGTCTCAAATCAATCAATCAATCAATAATCAATCTGTACGAGCCTTAAAAATACGGATGAACATTCTTATAATCTACAGGTGAGAAGGGCCTTTCTAAGGATGTCTCAAATGTTAGAAATCAAATTTAAAAATCAAGTAAATTTGGCTACATAAAATTTAAGATATTTATTGATAAAACAGTCATAATCTAGGCTGAAACACATTTCAAACTGAAATATAGTTGCAACACAGCTTGTAAAGAGTTGCTTTATAACCCCATAGGTAACCCTTATAAAGGGTTGCTATTCCTGACTGACCAAGAGTTATCACAAATCAGTAAGAAAAGGAAAAATTGATAAATGCTACAAAGACTATTTAAAAATAATAAATGCAAATGTATAAAATAAAAGCATGAATAAGTAAAGAAATCCGTTTAAGTTAAAAAATTTGAAACCTTTTTGCCTATCAGATTGGCAGAGATTTTTAAAGCCCAGAATTGGAGAGCAAGGTTAAGGGAAAACAGTCTCATGCATTTATAGAAGAAATATGAACACTGTTGTGTTTCTGGAGGGCAGTTTGGCAATACGTAGATAAATTTTAAATGTGTATATCCTTCAACTCAGCCATCCCACACATGTTGGTATTTTTTGGAAGAAGATAATAAGACAAGGTGAGCAAAGGTGATTCAAGGATGATCACTGCAGATTGCTTAAAATATGGAAAACATGGAAGTAATTTAAATTGCCAATAACATAGATCTGATTAAATTTAGTTATACCCGTACAGTGAATGAAATACTATATAGGTGGAAATAATGTTTACAGGATAATTTTATATGCATGGAAAAGTGCTTATTGTTAATACTTTATACATGCATATATTTAGTATAATACCATTTTTATAAAATTGCTTAACTGTATGTTCTTATGTGTATATGTGCATACAGAGATGCTTGGAATGATATCCTTAAATATTAATGACTTTTTATTTTCATATTGCTTAAATTTTTTGTTAGTGGACAAGTGTTATTTTATAATATTAATAATTTTTTTTTCATTTTGACCAAACAAAAATAGGAAGAGACAGAAATTTAAACTTAGCCTTGTTTTATACTATTTAATTCTGGACTTTTATGTAAGTGAAGACCATTCTTCTGTCATATAATCTTGACAGTAATGTTTATGGTAAGGTTTTGAAGGAACATTAATTGTCTTGGATTTTTATAAACCATGTTCTGTGTCATTCATTGGCAGGTACTGCCCATGATGTCAAAGGTTGATGAGAGATGAAAAAAAACTGCGTTAAAAATGTGTCTTTAAATCTGTCTTGGAGATATGATACAGAGAATAGCTCTGGTTTGTAGTAGAGTATTGGTTAAAACCTACTTGCTCTTCATGTAAAGTATTAGTTTAAAAGACTCAATCCTGCAGTGAGCTAAGAAGAAATCTGCTGTGTTGAAGGCTATTAGTATCCTAATTTAGGCCTTAAATTTGTGAGGTAGTTTCCCTTTGTAGCAATGGCTGGACTTCACTTCTCAATGTGTTCTAAAGAAACCGTTCTTACCGAGCTGTTATAGTAAATACTTTGTCAAGGACCTGGACTCACCTTTTAGGCAGGGTCTAAGGAATCCTAAGGGAAAAGGTCATTTTCAACATCACTTGATTGATTACATATTTAGAGTGGTTTCCAATGTAAATAAACTCTGAAATCTATAAAAATTTGCATATCATTAGCTCTAGGAGAATAAGTAAAATAACTTAGTTATCATTAGAGATTTTGTCCTTCCAGAGCCCCCAGAACATCAGTGATATCTCCAAATGGCTGACAGATAAGCCTAAAAATTCCCTTTGGAATTGCTAGTTCGCTAATAACCATATTTAATCTTAAGTTTTGGTATTTCATTCTATTAGAATTATTGTCTTCCTTAACTTTGTAGGAATGTATTTGGCTAAGCTTCTTCAGCTACCTGCTGGAAAGTAAGTTAAGAAAAAAGAATTAAGAAAAAGTTAAGAAAAGAGAATGAAGCAAAAAATAAAATAAAAAAGAATGAGTAGAAGCAAATTTGTTCTCCAAAAGTCAAATCTCTTGAGGAGATTGATGAGAGAATCCAAAAAGAGGGGCCTAGGAAGACAGTAACTATGTGCTCAAGTCCCCATTCATTCTGACTCACTGTAATGGAGGAGTTTTAGTCACTGGAAGTACATTCGGAAACACCCTCAGGTCCAGTAAGAAAATAGTAATAATACCGTCTGCCTTGGAGAAGTTGGGGTTTTGTAAATTCATCACTGTTGATTGTCAAGAACCACCATGGCAGAAGTGCCCAACTCAAACAAGCTAGAGTTTTGCTTAGTAGAGAATCTGCTTCCTGTAGCGGGGTTTATTGGCTTCCTAATCCAAGGCATTCAAGAAGGAAAAGAGCCAGGTACAAAGTCAGCCAAATAGAAGGTGATGCTGTTTCCTGGTTGGAGAGGGATTAATTTAATATGATGACATAGACAGTAAAAGTCTATTGTGGAGTAACTTATTTCACCTTTGTTACCTAAAAATTTGTCCATAAACCCTTTGTGGCCCACATTTTTCTCTACAAGTTTTCAGGTTCTTATGCTATATCCTAGTCCCTAACTTGGTCCATAGTAGTCCAACAAATACACTTCACTGGCCACTACCTTTGAGATGGACTTCTCAAATCCAGGTAGAAGCTACTGTTCTCTGCTTATCTCAAACTTCAGTGTAGCCTTTTCCTGTAGTATGTTTGCATTCATAAGTAAAATGAAAAGATGAGGGGAATCTGAAAATTTAGGTAGACTGACAGGATTGCAATCTAGCCTGCTGCCCAGTGAACCCCATATGCTCCCCAGTGAACCCCATATGCTCCCCCAACTCTTCTAAAAGACTTACCCTATAACCATAATCTATAAATCTTAGACAAGCCAGGAACATATCTGTCTTCCCCAGGCTTTGGTATAGAAGAATTGATCACTTGACTGATACTTCATTCATTACATGCTGTGAGAGAAATTAAAAAACATCTGCAACATTTTAAAATAAATAACCTGGTAAGTTTAGTATAAAAACATATCAAGCTGAACACATAAGCTGAACAGTGGGGGGAAAACACTAAGCTATCTTAATAGGTAGACTTAGTCCTAGCACTTAGGGATAGTTAAGTGACCTGCAGAAAGCCCCTTCAATGCTAACCAGTTCATACTGCTACATCTTCAGCTCTCCCAAAATGTTCTGCCTTAAGTGAGACCTGACTTGCTTCTGCTGAGAGGGCTTCCTGTATAGCTGCTGGAGTAGAGAGCC
The DNA here is from genome assembly GCF_000001405.40 of Homo sapiens. NCBI lineage: Eukaryota > Metazoa > Chordata > Mammalia > Primates > Hominidae > Homo > Homo sapiens. The sequence continues at coordinate 111,888,937 of NC_000007.14, read as the reverse complement.
CCTCTTCCTAAGCCAGGTGTCTAGTGTCTGGTGGTCAGCTGTCTCCAAATACCCTAACGCTTTCCAGAGATACTCTTTCGCCACCCTCTTGTGAAGAGCTCCCCTATCCTCTATAAGGCTCATTCCATACAGCGCTGCAATTTTCCATGTGTCCTAGTTACTGTCTTCCACCAACTTGTATTTTGAGGGCCAGTGAGGAAGAGGGGGGAAGATGGAGTGGTGTGGTAAGTAGCTGATTAGTTTTCCACAATCAGTCTAGTTCCTAGTTCAGAGTCTTCTCCTTCTGGTTGACTGTCCAACTTCCTGTCCTCTTGTTTTCTTGGCCACTTCAACTCTAGCTACCTCCATTTGCCTTCTACTTCACTATGGCCACACCCTAGGCTGTATTGCCTCTCTACCCATCAGAATCTCCCACTGATTAGATAGATGGGTGGATGAAATCATCCAGAAGCACTTCATATCAAAAATCATAAACTCCCAATATTCTGACCACAGCCTTTCAACCTTCTGATTTTCTAACTATGCCTATTTTTCAGTCTTTTTCTCCTCCACTAGACCACTCTATTTTCTTCCCATTGTTATCTAAGGTATCTCTTAATCCTTAGTTCTACTGTGCCTGCATAGGAAATAAAAAATAGTCCTAGATGAATCTGTAAGCATTGCCCTCTCCTATCCCCAGCCCTAGAAGAAATTAGGGCTGGGGATAGGAGAGGGCAATGCTGACAGATTAGGGCATTGCTAGAAGAAATTATACAGTTGCTATAGGTTAGCATCTACCTGGGTATAGATGTGGGTCCATCAACATTGCAGGCAAACTAGTCCTCACAAGAGCTATTTACAAGAGCTTACCATTCTCCCTACCCCACCACTTCCCAGCTACTTAACAGAGAAAACAGATGCCATCAGACAGGAACTTCCTTAACTTCTTGTGCTCTCTCCTTGCCACCTGCAAACTTATCTGCATCCTTCCTTTCCTTCCGGCTTCCTGTCTCAGGGGATTGGGCAGGATTCCTTTGCTTCAAGACTAGTTCTTCCACCTACTTCCTTCAGGATCTCCCTCCCTCCTGACTCTTCTGGGACCCTGCCCCTCCCAATGTCCTCTCTCTTCCTCCTGCATCTCTTCCAGCAGTATTCACACAGATCATAAACATGCTCAAGCCTTTTTTTTTTAATAATTTTTTTTAAATAGGCACCATGTTCCTTCTTCCCTTCCCGTCATGACATGCAGCCTGCGTGAAATGTCTGTCTTCCCTCATTGCCTCTGCTTCCTCACATCCTCATTGCTCAACTGAAGTTTTTCCCCTTTAGGTCACTAGTGCCCAGCCAGGGGCTAAAGCCACTAGACATTTTAAAAACCTTTCCATACTTGACTGCCCTATAGCATAGAGCACTATTAATAACACTTCTTGAAAATCCCACACTCCTTGGCCTGACGATGTGCTCCTGAGTTTCATCCTTCCTCCTCTTTGAGGACTCATTTCTCTTTATGGATACCTTAAATGTTGATGTTACCAGGGGTTTAGCCCTTGGCTACCATCTGTGTCTTATACTCTCTAGATCCATCTCATCCATTTGGGCAGGTAAGCTATGCTGTTAACTGCCAGATATGTTTTTCTAGTGCAAAACTTTTACCAGCCTACTGAACATCTTCAGTTGGTCTTCCCAAAGACACTGCACACTCAGCATATCCAAAACTGAGCATTTTGTCTTGTCTCCATCCACTCCTGCCATGAAGAGAAACCTTGTCACAGGCTTCTCTTGTCACATTTACCCACCATGTCTAAATAGTTGGTTGCATGACTGGTCAGTTCCACCTCCTCGATAATACTTTAATCCAAGGAATTTAAACCAGAGGTGAGTATTAGAACCACCTGAGATTTTTCTTATTCAAGAGATTTGGGGGTAATCCCAAGGCTTTTATGTATTGAAAAATTCCCTACTCCAGACATACTTAACTATGTATAGTTGCCTCAATATGCCCGTACTTTTTTTTAGCAGTTATTTTAAAGATATTTTAAATTTATAGAAGAGTTGCAAAAATAGTACAGGAAATTCCCATATAACCTTCATCCAACTTCTCCTTATGTTAACCTCTTATATAAGCTATAGTATATTTATCAAAACTAAATTAATCTGGGTACAATTCTGTTAACATGGAATTTATTTGGATTTCACAATAACTTTTCCCACGAATGTCATTTTTTCTGTTCCAGGATCCATTCCAAGATCCCACATTGCGTTGAATGGTCGTGTCCCCATAGTCTCATACGTGTGTTTTTATTCCCCGGTGCCTTTAAGTGTATTGTTTCTTCCCTCCCTTGACTTTTCCTCCCTTGCCTGCTTGATGACCCTTTTATCCTTTACAACTGAGGTCAAATAGTCCTTTGACCTCAGATCAAAGACCATCCTTTTCGATAAGGTCTTCCTTCCCTTCCCCAGCAGAACTGGTTTCTAGTGGTCTTTATCCCAGTGTTGTAATCGGTATTAACAGATAAGTGTGGAGATCAGACATGCAGTGCCCTCAAGGGCAGAGACTGTGTTCATTTCCTTGTTACATTCTTAATGCTAAACTGGAAGGCTGACAAATATTTGGAATTTAATAAATTTTTAATAATGACATAAAGGATGACTACTCATTTTGAAAAAGTTCCCCAAAGAAAGGTATTTTCCTCCAAAAACTATTTAAATCTGGTTTTTATTAACTGGTAATACAGAGTTTCAACTGGATTGTCTACCATACTGTATTTTTTTAATGTGATTACCTACTTTTCACAAGTTACAGACCCCTTAATTTGACTAATTCCATGAATTCCTGTGCCAGTTTTTAAATTAGTAAATTGTAGATGTGGATCTCTCAATCATATATCTTGTATAACTCAAATATCACACTTCTGGAACACTGTCCGGGACTGACCACTGACATTCTCTTTCACATATCTAAGACAGTAGTCAAAAAGTAGCCTAGAACATAATGCAGTATTCATTGCTGTACCAACTGATTTTTATTCCAGAGAAAGAAATACACTGTGAGCCAAACTATATGATCTCAAAGAAGATGAGACTACTACTGCTGCTGCTGCTGCTGCAAAGCCTGCATTTTAATAATTCTGTAAGAGTCTGAGGGAGCACATCTCTCTGGCCAGATCTGATTTCAGACTCCAAGTATAGTAAAGCAAGGATGGTTCTCATCTCTCTCCTCTCTAATTTGTAAATTATCTCCATGCCATTTTAAGATAACTTGCACAGATTCCAACATAGCAAATGCAGAGAACTATCCTTCACTATTACAGTGACATCGTTTTGTTCCCCCAGTCCAGTAGCAGCTTCAAGAAGCCGGGGTCACATTGCCTTGTTTCCCCTGGAAAAAACAAATGGCTTCATTAATTCTTCCCTCATCCATCTGCCAGCATACATCTGCCATAACACTGGTAACACTTTAGCTGTGCTTGTGTCTTCCACAAGAAAACGAGTTCTCTAGTAGAGAAGACAGTGTCTTCTTACTCTCATATCCACATTGCCATGCTCCATGCCTTCACTGGGTTTGGTAGAAAAAATATTCTCTATGTGAAAGCCTAAACTGTGGTTTTACAAGTATTCCTCAGAATGCAAATGATCCGTATTTAACCACCCCATCCAGGTTAGGAGTATAGCTGGATTTTACCATGGTAACAAAGCCATCTCTCAATTACATGCAGCACAAGAATCTCACATCTGCAGTTTGGTGCTGTTGAGCCTGTATTGCTCAGATTTTTAGGCATTTAAGCACCCAACCACTATTCTGTTGCACTTAATATTTCCAATTAAAGCACAGGCAGTGCCAAACCATACTTTTCCAGCCTCATTTCTATGACTTCATTGACTCTTAGCCTTTCACCTAATGGGAAGACTGTTTATTCCCATTTGTTTTCTCCAGTCCATACTCTAGTTCAAAATCTCACTCACAGTAGACCCTTTTCCCACCTGGGGAATTTACTGACTCCCTGGCTGGTTCTAGTATTAGGAAACTGGATAACCTTTTGGCTTAAACTCTAGGCAACAGCTGTTTCTGCCTTACAAGTCTACCTTCTAGAACCTCATTTGTATTATTCACTGCTCTTGAACCCATTTCTTCCCTATCCCTTGTCGTTGAATGAAAGAGTGAATGATTTCTAGCACATTTGTTGTGTTCCTAAGCTCCTGTGTTATGCCCCATCTGCTCCCACCTGCCCTTCCTCCCTACCTTATCCAGGTTGCATGATCCCTTTTGCTCCCTGCATGATTTGAAGACATAAACTAGCCATTTCATTATAAGATTCGTGAGCTTATTGCATTTGAAATTATTTCAGCTCCATATACCACTCTGAGCCCTCTCTCAGGGTGTCTCCCACAAAGATACCTTTCTTTTGAAAAGCTAACCATTTTTGGTCTTTCCTAGCGATACCTACCATGCAGTATTTTATCTATAAATTAAAAATGTTTGAATTAATTACTTGAATTCAAAACTTGGCTAAAACAACAGTAGAGGGAGGCAATGTTATATGGTAGTTGTGAATACAAATTTTGGTTCAAATTCTGACTGTGATACTTTCTAATATTGTGACATTGGGCAAATCACATAAGCTCCTTACGTTACAATATCTTGCCTCAAGGATTGTGTGAGAAGAGAATATACACGCAGTGCAGAGCAGTGCCTGTCACACAGTAAGCACTCATAAAAGGTAGTTGCTTGGATTGCCTTAAAAATCTCCAGTATTTGTATGGTATATTAAGGGTGCGTGCTGAAAACCTCAAGGAACAATAAAAGATATGCTATATTTTCTGTGTGATAGCTTAAGTTTTTCAGAAATAGATTAAAACCTAACCCCCTATCTAGTGTAATCCTACTGGATAAAAAAATCAGATTTGAACCTCTGGTAAATATATAAAAGGGTTCATAGAGACCAAAGAGTAGTTACATGTTTTTCTTCACTGAATTGATGGGCGGAATTCTCTCCTGCTACCCCCATCTCTCTTACACACACCCCAGTGTTCTTGCTGAAAGCTCTTGAAATAACTTTTATGTCCAGAGTATTGTTCATATTTATTATATTTTATACTTGAGCAAGGGTGATAGAGTTTAGCTGTAAGAAGCTATCAAGATGTCATAACTCAGACAGACTCAGATGCTGAGGTCTTGGACCCTCCAGGCTGGGGGAGAAGTGAGAATGAAGGCTTGGTGGAACTGACCTGACCACATCACCTTTTCCTGGCCCATGGAAAAGCAGCCAAGTCTTCTATTCATAGATACACACTAAGGATACAGCACAGCCATCACACCCTCACTCATACAAGTGGTCCATCCCATGGCAACCAGTTGAGCTACATGGGATATCAAGCAGGAATTCCAAGAGGCTGCAGAAGTGCTGCAGAGATGGCAGGCAGTTAGGGGGAGGAGAGTTAATAAGAGATATGTTTACAGGGGCAGAATTTCTGTGAACAGATGGATCATACTAGACCAGGGCAGGCTCCAAATCCTGAGGAGGAGGCCTGGAAATAGCAGGACAGAGTGTCTGGGCTGGGTTTGGCATGAGACTTAGTCACACTAGGAAGTGGTGGTTAGACATATGGAACCCAAATCAGGATAGAGATGAGAGATCAAAGGATGTTTCCAACACTATAGACCAGATAGGGTGAATGTGGGGTGCTGCCCTCATGCTTTGACTTGCCAGGGATGAGATTGAGGGGAGGGGGTCAGTGATCTAGGGTTCCAGAACATTACTTTGCCTAAACACTTTTCCTGAAGAAAGCATTTGAAGTATTCACTTTATAATTATTCTTTAAACCATATATGTATGTTTTATGCATTCTTCTGTCTATATGAATTACTTTGCAGTAGTAAAAGCAATGATTTGGAGTTGTAATATTAAAAGAGAAGTATAGAGGCTGTTTATTATGTTTGTATTGGTGTTTCTGTTACTGGACAGGTGTATTAGAACATCTTGTCATATTCTGATTCTGTTTCTCTAAACTTGTTAGAGAGGTCTTTCCTAAATATTTATTATTAAAAATGTAGCCAGGCATGGTGGCTCACGCCTGTAATCCCAGCACTTTCGGAGGCTGAGGCAGGCGGATCACCTGAGGTCAGGAGTTCGAGACCAGCCTCAACATGGAGCAATCCCGTTTCTACTAAACATACAAAATTAGCTGGGCATGGTGGTGCATGCATGTAATTCCAGCTACTTGGGAGGCTGAGGCAGGAGAATTGCTTGAACCCGGGAGGCAGAGGTTGTGGTGAGCCGAGATCACACCATTGCACTCCAGCCTGGGTGACAAGAGCGAAACTCAGTCTCAAAAAAAGTAAAAAAAAATTGTGAGTCACACATAATAGTCTAGAACACTAAAGGGATTCTATGCTTAAACTCCTACCTGTTACTAGGGCAGTAGCCTTGAAAATATTTGAACAAATTCGAAAGAATAAAGTTAATACAGGTTTTTAAATGTATAATCAGAATCATCTGAGCGTACCAGCTGTATATCTGTTACAATTTTTTCCTCAAAATTTTAATTTAAAATCACCTTTATTATTACAGCATTAAAATCAGTATACAGATAAACCAAAATAAAATAAAATGCCATATTCTCATTACCCAGGTGATGTTAACTATTAGCTCCTTAGTGTATATCATCCAGATATTCTGTGTGGATTTTTTTACCCAAATGATATTATAATACACTATACAATTTTTCTCATTTTTAATTTTTGTGGGTACATAGTAGGTGATTATATTTATGGGGTATATGAGATATTTTGGTATAAGCATGCAATGCATAATAATCACATCATGGAAAATTGGGTATCCATCTCCTCAAGCATTTATCCCTTGTATTACAAACAATCCAATTATACATTTTAGTTATTTTTAAATGTACAATTAAATTATTGTTAACTATAGTCACCCTGTTGTGTTATCAAATACTAGGTCTTACTCTTTCTGTCTTCTTTGTACCCATTAACCATCCCCACCTCCCTGTCATCTCCCACTACCCTTCCCAGCCACTGGTAACCATCCCCTACTCTCCATCTCCATGAGTTCAGTTGTTTTGGTTTTTAGATCCCACAAAAAAAGTGAGAACATGCAATGTTTGTCTTTTGGTGCCTGGCTTATTTCACTTAACATAATGACCTCCAGTTCCATTCAT